>NC_000007.14:102506779-103131779 GCF_000001405.40 Homo sapiens | reverse complement strand
AGCCTAACCTCCTTAGAGGGAGTCCAGGCTCACAATCTAGTCCCATCTTTACTGTCCAGTCTTTTAACCCTCTATAGTCTCGACTTTCACAAACCTTCCTTGCTTTTTTTTTTTTTCCCCTTGAGACAGAGTCTCACTGTCACCCAGGCTGGAGTGCAACAGCGCGATCTCGGCTCACTGCAACCTCTGCCTCTAGGGTCCAAGTGATTCTCCTGCCTCAGCCTCCTGAGTAGCTGGGATTGCAGGCACAGGTCCACCACGCCCGGCTACTTTTTGTATTTTTAGTAGAGACAGGGTTTCACCATCTTGGCCAGGCCAATCTTGAACTCCTTGTCTCAGGTGAGTCATCTGCCTTGGCCTCCTGAAGTGCTGGAATTATAGGCGTTGAGCCACTGCGCCTGGCCCTTCCTTGCTTTTTATGTCCTAGCTACATTAGACCACTAGATGTTGTTCAAAACCCTATTTTGATGTTGTCTTTGTGGTCTTTGAATCAAAGTGTCCTTTTTTCCTTTCTCCCTTATCCCTTCATTGTTTAAAACAATGAGCCAAACATTTATTAATGTATTTGGTAGAATTATGATATATATGTGTATATATATACATACATATGTATATGTATATGACAAATACAGATATCTCATAAGCTGTTTTATCATGACAAGGAGTAGCATGAGGTCACTTCTGCCATCTGTTGGACATATTGTCTTTTTGAGAAGTAACTTAAACTCTCTAAACTTGTACATTTTCATCTGTTAAACGAAGTGAGGTTCAGATGGATGGTCATTGTTTCTGCTCTTTGTAAAGTCCTTGGCCTGAACTTAATTATAACCCAGAAAAAGTGATTCTATGAGAGCTTACTCTCCGAGACCACTTTAAGTTCTAGAATAACTTAAAGAATTTAGCTATAATCCTAGCACTTTGTGAGTCCGAGGAGGCAAGCAGATTGCTTGAGCCCAGGAGTTCCAGGTCAGCCTGGGTAACACGGTGAAACCCCATCTCTACTAAAAAATAAAAAAACTAGCCAGGCATGGTGGCACACACCTGTGGTCCCAGCTACTTGGGAGGCTGAGGTGGGAGAATACCCTGAGCCCCGGGAGGTTGAGGCTGCAATGAGCCGTGATTGAGCCACTGTATTCCAGCCTGGGTGACAGAGTGAGACCCTGTCTCAAAAATAAAAAAAAATAAACAATTTAGATGTATGGCCAGTTAACAAGATTAGGGAAAAGAAGAATGAGCATTTGTGAGTGCCAAGTACATTATGTACCTGTGCCATTTGATCCTTTGAGAGAAACCTCCACAGGTAGGTAGATAGTTTACCAGGAGAAAATGGAGGATGAGAAAGGGTAGGCTATTTGCCCAAAGTATAAATCTTGTTAGACTCTCTCTTAACTCTTGAGCTCTCCCACATACAGCGATGGCTGAGCAACAGCGTGTGCTTTAGCTTTAGTCAGCTGGGGTTTCTTTTCTTCACAGTGATTCTTCTCTAGATTACAGACTGCTTACTCTAGACAGTTTGGAAAAAAAGTTTTGGTTCTGTGTACGTATTCATCCTAGGGTTTGTGTTTTTCCCTTTCTTTCTGGGGCAGTATTTCTATTTAAACACCATTGTAGCCATAAAAATAATATTTGGCTTTCTGTTACTGTGCTCATTTCCTTATTTCCACTTATAAAATGTGCTGTGTGTGTGCACTGTATTTAAACTAATGAAACAGAAAGCAAATGTTTAACAGAATAAGAAAGAAATGAAATTCATGGCAGATACGTTACTTATCACTTTTGTGTATCTGGAGTCCTATATAGGTCAAAATCAGGGATTTTAATGCCTTGAGTTAAGCAGTAGCAGTAGTAGCAGGAATAACAAGGTCAGCAGCAACAGCTGACATTGATTGAGCTGTGATGTTGGGTTTATGTGTGTGTTACTATGTTTCCAAGTGCCTTACTTGTATTACAGGTCTTCTTAATAAACCTAGGAGGGAAGTAACGTTCTCTCCATTTTATAGGTGAGGAAATCAGGGTACAGAGAGGGTGGGAAACTGGCTCAAGGTCGTATAGCTAGGATACATACTCACTGACTTGGCAGTTCTCATATATTTAAATGTATTTTATTGATCAGTTAAATACATTATTGAAATGTCTCTCAGTTAATGTGTTATCTCCTTTCCAGGGATTTGGACTGGCTGTTCTTTCTGGGGGCATTGGTTACAGAATATCTTCAGTGTAAATATGACTAAGCCTAGTGGTGTATATATTCGACTTGCTTGAATTACTAAATTCCCTCAAGGAACTGAAGCAGTCCTTACTATGCATTGTTAACAATAATGTTTTCTAAATACATGTATGAAAATACTATAGATTTATGAAGGTGCCTTAATTTATTCCACAGAATGTCATTGAAATGGAAAATTTAATATGCTTACATGCTGGCTGGGGAAATATGTTGTTTTGGATTACAGGAGATAAAGGATTTTTTAAGGGCTTGGCAGTTATGTTAATAGGTAAAGCAAACATCCTTCTTTCTTTCATGTTTGTTTTGTTTGTTTGTTTGTTTGTGCAATGGCGTGATCTCAGCTCACCACAACCTCCACCTCCAGGGTTCAAGCGATTCTCCTGCCTCAGCCTCCTGAGTAGCTGGCATTACAGGCATGTGCCACCATGCCTGGCTAATTTTGTATTTTTAGCAGAGATGGGCTTTCTCCATGTTGGTCAGGCTGGTCTCGAACTCCCGACCTGAGGTGATCTGTCTGCCTCGGCCTTCCAAAGTGCTGGGATTATAGGTGTGAGCCACTGCGCCTGGCACATCTTTCTTATTTAGCAAGAAGTAATACTGTATTCTAAAATTGTGCCTTGCAGGAAGAAAGTTTCAGCTAATACAGACATAATATTTTTATAAGTTTAGAGAAATTTTTATTGGCTAACAAATAGTACCTTGTGTTATGTTTGAATGCCTTTATGTTCAACTCAGTATTTTTCCCCCTTGTTTTTTTTAGTTCTTCACCAAAGGACATGGATGAAAATGAAAGCAACCAGTCTCTGATGACAAGCAGCCAATATCCTAAAGAAGCAGTAAGAAAACGTCAAAATTCAGCACGGAATTCCGGAGCAAGTGATTCTTCTAGGTTTTCTAGGAAAAGCTTCAAACTGGATTATAGACTAGAAGAAGATGTAACTAAATCCAAGAAAGGAAAAGATGGGAGATTTGTGAATCCGTGGCCAACATGGAAAAACCCCTCTATTCCAAATGTTCTCAGATGGCTGATAATGGAGAAAGATCACAGCAGTGTTCCAAGTTCTAAAGAGGTAGCGCTTGGCTTTTTTGAGTGCTTTATATTTGCTCTTCATATATGACACTCTAGTTATTTGAGCCCTTGTATATCATAAGGCATAGAATTAGGTCTGAGGAGATAAAGTGGATAGGTGTAACCTAGGCCCTAAAGTTCATCGTTCAGTAGCAGAGTACATATAGGAATAACCAACCCTGATCTGGTGGCAACTAGAGGTAGGAACAGAGTGCTTTAGAGGTACAGGAAAGAACGTGATGCTGACAGGAAGAGCTGGAGATGGCTTCACAGAGGAGGTGAATATTTCAGCTGGGCCTAGTCAACTAAAAAGTATTTTGACAGTGATTTTCCAGGTAGATGATGGCATGAACAAGGTCATGAAGGTGAGACAGTGTATTACCTGCTCTGGAAGGTAGTAGCCTGGTACGTGTGTAGAATATGGATCATGAGGGTGAAGGCATGGCCTGGAGTGCTTGGCTTTTAACCCTTGGATAAGGCTACCAAAGCTGTGAAAGGGAGCTTCAGATGACCTTTCCAGACCTTGAAAAGTTGACTTTAGGTTCCTAGCCTTTAAATGTACTAGTTTTACTTAAGATGATTCTACTTGGCCTTCTTCTATTCTGTTAGAATAGACAGATCACAGTTTTGGGTTAAGTTGATTTCATGGTTTACATTGAGTATATCAATATTTTTCATTGGTGAATGAAGTAAGTACTATGACTGTGTCTCCTTTCCTTATATACCTCTCCCTCTGCTGTGTTAACAACATCTCTTTCATCTGCTTGACTTTCTGTGTATTTATGACAATTATTTCCCTGCCTCCTATGGCCTCTCAATGCCATTTTCCTGAGGGAAAGACTCTCAGGTGGTCGTTCAGCAGTGGGCTGTAGTCTGAGCTGATGCCTTCCCAGGGTCTCTGCCGACTTACATTCTAGGGCACCCTTCACCAGCCTCCTGGGCTCCCTTGTGTCTTCTATGGTCACCCTTGTTTTCTGCATCCCACTTGTTCCTCTTTCTGTGTCATTTTCTCATTTTGGTGGAGCATATTTTCAGTGAACTTCCTGAGAAAGGGTACATGGAAAGTAAGTTTTTTGAATTCTTGCTTGTCTGAAATGTCTTTATTCTCATTCATAATTGATAATTTGGGTATAGAATTTTTGTTTAGAAACAGTTTTCTCTCAGAATTTGAGAGTATTGCCTCCATAACTTTATTTCTAGTGTGGCTGTGGGGAAGTTCAGTGCCGTCCTTACTCTTGATCCTTTGAACAGGCCCTTTGTTTTCTCTCTAGAGACTTTGAGAATCCTCTCTTTGGCACCAGTGTTCTGAAAATTGCCACGATGTGTAGTTCTTTATTTATTCATTGTGCTCTGTGTGTGGTGGGCCCTTTCAGTCTGAAAATCCATTTCCTTCAGTTCTAGGAAATTTCATCTGTATCTTTGAAAATGTCCTTCCCTATATGTTTTTATTCTAAAATGACTATTAGTTATAGTAGTTCTATTTTGGACCTCCTGGATCAATTCTCTGTAATTTAAGAAAATTTCTTCTATGTTTTATCTTTTTAAAAATATTACATGGCTAGGTGCAGTAGCTCATGCCTATAATACCCACACTTTGGGAGGCTGAGGCAGGTGGATTGCTTGAGCTGAGGAGTTCGAGACCAGCCGGGGCAACATAGCAAAATGCCATCTCTACCAAAAAAAAAAAAAAAAAAAAAAAAATACAAAAAATTAGCCAGGTGCAATAGAGTGTGCCTATAATCCCAGCTACTTGGGAGGCTGAGGCAGGAGAATCACCTGAGCCTGGGAGGCAAAGGTTGCAGTGAGCCAAGATCGTGCCACTACACTCCAGCCTGGGTGACAGAGCAAGACCCTGTCTCAAAAAACAAAACAAAACAAAAAAAATTGCATTCTGAGGAGGTGGCCCCTGGGAGGAATGATGCTAGGTGCAGATGCAGTGTGGCTTTTGATGGTGCCTTATGAACAGTTGTGTCCCAAAGGAGGTATGAGGATAACTGCTGAGGTCCTAAAGAGCAAGCCTAACTTTAGCCATTGGCACATAGGCATTAAACAGAAGCCTGGAAGTTGAAATGATAGAATCTTACTTGTCTAGACTAGCTTTATGGTTTTATTACTGGTAACGTTTTTATCTGTTGATTGAGTGCAGATTTTTGGAGACCTTTTAAAGGTATAGAGAATCGGCTTGACAACAGTGCACATGGAGCAAGTTTTAAAGAAGCAAAGAACTCAAAATTCATGCTTGGAGAAGTGCAGGCAGACCTGATTTCCTAAAGAGGTCTAGGGTTTTTAATGACCACAGATAGCAAGCAAGCATGCAAACCTTGATAGGGTCTCACTCTGTCACCCAAGCTGGAGTGTAGTAGCCCTTTGAGGCTCACTACAGCCTCAAACTCCCGGGCTCTAGTGACCCTCAGCCTCCCAGTGGTTTTTGTACACAGCCTGATGGAGTTTCATGGCAGAGAAGATTAATTAAACAATGTCTTTCAATTTTAATAAATTTCAGCAATTTGAAAAAAATTTGCATTCTGAAAAATTTCCTCAAGAATTTGTTTCATTTTTATTTATTATTATTATTATTATTATTATTATTATTTTTGAGACAGAGTCTCACTCTTTTTGCCCAGGCTGGAGTGCACTGGCGCCATCTTGGCTCACTGCAACCTCTGCCTCCCGGGTTCAAGTGATTCTTCTGCCTCAGCCTTGTGAGTAGCTGGGACCATGGGCGCCTGCCACCACGCCTGGCTAATTTTTTTTGTATTTTTAGTAGAGATGGGGTTTCACCATGTTTGGCCAGGCTGGTCTTGAACTGCTGACCTCAGGTGATCCACCCGCCCCGGCTTCCCAAAGTGCTGGGATTACAGGCATGAGCCACTGTGCCTGGCCCTATTTGTTTCATTTTTAAACCTTGTGTCTCGTAGAGTCGTAGGGATGACTGAAAATGTCACCATATACAATTTTTTTATAAAACTAGAAAATATGAATACTCTGATTGCAACCATTCATAAAATAGAACTACAAGTACAGATCATAATGTTAACAGTGGTTATAATATCTGCATGTTGATATAATGATGGCAACTATTTATATTTTTCTGCATTTTCCACATATTAAGAGCATTTTCTCTTATAATCAAGGAGTTTAAAAATACTAAGCCATTTTGATAGATCTTATACTCTTAATACACATGGCAAAAATATCAAACATTGGCATCAATAATTAATTGAATTGGAGTTATTTTGGTAACACATGTATCTTTATTCAGTGTTCACATATAACAAATGTGAAAAAGAAAAATGTTATTTTTTAATTTAAAAAATCTGAGTTGCAGATTACAGTATAGGTAGTAAAGTTTTCTAAGATGGTGAAAATGTACCTTCAGTTGGAAGAAAAGTATTACTGTGTCTTCTTTAAAAGTGATATTTTAAAAACATGGTTTAAATGGATTTGAGTCACATCTTTCTTTTTTGTCTCATTAATACACACAAACACATACTCTTAAAATTGTAAGTATGTTAAGAAGATATGAGTTTCATTGTTTAATTTTAATGTAAGTTAATATTTATGCCATCGAAGGAGCATGGCTTAGTGAAAGAGAGGTCTTTTGAGTTAGGAAGACCTAGATTTCACTCCTGATTGGGTACTTACCTCTTGCATGACTTTGGCAAATTTCTTAGTGACCCCAGTCTGCCTTGGTCTGGTCATCTGTAAAATGGCAGTAATATTTGCTTCACAAATTTAGATGACACAGTATACCTAAAGCACCTTGCAAAGAGTAGCTATTGAATGAACGTTAGGATTTTTCCCTTTTCCCGAGAAAAGTAAAACATTAACTAGCGTACTGGTTAATTATGAGTCTTGGGATTTTCCATTTTGCAGCTTTCAAAAAGGAAGACCAGCCAAGAAAGTCTTGATCTAGCCATGAAAATGCCACGTGAGTGATTAGTTTCCTCAAGTAAACAAGAGTCCATCCTCTCCCCACCCCTTTTTCTATATGCTTTTTCTTTCTTTCTTCCTTTTTTTTTTCTAAGACGGAGTTTTGCTCTTGTTGCCCAGGCTGGAGTGCAGTGGTGCAATCTTGGCTCACTGCAACCTTCGCCTCCTGGGTTCAAGCGGTTCTCCTGCCTCAGCCTCCCGAGTAGCTGGGATTACAGGCATGCACTACCACACTTGGCTAATTTTGTATTTTTAGTAGAGACAGGGTTTCTCCATGTTGGTCAGGCTGGTCTCAAACTCCTGACCTCAGGTGATCCACCCACCTTGGCCTCCCAAAGTGCTGGGATTACAGGCGTGAGCCACTGTGCCTGGTCTATTATTATTTTTTAATTATTATTTATTATTATTTTTAAATAGAGACAGGATCTCACTATGTTGCCCTGCTGGTCTCAAACTACTGGCCTCAAGCAGTCTTCTAGCCTAGGCCTCCTGAAGTGTTGGGATTACAGGCATGTACCACAGCACCAGCCTTAAACTTTTAAAAATAGTTTTATTAACATGATATAGGCTTCACATATTTAAAATGCATAATTTAATGAGTTTTGACATATGTATATACCCACGAAAAGATCACCACAATCAAGACAATGAACATATATATTATCCCCAAAAGTTTCCTTGTGTCCTTTTGAAATTCATACCCCCTTATTCTCCCAACCTGGACCCCAGGCTGTTACTTTTTACGAAAACATGTTAGTAAATGAGATTTAATGAGAGGAAGTATGGTTTACTACAGTGGGTCTGGCTGGGTGACCTTGCCTGAGTGCTGTAACTTCCCTAATTCATTGTATTCTTAGCTGTAGAATGGAGCTGGTTTATAGGACCTACTTCCAGTGTTGTGGTCGTAGCCAGTAGCAGTTAGTACAGTGTCTAGCACATAATAAGCACTTCATAAATGGTAGCTGTTGTTAATAGTATTTTGTTTTGTGTTATGCTAAAGTACTTGATACATTAGGTAGTTCATCATCATTATGTGCCCAATATGATGCCAAGTACGAGTACTTAGTAGGTACTCAGTTTATATTCATTCCCTCTCCCTTTCCTCATTAATTCTGGATAAGTATACCTCTTGGCATATGTCATTGTTCACTAACCCTAACTCCCAAATTTAAGAACTGATTGAAAGTTGACATTCATTCATTTACTCATCCATTCAACAAATTTTGTTGAGCACATGCTGTGTTTCATTAATCAAACTGAGCACTGAATGATTCCACCTTTCATAAGACATGGGACAAATTCTGTGTACACATAACCAGAATATCCAGAGGAGATGTGTGAATAGGGAGATATGGAAGTTGAGAGGCAGGAGTAAGTGCTTCTAGCTGTGGGACTCAAGAGATGGCCCGAAGGGATAAGGGGGAAGATAATTTAACCTGAGAAATGGGATGAGTACCGTGCAGGGTTCTTGAGCTCAGTCTAGGAGTAGGAAGCAGTCTCCATGTAGGTGGGACACAGCACATGTGGAAGAGGAGCATGAAACGCCCGAGAGAATTGGGGCAGTCCCTGGGCAGCTCACTGCTGGGCTGAGGAGGTGAGACAGACTTTGTCAGGCAGTAGAGAGCCAGTGGAGATTTTGCAGCAGAGGAGACTTAAGTTATACCTTAAGTTGGCTGTTTTTGAGGTGGCTCTTGTGCATGGATTGAGTTGACAGGCAGATAGTTGAGCAATCTGGAGAGCTTTGAATGTCTGAATATTTCTTAGCATCTTAACTAGGTTAGTAGCTCCACGGAAATGCAAAAGATTGGTAACATTGGTGCCTGGTTTGTTGTCAGGGTTGGAACTTTCTTGCTTTTTCTTTTGGACTACTTGTAGAGTGCTTATTATGTCCCAGCCACTCGTAATTCTATCCTCACAGGAATGAAGCATAGGTACAATTATTACACCTGTTTTCCAGATGAGGAAACTAAAGGTTTAAGTGGCTAAGAGAAACCTTTTTGTCCTCCACCTGTGCTGCTCCTTCTCTTCCTGTCCAGGCCTTCTTCCCATTCAGACTCACTCTCTCATTGACCTCTCAGTTTCCCTTCACCAGCATCTCCCCATCTGCCCTCTTTTGTCTGTGTCTACCGGTGTATCCTTTGCTCAGGTCCTCATCTCTTCATATCTTGGCAACTGTTGTGACACTCTCCATGCCATCATTTGGACTCTAGAATTGTTTTATCTAAACATAATTGGGTCATGTCTGTGTGTATGTGTGTGTGCACATGCATGCATGTGTACGTGTGTGTGTGCACGTGTGAGGGCAAAAAGATACCTCCTAGGCCTGGCGTGGTGGCTCACACCTGTAATCCTAGCACTTTGGGAAGCAGATCGCTTCAGCCCAGGAGTTCGACGCCAGCTTGGGCAACATGGTAAAACCCACCCTGTCTCTACAAAAAAAAAAAAAAAGATGCTTCCTCATTGTCTTAGAGTGAAGCATGACACTCAAGGCTCTTAATGTGTTCCCATCTTTATAGATTTAGTTTGTCCCCTGCCCTCAAACACCACATTCCTGTTTGGCTCTGTACCTTTGCTTGGGTGGTTTCTCTACTTGAAATGCCCTTCTTCCTTTTCTCTGCATCATGAGTTTCTCATCATTCTTCAGGAACTCACACAAGTCACTGTGTCTGTGATGCCTTTGGCAACTGGGCTCTTCATTCCTTCTTATCAGGCTATAACATGACCTGTATTTTAACTACTTATCCAGTACCACACCCTTTCAAAGTTGATTTAGTGGCAACTTACAAACATACATAAAGCAGTAAAAAAAGAATTGGATGAGGTATAGAATTACTATACCTAGCCAGTCTAGGAGCAAAATGGACTATTAGACTAGAAAAATAAAATAAAGCCAAGAATAAAGTTAATATAGAAATATGTTCCATCATGTGCTGCACGTTGCTGCAGGTGGCCTCAGCTTTTCCTCTGAACTTCCTAAAGAGAGAAGTATCATGAAATCTTAAGAGTTTTCCCAGTGACAGAAATGACAAAGCCAGGTGCTCTGGAGAAGAATTTTTCCTGAAACGAGATGGGAGGGAAATGTTTCTGGGGTAAGTAGGAAGGTGGAGGTGGTACCAAGTCTGCAGCCTGAACACATACATGGTGAGTTTCATGAGGTGGCTTCCTATGAGAGACCTCCATGCAGCTATATAGCATGGTACCAGAGCACAATTCAGTAAAAGAGCTTTATAAAAGCCAGGACTGTGATGCTGCAACCTTACCACTTTTTGTTGGCCTAGCTTAATCCAAGTATAAAATGTAGAATAACCAAGGGATAATACTCTTCACGCTTTGTTATAGTTATTGTTTTATATCCATTTACGGCCCCCCTTATCTCAGTGATCAGCTTCTCACAGGAAGGGATCATATTCACGTTGGTTTGATTAATGGTAGAAAATCAGAAAGGTAAGGAATGAGGAAAACAATTTATGACTGTGATTTGTCCAGGAATCATCACAGCGCTCCATTTTGAATTATAGGTACTCAGAAAGTGAGATTCAGGCCAGGCACAGTGGCTCACGCCTATAATACCAGCACTTTGGGAGGGCAAGACAGGATGATTGCTTGAGCCCAGGAGTTCAAGATCAATCTGGGCAACATAATGAGACCCTGTCTCTACAAAAAATAAAAAATTAGCTGGATATGGTGGTGCTGTGTGCCTGTGATCCCAGCTGAGAGGTTGAGGTGGGATGATCACTTGACCCTGGGGGGTTGTGGCTGTAGAGAGCTGTGATTATGCCACTGCACCCCAGCCTGGGTAACAGAGCGAGAGCCTGTCTCAGACAAAAAAAAAAAAAAAAAAAAAAAAAAGAAAAATATCAGATTCATGATTCATGTCTGAGAGCCAAGAGCTACAAATAAATGGTCATAAGCTTTCTTTACTATTTCCAGGGACTGACCTGCTTTTAAGGCAGTTTTTAGCAGCAAATACATCAGCTGAGTAGAATGGCAATAGAAAAATGACTGCATCTAGGCCAGTCTACTTCTGGCAGTACTGAAGAGAGCCTTTAAAAAATTGATACATTTAGCAGCACTCAAAGTTTTAAATTTAATTTTCTCTTTTGCATTTGGGAGGAAGAAGATTACCATATTATCATGATTATTAAGTCAGATTCAGAAAGAAGTATGCATTTTCAAGAAAAAAGCAAAAGTGTAGCAAGTTTATTGAATGACTTTAGTTCTCTTAAAACAGCTCTTCTTGCCATTATTTAGGTCAAAATGTGGACTATGATGATATAATACTTTTTTTTCTAACTACTCTTTTGTCTTGCTTTCTTTATACACAAAGGAACTAGACAAAGAACTCCCAGTGCTTAAGCCATATTTTATCACTAACCCTGAAGAAGCTGGAGTGAGGGAAGCTGGCTTAAGAGTCACATGGCTGGGACATGCCACGGTAATGGTGGAAATGGATGAGCTCATATTTCTCACGGATCCCATCTTTAGCTCTCGTGCTTCACCATCGCAGTACATGGGTCCAAAGCGATTTCGTCGTTCCCCGTGCACAATAAGTGAACTCCCTCCAATAGATGCGGTCCTTATCAGTCACAACCACTATGACCATCTGGACTACAATTCTGTCATTGCTTTGAATGAGCGATTTGGTAATGAGTTGAGATGGTTTGTGCCTTTGGGTCTCCTTGACTGGATGCAAAAATGTGGCTGTGAGAATGTGATTGAGTTGGACTGGTGGGAGGAGAATTGTGTCCCCGGACATGATAAGGTCACTTTTGTCTTTACACCTTCCCAGCACTGGTGTAAAAGGACTCTAATGGATGACAACAAGGTGCTATGGGGCAGCTGGTCTGTCTTGGGGCCTTGGAATCGATTTTTTTTCGCAGGAGATACTGGTTATTGCCCTGCTTTTGAAGAGATAGGAAAAAGATTTGGACCTTTTGACCTTGCAGCTATTCCCATCGGAGCTTATGAACCGAGGTATGTAGACTTCCAAAGAAAACATTCCTGCTATGTGATAAATTAACTGAATTTAAAAGTAAAGCAATTATGATTTTTGTGACACTGTAATTTATGATTTTAATGGTGGACTTTGTTATACATGATTGGGGGTTGGTAGGTCAGATTCAATTAGATTTTATTTTTAAATATTTTAAATTAAATATTTTTTAAATTGACAAGTAAAAATTGTGTATATGGTGTGCAACATGATGTTTTGATATATGTATGCATTGTGGAATAACTAAATCAAACTATTTTACATGTGCATTATCTCACATACTTATGTTTTTGTGGTGAGAATTAAAATATTTTAATTATAGTCATATGAGTTAAAAAAATTACTCAAAATCAGGGATGATGTTACCATAAGAAAGGGATCAAGGTTTAAAGAATTACTATACCTAGCCAGAAGTTCACATACCATTCAACTAAACTGGTCAGCCAGTAATAAAACCTACTCTTATTCTTTCACATGGAGAATACTTTCTTTATATAACCACCTTTTGCTCCATAACTTGAGTGCCCCAATCCCCTGTCCTACAGCTCTCCTACGTTTAGCAAAGAGAAAAAGCAAGGAATTGGCCTATAGCATTAGTCCCTGGTGAGGGTTTTATTTCAGTCAGCACTGAAGTTAATCTGGTCATGGTGGTGTTGTACTACTCACCACTCATCCTCCAACCTTGACATACTATTGACCTATTTCAGAGCAGCGAAAGGTCACACTCTCATTGGACACCTAGGAGACTCATCCACTGTCTTTGTTTTCCTTAATATTCTCTGTTTAGGGAAAAGAGAAGTGATTTCAAAGAATTAAGTTAGATTTCAGTCAACTCTGGTTTATATGTGCAAATAAAGAGAAAACAAAACACTAATAGTAACAAAGCAATGGATAATTTTAAAAATATTGTATTCTATAGTGCATGGACAGATACATACAACAACATTTTGTTTAGGTAATTCCATAAGTGGAAGAACAAGTATTTCTCTAATACATAGATGAATTGAATGAATCTAAACTTTTGTTTTCATCTGATTTTGTTATTTGCTAAATTTTTACATTCACTAAAACGATTTTGTCCCTATTTTTATTTACTAATGCTTATTTATCCCTTTTTGTTTTTTGCTAGTTTCCTTATTTGGAGGGGCTAGATATTTTTACCCTTTTTTGGTTCTTGATAATTATTAAAATGATTACAAATCAATATTGGTGCTTGAATTTTACTTTTCTAATTAAATAGTTATAATTCTAATGAAACCTCTCAAAACCTGTCAACTTATATATTTTTAGAACTGTTACAAATCAGTTATGTATTTGTAACATAAAATTGGTCTTTACTCGATGTATGTTCCTTTTTTGGTTGGTTGTTTGAGATGGAGTCTCACTCTGTTGCCCAGGTTGGAGTGCAGTGGCACGATCTCGGCTCACTGCAACCTCCGTCTCTGGGTTCAAGTGATTCTCCTGCCTCAACCTCCCAAGTAGCTGGGACTACAGGCGCCTGCCACCATGCCTGGCTAGTTTTTTTATGTGTGTTTTTAGTAGAGACAGGGTTTCACCATGTTGGCTAGACTGGTTTTGAACTCCTGACCTCAAGTGATCTGCCTGTGTCGGCCTCCCAACGTGGTAGGATTATAGGCGTTAGCCACCATGCCCAGCCTGATGTATGTTCTTAATAGATTAGAACATCTTTTATTTGTTATGAAAATAAGTTTTCATATGTAGTAATATATAAATTTGTCACATATATTTGTGATGATAAAATATGTACAACCAAATTTACTCACATAATCCCCCTTTCCTGCTTGCATTGCAGGCAAACAGGAAACAACTAAGATGGGAAAAAGACAAGGAGGCTATTATTTGCCCTAAGAGAGTTAAATTGTGGTAGCCTCTAATGTGTAGTCTGTTTCTTTGGTTACTGTTAACGGCTTTAGAAATAAGATATTGAATAACACTTGAGAGTGCTCTATAAATTTAAGATGTTTAGACCGAAAACAACTTTCAATAATATGCTTGGAATGTTTCATTCTTACTTTAGGGAATCTCCTGTCACCAGGTATTCTATCCAAGTCAGTTAAGATTTTAAGTTTTTATTTTAATTGTTATATCACAGTAAAAAATTTAAATCTATTTCAGGTGGAAAGGAATATATCTATCCCTTTGATTTGCACTAGGATTTAAAAAAAATCAAGAGAGAAACACCAAAAACCATTTTCATCTTTCCCTGAATCCCAAGAGTCAGGAGATATGGCAGAACAGTGCTGCTCTCATTTGCTGTTGAGGAGAACACAGTGGCTTTGTTTTCAGCCTTCTGTAGGACCCAGCAACTCCTAACAGTAAATATCTGTTGCAGATGGATAAACTTCTCCATGATGTCTTCTGTAAAGTGTGGAAGCTCCTGTGCTGAATCCATGTCTGTTGGTCTTCACTGTAGTGTTAGTTGTCACTGGCAGACTAGGATGTAAATAATGTGAATACAGTGTTGTTTTTCCTCCTTGAAACTGATGGCTTGGAAGGCAAAGGATTTGCTTGTAGACAGTACACTTTCTCCTTTATATCAGGAATAATACGTCTTTCTTCTGAAAGTGTTGGTTTTGTTTACTGTTTTGGGAGAATTCTATGAAAGTAGATGATGTTCTCTATGCTTTCCTAAGCCTTGTCTTGTTTAATCCTCACAATACCCTCACATAATGGGGTAAAATTTATATTTCACAGACAAAGAAATAGCAGCTCAGAGAATTTGAACAGACTTTCCAAAGGCATTCTAAGAACTGCAAGAGCTAGGATTCACACCCAAGCCTTCTGCCTCCTGAGCCCTCGCTCTTCCCAAGGCATTAGGCACCCTTTCATTATTTCCTTAATCATTTACCCATTAGTCTGATCTTCTTGCCAAACCAAACACCTCATTGTTCAGTTTTATGATTAAATAAAATTTCTTGAATAGTAATTGGATATTTGGCTCCTGGTCTTTAAATTTTATGTACTAGTTTTTGTTTATTTTTGCTTTAGCAGGTTTTTACAAATTTGTATCAGCAGGACATACAAATTCTTTTGTAATTGGAGCTTTGGTTTTTATTTCTTTACCAATTATTCAGTTTCTTTGATACATATCCAGGACTGTAAAATATCTACTTTTAAAAGTAACAGTGAGGCAGGACTTATTTCCCAGTCTCAATTGATAAAGTGAAAAAACTGGCAGCTGGGCGCGGTGGCTCACGTCTGTGATCCCAGCACTTTGGGATGTGGAGGCAGGCAGATCACAAGGTCAGGAGATCAGTACCATCCTGGCTAACATGGTGAAACCCTGGTTCTACTAAAAATACAAAAAATTAGCCGGGAGAGGTGGTACGTGCCTATAGTCCCAGCTACCCAGGAGGTTGAAGCAGAAGAATCACTTGAACCCAGGAGGCGGAGGTTGCAGTGAGCTGGGATCGCGGCACTGCACTCTAGCCTGGGCGACAGAGTGAGACTCAATCTCAGAAAAAAAAAAAAAGAAAAAAAGAAAAAACTGGCAAAAACCAGCAGATGGTGACAGAAGTGATCCCTAGCTGCCCTCATTGCTCATTAGCCTAAGACTCTCCCACCATCACCATGACAGTTTATAAATGGCCATGGCAACAACCTAGAAGTTACTGCCCCTTTCCATGGCAATGACCAAGAAGTTACCACCCCATTCCTAGAAAGTTCTAAATAATCTGCCCTTTAATTTGCATTAACCCATTCCCTAATTTACATATAATTAAAAGTGGGTATAAGTGAGTGTAAATACAGTTACCAACCCCTCATATGTTGCCAACTCTGAGTGCACTTACTGCCTATAACTTAGCACTGCTCCTCAAGGAGCAGTATCGTTTAAAAAAAATTGCTGGCCAGCACCACTGGCTTGCCGTTGAATTATATTTCGTTTGTGAGGCCAAAAACCCTCCTGGGCTAAGCCTCAATTTTGGGGCTCGCCTCCCCTGCATCATCAGTAAGTTGTATCTTCAGATAGATCCAGTAAAATCAAAATATACGTGAAACAAAAATCTCACTATTCAGAGGGGAGTTTGCTTGAGACTTACTTATTTTATAGCAATTTGTACAAGAAAGACTTTTGCTTGTTTTATTTTTCAGCAGAAAGTGTACCAAAGGGAGATGGTTTTGCCTCCTGTGACTTAATTCCTGTGCAGAATTTGTTTTGTTTTTACAATCTAGCCTTGACCTGGCCTTCAGACTTGGTTTCTAGCTCATCCTCCCCAAAACTGCATGTTTTATCCCAGTGGTTCTTAATTCTCAACATCCATAGTCCTGCGCAGAATCTTAAAGTTTGGTTAAGTGAAACAGATTTTAGAATTTAGTGTATATCTCAAAGGTCAGAATTAAGAAATTGCCATGTTTCTTCAGGTGGTTTATGAAATACCAGCATGTAGACCCAGAAGAAGCTGTAAGGATTCACACTGATGTCCAAACAAAGAAATCTATGGCAATTCACTGGGGAACTTTTGCCTTAGCAAATGAGGTAAGTTTGATTGCGATAAAAATAACTTTGTGTGTTTGACCAATGATAGGATTCAGGCATCACTGTTCCTTAGTTTTCAGACCCAAGACTCTGGAATCAGATACTGCACAGTCATCACAGTCACTGCATGAATTAGGGTGGTAAATCATACTAATTAGTAGAACAATACACACATATACAGTCAGAAAAAAAAAACAACACAACCTCATTGTGTTTTCTTTTGGCTTATTTCTGAAGTTAGTAAAGCTTGTATTTGTATAACCAAAAATCTGTATGTGGTCTGGAGACTAGAAAAGCAAGCCATCATGTCTCACCCCTCAAGCAGGCTCTCATGCTAGCAGAAGACAGAAGTCATGTATGTGATACAGATGTTAGAAGGGGAAAGTGCTGTAATGTGGAACAGATGAGATGGTCTCAGAATCAGGATGTTTGCTGATGGCAGGGATCAGAGAGGGCGTGATGGAATAAGTGACATTTGAACTTGGCTCTGAGAGGGCAGGGAGGAAGGCATTTTCAGAGGAGGAAAGGGCAGAGCATAGGCTCGGAGGCAGCTAGTGTGGGGAGTACTTGAATCAGTTCAGCAGGAGAGTGGAGGGCAATAGGGAGAAGTAAGGCTAGTGTGGAACTTTCTAGAAATATATTCAGTAAACATTGACTCGGTGTCTGCTATGTGCCAGGCATAGGGATAAATGTGATTTTATTCCTAGATTAAAACAGAAGAGATAATTTTTCCTTAAGGCAGATGGACCCTAGAACTCTGCCACTAGCCTGGGTCCTGGGATCAAGCAGAGGATAGTATAAAGCTTTCTCTCCTTTCCTGGATCCAAGGTCTTCTCTAAACAAAACTTAGAAATGTATGGTTAGGCCCAGTGCAGTGGCTCACACCTGTAATCCCAGCACTTTGGGAGGCTGAGGCAGGTGGATCACTTGAGGTCAGGAGTTCGAGACCAGCCTGGCCAACATGGCGAAACCCCGTCTCTACTAAAAATACAAAATAGCCAGGCGTGGTGGTGCGTGCCTGTAATCCCAGCTACTCGGGAGGCTGAGGCAGGAGAATCGCCTGAACCCAGGAAGTAGAGGTTGCAGTAAGTCGAGATTGTGCCACTATACTCCAGCCTGGGCAAAAGAGTGAGATTTGGCTGGGCACCTGTGGCTCACACCTGTAATCCCAGCACTTTGGGAGTCTGAGGCGGGTGGATCACCTGAGGTCAGGAGTTCGAGACCAGCCTGGCCAACATGATGAAAACCCATCTCTAATAAAATTAGCTGGGCGTGGTGGCAGGCGCCTATAATTCCAGCTACTCGGGAGCCTGAGGCAGGAGAATAACTTGAACCTGGGAGACAGAGGTTGCAGTGAGCCGAGATTACGGCACTTCCTTCCAGCCTGGGTGAAAGAGCGAAACTCTGTCTTGAGAAAAAAAAAAAAAAAAAAAGTGAGACTCTGTCTTAAAAAAAAAAGTGAGACTCTGTCTTTAAAAAAAAAAAAAGTGTGGTTAGGACTTGGCTTCTTTACTTTCTGTGGCATCTTCCACATCCCAGAGCCTCTCTGCAGGAACTCAGTGTTTTCTTGCAGTTTTAGTTACTCCTCTGTCTCACTTATGGCCTGCCCTCTCCCAAAGATGCAGTGTGTTCCAAAATTACCTAATACACTGCCTGCCCATTCCCCCACTCCCTAATCAAAATTCCTGTGCCATGAGGCAGCAACCCTGAGCCACAATGCAGCAATTCTTGGCCACTGTTGGGAGAAGGAATAGAATAATGACTAACCATAGGGTTGTGGGGAGGATAAATGAGAATATAAATGTGGGTGTGTGGGTGCGTATTTGGAGAAGGGAGAAGTTTAAGACTGGTTTTCAGTGACAATTTCTTATTCCATCTATATATGTGTGCGTGTATGCACATATTCCATTATGTATATTCCATATATATGGGACTTAGATGAAGTAATGGTATTTTATTAAACCTATGCAAAGAAAGGAATCAAGGTTGACTCCTAGATTTTTAGCTTCAATAGCTGGTTAGACAGTTGTGCTCTTTACTGAGATGGGGAAGATGAGAGAGGATTAAAAAATCCTGTCTTTGAGAATTATTGTGTTATTCAGCCTTCAAGAATTATTCCTGTTATAAACCTAACCGCCATCTTTATTTCTTAATGAGAATGTTAATAAAAACTCATTTGACTTTCAGCATTTTGGAATTTGTTCATGTTTTGATGTTGAATAAACCTCATAACTATGAGTTAGTTGAATTATAAAGCAGATATAATCTTCAGAGAGGATATGTTACCCTTTACTTCTTTTTTTTTTTATTATACTTTAAGTTCTGGGATACATGTGCAGAACATACAGGTTTGTTACATAGGTATACACGTGCCATGGTGGTTTGCTGCACCCATCAACCCTTCATCTACATTAGGTATTTCTCCTAATGCTATCCCTCCCGTAGCCCCCCACCCCCTGACAGGCCCCAATGTGTGATGTTCCCCTCTCTGTGTCCATGTGTTCTCATTGTTCAACTCCCACTTATGAGTGAGAACATGCGGTGTTTGGTTTTCTGTTCTTGTGTTAGTTTGCTGAGAATGATGGTTTCCAGCTTCATCCATGTCCCTGCAAAGGACATGAACTCATCCTTTTCTATGGCTGCATAGTATTCCATGGTGTATATGTGCCACATTTTCTTTATCCAGTCTATCATTGATGGGCATTTGGGTTGGTTCCAAGTCTTAGCTATTGTGAACAGTGCCTCAATAAACACACGTGTGCATGAGTCTTTATAGTAGAATGATTTATAATCCTCTGGGTATATACCCAGTGATGGGATTGCTGCGTCAAATGGTATTTCTGGTTCCAGATCCTTGAGGAATCGCCACAGTGTCTTCCACAGTGGTTGAACTAATTTACACTCCCACCAACAGTGTAAAAGCATTCCTATTTCTCCACATCCACTCCAGCATCTGTTTCCTGACTTTTTAATGATCACCATTCTAACTGGCATAAGATGGTATCTCAATATGGTTTTGATTTGCATTTCTCTAATGACCAGTGATGATGAGTTTTTTTTTTCATATGTTTGTTGGCTGCATAAATGTCTTCTTTTGAGAAGTGTCTGTTCATATCCTTTGCCCACTTTTTGATGGGGTTGTTTGTTTTTTTCTTGTAAATTAAGTTCTTTGTAGATTTTTGTTATTAGCCCTTTGTCAGATGGATAGATTGCAAAAATTTTCTCCCATTCTGTAGGCTGCCTGTTCATTCTGCTGATAATTTTTTTTGCTGTGCAGAAGCTCTTTAGTTTAATTAGATCCCATTGTCTATTTGGCTTTTGTTGCCATTGCTTTTGGTATTTTAGTCATGAAGTCTTTGCCCATGCCCATGTCCTGAATGGTATTGCCTGGGTTTTCTTCTAGGGTTTTTATGGTTTTAGGTCTTATGTTTAAGTCTTTAATCCATCTTGAGTTAATTTTTGTATAAGGTGTAAGGAAGGGATCCAGTTGCAGCTTTCTGCTTATGGCTAGCCAGTTTTCTGAACACCATTTATTAAATAGGGAATCCTTTCCCCATTGCTTGTATTTGTCAGGTTTGTCAAAGATCAGATGGTTGTAGATGTGTGGTGTTACTTCTGAGGCCTCTGTTCTGTTCCATTGGTCTATATATCTGTTTTGGTACCAGTACCATGCTGTTTTGATTACTGTAACCTTGTAGTATAGCTTGAAGTCAGGTAGCATGATGCCTCCAGCTTTGTTCTTTTTGCTTAGGATTGTCTTGGCTATGTGGGCTCTTTTTTTGTTCCATATGAAATTTAAAGTAGTTTTTTCCAGTTCTGTGAAGAAAGTCAATGGTAGCTTGATGGGGGTAGCATTGACTCTATAAATTACTTTGGGCAGTATGAGCATTTTCACAATATTGATTCTTCCTATCCATGAGCATGGAATGTTTTTCCATTTGTTTGTGTCCTCTCTTATTTCCTTGAGCAGTGGTTTGTAGTTTTTCCTGAAGAGGTCCTTCACATCCCTTGTAAGTTGTATTCCTAGGTATTTTATTCTCTTTGTAGCAATTGAGAATGGGAGTTCACTCATGATTTGACTCTTTGCCTGTTATTGGTCTTCTGCTCGCTTTTGAGTTTGCTTGTGATTTTTAATTCTGTATAGGAATGCTGTGATACATTGATTTTTGTATCCTGAGATTTTGCTGAAGTTGCTTATCAGCTTAAGGAGATTTTGGGTTGAGATGATGGGTTTCTCTAAATATACAATCATGTCATCTGCAAACAGAGACAATCTGACTTCCTCTTTTCCTAATTGAATACCCTTTATTTCTTTCTCTTGCCTGATTGCCCTGGCCAGAACTTCGAATGCTATGTTGAATAGGAGTGGTGAGAGAGGGCATCCTTGTCTTGTGCTGGTTTTCAAAGGGAATGCTTCCAGTTTTTGCCCATTTAGTAGGATATTGGCTGTGGGTTTGTCATAAATAGCTCTTATTATTTTGAGATATGTTCCATTAATACCTAGTTTATTGAATAACTTGAAGGGTTGTTGAATTTTGTCGAAGGCCTTTTCTGCTTCTATTGAGACAATCATGTGGTTTTTGTCATTGGTTCTGTTTATGTGATGGATTACATTTATTGAGTTGCGTATGTTGAACCAGCCTTGCATCCCAGGTATGAAGCTGACTTGATCATGGTGAATAAGCTTTATGATGTGCTGCTGGGTTCAGTTTGCCATTATTGAGGATTTTCGCATCGATGTTCATCAGGGATATTGGCCTGAAATTTTCTCTTTTTTGTTGTGTCTCTGCCAGGTTTTGGAATCTCTGCCAGGTTTTGGTATCAGGATGATGGTGGCCTCATAAAACGAGTTAGGGAGGATTCCCTCTTTTTCTATTGTTTGGAATAGTTTTAGAAGGAATGGTACCAGCTCCTCTTTGTACCTCTGGTAGAATTTGGCTGTGAATCCGTCTGGTCCTGGACTTTTTTTGGTTGGTAGGCTATTAATTGCGTCCTCAATTTCACAACTTGTTATTGGCCTATTCAGGAATTTGACTTCTTCCTGGTTTAGTCTTAGGATGGTGTATGTGTCCAGGAATTTATCCATTTCTTCTAGATTTTCCACTTTATTTGCGTAGAGGTGTTGATAGTATTCTTTGATGGTAGTTTGTATTTCTGTGGGATCAGTGGTGATATCTCCTTTATCATTTTTTATTGCGTCAATTTGATTCTTCTCTCTTTTGTTCTTTATTAGTCTGGCTAATGAATCCAGCTCCTGGATTCATTGATTTTTTTTGAAGGATTTTTCGCGTCTCTGTCTCCTTCAGTTCTGCTCTGATCTTAGTTATTTCTTGTCTTCTGCTCGCTTTTGAGTTTGTTTGCTCTTGCTTCTCTAGTTTAGTTGTGATGTTAGGGTGTTGATTTTAGATCTTTCCCGCTTTCTCTTGTGGGCATTTAATGCTATAAATTTCCTCTACACACTGCTTTAAATGTGTCCCAGAGATTCTGGTACATTGTGTCTTTGTCCTCATTGGTTTCAAACAACATCTTTATTTCTGCCTTAATTTTGTTATTTACCCATAGTCATTCAGGAGCAGGTTGTTCAGAAGCAGGTTTTTCAGTTTCCATGCAGTTGTGTGGTTTTGAGTGAGTTTCTTAATCCTGAGTTCTAATTTGATTGCATGTGGTCTGAGAGACTGTTATGATTTCCTTTCTTTTGCATTTGTTGAGGAGTGTTTTACTTCCAATTATGTGGTGAGTTTTAGAATAAGTGCGATGTGTTTCTGAGAAGAATGTATATTCTGTTGATTTGGGGGTGGAGAGTTCTGTAGATGTCTGTTAGGTCTGCTTGGTCCAGAGCTGAGTTCAGTTCCTTGATATCCTTGTTAATTTTCTGTCTCGTTGATCTGTCTAATATTGACAATGTGGTGTTAAAGTCTTCCACTATTATTGTGTGGGAGTCTAAGTCTCTTTGTAGGTCTCTAAGAACTTGCTTTATGAATCTGGGTGCTCCTGTATTGGGTGCATATATATTTAGGATAGTTAGCTCTTGTTGCATTGATTCCTTTACCATTATGTAATGCCCTTCTTTGTCTCTTTTTGATCCTTGTTGGTTTAAAATCTGTTTTATCAGAGACTAGGATTACAACCCCTGCTTTTTTTTGCTTTCCATTTGCTTGGTAAGTATTCCTCCATCCCTTTATTTTGAGCCTATGTGTGTCTTTGCACATGAGTTGGGTCTTCTGAATACAGCACACTGATGGGTCTTGACTCTTTATCCAGTTTACCAGTCTGTGTCTTTTAATTGGGGCATTAACCCATTTACATTTAAGGTTAATATTGTTATGTGTGAATATGATCCTGTCATTATGATGTTAGCTGGTTATTTTGCTTGTTGGTTAATGCAGTTTATTCATAGTGTTGATGGTCTTTGCAATTTGGTATGTTTTTGCAGTGGCTTATACTGGTTGTTCCTTTCCATGTTTAGTGCTTCCTTCAGGAGCTCTTGTAAGGCAGGCCTGGTGGTGACAAAAATCTCTCAGCATTTGCTTGTCTGTAAAGGATTTTATTTCACCTTCGCTTTGAAGCTTAGTTTGGCTGCATATGAAATTCTGGGTTGAAAATTCTTTTAAGAATGTTGAGCTGGGCGTGGTGGCTCACGCCTGTAATCCCAGCACTTTTGGAGGCTGAGGCGGGCAGATCATGAGGTCAGGAGTTCGAGACCAGCCTGACCAACATGGTGAAACCCCGTCTCTACTAAAAATGCAAAAATTAACTGGGTGTTGTGGCGCACGCCTGTGATCCCAACTACTCAGGAGGCTGAGGCTGGAAAACTGCTTGAACCCGGGAGGTGGAGGTTGCAGTGAGCTGAGACTGCACCACTGCACTCCAACCTGGGTGACAGAGCAAGACTCCATCTCAAAAAAAAAAAAAAAAAAAAAAAAAAGAATGTTGAATATTGGCCCCTACTCTCTTCTGGGCTTGTAGGGTTTCTGCTGAGAGATCTGGTGTTAGTCTGATGGGCTTCCCTTTATGGGTAACTTAGTCTGATGGGCTTCCCTTTATGGGTAACCTGAAGTTTCTCTCTGGTTGCCCTTTACATTTTTTCCTTCATTTCACCCTTGATGAATCTGACGATTATGTGTCTTGAGGTTGCTCTTCTTGAGGAGTATCTTTGTGGTGTTCTCTGTATTTCCTGAATTTGAATGTTGGCCTGTCTTGCTAGGTTGGGGAAGTTCTCCTGGATAATATTCTGAAGAGTGTTTTCCAACTTGGTTTCATTCTCCCCATCACTTTCAGGTACACCAATCGTGTAGATTTGGTCTTTTCACATAGTCACATATTTCTTGGAGTCTTTGTTCATTTCTTGTCACTCTTTTTTCTCTAATCTTGTCTTCTCGCTTTAATTCATTGAGTTGATCTTCAATCTCTGATATCCTTTCTTCTGCTTGATCGATTCGGCTATTGATACTGTGTATGCTTAATGAAGTTCTCTTACTGTGTTTTTCAGCTCCATCAGGTCATTTATGTTCTTCTCTAAACTGTTTTTTCTAGTTAGCAATTTGTCTAACCTTTTTTCAAGGTTCTTAGCTTCCTTGCATTGGGTTAGAATACGCTCCTTTAGCTCGGAGGGGTTTGTTATTACCCACCTTCTAAAGCCTGCTTCTGTCAATTCATCAAACTCATTCTGTGTCCAGTTTTCTTCCCTTGCTGGTGAGGAGTTGTGATCCTTTGGAGGAGAGGAAGTGTTATGGTTTTTGGAGTTTTCAGCCTTTTTGTGCTGGTTTCTCCCCATCTTTGTGGATTTATCTACCTTTGGTCTTTGATGTTGGTGACCTTCAGGTGGGCTCTATGAGTGGACGTCCTTTTTGTTGATGCTGATACTATTCCTTTCTGTTAGTTAGTTTTCCTTCTTACAGGCCCCTCTGCTGCAGGTCTGCTGGAGTTTGCTGGAGGTCCACTCCAGACCCTGTTTGCCTGGGTATCAACATCGGAGGCTGCAGAACAGCAAAGATTACTGCCTGTTTCTTCCTCTGCAAGCTTTGTCCCAGAAGGGCACCCGTCAGATGCCAGCCAGAGGTCTCCTGTATGAGATGTCTGTCGGCCCCTACTGGGAGGTGTCTCCCAGCCAGGATACACAGGGGTCAGGGACCCACTTGAGGAGGCAGTCTGTCCCTTATCAGAGCTCGAACGCTGTGCTGGGAGAACCAGTGCTCTTTTCAGAGCTGTCAGGCAGGGACGTTTAAGTCTGCTGAAACTGCGCCCACAGCACCCCTTCCCCCAGTTGCTCTGTCCCAGGGAGATGGGAGTTTTATTTATAAGCCCCTGACTGGGGTGCTGCCTTTTTTTTTTAGAGATGCCCTGCCCAGAGAGGAGAAGTCTAGAGAGGCAGTCTGGCTGCAGCGGCCTTGCTGAGCTGCAGTGGGCTCTGCTCACTTTGAACTTCCCAGTGGCTTTGTTTACACTGTGAGGGGAAAACTGCCTACTCAAGCTTCAGCAGTGGCGGACGCCCCTCCCCCTACCAAGCTCAAGCATCCCAGGTCAGGGTCAGACTGCTGTGCTGGCAGCGAAAATTTCAATCCTGTGGATCTTAGCTTGCTGGGCTTTGTGGGGGTGGGCCCCGCTGAGCCAGACCACTTGGCTCCATGGCTTCAGCCCCCTTTCCAGGGGAGTGAACGGTTTTGTTTTGCTGGCATTACAGGTGCCACTGGGGTATGAAAAAAAAAAAAAGCTCCCGCAGCTAGTTTGGTGTCTGCCCAAATTGCCGCCCAGTTTTGTGCTTGAAACCCAGGGCCCTGGTGGGGCAGGCACCGGAGGTAATCTCCTGGTCTGCCTGTTACGAACACTATTGGAAAAGTGCAGTATCTGGGCTGGAGTGCACTGTTCCTCCCCGTACAGTCTCTCATGGCTTCCCTTGGGTAGGGGAGAGAATTCCCCAACCCCTTGTTCTTCCTGGATGAGGCAATGCCCCACCCTCCTTTGGCTCACCCTCCGTGGGCTGCACCCACTGTCTAACCAGCCCTAATGAGATGGACCAGGTACCTCAGTTGGAAATGCAGAAATCACCCACCTTCTGTGTAGACCTCACTGGGAGCTGCAGACCAGAGCTGTTCCTCTTCAGCCTTTTTTTTTTTTTTTTTTTTTTTTTGAGACGGAGTCTCATTCTGTTGCTCAGGCTGGAGTGCAGTGGCACGATCTCGGCGCGCTGCAACCTCCGTCTCCTGGGTTCAAGCAATTCTCCTGCCTCAGCCTCCCAAGTAGCTGGGATTACAGGTGCCGGCCACTATGCCTGGCTAATTTTTGTATTTTTAGTAGAGACAGGGTTTTGCCATGTTGGCCAGGCTGGTCTCAAACTCCTGACCTCAGGTGATCCGTCCGCTTCAGCCTTAACTGGCGTGAGCCACTGCACCCAGCCAGTTACCCATGACTTCTAAACACTTTAACACTCTTTGCATATATGCTGTTATAGTAGCTGCCTCGTGTAATATAAGCAGATTAAGGATGTCCTTAACTTGGCAATACTCTAAAATTGCATATATGGCAACATCTAATTTATCTAGGGAATGATGAGTGCATTTCCTACATATATTTAAGCACTAAAACTTAAATTACTAGTTTTGATGGAAACGAGTTTCAAGCATTACATAATATGTACATTGCCTTTCAAGTGATCCGGGTCTTTACTTTGAATATATTCTATTGTTGTATATCATGAAACTGACCCCTTTAGGAATTTACGAGTTGTGTGTGGCTAGCTGCCTAGACCCTAATGGATCCAGAATGCTCGGAGTCTTCTGCTTTTCCCATTTACTCATATTGATCTCTGATCTGCTGTTTTGCTTTATATGTAGTTGTTTTGTCCCATGGTTATGGGGCATTTTTATCTCCCTTCTGGACTAAAGTGCTTGGACTGTGAGCTCTCAGTCACTCAGAAGCCTTTCAGACCTACCTCCAGGGTTATCTTCCAGATGGTTGAAACAGCGAAGAATTGGTCTGTGAAGAAACTCAGAAAGATACTGCTAAATCTAGGCAGATTAAAGACAGAGGGTCTACTGCCAACTCTAACATATCAGAATTCTCACTAAACGCAAACATCGCCCTCCACACTAAAGTTATAGCTTAGCAAATAAGTTACTGACGTAGGGTGATTCTGTGAGTGTGTACTGTTAGCCCAGACTTGTACAGCATGGGAGAAAGAGAATTTAACAAAAGAAGTTATTTTTCAATGGGAAAAAAGCTCATCATTTTGAAATCTCTTAAAATAATTTAGGAAATTATTTCAGGGGAAATTTCTTGACTTAGGGTATAAAGTTAAATTTTATTTGTAATATAATTAGTGATCTTTTTTCTTTATATATAAAATAGACTAAAAGTAAATTCCTGTTATCAACTATCCATTACTAAGGGGTTAGCTCTAGGAATATTGGATAACCAGCATACAGTTAAAACCAAACTTACTCAGTAGTCAGTTGAAAGGTATCCTTTATCTTTAAACATAGCCATAAAACCTGGAACTGAGCAAGGGGGAAAAGGATGACCTGTGTGTGGCCAACAACTGTTACCAAACCTGTGCATTTAAGGGCTCAGGAAACTTGCCTGGTTTTCCTTGCACATCATTGGCTGTCCCTTATTCTCTGTTGCTAGTCCCTCCTCTCCGCTTGCTCTGAACAGTGCGTGCCGTAGAAGTCAGTCCACGGACCTCTTCTCTTCTGTAGTTGGTTTCTCCCTTGGGAATCGCATCCAGTCTTATGGCTTCAAATACCACCTACCTGCTGTTCCTCTCTAGCTCAGATGTTTTTCTTCTATAATCCACATTTATATATCCAACTGTCTCCTTCACATCTCCACTTGGATATCCATTAGGTACCTAGAACTAAAGTCTGAAATTAAACTTTCTCATCTTCCCTCAAGCTTACTTTTCAAACATCTCAGTAAAGGGTGACTCCCATTTAGCAATTCCTCAGGGCAAAATCTTGACTCCTCTTTGCCACACAGAGCTCAACCTTCATATTCTCTGGGATCCTCTTTCATTCTGTAGACTGTGGTTTCTGTATGTGACTAGACTTTTTGAGGATAACAACCCTTCTTCAGCAAAACAATTTGCTCTAGCATTTGGTTACACACACACACACACCACAATTTGATTTCTATATTTTTCAAAAATGTTAGTAACATGTAATTCTCTAATAACATCATCTTTGGCACTGATTCCATCTAGATTGGAATTTCATATGGTGAAACCGTGATGATTTCATGCAATCCAGTGATGTTCAAAGTAAGATGGCACCAAATTTCACATACATGGTGTTGGCATGATTTCTATCCAACCAAATACCTGTTGACTTAATTCATGACTCAAAACTGTATTAGAAAATGTGATAGACCCATTTGCTAATGCTTCAATTAAAAGAAAGGGCCTAATTCTAACTAGGCATCTGTTGGTTATTTTAGTTTGAACTGTTATTTGGAAAATCTCCCAAATATATGTTTAATCTTTTTCTATTTTTCTTCTTTCTCTTTGGCCAGCATTACTTAGAGCCTCCAGTGAAGCTGAATGAAGCTCTAGAGAGATACGGACTTAACGCTGAAGATTTTTTTGTCTTGAAGCATGGAGAATCAAGATACCTAAATAATGATGATGAAAACTTTTAATAAATGTGAGCACAGGCACTTTTAATGAAAAAGGCATCATCTAAGTTTAAAAACAAATGAAAAGACTTAGAAATTCATGAATATTGTGATTATTTTACATTTGGAAACAACTTCTGCAAGTTTATGTTTTATGTTTTGTGTAATAACTTGCTTCCTAGTATGATCAGCTCATGTACACTATGAGAGGGTTCAGGGGTGGGTCATTTAAATAATGAATTGGCTAATGTGGATTTTAAATTTCATATCATGATATAAGCACTGCAATGGAAATGTTTTTACTAAAACATTATATTTTTGTGGTACTAGAATTTCCTGAGGTGAAAAACCGATATTGAAGATTCATTTTTCTTTTTTCCATTCTTCAGGACCTTCGGCAAGGTGAGTCAAGGCTCTCTACCTACCTAGATGTTTTTCAGAGGCCTACAAATACAAGTATCTTTCTTATATGCACATTCTAATAAATGATGAAATTCAGTCCAACATGCTTATTATAAACATAGCAATTCTTGCTCTATCAAATTAGCTTATATGCCAAATATTAAATATGGTTTATTTAGGTAAGCATAAAAACATAGGGGCTATCATTTTTAAAGACTTGATTTTCTCTATTGTGGTAAAATATATAAATACATATTTGCCATTTTAAACATTTACCATTTTAACCATTTTTAAGTGTACAGTTCTTTCGCATTAATGCACCCATGACCACCATTCACTTAAATTTTTAAAAGAACAGTATATTCTTTTTTTCCTAGAGCCTTCAGATGAGAGGGAACAGTATATTCTATTGCACGTCTACAATTCCCAAAAGACCTCTTACTTTGGGAGGCCAAGGTGGGTGGGTCACTTGAACCCAGGAGTTTGACATCAACCTGGGCAACATGGTGACCTCCCGTCTCTCTCGGAAAAAAAAAAAGAAAAAAGAAAAAGCCGGGTGAGGTGGTGTGTACCTGTAGTCACAGGTACTTGGGAGGCTGAGGTGGGAGGATCACTTGAGCCCAGGAGATAGAGGCTGCAGTGAGCTGTGATCGTACCACTGCACTCCAGCCTGGGCGACAAAATGAGACCCTGTCTCAAAAGAAAGCCCTCTCCTTAGCTGAGCAGAGGAAGGGAAGGAGTGTGGCTATGAGAATATGATTTATGCCATTTTCTGTTTTTAAATCTAGAAGATCTTCTAAGCACAAATACAGCTACAATGAAATATTTTACAGACAAAATGTTAATAGACCATATTCTTTGAATTAAATTTGTTTTTAATTTTCTCTACACATTTTTTTTTTCCTGGAGTCTCTTAGCTCTAAATATATCAATCAGATTTATAATTTTTTTTACCTGATTCAGATGTCTTACATTTTTATATTAAATGAACCTTAAGCATGATTCTTTTGGTAAGCCAGTATGAATGCCAGTGGTTGGGGGGCGGGGGGGGAGTCAGTTGACATAAGATTTAGTCCTAATAAGGACTCTGTATTCACTTGATTATTCTGACCCTTCCTAAGGGAGGGAGGTGGATTAGATACCACTGGAGGCCCATTCTGTATTCCTAATCCAGTCTCAGCACTTTATTCATACAAAATAATCAAAATAGGTTTTCTACACCAAATGCTACCCAGGCAGTGCTCTATAATTTATTTGCACACCTGTATGTGTGGTGCCACGTTAGCCACTAAATCTGAACTTTTACCCTGCTTTCATCATGGATTTTTTTGTGTAACCTGAAACAAGTCACCAGTGCTCACTGTGCCTGTTTCCTCATTTGCAACAAGAGGATAATTCCGACCTACCTCTGAAAAATGTGTAGATTAAATGAGTTTTTAAAGCACTTTAGAAAATATAAGGGAGAAAATGATTTCTTAAGATATCACTGCCTAATATAGACAGGTATATTTGAAAGCTAAATACAGGTTAATGCTTTTGATAATGTATTGTTCCTGTTGCAAATTTAAGCATTATATATTAGGAGACTAAACATTGAAAACTTTCACTGATTTTTAAATTGGAGTAATAGCCTAAATAAGTGTAAATAATCTTTATCAAAATTTAGTGTTTATCTACAAAGATGCGAATCAGTCAAGGGGAAATGTGTATGCAATGTGTGTGTATATGATGTATGCGAACATATGTGATTTTGGGGTACTAAAGCACAAAAAAATCCCCCATAAAATAAACCTTCCTGAAAAGACTGATCATAAACTTTTTCACTCCAAGCAGATGTGAATCAAGATGTTAGGTTTATGGTGAGTTAGCTTTGAGGTGTGTTGCCCTAATACTAGCCAGCGTTGTTGTAGCCATATTCCCTGCTGCTGCACGCCGAATTGAAAATCCATCTCTTACCTCTTCTCTATGAAGCAAGCCAGGTATGTCTTGCTTAAGTATTTCTTCTCCATGAATGGCCTTAACATTATTTTGTATTCACGTGTACTGTTTAACTGAGGGTCTCAAAGCACTTTAAACTGTTGTGTTCTATTTCCACTCGTCTGGCCTGCCTCATTTTTCTAGGCCCTTTTGTAAGCTGTAATTTTTTATTACCACTCATGTTCTTTCTACACTGACACTATTCATTAAGAACATCAAGCTTCATCTCTGCTTACAGAATCTCACCTTATTGAGTGGGTTCCACTTTATTTTTCATTTGTTATCTACATTTTGAAGGGTTTATGTGCAAAGTGAAAACAAATTTTGAAAAATAAGACAAATCCATTCTCTTCTTCAATTCAGTCTAATATGCATTGTAGTGTCTTTTAATCAGTCTTATCCTCTAAGTCAACTTCATTTTCCTCTTCGTGAATACCCATAGCAATATGTAAGATTTTATTGAAGTTTCCTGTGATAACTGAGGAATACTTTGCTATGCCTCACTGCCCAATAGGGTGGGTCATCAATTAGGAGAAATCCCAAATTATAAAAGCCAACATATGCCGTGACCTACGTAGGAAAAGATGTATTTGTGCATCTTCTTTCTGGGTAGTTAAAAATTACTCCCTCTTTTCTCTAGCATTTTGACATTTCAGACTCAATGCTCTGATCTCTAGGGAGTGTGATTATTCAAACTAATGAGAGGACAAGAAGACACAGTTTTAGAATCTACTGCTGCTAAAGCACATTAAAAACAAATCCTGGTTTTTAATGTATGCATAGTTTCATATTTAATGAATATGCTTTCATTAAATAGGGAGGTAGATTTGAAAAAACCGTTATAAAGAAATGTGCCTTTTGGGGAATGAATACTTTTGTTCATGTCTAGCCCACTGGGAATTTTGTTTTCACCTTATACTGAGTCCTTTTTCTAATGTAAAAATATTTCTTCCAAGTTTGATTTCTGTATCAGGGTAACATTGAGAACACACATATTTCTGTTTGAGGATTTGTGACTTCCTATGGAAACAGTCTTGCATCTATGTATTTACAAATGAAATTTAAAGTATTCTTAAAGCTTTGCCTTAAATACTGCTTGCATACTGATTTACTTAATGCTAAGCATGGCAGGGGTTATAAATTTAAATACTATAAGACCTGGCTGAATCCCAGATGTATCAATAAATTGTTATAGTAGCTTATGGAAAATGCTATTAAAGATAAATTTTCATACATTGTATTTTTAGTCAAGTAAAATATGGATGAAAATTAATAAAGTACTGTCAAGGGAAAAAATATGTATAACCTTGTAAGTGATTTTTCTCCCCTTTATTAAAAAAAGATTATACAATTTGGGCTCATATTAAAAAATTCAAACAGTAGAACAGTGTGTACGTAGAAGGCATTCCCCACTCCCACTCCAGGAGTTTGGGTATCATTCTAGAAGTGTTCTGTCAATACATAAGCATTTTTCATTCAAACACACACACACACACACGGGATCCCATATTCTATAATTTTTGTGTTTTAAAAAACCACCATATTTCATAGATATCTTTCCACTTAAGCACATTCGGAGCTCCATCATTTTTTTTTTTTTTTGAGACAGAGTTTTGCTCTTGTTGCCCAGGCTGGAGTGCAATGGCGCTATCTCAGCTCACTGCAACCTCTGCCTCCCGGGTTCAAGCAATTCTCCTGCCTCGGCCTCCCAAGTAGCTGGGATTACAGGCATGCACCACCATGCCCAGCTAATTTTGTGTTCTTAGTAGAGACAGGGTTTCTCCATATTGGTCAGGCTTGGTCTCAAACTCCCGATCTCAGGTGATCTGCCCGCCTCAGCCTCCCAAAGTGCTGGGATTACAGGCAAGAGCCACCGCGCCCAGCACGGTCTTTTCAAAGACCAGATAATTTATTTAACCAACTGTCTAAAGATGGACATTGTGATTGATCACACTATTTTATATATAACATTGAATGGAGTGGGTGAGTCCTAAGAAACATTCTCTCCTAAAAGTTTACATTTTTCATTGACTAGAAGTGACCAAAATAGATTCTACTGATGAGAAAAGACTTTTGAAAGCAGTATGGTCAGGTTGGCAGGTGAATGGCCTCAAGAGCTTAGGATTTCGTTGCTACTAAAAGAACAAGACTATTCAGTTGTGAAACAATGATTTAGTCAAATACTGATGCTGTCTCAGATGAGTAACTGCAAATCACTTCAAAAGGTAGAAGGGTAGCTTAAATGTGAAAAAGGTTACTGCCACTTCATGTAGGGAAGATAACAAGCATTTGCAAATAGCAAAATAGAAAGAAATAAATGGTTTCAGTACAAGCTCTTATATTCACTTGGCATCAAAATAGTCCAAAATAAATCTGAGAACCACGGCAAGTTATAGCTGTGTTAATGACAAAATGTGATATTTACTGTTTAAATTTAGCAGCTGGGAGAATCCCCTTATAAGGAAGACAGAAAATACGTTTATATCCAGACTGCATTACTCTTTGGAAAAATATGACCAATCAGATTTTGGGTATTATTGTTACAACCTTTTCCTTCACCTCTGCATCATGGTGATCAACTAAAGCTCTTATTTTCTGGGCACATTCTTCTCCATGTAACAGGAAAAACAATGAACCTTCAGTGAAAGTAGGCTGCACAGCTAAATGGCCTTCTATTTTGAGGCAGTTCTTTATATTCTGAAATAGCGTAAGTACTCGAAGAAGAATCTCCTTTGCTACGTGGCTGTCATAAAGGGAAAGGAATGATGAATCCACCTGAAATATGAAACAATGAGTATTATTTTATATTAATAATATATGAAAACTTTTTCATGTATATTTTAACATTTTAAAACTACATTGAATAACTCACATTTTAAAATTTTTAAATTCACATTTAAAATGTATCTCACATTAAAAAAATTTTGTCACAGAAAACCCAAAATTTCATAACTTAGATGTATAAAACCTTATGTACCCCCACGCTGTAATACTAATGGAAAAAAGGGAGTGTTTCAGCTGGAAAAATACAATTTCCTTGGAATTTTAGAATGTGGTTATTTGGGAAAAACAACCATTTTCTTTTTTAAGATCATCATACGGTTTTCATGGGAACTCATTTTTTCATCAAACATTTAGTGCCCATACACCACAGGGCACAGAGCTGGGTGGGGAATAGGGATGAGCAGATGAATACGATGGTTCCTCTTCTACAGGAGTGGAGCTCCATTCTATCCCAGCATTCAGAACACTTATCACAGCTTTTAATTACCTTGTTCACTTGTTATATATTTTTGTCTCTCCACTAGACTGTAAGCTTCGTGAGGACATGTACCATGTCACGCTGTGCTCACTGGTGTGTCTCATCTAGCATATGCTGGGGACTCAGTACTGCTGTTTCAGTGGATACTAAGATACATGTAAACACAAACAGTTCAAGTATAAAATATGGGATGGCACAATTGTACCCAAAATTGGGTAGAGAAAAAAGTTATAATTTATTGTTGCTAGGGTGAATTTTTAAAAATGTTTTTCAAAAGTAAAAGAGGCTCATTGCAAAAAATTTAGGAAATTTACACATACAAAATGAATTTAAAAAACCACCTTTAATACTGCTCCTCAGAGAGAATCCCTGTTAACATTTTAGGCTTAATCTTTCCAGATCTGTCTGTCTGTTCAAATGTATATATGTGTATATTTACAAAATAAATATATAAGCTATTTACTTGGGCACGGAGAAGTCCTTCTGTCATGGCTGGATTTTCAGACAAATTCAAAAGCAGTTTCAAAACTTGCACCTGAAAGAAGATGATACTGGCTTATCTCAGACTGGCAAGCATGAATTTTCTCTCTCAGGCATGCTGTTCTCTCACCATGTCTTCCTGTTAAAGTCCTGCCTAAGCTTCCAGGCCTGGCTCAAATTCTCTCTACTCCAGGAAACCTTCTCCGTTCATTCTACTTTAAAGGTCTCATTCTGAACTCTTATAACACTTGGCAGCACTCTTAGAGAACCTATCATAGAACAGTGTTATTTAAACCTCATTTTTCCAATTACATCGTTAGGGAGATAGAGAGAATATTGCAAATGTCTTGTACCACTCTTAGAGAACTTATCACAGAGATACAGGTTTTCTATCACACGGTTATTTAAACCTAATTTTTCCCAATTATAATGTCAGGGAGATAGAATATTGCAAATGTCTTCACAATCTACCCCCAATTCACATGCACATCTGAACAGTTGGTAAGCTTAACATCTGTTAAATACACGATCTTCATTATGATTACTGGTAAGTGAAGTATGGCCAGGCATGATGGTGTCGGCCTGTAGTCCTAGGTACTTGGGAAGCTGAGCGGGGGAGGATCTCTTGAGCCTTCCCATCTCAAGGATGTTCAAGTTCAAGGATGTAGTAAGCTATGATTGTGCCTGTGAACAGCCACTGCACTCCAGCCTGGGCAATATAGTGAGACCCTTAGACCCCATCTTCACCCCCGACAAAAAAGAAATAAAGAAATATAATCTTTAAAACAACAACAAAAAAATCTCTCAAAGCTCAGCTCATTTCTACTTAAACAGTAAAAATTTTGGAACTGTTTGGTTACCAAGACTAAATAAATAACAATATGGCCCCTTTTGGTAAGCTACCATGAATTTTTGAGGTTATCTTTTAATGTGAAAGTGTTTTACAATCATATAAATAAGCACAGTGATAAAAACTGATAGATCGGTTGATTGATTGAGATGGGGGTCTCACTATATTGCTGAAGCTGGTCTTGAACTCCTGGCCTCAAGCAATCCTCTCACTTTGGCCTCCCAAAGTAACTAGGATTACAGGCAATGAGCCACCATGCCCAGCAATGATATAAATAATAAGCAAATAAATGTTATCTAATGGGTGACTAGCTAAAATATCAGCATTCTTATCACTTATAACTGAAAAGTCAGTAATAACAAGACTCAAATAGAATGCCTCTTTTTAATTTATTAATTATTATTCTTAAGTTTTAGGGTACATGTGCACAATGTGCAGGTTAGTTACATATGTATACTTGTGCCATGCTGGTGCACTGCACCCACTAACTCGTCATCTAGCATTAGGTATATCTCCCAATGCTATCCCTCCCCCCTCCCCCCACCCCACAACAGTCCCCAGAGTGTGATGTTCCCCTTCCTGTGTCCATGTGTTCTCATTGTTCAATTCCCACCTATGAGTGAGAATATACAGTGTTTGGTTTTTTGTTCTTGCGATAGTTTACTGAGAATGATGATTTCCAATTTTGTCCATGTCCCTACAAAGGACATGAACTCATCATTTTTTATGGCTGCATAGTATTCCATGGTGTATATGTGCCACATTTTCTTAATCCAGTCTATCATTGTTGGACATTCGGGTTGGTTCCAAGTCTTTTAAAAACAAAGGCCATGTGAAACCATACTTTCTACAAGATACCTGGAACTAAAATAAGCATAGAGGGGGGTACTAACTCAGGGAAATGGGACAAATGTGCTCTTCACTAGAGCTGGGAAGGAACCTGGATATTATTTTAGAAAAATTTTTTATTACAAAGGCAACAGATGTTTACCATAGCACTTTCAAAAAAATAGAAAACCACAAAGAAAAAGAAAATTTACCCGTATTTACATAACCAGAAATGATCACGATTAAGTGTTGGTATTTTTGGCCAGGTGCGGTGGCGCATGCCTGCATTCCCAGCACTTTGGGAGGCCAAGGTGGGCAGATCACTTGAGCTCAGGAGTTCAAGAGCAACATGGGCAACATGGCAAAACCCCGTCTCTACCAAAAATACAAAAATCAGCCAGGCGTGGTGGCATGTGACCAAAGTCCCAGGGAGGCTGAGGTAGGAGGATTGTTTGAGCCTGGAAGCTCAAGGCTGCAGTGAGCAGAGATCATGCCACTGCAATCTAGCCTGGGCAACAGAGTGAGATTCTGTGTCAAAAAAGAGAAAGAAAAGTTTTAGTATTTTCTTTTTGGTCTTTTATGCAAATATCCTGTATAGTCACAATTTCTTTGATCATGTTGTAGATACTAATTTATTTGAGGATGACATAATACTTTGCTTAATTTTACTGTTTTTATCAAATATTTCTTTATTTTTAGAAAATTACTACTTGGTCATGATAAAAATTTTAAGTAATGCAAAAGAGAACAAGGTAAAAACAAAAGCCACCATGCTTTTGGCCCCTTCCAATCCTCAGCAGTGTCCACTGGTAACATTTCTTGAATATGCAGAGATTGTCTTTTTCAAAGAGATGCTATTAATAAATTAAGGCCTCTGGGGTTGAAAGAGTAAAGGAGACTTCTGACCCTTCTTTAGTGCACTCCGTGGAGGTCACTATCAGATCTCATCTGGCCTGACTGACTATCAGCAACACTAGGAATAAGTGTTAGGAAAAAAACACCTGGCTCCAATGTCAATGAAGTTTCAATTAGAAAAATAGGAACAGGAGGTATGAAATAGGATGGTCCTGAACTTACGAAATAAGCCTGGATGAAGTCAAAATCTAAGACCCACTAATAGTCAATGAGGGCAGGTATACAACCAGGGAATAGCAACAGCAATAGCTATTTGGTATCCTGTATTAAAATCTGATGTTGCTATTCTTTGTAGAAGGGAGTTAAATATGAGAAAAAAATATATATACAGTTAGAGTACAACTACAGATTAAACAAATATATGGATTTTGGTTTGAAACCATATTAAGACATGTTTTTTTTCCTCGTCACATGCACCATCTTGTGGTGACACTAGGACATTTTAAACCATTAGTTTTGTTTTCATTGAGGATGTAACAAGCACACAGTTTATGTTAATCCTCCACTATCTGCATTAAGTTATCAATCAGTGGTGTACCCAAACGGTTATTACAGTACAGTGAGATCCCTGACTTAAGCAAAATACGATATTTAAACATTCATTTTAGTGGTTATTTACTAAGAAAATACCTAAATCAGACACACTTTCCCACTAACAAATGGATGGCTATCCAAAAGTTCATTTGCAAGTTGGAACTTTAAACTCAATTTTTATGGAAAATCAATGTTGTAATTGGTAGGTATGTTCCAAGGCAGACCAAGAAAGCAAATTTTCTATCCTAGAAATACTGTACTAAGCAATGTAATGGAAAAACACAACACAACAAAACAAAAATAGAACATACTATTGTGGTCTGGGTCATCTTTTAAAAAGTCAAAAAATATATGAAAACACAGACGATGTCTGAGACAGATATATACAGCCCCAAGGCCAGACTTGCCTGGCTGAACTCAGCCTGGCTCTGGACTCAGAGTTCCTCCTGAGGTTCTGGGTAAAGCAGCTGCAGAGTCAGGCAGAGGAGAGATTTCTCCTACAGTGGCAACAACATACAGTAAAGAGGGAAGGAGTTTCCCCAGGGGTTCAGGGGCTGGAAGTTATCTTGTTCCACTGGAGACAGACATGCTGATGCACGTTGGAAACTGCCTGGGAATGGTGCAATATTGCTAGAAGACTACTCTTACATTTAATTTTCAATACCTTTTGGTACATCTTGGATCACATCCAAACAAGTTTGGCTATTGGAAAAGAGGAAAGTCCATGTACAAACACCTTGGAAACATAAAAGCAGGACTACAGTAAGACTCTCCTGTAATCACATCTTGATAAACTCAAAAATAACTGCAGTGATGTTGAATATTTGGAGTATGGCTTCACATTTGGTCTTTCTAAAATGCTTATGCATTTGTCTCTCAACTGTTCCAGAGAACACAGACTAACATGGTAAAAAGCCTTGATGAACAATCAACCCGACTTATCAGAACTTTTAATTAGCCTACAATCTATTTTTATGCTACTTTTTCTTGAAAAATGGCAATTGATAAGAATGCACACTAATATGAGAGATTTACTTAAGAAACTTTTTATAGGGCATCTCCTAAGGTCCTACTTAATTCAGCTCAATATCTGTTGCCTCTTATATCAACCTAACTGGACAGAGTGAAGCACTGAGACATCTTTCATATATTCAATTCACTTCATTTACTACAGCTTAAAAGTTGTTTTAGAAATATTTTTCAACAAATAACTGAATCAAAAAAATGATTTGTTAACCCTGAGGTAAGCAAAATATTCAACTAACCACTACTATTACTCAGACTCCTTTTAATCACAATGTTCCTATATTTGGTGGGGGGAAGCTAGCTTCTCAGAAAACCAAATGAACAGGAATCTGTTGATAAGTGAAACAACAGATGGTTTTCAAAAGTTAATTTTGCAATGGAATATTTGGGACTAAAAATAATATACTTTCTTGGGCCCATGTGAGTTTTTAATAAATCTTCCTCTTTGAGGCACATCAACTTAAGATAGGTGGCCTGCAAATACTATTTCAATGTTAATAAGCTTGACACAATAGCTCTTCATACCTTCGTGTTTCCATTTCCAGTAAGTAACACCTGGAACAGGTCTGTAATGTAACTGTGAAGCATGTGCTGGTGGTCATTGGTAACAGTCATGTTTGTCAACAATGTCAGTCCAGCCAGCTGCACAGCAGAGTTCAGAGGACCAGAGAAGACATCCTCACATACTTGACTGATGTATATCTGAAGGCAGGGGAGGAAAATGAGCATCTTAGAATCTCCAAAATTTTTCTACTGAACAGCCACTTTTCTGCACAGTGGAGTAGGGCTACTGCTCAGGATGGAACCGACTCCTCAAAAAATACGACTTTTTTTTTTTTTTTTTTTTTGAGACGGAGTCTCGCTGTCTCCCAGGCTGGAGTTCAGTGGCGCAATCTCAGCTTACTGCAAGCTCCGCCTCCTGGGTTCACGCCATTCTCCTGCCTCAGCCTCCAGAGTAGCTGGGACTACAGGCGCCCGCCACCACGCCCGGCTAATTTTTTTGTATTTTTAGTAGAGACGGGGTTTCACCATGTTAGCCACGATGGTCTCGATCTCCTGACCTCGCGATCCGCCCGCCTCGGCCTCCCAAAATTCTGGGATTACAGGCGTGAGCCACTGTGCCCGGCCAAAATATGAAATTTCTATCTGGCCCTCAAAAGTTGTTGACTTTTTAAAAGCTTCCTTTGGTAATTCCAGGCACAGTGCTTAGCATTTTACAAATACTCCTCACTTAATCCTGAAGACAACTCTAATGAGTTGGGTGTTGTACTATTACGGCTATCTTGCAGACAAGGACTTTTAAGTCTTTAAAGAGCTCGGGTCCCCTGCCCAATGTCAGACAGCAGGTGGGGATGCAATAGCCAAGCCCAGAGATCATGCTGTTAACACCAGTGGCTTCTCCCTGGTTGGAGGCCTCCCATCTTAGTCCACCTTTCGGTTTCAACTGGTCTGCGGTCTGCGCACACTGGGATCAGGGAAGAAGATGTGAGGCCATTTTGTATCATAGTAATAAGTACCTTAGCAGTAGGGTCTAGAGAGCTACATCATTTCAGAAGTAAAGAATGGGAGGATAATGTGAAACAGAATCTTTCCCTAGAATTAATCCTATCAAAAGTAAGCAGAACAAAATTATACTTGGCCTAAGGTTCTTATTTACCTAGGTGTGTATATATATATATATATATATATAATTCACCCCTTCATAATATTGTTAACTATCACTGGTAAAAAGTAATGCAATGCTGTAGTACTCTTGTATCATACATGACACAACTAAACTCAGTGTGATGGAAACTTTTCTGAAACTCTACTTTCTGTGTCTGGCCATGAGCTTTCTTTTTTTCCGGGGGGACAAGGTCTCACTGCCGCACAGGCTGCAATGCCACCATGCCCAGCTAATTTTTGTATTCTTTGTAGAGACAGGGTTTCACCATGTTGCCCAGGCTGGTCTCAAACTCTTGAGCTCAAGTGATCTGCCTGCCTCAGCCTCCCAAAGTGCTGAGATTACAGGTGTGCACCACCATGTCCGGCCTGGCCATAAGCTTTCTAGCTTACAAAAATTATGTTTTACAGATAACTACTAATCACTTAAGCAAATCTGAACTCCACCAAAAGTTCTAACTGCTAAGAAAATTTTCCTAATTTGAAGTGGTAAGTTACCAATTGTCCCATAAACAATTATTAATTTAAAAAAAATCCCAAATGTATCCATGTTACCATAGAAACTAAATGGCAGTAAAGCAATGAGAGATTAAACTTTTAATCTGGTTTCAAGATCTAAATTACATTTATTTTTAGAGACAGGGTCTCACTCTGTCACCTAGGCTGGAGTGCAGTGGTGTGATAACAGCTCACTGCAGCCTCAAATTCCCCCTGTCTCAGACTCCTGAGTAGCTGGGATTACAGATGCATGCCACTATGCCCAGCTAATAAATTTTTTTTTTTTTTTTAGAAATGGGTTCTCACCCAAACTGGTCAACACGGTGAGACCCCATATCTATTAAAAATACAAAAAATTGCAAGCGTGGTGGTGGGCACCTGTAATCCCAGCTACTCAGGATGCTGAGGCAGGAGAATTGCTTGAACAGGAGGCAGGGGTTGCAGTGAGCTGAGGTTGCACCACTGCACTCCAGCATGGGCAACAAGAGTGAGACTCCGTCTCAAAACAAAAACAAACAAAAATAAAGAAATGGGGTCTCACTATGTTGCCCAGACTGGTCTTGAACTCTTGGCCTCCAGCAATCTCCTGTCGTGGCTCCCAAGTGTTGGGATTACAGGTGTGAGCCACCACGCCTGGCCCTAATTTACATTTGAAAGTCAACTGGTTCTCTTTGGTTACAATTTAATTATACATCCATCCTTTAAAAACATGGCATTTATTTAGCTCTTTATAAATCATATACTTCTGTAAGATGCTGATGTCTTTCAAGGCATTTCCTAAAATGTGTGGACTGTTTACATCCTTATTATATCTGAATCTTTTTACCATTTCAATTATAATAACAAGATTACCAAATGGACCAGCTTAGTTATTCCTGCAGCTGTGTCCACCTCATCTTGTTCTGTTCTCTTGGAATTCTCTCCTTCCCCAACTCTACCTGTAGGGTAACATTCTCAAGAGCCAGGTCAGACTCCACCTCTTACAGAAACTTTTGGATGAAATCTCTCCTTTCTATGTACTCAATCATGTTTTACTTACATTTTTCTTTAAAGGACTTCATTATGTTCTGCCTTGACTTACAATTATTTAAGGACTTGCCTTATCCTTCCTTCCACCTTTCTTAGAACAAGAGTTGCATCATGCTCATTTGTATACTCTGCACCACAAAGCAGGAGGTTTGATAAATATTGAATTGAAATAACATAATTTCCTAATATTGCATTTTTCTGCTGACATTATCTGACCCTGGCCTGGTTCCTTTAGCACCCTTAGATTAAACTGAACCCCAACTCCAAAAGTCTTGTTGGCTGCAAAAGTTAGAAGCAGCCTGGCCAGCCTCCTTCAGTGGAATATGAAGGAGCCCTTGCAGATTTTGATTCCCACTCTAGAGCTTTTATCTAGATGACCATGGCAACTGAACAAAAGCTGGTGAGAGCTGTTAGAGTGTTTGAATTTGGTAGACCAGAAGTCCTGAAACTCAGTCAGATGTTGCAGTACCAGTTCCAAAAGACCATTAGTTGTAATCAAGGTTCATGCGTGTGGTGTCAACCCCATGGAGACATACATTTACTCTGGTATTTATAATAGAAAACCACCTTATTCTATGCTCAGATGTAACTGGGGTAACGGAAGCTGTTGGAGGGAATGCATCTACTTTCAAGAAAAGTGACAGTTTTCACTACCGGCACAATCTCTGGGAGCAGATTACGCTGTTTACAAACTGCCTGAAAAACTGGACTTTAAACAAAATGCTGCCATTGGTATCCCATATCTTACTGCATATCGAGCTCTGATTCACAGTGTCTGTATGAAAGCTGGAGAGTGTTCTGGTTCATGGGGCTAGTGGAGGAGCTGCAGTAGCAACATGCCAAATTGCTAGAGTTTATGTCTTAAAGGTTTTGGGCACAGTTGGTACTGAGGGACAAAAAGACTTTTGCAAAATGGAGCCCACAAAGTGTTTAATTACAAAGAAGTTAACTATGTTGATAAAATTAAGAAATGTGTGATAAGAAAGGAATTGATGTGATTATTGAAATAATAGCTAATATAAATCTTAGTAAATATGCGAATTGTTTGTCATATGGAAGATAAGTAATAGGTGTTGGCAACAGTGGTACCATTGAAATAAACCCATGGGACACTATGGCAAAAGAGTCTAGTAAAATTGTCGTTACTCTATTTTCCTCAACCAAGGAGGAATCTCAGCAATTTGCAGCAGCCTGTCAAGCTGGAATGGAAATTGGTTGGCTGAAACCTGTAATAAGTTCTCACTATATGTTGGAGAGGTGGCCCAGGCTCATGAAAATATCTCTCACGGCAATGGGGCTACTGTAAAAATGATTCTTCTCTTTTGATGATTAATTCTTTCATGGATTTCAGAGGTTGTCTTTTGCCCAGTTTTACTTACACAATCTTTTGTTTAATTAACATTCATTTGATCCAGTGAGTTTCTTATGGGAAAAAAGTAAGATTTTTCTTTGGAGAACTAAGCAAGTAGAGTAAAATTTATTTTATGGCTGGCAATATTTTTTTTTACCTTCTATTTCAAATCAGGAAATCTTCATAGTACAAAATAGCATGCTAGTGGTCTTCTGGCATTGGAGTGCATTCCAGAAATTCTTAACTGATACTTGATTAATTCTATACCTTTGATTAAAACATGCTAATTCAAAATAAGCGTTCTCAATTTCCAAGGACTTCCAATCCTACTTACTTTCATAAAGGTTCTTTAGTCTCTGATTAGCCATAACTGTATTGGACTCTAAAGATTTTCTGGACTAAAAAAAGACCCCTATTCCAAACTAATCTCATCTGGATCTATACGTCTTGTGGAAGGGCAAGAACACATAATTTCCAGGGCACTTTGCTAGTTTTCCAATATTTCTCCAAATATTAGAATATCCACTTCATTGGATATTCTAATTGATTGTCAATGACCCCATATATTCTGTGAGGACAGCAGCCTTATCTTTGGTATGACACTTGGTACATAGCCTCCAAACTGGTAATACTTCTTGACTGATCAGATTTTCAAAGTAGATTTAGAGTTACCTGTTTGTGTGATGGGGGTCATATATTTTTATTGAAATTAATAAGCTCACCAATTTGATACATTAAGAATGGTCTGCTTTTGCTTCATAGCATAGTAATCTGTAATTCTGTAGAAAATTAAATTTTCTAGTCTATATAGTACTTGCCTCTCATCACTTCTGCATAGCTCCTCACAGTTACTGCTTAACAGTGTTTTGGGCTGGAAGTCTTTATCTAAACTAAATACAGAGATTACCTCTTACAAATCTTGCCATCAACATTATATTCAAGGAAATAAAGTTTGGTTATTTGTTGTTTTTTTCTTCATAGGAGCACATCCTCCTGTCTCTTGTTTCGTGATTGTCTTGACCTGATTTGTTCTGTTGAATGACAATTTCTAGTTTGAACATGGGAGTCCTGTTTCAATAATAAACATAAAACACTGCTCTTTTCTATAACCAAGGGGTATCACTGGGTTCTGGCTATATATGCCATGGCTGAAGTGTTTTAACTGTTGGCATTTACCAAGTTAACTATTTTTTTTACAGGTTAACTGCCTCATAAATAACATTTTTGAAAAAGCATTAAAGCAATGTCAGTAACGTAGGTTAGCATTTTATGTGCATCCTAAAATGGAGGATTTCTCCCCATACAACAAGATAAAGGAACAGTTATTCTGTAAAAGTCAGTTTAATCTATTTGCACATTTGCCTCATCCATTGAAAGAGCTAAAGCATACAGTGACTTAACACTTTGCAATACACTCATACAGTACACTTAATTTCAAAGGCAAAACTAGCCAAACTGTATGCATTAACAACCATATTTATGAATATGTAGCATCGGATATGCTCCCTGAATGAATCTCTTGTAATACTAGTTCTAGTTCTAGCGCAAAGTCTTGTCCCAACTTTCAGCCAACTATATTCACTATTTGGTTGGTGCCTATAGCCTTAAGGCTATTACTGTCACCAGTGCCTGTCCCTGATGTAGAGGATAACCTGTAGAATAAACAAGCATTATTTTACTGAAACAAAAGTCTTATTGTACCTCTTATTGGCTAGTTCAGGTCCCTCCCTCTTCTGTCTTATTCTCCATTCCTCTAAAGGTAATCCTTGGCTGTAAAATTACAAAGGATAGTCTACTAAAGTTTCATTACTCATCTTTTTGTTATTTTTTATTTATAGAAAACCTTATACATTTGTGATTTTCAGTCAACTTACCTTTATCTTGATTTGATTTTCAACATTCACACTCAGGTTATTTAGTGCATTTAAAGCTTTCTCTTTAATACTCTGGTTGGAATGGTTGATTTTGTTTGCAACAATTGGAATACCACCCAATTCACGAATAATAGCCTACGAGGGGAAAAAAAAAAAAAAAGCAGGACTGGGACTTCAGTATGCATCTCCGTTCACTGAATTCTTTGCATCCACAAATACAATTAAAAATCAACGGCTTTTTGGAAATCTCTTTCCCATATACAAATATTTAATTCATATTTTAAAAAAATCTCACTACCCATACTTTTATAGGTAAAGAAAATCCATTGAAAATAAGATTATTAAGATATATAATTATTTAAACTACAATGTTGAGAAATACAATAAAAATTTATAGAGATACTATAACGATCTTGAAGCAACTTACAAATAAAATTATTTTTCTTTGAGATGAGTTATATGACTTCTCCATTATAGGCAAAACTGGAAAAGTGTTATAATTTAGAATACTAAAGTTAGTGTTTTGGATTTAGAATACTAAAGTAGTGTTTTGCTAACACGTATTATTTGAAACACTAATCCCTCAAAATGTTAAGAGATGTTCCATAAAAATAAGGGGGGGTGGTTTCCCATGGTTATCTAAGTTTAGGAAAATCTGAGTATAACAAGAGTAAGCATGTTTCTTTAATATGTCCATGTGCATTGGGAATCTTGAAGAGGGGTGTGTTGACGATAGTATGTCTATGAACTAAACACAAAAAAAGGGTCATTTTTTCAGCAGTGGAAGTGGTGGGAACGCACTGATATCTTGCAGAATCAGGTTCCACACAGTTTGAAAAATGGTACCCAGGGCCAGGCGCAGTGGCTCACACCTGTAATCCCAGCACTTTGGGAGGCCGAGATGAGTGGAACACTTGAGGTGAGGAGGTAGAGACCAGCCTGGCCAACATGGTGAAACCCCATCTCTACTAAAAATACAAAAATTAGCCAGGCGTGGTGGCCAGTGCCTGTAATCCCAGCTACTGGGGAGGTTAAGGCAGGAGAATCGCTTGAACCTGGGAGGAGGTTACAGTGAGTTGAGACTGCACCACTGCACTCCAGCCCGTGCAACAGAGTGAGACTCTGCCACAAAAAAAAGAAAAAAAAAAAAAAAAAAAAGAAGAGAAATGGTACCCAAATATTCAGAGGGAAAATAATCTGGGATGTCTTACAGTTGGTTGCAATACTATGTTACCATGTGCTTTTGGCTCAAACATTGAAAGAATTAAATCGCTTTAATTCTCGTAAGAAAAATATGCTAAAAATTATTCTTGTCAAGTGAAGACATGCTATTCTAGCAGGAAAAAAGAAAAAGACTGCCAAAATCTACTTCTTAGAAATAGCTCAATACTCCATTTTACCGTTAAGGGTGATCTTAGCATTAAAAGAGAAATAAACTTTCCCTTTACAATTTCAAGTTCTTTCGAAGGACTTGCAGTTACTAGAAAAGTTTTTTTTTTTTTTAACTGTATTGTTAAAGCAGATTAAGGTACTATAATTGATGGTGAGGGCACTGACCCCCGCTGCTCAAGAAAGTACTTCTTCTCCAGTGGGTACTGGCCTACTCTGACTACAACTTATTTTAGAGGAATACAAAATTATGCCATCAGAAATACTTCTTTAAAGGCAGGCTAACACATTAATCACTAGCTATTGTTTTTGCTTGTCTAGTGGCTCTCTTTCCACGGGGGCAGATGTGGCATCTCCTCTGTCCCACACGGTCCCTGCTGGGATTGTTGTTCACTTGTATTCACAGCCATCCCTGCTACTTAGCTGCAGGATGCTCATGTGAACCAGGCCTCAATAAACATGGGCCATGGTCCCTCGACTGATCCAGAAATTGCCCCGGAGATTGATCCAAAGGGTTAACACTGGATCCTAGAAGAACAACTGTACCTTTTGGATAATGAGCTACAGAGATGAAGGCTTAGAGAGGCTAGTGGCTTTCTTTCAACCCTGGTGAAGAAAACCACTTTGTGGCCAGAAAGATAAAGACCAATACATAAAATTGAGCGGCCATAAGCAAAGCCAAAAGGTAGAGAAAGAGAGAACTCTGGGAACTCTGCAACCTTGAACTGGACTCAGTTGTGCCTGAAATCAATGCTATTCTTCGCTGTCCAAGTTAGCTGAGCTCAATATTTTCCCTTTTAGGCTTAAAATAATTTAAAGTGAATTCTGTCATTTATAACTGAAAGAGTACATAATGCACAAAGATTCTCTATCTCCCTATACGTTTATAGAGCTTTACAGTAAACCTTGCCATTCTGGAGAAAGCTGGGCTAAAAAAAACTATAAATTCAAAATAATTTTGTACTTATGACAATGTTAACAAAGGGCATTGGCTGAAAACAATTACGAAATTTTGTTTTAACTATTTTTTCATGCTGGAGGGTTGTGAGGAAGAGTAGGAAGAAGCACATGTTCAAATTAAGCTCTTTAGTCTTAGTGTTAAGTCTCCATTTGCAGGAGCCATTTACATTGATTAGTGGTTATCAGAGTGTGGTCCAGGGACCATCAGCATCAGAATCATATTCATAAGACCGATATACAATTTAAAGTATGTACTTAAATGTTAGATGCATTCATTGTTTTACTGAAGCACTGCTGAATTTTAAATAATTTAAAAGGCCATGAAATGGTAAACGTTGATTAGATATACTTACGAATGTGATGCCAGTGACCAACTTCATAGGGATCTATAATCACATTAATAATCATATCACTATTAGGCTGTGTTTTTCAGAAGTAAACAAACATTATGTTTTAAGTATAAGTAGCCACATTGCACAGATGAGGAAATTGAGGGTCTGAGAGGTTAAGTAATTTATTCAGGGTCACAATTACCGCTAGTGTGTAAGAATGGAAAGAGCTTGCTTGCTGAGTTGAGGTACTTACTTGGTTAACTGAAAAGGCTGCATTGTTACCCAAAGTAATCAAAGCTCTTTCAATAATTACAGGATCCTCCGTTGACTCCAGCAGGTAAAGGAGTTTCTGAAGTTGTTCAGCATTTAGAACATCATCATATGAACCATCAGTTAAGTCTTCTGCATAAGAAGAAAGTTATTTGAAGTTAAGCTAAAATCAATACGAGGTTATTTTTGAAACAGGCTCTCACTCTGTCACCCAGGCTGGTGTGCGGTGGCACAATCATGGCTCACTACAACCTTGATCTCCTGGGCTCAAGTGATCTTCCTGCCTCAGCCTCCCAAGTAGGTAGGACCTGTGGTCCTAGCACATGCACCACACCCGGCTAATTTTAAACATTTTTTGTACAGATGGGGGTCTCACTATGTTGCCCAGGCTGGTCTCAAACTTCTAACCTCAAGCAGTCCTCCTGCCTTGGCCTCCCAAAGTGGTGGGATAATAGTATGAGCCACTGTGCCCAGCCTGTTTTTTTAAAATTTTTAAAACAATATCGAATACATACTTGTATGGCAGGCACAGTATTAAGCACTTTACATCCTTAGGAAGAAGATACTTGTAGTACTCTCAAATTACAGCTGGGAAGTGTAGGCTTATAGATACCAAGAAATTAGTCAATGGTCACCTGGCATATGGCTGTTAGTAAGACACTTCATGCAAATACTATATACCTCAAATGCTGATAACATTTTGCTTCTCCTTTTAAAAACGAGGTACACCCATCCAATGAACACTTACCTATAAAGAGATTAATTAGGAAATATGATTTGCATTAAGCAGATCTTTTCTGAGCACATCAGATAGAAGGAAAGCTATGAGAGTAAACCAATCTTGTTGCTAGTGTGGCATTTTTGTTTGATTTATACAAGGCATGATGACTAGGATCCTAGAATAATAGTCCTGCTGGTGGTGATGACAAAAGAAAACCTGACATTTTGAAGAAGAGCTAGGATAGCCAAATGCTGGATCTGCTCAATGATGTTTAAACTTATGGCTTTACCTTAAAAAAAATCCTCTTTACAGAAATCACCACAGGAAGAACAGAAGCCATTTTATAACACTCTTACTGGGGTGGTGGGGGGAGGGGCAAGGGTAGGTGAGGAGGAGGTTACACAACAATAGGTGTTACATGATCTCAAATCTGTGTTTTTTCTTAAAACACATAAAATTGTTAGGCTGGGCATAGCAGCTCATCTCTGTAGTCCCAGCACTTTGGGAGGCAGGAGAATCACTTCAGGCCAGTGGTTCGAGACCAGTCTGCACAACATAATGAGACCCTGTCTCTATTAAAAAAAAAATAAGTAAATAAAATTGTTAAAGGTGATTATTTTTGGGTAGTGGGATTATGAAGGACTTTTATTTTCTACCCTGTACTCAACAGTACTTTTTTTTTTTTTTGCAATAAACAGGTATTATTTCTGTAACTAAAATAACTAAGTATATTGCTCAAAGAAGAATCACACACACACACACAAAAATAAATAAAGGGACAAGTATAGATTACACATGGGAAACAATATGTGGTACGTGATATATAATATGTGATGCCCTGAGGAAGCCAAATAAGAAATGTTAAGAAAATGTCACAGCTACAAAGCTAGAATATTCTCACTACCAAGTCTTAATCAGGACCTTTTACTTTTGAATACACTGTTGGCCTCATTAACACCTTATAAAATAGCGTTTCACCCAAAGAATACTTGAAAAGATAAAGGAAAGAATGATAAAAACACAACTTTTTAGAACGGAAAGAATTTGGGGTTCATCCAAACCTCTTATTTTACACAGGAAGAAACTGAAGCCAGGATTGTTCAAGGATCTGCCTAAAGTCACAGGGGTAGTTAGTAGCAGAAACCACAGAAATGAAAAATCAAAGTTACAAGTAAGTCACTTACTATTTTTGGGGGTCTCAGTTTTCTCATCTGCAAATAAAAGGGTTGGCTTAATACTGTAACTGGCTCCAGAGTTTCCTACACAGCCCTGAAGTTGTATGATTTCATATACACATGCATACATACACGTGCACATGCATGGCAGAAATGTGATAAATTTAACTCATCCATATTTGAGATATTTCAAAATCATACCACTCTATGTTATCTCATGAAGTCATTTTTAAAAAGCTTATAGACTGGGTGCAGTGGCTCACGCCTGTGAACCCAGCACTTTGGGAGGCTGAGGCGGGCAGATCACTTGAACTGAGGAGTCTGAGACCAGCCTGGCCAACATGGTGAAACCCCATCTCTACTAAAAACAGAAAAAAATTAGCCAGGCGTGGTGCAGGATGCCTTGTAATCCCAGGTACTCGGGAGGCCGAGGCGGGAAAATTGCTTGAGCCTGGGAGGCAGAGGTTGCAGTAAGCTGAGATTGCATCACTGCACTCCAGCTTGCGTGACAGTAATGAAACCTTGTTTTTGTTTTTGTTTTTAAAAAAGAGAAAGCTTATAGATGTATAAATTCTTTATAAATAGCCATTTAAAATTTTTCTAGGGATTAAATCACTAACGATAAAATTTCACGGTGTTGTATCACAGAATTCTCACTTGGTGGGAAGAGGCACAATGTGGTAGTTAAAACTAAGCCAAGGCTATGGGGTCAGGTTGTCTAGTTCAAATTCCCAAATAAGCTACTTACCAGGTAAGAGACTTAGGCTCTCTCAGCCTCAGTTTACTCATCTGCTAAGTGGGAGTTAATAGTGCCTACCTCAAAGCACTTTTGTACCTAGAATATTTAAAGTGACTAGTATATTATTTTCATTAATGGGACACATAGCTGATTAATAATAGCAAAAGTGGCTTTAGAATCCAGATCTTTTTACTCCTACATTACTCTTTCCTCTCAACCATTATTCCTCCTAGTATATTAATATAATGAGCCTAGCTGAATGCGGTGGCTCACACCTGTAATCCCAGCACTCTGGGAGGCTGAGATGGGCGGATCACGAGGTTAGGAGTGCAAGACCAGCTTGGCCAAGATGCTGAAACCCTGTCTCTACTAAAAATACAAAAATTAGCCAGGCATGGTGGCACATGCCTGTAATCTCAGCTACTCCGGAGGCTGAGGTAGAAGAATTGCTTGAACCTGGGCGGCAGAGGTTGCAGTGAGCCGAGATCCCACCACTGCACTCCAGCCTGGGCAACAGAGCAAGACTCCATCTCAAAAAATAAATGAATAAATAAAAAATAAAATAATGAGCCTATACTTTAATTCTATATATTCTCTTTGAATTTCTAATAAAAACCATTTATCGGCCCAGCACGGTGGCTCACACCTGTAATCCCACCACTTTGGGAGGCCAAGGCAGGCAGATAAGCTGAGGTCAGGAGTTCGAGACCAGCCTGGCCAAGATGGTGAAACCCCGTCTCTACTAAAAGTACAAAAATTAGCCAGCAGTGGTGGCACATGCCTGTAGTCCCAGCTACTCGGGTGGCCGAGGTAGAAGCATCACTTGAACCTGGGAGGCAGAGGTTGCAGTGAGCTGAGATCGCACCACAGCACTCCAGCCTGGGCGACAGAGCAACACTCCATCTCAAAACAACAAAACAAAACAAAAACCATGTATAACTTTTTAGTAAAGAAATGTAAAACTTAAAACTCTAAAAATTTTACAGGAGGGCGATCATCAAATACTCAGCTCTTCCACTGGTGAGTTTTTGGACTGCTATTACACAGGTGAGGAGTCAAACATGTGTTCTACTTTCCATCTAGCTCTGTGCCAACAAGACTGTGAAAGAATCTTAGGCTCGGTGGTTTGTGGTCTCCTCCAGTAAATCAAGGAGAAATTAGAATTCTCAAAGGGAATGAAAAGTGACTACCACATTATAACGTAGCAAGACAAATTTCAAGATAACTGTCATGGTTCAGAATCTTTCCAACTGGGAACACAATATGCCTGTTTATGTAGTCTTAGGCCCTTCAGTAAAATTATCTTCTCACTACAGGAACTCCTAGTTTTTAAAGTGAATTCCTAATTTTTAAAGTTTTTATAGCTATCATGAATGATATATATTTTTTGAAACAGGGTCTCATTCTGTCAAATAAAATATTTTCAATTAAAATTTTGAATTGTTACTGCATGTATACAAGAAGTTATTGATTTGGGTATATTTACTTGTACTCAAGATATTTTATTAAACTCATTGCTTCTAGTAGTTAGTTAATTCTCTTGGATTTTTCCAAGTAAATCATTATGCCACCTACGATTATAATTCTGCCTCCAATATTTATGCATGTTGTTTTCTTATCAAGCTATGACTCCAGAAGAACGTTGAATAGTAGCTGTGATAGCAGACACCCTTCTCTTGTTCTTGAGTTTGATAAGGATGCTACTAACTAGTGTGTCTATTAAATACGATATTTGCTTTTGGGTTTTGATGGATGTACTTGATCAACTTAAGAACATTTCCTTCTATTTATTCCTTACTTGCTGCAAGTTTTTATCAGAAATGATAAAATTTTTTTTCTTTTTTTTTCCCCGAGCTTCAGCTATGGAAAGAAATATTTTAATGCCTTTTTATTATGAGGTCATCATGTGGCTTTTCCTTTTTCTAGTATGACTCCTCCTTCCATGTCCATTTGGCCTTGGTATATTATTACTTTAATCCCCTGATAGATTTGACTTGCTAATATTTTAAGATTTTTATATCTTTATTCATAGTTGAGACAGATTTATAGTTTTTCTTACCATCCTTGTCAGGTTATGACGTTAGATTGTTGGATGAATTGGGACTGTTTCCGTCTTTTTCAATGCTCTCAAACCACGTTAGTACAAAAATTATTTTATTTTTTATTTTTTAAGACAGAGTCTTGCTCTTTTGTCCAGGCTGGAGAGCAGCGGCACAATCACAGCTTACTGCAGCCTTGACCTCCTGGGCTCAAGGGTTTCTCCCAAAACAGCCTCCTGAGTAGCTGGGACTACAAGTGCACACTACCATGCCTGGCTAATTTTTCTATTTTTTGTAGAGATGGGGTTTCACTATGTTGCCCAGCCTGGTTTTGAACTCTGGGCTCAAGCGATTCTTCCACCTCAGCCTCCCAAAGGGATTAGAGGTGTGAGTTTAAAACAAAGAAAAGATCGCCACTGCACTCCAGCCTGGGCAACAGAGCAAGACTCCGTCTCAAAAAAAAACAAAAACAAAACAAACAAAAAACAAAAGATCATCTTCTGAAATCTAAGCGTGATGATGACTTTATTAGTCCATTCTCATGCTGCTATGAAGAACTGCCCGAGACTGGGTAATTTATAAAGGAAAGAGGTTTAATTGATTCACAGTTCCACATGGCTGGGGAGGCCTCAGGAAACTTACAATCATGGTGGAAGGGGAAGCAAACACTTCCTTCTTCATAGGCAGCAGGAAAGAGAAGGAGTGCAGAGCAAAGGGGGAAGCCCCTAATAAAACCATCAGATCTCCTGAGAACTATCACGAGAAGAGCATGGAGGGGAGGGGAACTGCCCCCGTGATTCAATTACCTTCCACCGGGTCCCTCCCACGATGTAGGGATTATGGGATTACAATTCAAGATAACATTTGGGCCGGGCACAGTGGCTGATGCCTGTAATTCCAGCACTTTGGGAGGCTAAGGCAGGCACATCACCTGGCCAACATGGTGAAACCCTGTCTCTACTAAAAATACAAAAAAAATTCGCCAGGCACATGGTGTGTACCTGTCATCTCAGCTACTCCGGAGGCCGAGGCAAGAGAATCGCTTGAACCCATGAGGTGGCGGTTGCAGTGAGCTGAGATCATGCCACTGCACTCCAGCCTGGGAGACAGAGTGCGACTCCGTCTCAAAAAAAAAGAAAAAGATGAGATTTGGGTGGGGACACAAAGCCAAACCATATTGATGATGAAATGAGCATTTCTCAAGTCTTCTTCAATGATAAAGGAGTAGCTTCAGGAAGAAGGGACTGTGAGCAAATTATTTTTTAAGCTGCCTTACCTAAGATAATGATGATTATGGGAACTGTTAAGTTTAAAAGACTGTCCACATTCATCAGATTGAGTCAGTATAACTGAGAAGATATCTGAGTCCAGGACACCTTCCCAATGTACTTATACAAAAATATCTCTGACATGGGCAAAGACAACAAATTAGGCTTTGTAAATGCTATGATTTGAATGTCTCCTGCGAAACTCATGTCGAAACTTAATTCCCAATGTGGCAGTATTGAGAGGTAAGGCCTTTAAGAGGTGACTGGATCATGAGGGGTCTGTCCTCATGAATGAATTAATCCATTCATGGATTAATGAGCAGGACTGGTGGCTTTATAAGAACAAGAGACCTGAGTCAGCATGTTAACACACTTGCCCCTCTGGCCTTGGGATGCCCTATGCCACAACAAGAAAGCCCTTACCAGCTACGGCCCCTCAATCTTGGACTTCTCAGCTTCCATAACTCTAAGAAATAAATTTCTTTCCTAATAAATTACCCAGTTTCAGATATTCTATTATAAGCAACAGAAAATGGACTAATACAGTAAGGGTACATACAAATCTTTAAAAAAAAAAAGCTGAATTATACCTAGTGGCAAAAGTGAGAGAGACCTTCCCCTTCCACTCCCTTTTTCTTAAAGCATTCCCTCGTGCAAACTTGTAATTAAAAATCCTTTATTGGCCAGGTGAGGAGGCTCAATCCTGTAATTCCAGCACTTCGGGATGCTGAGGCAGGAGCACTGCTTAAGCCAAGTTCAAATCAGCCTGGGCAACATGGTGAAAACTCATCTCCTAAAAAATTGGAAAAATTAGCCAGGTGTCGGTGTGCACCTGTAGTCCTAGTTACTTAGTGGGGTGAGGTGGGAGGAGCCCAGGGAAGTGGAGGCTGCAGCTGTGATTGCGCCGCTGCAGCTGTGATTGCGCCACTGCACCGAGCCTGGGTGACAGAGGGAGTCCCTGTCTGAAAACAAAACAAAACTCCTTTTTCTGCTTCTTTGATACAAATGTAAATCTTTTTGTTTGTTTTTTGTTTTTTGAGACAGAATCTTGCTCTGTCGCACAAGCTGGAGTGCAATGGTGCAATCTTGGCACACTGCAACCTCTGCCTCCTGGGTTCAAGTGATTCTCCTGCCTCAGCCTCCTGAGTAGCTGGGATTACAGGCACCCACCGCCAAGCCCGGCTAATTTTTGTATTTTTAGTAGAGATGGGGCTTCCCCATGTTGGTCAAGCTGGTCTTGAACTCCTGACCACATGATCCGCCTGCCTTGGCCTCCCAGAGTGCTGGGATTACAGGTGTGAGCCACCACACCCAGCCTGTAAATCTTTTTAAAAGTGAAATAAGCATTTGGCCAGTTTTACAGCCCAAGAAAGACTTTCTTAAAAGCTTTGGAGCCTACTGTTCGAAAGCGTACTCTTTGAAACCTACTCTTCCAGGAAGATAGATCCCCAATCTCCCCAACTCTGTGAGTTTTTAGCCTGGGCACCTGGTTCCACATCATAAAGATATTTTTATTTTTCCTCTGGATAAAGGCAATTAGATAACAACCACCCCAATTACCAGTAAATTCAGGATAAACTACATGTAGCAAATGGTACTGTCAAGTCCTCTTACCTAAGGACAAATTATTTTTTATCTTGAGAACACGTATGTAATATGAAATCGGTTCTATCTGTCCAGCTACATTTAAAGGAATTAGAATTCTTCCTGCTATCCCATTAGCAAATTGCCCGTGATGTGTGAGGCAATTTAGTTTGTGCTTATTCAACAATGAAGCTGTTTAGCTCTCTTCTACAATTGTGGACAGGAGTTTCTTGGATGGCAGATATGATATTTTAAATTATTTCCCTAACAGCTTCCATGATGTGAAACATGCCTTTGGAGGGTTTTAATGTACCGATCAACTTTTGGACAGAAACCGAATCATGCATTTGTCCGCTGGGAGGGTGTGTCTCGCGCAGACAACTGTTCCCATTTCCAAAACACACACCAGGCTGCGAGGTCTTGGACCACTGTGACTCCCAGGTACCTCCCGTCTGAGGCCGGGCCGAGCGCCCGCACAACTGACCCTCTGACGTCCCTTCTTCCAGGGCACCTGCAAGCAGAGATTGACCTATGGCTCTGGGCCCCTCAACAGCCCTTCCACAATCGGGAGAATCCCTTTAGTTACACAAAGGCCCGGAGCAAGCTTTAAAATGAGAGGCCATCAACAGGTTTTTAAGAAATCTAATCCTCCGCTGTGACGCGGAGCTCAGGCAGGAAAGCCAGGGCAAGTTTTCATACCAGTATAGTCAGCAAAGGGGCGGCGGGGGCGGCGCAGCACCCTGCACTCACACAAGTACTGCCTCTCCCTCTAGCTCGGCTCCTCATTTTACCCCGAGCACACGCAAGCCACCACCCCGGCCTGGGGAGCCCCCCTGCCCAGTCCCCGCCCACCTGCCGGAAACCCCGGGGTCCCACCTGCGGACTTCGAAGAGCGTATCCCGAGCTCGCGGTCGCCCCGCCGCCGACCCCGGGTCAGCCTGTAAATGCAGTAGCAGGCGCCCGCGCCGAGCAGCAGGCCCGCCGCCACCCAGCCCGCGCCCCGGGGGCCACCCATGCTGCCGCCGCGGCAGAGCCGCAGCGCCGGGCCAGGGCAGGAGGCTCGCGGGGGCCAGCGCGGAGGTCTCCAGCGCACGCGGGCCTAGCCGCCACAGCAAACGCCACCTGACCTGGATGTGGAGAAAGGAAATGGGGTCTGAGCTCCGCCTCCCGGAAACGGCCTAGCTCAAAGCCTATAACCGCCCACTCCAGCCCGGCGCGTCCCGGCGGCTTCTCCCAGGCGAGGCGGGGCGGTGCGGGGCGCTGCACACCGGGAGGGGGGGGTCGGACGGTGCGCCCCACGCGGAGACGCCGGGGCCCGCAACCCAGAGCCGAGCTTCCCGTCTCTTCCCCCGGGGCGTGAAGCAACCATTCCTCCCTCCCGCCCCTGGCAGCGGAGCGCGGGGCGGTGCCACGCCCAGCCCCGCCCCCTGGTTGCCGGGACAACGCCCGCACGCGCCCGGCCCCTAGTCCCAGCGCGGGGAGGGTACTATCGCAGCTTCTCCGTCAGGCCTTGGGCCATGGCCTCGCTACGCAATGCCAACCCGAGGCTGAAGAACTACTTCAAGGAGAACTACATTCCTCAGGTCTGCGAGGTACTGGACACGCGTGGCAGCGGACACAGACCGTCGGTGGGGAGTTAGAAGGGGGAGGAGTCAGGAAAGACTTCCCGGAGGAGGGACTAGGTTTCGGGATTGGGGAGGAGTGGAGGGAAGGCGGGGCAGAATGCGAGAAAGTGAAGTCAAATTCGGACTTGTAGGCGATCAGGGCTGAAGACGCTGATTAGAGAGAAAACAGAGGGTGATGGTGGCTGCACGTGGGGAATGGGTGACATCTCCCAGGGGGAATGAGCACAAGGCCCAGATCGGAAACCCCAAACTCAGATTTTAAGGTTTGGACAAGAAGTACCTGAGGAGTGGAGGAGTGAGAAAGAAGTGCCAGAGAGCCTGAGGAGGAAAATCAGCAGACTGGCATTATGAAGAATGTTGTCAGAAGTAGGGAGTAGGCACTAGTCACCTAAGATAAGGAGCTGGATTCTGCCCAAGGTGAGCCTGAGGTTTCCATGGAGCCGTGAGGGCAGAAAATAGATGGAGGTTAGCGGAGGGAAGAGTGGAAGCTGAGACCTTTGGTCAGTGTAGTCAGCCCTTTGTGAAGGTAAGGACCCTCTCAACCAGGATTGCCTTTAGACAACAGGAAGGACTGCCCTCCTACTGCCGTTATAAGAGTAGGGAAGGAAGACAGGAAGGGGATAGACATTAGGTTTTGTAGGTTTGGGGGTAGGAAGCTGAGAACATTTGCCTTTGTTGACCTCTTTTTTTCTCTACAAATAGTTGGTGAGATATTTACCAAGAATGTGCGTGTTTGAGTGGGGATGGGGATGTTGGTGCAGTAGGAGGTTCGAGCAAAGATACGTTATGTGGAGAATGAGGGAGAGAGATGTCTAGGGAAAGAAAGAGGAGGTCCTACCTGAGGGTAGTAACGCTCCTAGGCGGTTGGGAGGGCAATTTGGTAGAGACCCCCCACCCGTCTCTTTTTTGGATGGTAATTGAGAAATATTTATTAAGATGTTAAATACATGTACCCTTTAACCAAGCATTTCTACTTCTAGGGATCTACTTTAGAGAAATACTTGCACATGTGTTCAGGAGGATGTACAAGGATATTCATTATAACTTTGTTTCATAGTAAAAATAGTAAATGACCTAGAGTGACTAAGCGAATGAGGCATTATGTAGAATAAAGTATATCTGTACCTACTAAGAAGAAATGTCCTCCAAGACATATTATTATTATCATCATTATTATTGAGACACGGGGTGTTGGTCTGCCACCCAGGCTAGGGTGTAGTGGCTCCATCCTAGCTCACTGCAGCCTCAAACTCCTGGGCTCAATTGATCCTCCCACCTCATCCTCCCAAGTAGCTAGGACTACAGGCATACACCACATGGCTGGCTCCCAACACATATTATTAAGTAAAAAAGAAAAAGTGCAAGTTGCTTAGCAACTGTCCATTCTGCTCTAGCTGTCCATTTGATTTCATATATGTTGTATATGTGTTTATGTACATATATGTGTATATATCTAGCTTTAAGACAATAGTGCATGCATAGAACCTATGCCAAACTGTTAATAACAGATGTCTTGTGGAATGGTTTTGGGGGAAAAGATGGAGAATTCTAACTTTTTACTCTGTCCATAGCTGTATTGTTTTAATTTATTACAGTGAGTTTTGTGTTGTACCTCTATACAATTGTGCTTGAAAATATGTAGGGAGAATGGTACCCATCTTCCCGGTTGTGTGATTTTCTCAAGTAGCAGTCAGTAAATCAGATGTAGGTACAGAGATAACCAAGTTGACTTCGTCTGGGATAGGAATTTGCCAGGCATATATTAATAGAATGGAAAGGCAGTAGGTTAGGGAGCTAAGCTCCTGAGTATCTGAAGTGATGGGCCAAGGACTCTAAGGACTCAGTGGGAAATGAGAAAAGGATATCATACTGATACATGGACAGAAAGTGAAGACTCCTCTAAGAGGTGAGTGAAGAGAAGTAGAGGGAGTAATTAAGTGAGGGAGCTGGAAACACAGGAGGTGGGGGTCAGAAAGTGGAACGTTTATATTTACAATTCAGGGTGCAGCCATTCTGAGTGATGGCTCAGTCTGTGATATGGCGGTGGAGCAGGTGGCAGAAATGGACTTGAGTTGAGAGTCAGGGTACATCAAGGAAGGGATGGCCTCTTCTCATCTAGGCCGCCAGTTACTATAACATCACAAAGCTGCAATGAGGCAGTCCCCAGTTCCCCCTCTGGGTGAAAGCATTCCTTCCTTACCAGCTTACTGCATTGTTCTGCACCCATAGAGGAGGCCCTTATATGCATTCTCCATTGTCTAAGATCATGTTCTCCTGAGGAGTCCTTCACTCACCTCTGCTAGCACACTAGCAGGAAGTGCAAAGGAGCAATCCTCTGGGCCCCACACACCCACCTTAAACTCATTACCCATTTCTTCTAAGAGAATATCAAGATGAATTCCATTCTGCCTCATATCCTGTCTGTACATTTATTTATCTGACTCAATTTCCCAGATGGGTTTTATACTTTTTTTTTTTTTGAGACAGAGTCTAGCTCTGTCGCCCAGTCTAGAGTGCAGTGGTGCCATCTCAGCTCACTGCAACATCCGCCTCCTGGGTTCAAGCGATTCTCCTGCCTCAGCCTCCCAAATAGCTGGGACTACAGGCACCTGCCACCATGCTCAGCTAATTTTTGTATTTTTAGTCGAGACAGGGTTTCACCATGTTGGTCAGGCCGGTCTCGAACTCCTAACCTCAGGTGATCCACCCGCCTCAGCCTCCCAAAGTGCTGAGATTACAGGCATGACCCACCACAGCATGACCCACCATGTCTGGCAGGTTTTATACTTTTCTAAAACCCATCTTCTGCAAGCCTTGGAATACATAAATAACCTTTCATTAAAGTTTTCCCTGTATATTTAACCTCTTCTGAATTTCATCTACCTGTCCTAAATAAAACCTGATTTTCTACCTACAATATCATTTTCCTGCAAATCTCTTGAATAGAGACTGATTTTTTTAAAAATCAGGCCTGGCTTGGTGGTTCATGCCTGTAATCCCAGCACTGTGAGAGCCCAAGGCAGGTGGATTGCTTGCCAGGAGTTCAAGACCAGCCTCGGTAACATAGTGAGACCCTGTGTGTACAAAAATTAAAAAAAAAAAAAAAAAAAAGCTAACTTGTCTTAGTGGCTCACACCTGTAGTCCCTGCTACTCATGAGGCTGAGAGGAGAGGATCACTTGAGCCCAGGAATTTGAGGCTGCAGTGAACTATGATTGCACCACTGAACTCCAGCCTGGGTGATGGAGCAAGACCCTATCTCTAAAAAAATAAAAAATTAAAAAACATTTTAAACAATCCTGCTTGGTCCCCTGGGCTTACTGAATCTGTTGATAGATATTTTTCATCCGTTTTAGAAAATTCTTGGTTCTTTTCAAATAGTACTTCTATTCAGTTCTCTCTTTTCCTTTTGGAACTCCAATCGTACATATGTTAGCTTTTTTTTTCTTTTTCTTTACCTTGTTCTACATGCCTCTTTTGATCTCTTCTGCTTTTTCCCCATTTTCTTCTTTTTGAGCTCAAGTTTGGATCTTTTTCATTGATGGTTTTCAAGTTTACTAATTTTGTTTTATGCTGTGTCCAGTCTACTCTTAAATACATCAAATGAAATCTTAATTTTAGACATGTTTTTCAGTTCTAGAATGACAATTTGATGTTTAAATAAATTCTGATTATTAGAATTATGCATCTTTTCATTCAGTTTGCCTTTTTCTGTTTTCTTTATTTGTTCTCTCCAAATCTGTTAAAATTTGATCCCCAGTGTTGGAGGTGGGGCCCAGTGGGAGGTATTTGAGTCATGTGGGCAGATCCCTCAAGAATGGCTTTGTGCCCTCCCCTGTGATAATTAGTGAGTTCTCCCTCTATTAGTTCACCCAAGAGCTGGTTGTTTAGAAGAGCCTCCCTCTAGCTGTTTCTCTTACTCCTTCTCTTCCCATGTTACATGCTGGCTCCCTTTGCCTTCTGCAGTGAGTAAAAGCTTCCTGAGGCCTTCGCCAGAAGCCGAGCAGATGCTGGCACCATGCTTCTTGTACACCCTGCAGAACCCTGAGCCGCATACAACTCTTTTCTTTATAAATTACCTGGCCTCAGGTATTTCTTTATAGCCGTGCAAAATGGATCAACACACATGTTGATGGTTGTTATTTTAAAATTATTGTTTGTTGCTTATGCCTGTAATTCTAGCACTTTGGGAGGCCGAGGTGGGTGGATCACTTGAGGCCAGGAGTTCGAGACCAGCTGAAACCCTGTCTCTACTAAAAATACAAAAATTTGCCAGGTGTGGTGCACGCCTGTAATTCCAGCTATTTGGGAGGCTGAGGCATGAGAATCGCTTGAACCCAGGAGGCAGAGGTTGCAGTGAGCTGAGATCACACCATTACACTCCAGCCTGGGTGATGGAGTGAGACTGTGTCTCTAAAAAAATAAATAAATAAAATAAATACATAAAATTAAATCATTGTTTGTTAACTTGAATATCCAGATCATTTGTGGGTCTGCTTCTATTGCTTATTTTCTTCTGTTGATAATTCAAGACATTTTCCTGCCTTCATACATACCTAGTAATTTCTTTTTTTTTTTTTTTTTTGAGACAGAGTCTTGCACTGTCGCCCAGGCTGGAGTGCAGTGGCGGGATCTCGGCTCACTGCAAGCTCCGCCTCCTGGCTTCACGCCATTCTCCTGCCTCAGCCTCCCGAGTAGCTGGGACTACAGGCGCCTGCCACCATGCCCGGCTAATTTTTTTGTATTTTTAGTAGAGACGGGGTTTCACCGTGTTAGCCAGGATGGTCTCGATCTCCTGACCTCATGATCCACCTGCCTCGGCCTCCCAAAGTGCTGGGATTACAGGCGTGGGCCACCGCGCCCAGCCCATACCTAGTAATTTCTTATTTTTATTGGACATTGTGTGAGAAAAGAACAATAGAAGTTCCAGATGATATACTCTTTCGCCAGCAAAGGTTCGTCCTTTCCTCTGTATAGGGTACAGAGCTCATGACCTCAGTCCAGGAAGGGACTGATCTGTGTTGAGCTTGGACTGTGGATTTATTTGGGTTCGGTTTACATCTGGTTCATCCCTATTCCTCAGGCATAGCTCTTCTGGGCTTTTGATTGAGAAGCTAGCCAGTCTCTGTCTCCTCAGACTGAAAGATTGTGAGAGATTTGGTTCTGCTCTTCGGAGGTATTTAAGCTTAGCTCTTTAGTTTCCCTTCTAGGCCCTCAACTTTTATATATGTATATATATTCCCCAATTTAAAACTTTTAAAAGTAAACTTTAATATCAAAAATGCAAACTTGGGGAGGGCATAAAAATCACACACAAGGCTGCCACTTCACACTTCGAGGGTTGCACAACGGCCGGGCAAAGGCGCTCCTCACTTTCCAGATGGGGCGGCAACCAGGTAGAGGCGCTCCTCACTTCCCAGAAGGTGCAGCGGCTGGGCAGAGGCGCTCCTCTCTTCCCAGACTGTGGGGCAGCCAGGGAGAGGTGCGCCTTACTTCCCAGACAGTGGGGCGGCAGGGCAGAGGGCCTCCTCACTTCCCAGAGGGGGCGACAGCCAGGCAGAGGTGCTCCTCACTTCCCAGGTGGTGGGGCGGCCGGGCAGAGGTGCTCCTCACTTCCCAGACGGTGGGGCGGCCGGGCAGAGGCGCTCCTCACTTCCCAGATGGTGGGGCGGCTGGGCAGAGGTGCTCCTTACTTCCCAGATGGCGTGGTGGCCGTGGGCCCTCAACTTTAAAATCTGGCAAGTACATTGAAGGTTATGCTGGCTGTATGTTTGAGGCAGGCTTCCTCTTCCTTCCCTGAGATTATGAAAGACTCACTCTGCCTTGTAGGAGTTGATGTTCTAGCTCCTCAGCCTCCTGTGTGAACACTCCCAGAACTCACTGCCTTATGGGAGACAGTGGCCACACTTGGGGCACCTCAAGTTTCTAACCTGTCATGTTACCCCCGTGCCACCACCATAAGCCTATTGGTTTCTCTTCCCATTTGTAGACTTTCTCTGCCTGGGCCCAGCCCTGTCCTCTTTCCTACCCAGAGCTGGCACACGTTCCCAGGGAAAAAAAGCAGCTGTGCATTGTCAGCTCACTTCAGAAAAATTTCCTTCCCCTGGAATTCCATGGCTCGCCAATATCTTTTTTAAATGTGATTTTTGTAATGTGTCTGTTTTTTTCTAGTTGTTGTAGCAGGGTCATTGGACCATGGTGACTTTCCACATCCTACTCAGATATGAAATCCTAGGGAGACTGTCTTGTTTCACTCCTCAGTTTACCTCAGATCTAGAGATAGGTTAGGTGTCTTCCTTGGCTCCCCATTTCCACTTCCAAACTATGTATCTTCCCTCCTTTTTCTAAAGTCTCAGCTTCTTTGTAGTTCATAACATCAGATTTAGCACTCACTGTCTTCATTATGTACCAATCTCTATGTTTTGTTGGTAGCATTAGCATCTGGCTCACCATCTTCCTTTTTCTCTACTCCTGTCATTGTTCTTGTGCCCGCAGTATTCACAGGGATGTTCCGTTCACATCCTTGACCTTTCTTCCAGTTATCTTTGCTTTCACCGTTCCTCAGTCATGTCCTTCTATGGTCATACTCTTAACCATTTTATCCTAAATTGCTGTACCATCTCTGAAATCTCCATTTCTTCATCCACTTATCTCTTAATTTCTTAGCTCACTCACATTGGAGCTTCTACACTAGCACTTCTTCAACTGACTCAAACCACCATTTCATTCAATTATCTTTGCACTGTCAAATATTACTCTTATGTCCTTATTTCTCTCTTTACCCATCTTAGATTCCTTGGTTCATCATTATTGTGGATGTCTATTACCTAAATGTCTTTACAACATTTAGTGATTTAAAATAACAGTATTCATTTTATTATTGCCTCTCACAGTTATGGGAGTTGACAGAATATTATTGCTTGAGATCCCTCATGCACTTACATGTCAGAGTGGCTGAGGTTAAAATCATCTTGAAGGCTTCCTTACCTACATGCCTGGCAGTTGATGCTGGCTGTCGATGAGGACCTCTCCTGAGACTGACAGGTAGAACATCTATGTGTAACATCTCCATGTAGCTTGAGCTTCCTCACAGCGTGGAGGCTGGGTCCCAAAACAGGTGTCCAAGAGACAGAGCCAAGTAAAATCTCCTTTTATAACCTAGCCCCAGAAGTTACTCAACATCACTTTCACTGTATTCTCTTCATTACAAGTGGATTATTAAGACTAATCCATATTCAAGAGGAGAGGAATTAAACCCCACCTCTTTATGTAAGAAATATCATTTGCAGACATGCTTTTAAAATGCCACCACACCATCATTATGATCACTTTCAAATACGATTATCTCCTTTACCTGTTTCTCCCTCTGTCCTATTGATGTGACAAACACCCATCCCTGGTAAAACTCAAATATCCAGCAGTCCGTGCTTACCCCTGAGCAACTGAACATTATTTAAAGGAAGAACACACAATTAAACTGAATTGTGTCACTTTAAATTCAATCCTCAGTTGTCAAATGGGCTCTCAATATCCATAGTCCTACATTTCCTAGTATTTTCAGTTTCTGACAATTCCATTACACCCACAGTGAAAGAGTAGACAAAAAAAAAAAAATTCTTGGGAGGCCGAGGCGGGCAGATCACCTGAGGTTTGGAGTTCAAGACCAGCCTGACCAACATGGAGAAAGATCACTAAAAATACAAAATTAGCTGGGCGTGGTGGCGCATGCCTTTAATCCCAGCTACTCGAGTGGCTGAGGCAGGGGAGTCTCTTGAACCCAGGAGGCGAAGGTTGCGGTGAGCTGCGATCACGCCATTGCACTCCAGCCTGGGCAATGAGAGCGAAACTCCATCTCAAAAAAAAAAAAAAAAATCCTCACAAAATTCTTCCACTGAATATTAAAAAATCAATTGCATTTCAATTCACTAGAACCAAAGTTTTAAACAGTAGCTTTTAAAAATTACATTCATAGGCTGGGCGCAGTGGCTCACGCCTGTAATCCCAGCGCTTTGGGAGGCTGAGGCGGGTGGATCATGAGGTCAGGAGCTTGACACCATCCTGGCTAACAAGGTAAAACCTCGTCTCTACTAAAAATACAAAAAAAATTAGCTGGGCGTGATGGCGGGCGCCTGTAGTCCCAGCTGCTCAGGAGGCTGAGGCAGGAGAATGGTGTGAACCCGGGAGGCAGAGCTTGCAGTGAGCCGAGATCGCACCGCTACATTCCAGCCTGGGCAACAGAGTAAGACTCTGTCTCAAAAAAAAAAAAAGAAATTACATTCATAATAGCCACAAAAAATATAAGGTTTCTTAGGACAAGATGTGAAAGACCTGTTTGGAGGAATTTGTAAAATTTTATTGAAAGATGTTTAAGGTGACCTAAAGAAATGAAGTACTCTGCTGTGTTTATGAATGGGAAAATAACAACATGTAATGTCTTCCCAGAAAATGTATAAATTCAATGCAATTTTAGTTAAAGTCTAAAATTTTTTTCCCCATAAAACTAGACAGCTGATTATAATACTGCAGAAATATTGAGGAGGAGAAAAGTAGCCCTTGACACCTAGAAGCTGGACTGGTGTCATGATCTAGACCTTGGCATTGCTTTGGGCTAGCATGTTGTTAAGCCTTGTCAGTGCTGGAGGGACCCTGGAGGGAGAGGGACTTCAGTTCCTGGTTCCTGTGTGCTTCCTCACTTCTTGTTCACATGACACAGCTTCCAGGAGCATGTGTGTGGTGCACCCAGTGGTGCCCACTCTTCAGCAAGTTTTGCTCACCAGCCTCAGCCCATTGGCACCCCAGCAGGGGGCGTCTGCTCACTAGTGTGAGCTGGTGGGGTCCTGTTCACCAAGCCTTGGACCATCATGGCTGAGAACTATCTCTGTCTCAGGGCAACCTAATGGACTTCCCCACTATACCTCAGCCACACTCCACATTCTCTGAATCTCAGCCTTGGGGAGGTGGCTGCCCTCCTTCCAAGGTTATTTCATCTTTGGGTACTCTGTCTGAGCCACAGGGTGTCCTTTAGTGTTCTCTTTTGCTCTTAGTAGTTACTCTCTTTTTACTAGTTAGTAATTCTTTGAATTGCATTCTTTATTAGAATCTCTTTATGAGATAGAATAAATTGTTCTTTATTCAAAACACGGGTGTGATTTCTGTCTCTTGACTGGACTCTGAGTGATACAGGAGGATTAACTGGAGAGGGACATGAGAACTTTCCGGAGAGTTGGAAAGAAACCACACCCGGGGTGTGGGTATTTTCATTATCAAAATTATACTAATAAGATTTATGCATTTGAAATAATATAAATTTTACCTTAAATTATAATTGAGAATAGGTAGAAATGGGTAGATATATAGATGATACAAAAATCACAGAATAATTATTGTTGAAACTGGGTGATAGGTACATAAGTGTTCCCTATACTACTGTTTCTAAATGTTTGAAATTTAAAAATCTAAAATGAAAGATAGTTATGGCTAGGCTTTTTTTTTCAGAATGTATGTTGCTAGGGATGGATGGAATGACAGATTTGATTTGGCTGTGTAGTCATTTTCTGTTTGTTTGGTGTGTCAATTATCTATTGCCATGTGACATGCAACCAGTTAAAGCACTTGGTGGCTTACAACAACAGGAATCACTTAGTTTGCTTAAAAATTTGAAATTTTGGCAAGGTTTTGCAGGGGGTGGAAGATCCACTTTTAAGATGATATCTTCTTTTGCATGCCTAGCAAGTTGGTGCTGGCTGTTGGCTGGGAGTTCAGCCAGGTCTGTGAACCAGTAGGCTTGGTTCCTCTTCATCTGGACCTGCCCATGGGCTGCTTAGACTTCCTCACAGTATGGTAGCTGATTTCTAAGACCAAACCTCCCCAGAGAGAACCAGGTAGAAGTTATACCATTATTTATGATCTAGATTTGGAAGTCAACATTATTTTCACTTAGATTCAAGGGGAGGGAACATGGAACCCATTTCATGATGGGAGGTATAACAAAGGCACATTGCAAAAAGAACATGGAGGATGGGAGATACTGTTATGGCCATTGTGGAAAATATAATCTGCCATACTTGGCTTGTTCATATAAGGGGAGTCAGATCAAGTTGGATCTCAAAGCAGTCTCTAAAAAGATATAGATCACAACAGCATCACTCAGTAAGTGGATCTCAATTACTGTAATTACCCCCTTTTCTTCTTCCTTTCCCATGTTCTCCAGGAGCAGATGTCTACTGGGCATTTACAAGTTGCCTACGTAGCATCTACTTCCCTCTTCCTAATATTTCCTACATTCTTATTCTATACGCTGTCTCTTCCCTCACCTAGCCCATTTGCTTCAAGAAAACTGTCTATCCCCATCTCTGGGGTTGGACCCCAACTGGCTTGCAACAACCGGTGCATTCAGTTTCCCTGGCCATAATGTTTGTAACGACAGGGAGGCAGAAGGTATAGGGTCATGGGGGAGGGCAATATGTAATCCAAGCTGATTTAGATCAGGATGCTGGTTGGATATACCCTCTCTGGATGTTGATGGGGAAGCACTTAGTCCTGGGAACATTGGCAATTACCTGTGTGGCCACAAGGAGAGAGAATTTTAGCATGAAGTGGATTCCACAAAAGGCCAGTTGGGGAAATGGAAAGAAACCAGGCCCTAGTGACATCAGTAAGCCACTGGGTTAAACCCACACTGAAGCTTCATCTACCTTTGAATTTCTTGTAGGAGCTAATAGAGTACGTATTAAGTTGAGTTTGTTACTTGAAACCTAAAGCATCTGAAGCAAGATGAGGGGATTATTTCTTATTTGTAAGACCTTCCTAGGCCCCACATGATGGCTCATGACTGTAATTCCAGCACTTTGGCAGTGTGAGGCAGGAGGATTCCTTGAGGCCAGGAGTTTGAAACTAGCCTGGGCAACATAGTGAGAGACTGTCTCTACAGAAAAAAAAAAAAAAAAAAAAAGCCTAAGTTTGATTCTAGGCTTCACCAATTGTTAACTGGGTGACTGAGAAAATTTCCAAATCTCTCTGCTTCAGTTTTCTTTATAGTAAGATTCCAGATGGATGTGATAGAGGGCTTTATTTTCTAGAGTGGGAGGAAGAGCCATTGTGAAAGAGAAAAGTAGAAAAAGAAAATAGCAAACTGTGTCCTCAGGCAGATCAGTTTAAGTAAAGAATACAGTAATCCCTCAGTATCCATGGGGGATTGGTTCCAAGACCTTCCTTGGAGACTGATGTTGGCTGATAAAAAGTGGCATAGCATTTGTATATAACCTATACACATCCTCTTCTATACTTTAAATCATCTTTAGATTACTTATATCTAATACAATGTAAATGCTATGTAAGTAGATGGTATACTGTTTCATTTAGGGAATAATGACAAGAGGAAACATTCTGTATGTGTTTAGTGCAGATAAAACTTTTTTTCAAATATTTTTGATCTGTGGTTGATTGAATCTATGGATGCAGGACCCATGGATATAGAAGGCCAACCTGCATAGGAAAGGTGAAGATCTGAAAGTGGACTCCGTTATACTATTCTTGCCCATGTAATCCTTCAAAAGTCTTTGTGGGCTCTTGGAGATTCACATGTCCAACTTAAAGACTACTGGATTCTATGTTCAATTCAAGTTAAACAAGTAACTTAATTTTTTGAACAGATGAGGCTCTTGACACCAGCCAGTCTTTTCTCCTGGGGAACAGCAAGAGTGGTCAGCTGAGGGGGATACACTAGGACATTCTATCAGCAAATATTTGCTGGGTCTCTACCACGTGCTAGTTGAAAACACCTCAATGGCTTCAACCACTTGGAGCTGTAACTCTGAGGCTGTCCCTAGCCTGAGCTTGTCTCCTGAGCTCTCTGAGCATTTATCCATTTGGGATGAGATTATACATTGATAATACCTTTTGGGAAAACAGTTTTGAGATATGTATGAAGATCTGTAATATATACCTTTTGATTCTATATTTTCATAGAAATCTATCTTGGAGAAATAGAGATGAAGATATTTACATTTCATCATTAAGATTCAGGAAAAATATATTTTAGAAATTCAGAGGTTTTTTTTTTTTTAAGTCACCTGAAGATAGGTAGAAATTGTAGGAAAACTAAGTATTGCCTTGCGATCCCTCACTCTCCTTGTATTCTTCATTTCTGTCTCTCAGAACTCTGAGATACTCTTTCCACCACTGTGGGAATTAGCTTAATGTGCCCTCTATTTTTGGATATACTCCTTCCCAAAGGCATTTGTGTTTTGAAAGAGATTATTAAGATAGGAACTCATATAATAAAGCCTTATTGGTAGACCTTCAGACAGTGGGTCATCCAGAAATAACATAGAAACCCTAGTTTCTCCCTCAATTTTCTACTAGGTAGAAGTCAGTACATTGTTTACAGACAAACAAGGACTGCCCCACAGGGACCAAAGATGAGCTAGATATTATGGTCTACAAAAACATTAAGCAGATACACCTAGTGATTGTATCTGAGAGGAAGAAAGTACTCTTCAAATGGTGAGCTCCAATTTCAGTTTAGCATTTAGGGAAGATGAAAAGAGTTTGCAAAACCAGATCTGCTCAGCAGAGGGAGTACTTAATCTACAAATTATGGTTTTAAAGCAAAGGTTTGTTTTTTTTTTTTTTTTTTTGGTAATTATGATTTTTCTGAGAAGTTTTTATGTTTTATGTTTCTTTCAAGATTAAGTTGCCAATCAGGTTTTTTTTTTTTTTTTTTTTGAGACGCAGTCTTGCTCTGTTGCCCAGGCTGGAGTGCAGTGGCGCGATCTCAGCTCACTGCAAGCTCCGCCTCCTGAATTCCTGCCATTCTCCTGCCTCAGCCTCCTGAGTAGCTGGGACTACCGGCGCCTGCCACCATGCTTGGCTAATTTTTTGTATTTTTAGTAGAGACGGGGTTTCACCGTGTTAGCCAGGACAGTCTCAATCTCCTGACTTCGTGATCTGCCTGTCTTGGCCTCCCAGGTGTTGGGATTACAGGCGTGAGCCACCGTGCTGGGCCAGGTATTTTTTTTTAAGAGACTAATTGCTGCACGTATTTGTCAGAGATGCAAGAATCAGAAATTGCTGATTCTTGAGCAAGGGACTGCCCTGCCCATTTAGGAGAGGAGGAGCTGGATACACTAACTCATTTTGCTGGACCTTGGGCAGGAAGGCTGTGGCTTCTCCAGAGGACAGTTACCTTTGCTGAATTCCCTCAGCCCAGCCAGGCAGTTTACACGTGTAGTTCCTGAGGTAAATCCACAGGACACTAAACAAAGAAAAGCACATGATTTATTAATTTTCCAATAACAATTTTCTTAGAGGGGATGAGACGGCTGGGACTGCTTCCCCTCTGGGACAGGCCCAGTCCGGCAGGTATCAGAGTCCTTTGTCTCACTCTTACCTCATAGAGCCTGCTGCTCCTCACCTGTCCTGTCCAGTCTGCTTTAAAAACCTTCAAGTCTAACAAAAAACAAAAAAGAAAAAAACAAAAAAAAAAAACCCTTCAAGTCTGGTCCTGAGGGGCATCTTCCTCTTCCTGGGGTCTCATCTGAATGTTGAAGCTAGTTGGCCTCTTTCAGTAATCTTCCGGAATATTCATTTATAGAGTTTCTAAAATAAAATTTTGACACCATCTATTTCAATGTTAAAAAGACATAAAAGCCCCTTTATTTTCAAAATTGTGACTTACTAACTTCCATAAATACAAATTAAGATATCTCCCAAAACAACAGCGTGCTACCTCCATCTCCGTCCCACAGGGGGATGGCAATCATTTGTGAGATACTGCTTTAGATATGTTTCAGAGGTTGGGGTAGGGGATAGGGAAATGGAAGGGACTTTGAACAATGTTTTTCTGTTTCTTCACCTGCTGAGGGTTCCCCAAGTATTTGATAATCACTTTTATCTCTGCACTTTTGGAGTAATTATTTTTTATATTATAATATTACTATTTCAGCCCTCAGCGTATTTCACTATGTTTATCTGAGTATCTAAAAAGCTAAGCAAGACTTGTTCTCTTAAGTGTCTTACATTTGTTTTTGTGTGTCCACCAAGGGTTATAATAGTTACTATCTTGCTATTTATATTTGAACTATTGGTCTATTCAGTTCTCTCCTAGCCATTTTCCCCTAAATGCTTTTGTCCTAACATCTTCTATTAGGTGTGGTTTAAGTCAGAGTCAGTCTCTGTCTTTCTCTCTCAGTCATCACACTGGACTTTGAGTGGTACAAGGGAATATTTTCAATTTATTTTCTCTATGTCCAAGTGTTTTCCTCTAATTAAGGTGATAATTAACAGTGGAATGGTTAAAAATAGTGATGGACCAGGCACAGTGGCTCATGCCTGTAATCCCAGCACTTTGGGAGGCTGAGAGGAAGGACGATCACTTAAGGCCAGGAGTTCAGGACTAGCCTGGGCAACAGAGTGAGACTCCATTTCAACAACAAAATTAAGTGAGTTTGGGGGCTCATGCCTGTAGTCCTAGCTCCTTGGGAGGCTGAGGTGGGAGGATTGCCTGAGCTCAAGAGCTTGAGGTTACACTGGGTTGATTGTGCTACTGCACTCCAGCCTGGGTTACAGAGCAAGACCTTGTCTCAAAAAAAAAAAAAAGTATATATATATATATATATATATATATATATATATATATATATAAAATATCTTGCTATCATTATCTGTTGAATGCCTATTTTGTGCTAGACACTATTCAAAGCAGTTTTTAATTTTCATGATAGCCCTATAGCGTATGAACCTTTATTATCCCCCTTTTTTAAGGAAACGGAAACAGACGTAATTTGTCAATGGTTGCATGGTAGAAGATTGCAGATCCCAGATTTAAACCAAGTGGACTCCACCCTTTGCATTATCTTGCTCTTTGAAAGATAGGTAGCAGGAGAAAGGAGTGGAAGCAACAGTCCTGGTTAAACCCATGTTTGTCCTCAGGACCCAGAACATCCTTCAGAATAGATGAGAAATATTGGGAACTGAGTGTAGGGAAGTAGAGCCAAAAGAAACTGAGGATTACGTAATTGCTTTGTGAATTTACAAGCTTGAGAGAGCTAATCCAATAATTAACTCATGGACTTTTTTGTCCTTGATTGTGTAAGTTTTTACTGAGAATATTATTAATAATAAGGCCCTGATTAATGTTTTTGAGAGTCAAACGTTAATCTTATGGGAATGTTTATTTTGCTTCTGCTTACAATAAAGACTAAGTTAATGGTTTTGTGATTTTTATTTTCATTGGGCAGGGAAAAAGCTATTGATTCATTAACTGCTGTCTTATTGGCATGTAGCTATGCGCTGTTCACTCATTAATACAAAAAATATCATGCTGTGCTATTTTGTCCAAGGGAAAAAGACAAACAGTGAGATTTCTTTCTTTATTATTATTTTTTGAGACAAGGTCTTTCTCTGCCACCCAGGCTGCAGTAGAGTGTTGTGATAATAACTCACTGCAGCCTTGAACTCCTGGGCTTAAGCAATCCTCCCACCTCCCACCTCCCACCTAGCAAGTAGCTAGGGCTACAGGCACACGCCACCATGCTCAGCTAATTTTTAAAACAATTTTTGTATTTTTTAGAGATGGGGTCTCACTGTATTGCCCCGGGTAGTCCTGAACTCCTGTCTTCAAGCAAACCTCCCACCTTGGTCTCATAAAGTGGTGGGATTATAGGCATGAACCACCACACCTGGCCAACAGTGAGATTTCCTATGTGAAAAGTGTGCATTTCAACTCTGCTAGTTCCATATGCCTTTATTAGCATTTCAGAGACTTATCCTCTCAACCTGACTTCTGCAGGATAGCTTTTCAGGAAAAGTAGTTTATTATAAGTGGAGCTTGGAAATATATATATAATCAATTTCTCACATACATTAACCAGATCTCAACTTTCTTAAAAATGTACCATAAAGCTGAACTTCATTTAGGCACTCATTCTCAGACATCAGTATGCATAGGAATCACCTGGGGAGCTTAGTAAAATGCAGGTTTCTAGGCCCTATTCTCAGAGACAAATTCATTCTCCAGGTGATTCTGATATAGATGTCCTCAGGGTGCCAGAATAAGATGGAGAAAAGGATGTAGAGTGAGGAATACAAAAACTCAGTACTCTGGAGACCCAGGCACAGAAGTGCTAGAGAGCAGATGGGCTTTTCACCAAGGATATTGAGGGAGCTGTGGGAAGTCTGATTGGCCTCCAGATAATAGATGGCTTCAGCCCTTTTTGTTAGGTCCCTGTAGGACCCACTCTTGCTGGCTCTTTAGGTAATAGATGACTGTCCAAATTCAGGTTGCAACTGTGGTGAGACCACTAATCTCCTGTGCAACTATAGTCTCTTGGTTTGGGGGAAAAGGAAGTCAGTCTGCAGGTGGCTGAGCACTTGTAAGCAGTTACTATGGGCTTGGTCTGAAGGCAGAGCTGGAGAGGGAGAGGGATCTAAATCTTACCTTTCTGCCATTCTCTAAAGGACTGAGCTTCCTGCTTGAAGGCTGTACACTAAGAAGAGGAGCATGGAGCCATTGCAAAGGGGGAGATTGTTATTATGCAGGGTCCAATTAGGAGAAATTACCCTTTTTAGTTTTGGAGGAACAGTATGAGAATTGCTGAGAGTCTAAGAAAAGACCCCAGGCCTAGATCTGCTGACACTTGGCCTATGGAGGTAGGGAGAACTGCTCTGTGTAACTCAAGTGATGGAATTATTTTATTCTGGAAATAGAGGATCAAGAGAAGAAGCCAGCAGGAGTGGGTCTGAAGCATCCCGACCACCCCCAACATGCACACTAGACCCCACCAGAAAACAGTGAACCACAAAGGGAAAGAGAAATGCCGATGGAGAATTCCAGGTGGTTTCTGTGGGAAGTGTGCTGCAGACCTTTTCATCTGTCTCAAATGGAGAAAACATCAGTAATTCTGTATATCTTGCAGACACTTTTAACAAGAAGTTTCTTCTTTTGGGGGGACCTCATAAGGAAAATGAGACAGCAGCAACTTTACGAGTTCCACATATGTGCTTTAAACAGTATCTTAGATCCAGCAAGTCCATTGTTTCCCACCTATGTGTACTAAGCTACAATTTTTCAAATGTATATACTCGGTAGATGTTGTGAATGATAAAATACAAATGTGTTTTTAAGAGTTCTTAAATTCACACATTTTAATGGTGGATTTTCTCAATCTCTTTTATGGTTGGGTCTAAGGAACTTTTTGGCAAAACAAAAACAAAACAAAACAAAACAACAGAACAAAACAACCCCCCCCAACCCCAATGAGTTTCTCATACTTTAAAAGGCTAGAAAACCCTGATGTAAAGCATCATAGTTATGTCTTCAGATTGGCTATAAAGAACTTACTCCTCAAGTAATGCAAACCCTCACGGTACAGTGACTTTATTGTATTGTTTATGATGGATTTTTAGAAAGAGGCAAGATAAACTGCATTTTTGTTTTACTTTAGCAGAATATTAACACTGAATAAATACAGAGGGGTATGTAAAAACACATTTACTTTAAAACTGTCACATTATTTGACTTTTTAACTGTATAAGAAAAAGTTTGCTGCTGCTAGAGTAAACAGACAACCCACAGAGTAGGCGAAAATCTATACATCCAACAAAGGACTAATATCCAGAATCTATAAAGAACTCAAACAAATTAGCAAGAAAAAAGCAATCCCATCAAAAAGTGGGCTAAGGACATGGATACACAGTCCTCAAAAGAAGATATACAGATGGCCAACAAACATGAAAAAATGCTCAACATCACTAATGATCAGGGAAATGCAAATCAAAACCACAATGTGATACCACCTTACTCCTGCAAGAATGGCCATAATCAAAAAATAAAAAAAAAAAATAGATGTTGGCGTGGATGCAGTGAAAAGGGAACACTTCTACACTGCTGGTGAAAATGTAAACTAGGCTGGGCATGGTGGATCATGCCTGTAATCCCAGCACTTTCAGAGGCTGAGGCAGGCGGATCACCTGAGGTCAGGAGTTCAAGACCAGCTTGGCCAACATGGTGAAACCCTGTCTCTACTACAAATAGAAAAATTAGCTAGGCGTGGTGGTGGATGCCTTAATCCCAACTACTCAGGAGGCTGAGACAGAAGAATCGCTTGAACCCAGGAGGTGGAGGTTGCAGTGAGCCGAGATAGCACCATTGCACTCCAACCTGGGCGACAAGAGCAAGACTCTGCTCAAAAAAAAAGTAAACTAGTAAACAGTGTGGAGAGTCCTTAAAGAACTAAACGTAGAACTACCATTTGATCAGTAGTGGGATAACAATCCCACTATTGGGTATCTACCCAGAGGAAAATAAGTTATTATATGAAAAAGATACTTGCACACACATCTATAACAGCACAATTCACAATTGCAAAAATATGGAACCAGCCCAAGTGTCCATCAATCAATGATTGAATAAAGAAATTGTGAGATATATATATCACATCATATATATATGATGCAATATGACTCAGCCATGAAAAGGAACTAATTAATGGCATTCACAGCAACCTGGATGGAACTGGAGACCATTATTCTAAGTGAAGTAACTCAGGAATGGAAAACCAAACATTATACGTTCTCACTCATAAATGGGAGCTAAACTATGAGGATGCAAAGACATAGAATGATACAATGGACTTTGGGGACTTGGGGGAAAGAGTGGGAGGGGTTTGAGGGATGAAAGACTACAAATTGGGTTCAGTGTACACTGCTCAGGTGATGGGTGCACCAAAATCTCACAAATCACCGCTAAAGAACTTACTCATGTAACCAAACACCACCTGTTCCCCAAAAACCTATGGAAATAAATAATTAAAAACCAAAAAAACCCAAAACAAATTGAACAATAAAAAGTTACGTGCTGCTTAGTAAAAACGTGAAAATTCAGAAACATTGATGCCATTTCCCTTTTTTCCCCTAGGCACTGTTATGTGGTATACTTGTTACATGTCCTGAGGATCCGCTGAGGTATTTAGAGGGAATGATCATGGTTATAATCAAAAGTGGTCTTCAGAATCTTCTTTGGTAAGTATTGTTTTGATTTTTGATAGGGAAATATTTTATTTTGAAGGAAAACTTTTATTGCATAGTAACAAAATAAGGTCTTGCCAATGAATGCTTCCAATCTCAAGATTGTTAAGGAATCCCTCCACAGGCTTTTCAGTTTCAAAGACGCAAACCTGAATAATTTGCCCACTAGATCTCAACCTGAGAAATACGGTGTATTCTTATCAGTAACGTGTTCATAGGGCCGGTTTATTTCAAGTTGGGAAAGAGGAAAGGGAGGCATATCCTCCTTTGGGGGACACAGCAAAATCTTGCGAGAGTAGTTTGAAAAAGTCCTCCAGGTGATTCTGATCTGCTTCTCCTAAGGGGAAATGTGTTTTCCTTCTCCTCCCTTTCATTCCACCTACAAGAATCACTGATTTAATTACGGAACTAACTAATTAATGAAATTAATTTTGACTGTATTTTATGATGTTATTAAAGGGATATGTGCATTACTCCATCAATGAAACCAAACATTCGAAGATTGTCTGAAACTTACCTGGAACAACTTTTTGAATTGGATGATCAGCTGGTAATTATTAGTAATCAAGAATACGCAAATATATATTTTAAACTTCGATGGAATTTTCCAAGTAGATTTTATATTTATGGGAGGTGTGAGGTCAGACTGTTTTTGTTGTTGGGGGCACCGAGAAAAGTGAAGGAATAGCCACACACATACACAGACGCATGCAAAGCCACATTCATAGTAACCTTCCCAAATTTCCAGAAAGTATTTACAAAGGCATTTGTTCCTTCTCTTATAAAATCTTTCCATTAAGTTTTCCCCCTTTCCTCTTTCTCCTCCTTCTCCTCTCGTGCATCTTTATAAAGATGAAAATAGAATTATGGAAAGCTTTACAAGAGGATGTTTTCTTTCCTTTCTAATCTGCTTCCTTCTGTGTTCCATTCCACCGCCCATTCTCTCTGCTGTCTGCCTTCTCAGATTAGGTTACAGGGAATCATGCTCGTAATGACATGACCAAAATATTATTGACATCCAACTTAAAAGACAGATCTCATTGTTACTGAAAACTGGTACCAGCAGCTAGTTTTGATCCTGTAAAGAGGGCAAGGAAGTAATTTAGGACATGAAGACTTTAGAACAAAGATAAATGTTTAAGAGAGGCTAACAGAGCAAAAGGCACATGAAGAGAGAAATACTAACACAAATTAGATATGTGTGGAACCATGTGTGATAACTCTCTCTCTTTTTTTTTTTTTTTTTTCCAGACGGAGTCTTGCTCTGCTGCCCAGGCTGGAGTGCAATGGCGCGATCTTGGCTCACTGCAACCTCCACCTCCCGGGTTCAAGTGATTCTCCTGTCTCAGCCTCCCAAGTAGCTGGGATTACAGATGCATGCTGCCACGCCACTAAAATATAATTTTTTGTGTTTTAGTAAAAACGGGGTTTCACCATGTTGGCCAGGCTGGTCTCGAACTCCTGACCTCAGGCAATCCACCTGCCTCAGCCTCAGATTACAGGTGTGAGCCACTGTGCTTGGCCCGTGCATGATATCTCTTGATTACAGGGCTGTTGTCTGGTAGGTCCAGGCAGGACTTGGAGTTGCTACTGAAGTTGGATGTTGAAAAGTGGAATCAAAGCCATGTTCAAGGTGGGGGCTGAGAGGCAAAAACAATTTGAGGCATCTGTTTAGAAGGATGGGTGGAGAGTAACACTGGATCCTAATCAGTGGTCTGCAACAGAGAAACAGAATTAGAGGGATGAGATGATTCTGAGGTGCCAGTACACTGGGCAGAACCCATGTATCCCATCCTACTTGATCTGCATCATGGTGTGTAGGTGTTTTTATAGTACTTTATTAACCACAGACTTTTGACCTATGGAGTGCAGATATCTGCAAATTACTGTGTTTTTGGAGCTGTTTGGGGACAACCTCAGGAGCTGAGGGAGAGGCCTAGGGGACAGGATTCTGGGTTGTGTATGCCTACTCCTATACTCCAGAATAGTTTTGGTTTCAGTATGATTTTGCTTGAGAAAAGCTTGACAACTATTGCTAAAATATGCTAAAGTTTTTGAAAACCACTGATTTAGCGTGGTAAACCCTATTGTCAATATTACGACAAAGACCTTATATAAAATCAGGCTGTGTCCAGTGTCCAGCTAGAAGCCCGTAGGGAATCACTTAAAAACTGCAGAGAATTCTGGCTGGGTGCGGTGGCTCATGCCTGTAATTCCAGCACTTTGGGAGGCCGAGGCAGGTGGATCACCTGAGGTCAGAAGTTCGAGAGCAGCCTGGCCAACATGGTGAAACCCTGTCTCTACTAAAAGTACAAAAATTAGTTGGGCATGGTGGCGGGTGCCTGTAATCCCAGCTACTCAGGAGGCTGAGGCAGGAGAATCACTTGAATCAAGGAGGTGGAGGTTGCAATGTGCCAAGATTGCGCCACTGTGCTTCAGCCTGGGCGACACAAGAGCAAGACTTCGTCTCAAAAAACAAAACAAAACAAAACAAAACAAAAACAAACAAAAAACCTGTAGAGAATTTCAAGAGACATCATAGCTACTTCAAACCTAAAGTTTTATTAGAAAAGGAATTGTCGGCTGGGCGCAGTGGCTCACGCCTGTAATCCCAGCACTTTGGGAGGCTGAGGCGGGTGGATCACCTGAGGTCAGGAGCTTGAGACCAGCCTGGCCAACATGGTGAAATCCTGTCTCTACCAAAAATGCAAAAATTAGCTGGGCGTGGTGGCGGGTGCCTGTAATCCCAGCTACTTGGGAGGGTGAGCCAGGAGAATCACTTGAACCTGGGAGGCGGAGGTTGCAGTGAGCCGAGATCGTGCCACTGCACTCCAGCCTGGGCGACCAGAATGAAACTCCATCTCAAAAAAAAAAAAAAAAAGAAAAGGAATTGTCAGAGATGTTTCATGATGTTGAAAATGCAAAAGTTAAAATATTAGAAGCTGATCCAAACTTAGAGTTATGACAGTTTGCCAAGGCATAGAAAAGGTGTCCACTTCATATAATAAGTTGGAAATAATAAAAATGAGATATGACTTTGCAAAAGCAATGACGAAAATATTTGTTAAGGTTAGACATGAAAATGTGAATCTCCAAGTGTCCTAGGGTTGCTTGTTAGAGGGCTCAACCTAGGTTGGATCCACATTAATTTCTCCTCCACCGTCAGAGAAAAATGAAATTTTTTTTTTTACAAAGAAGCAAAACACTTTAGTCCTCAATATTTTTGATATTTTAAAGTATATACACTAAAGCCAGGCACAGTGGCATGCACTTGTACTCCCATCTACTTAGGAGGCTGAGGTAGGAGAATTGCTTGAGGCCAGGAGTTTGAAACCAACCTGGGCAACATAGTGAGACCTCATCTCTTAAAAAAAATGTATAGTATACTAAATGAATATTGGTTTTACTTTTTTTCATATGCCTTTCCTATGTGGTTTTCCATACCGTTATAACTGGCAGTAAAATGATTTTTAATGTTTCAACAAAAAACTTCAAAGGTTATGAATAACTATAATTTTTCCCATTAATTGTGGATTGCCTAATTGCAGGGTTTTTCAGTCTTACACTACACAGTTCTGCACAGTGAGGACTGCCAATATGTGCTGTTAAAGTGATCTAAATATGTCCTGAGAAGGACTCTGTACTTCTGTATTTGAGTTCTTGTGGAAGAACTGCAACCTAGCTTAATAGGTAGACAAGATTGAAAACCTAACTAGGAGTATGTGCCTGTAACAATAGCTGAGACTTGGCCAATCCCAGCAGCCGTACTTTAACCATTCATACACTACTGAGTGTTCAAACTGTGTTCAACCAAGGAAAACATCAATCTGTAACCAATCCAGCTGTTCTATACCTAATTCCAATTTCTGTACATCATTTCCCCTTTTTTGTTTATAAATCTTCCACCAGGTGGCTGCGCTGGAGTCTCTGTGAATCTGCTGTGATTCTGGGGGCTACCTGACTTGCAAATTGTTCATCGTTCAATTAAACTCCTTTAAATTTAATTCGGCTAAAGTTTTTCTTTTATCAGATGGTGTCAGAAATGGGATCTGAGGTAGAGCTTCTAGCGACCCCAGGAGCGTTGAGTGAACTGAACAAACAAGGTACCTGCAGGACCCACTTGTGTTCACTGATCTCTCAGAGCAGCTGGGGATCGTGGGTAAGCTCTCTCTCGGATTTCAGAGCTCCATGGATTTGTGTTTTGAGCTCTCCGAGTTTCTTTGAGCAAATTTCTGATCCAAACAGGGTTTGGAAGTCACGACAGAAACTCAGCTGGGTCCAGGAATGGATTTGATCTGGGAATTAATTGGCTTGGATCCAGTTAGAGGTCTCTTACACCTGACTGGTTCAGAAAGGAACTGATAGTAAGCAGTAATATTGCAGGGGTTATAAAAGTTGGCTTTTGAAAATTCACAGGAATTTTTATGTTCTACCCCTTTGTTTCATTTTTCTTGCATGCTTAGGTAGGAAAAATCATTGGCTCAGTTAATCAAGAGACCCTGAGAATCAAGCCAATATTTTAGGTAAAAATGAGATCCTTAATTTCTGGAAAACTAAGTTCCTTCCAGCTTATACATTAGGCCTGGGAGGCAGCATAGTCTTAGAGAAATGACAAAATCTTACTAAAGGTAACTTACAGTGGAATGTTCCAAATGAGCAACAAAGCAATGAAGTGTGTTTAAAAATGAGGGTTCTCAGTAAAGTCTCTTTCAGTTAAGAACAGGTTTGGCGCTATGGGATGTTAACTGCTATTCTCTTTTGATTAATCTGTCTTGTACTTTTTGCTGACGGCTATAGGTGACAGTATTAGGCATGTACAGGACCATGGGACATGGGAAGCTTTTTCCTCCCCAAAAGGGGAAACTTGAGAGCTGATGGGATTGCTGGAAAAGATGCCTTCACTACTGACAAGTGGCCGCCTGAATTTTTCAGTGTCATTGCAATGAGTGGGTCTTGCTCTGGCCTCCCTGAGCTCTTCACCTTCCCCACCTTGCCACAGGCAATACTTTTCTTTCTCTACCTTTCCTTTCCTATCTTTTCTGTTACTCAGGGCAACCATCTTGCCCAGAGACCATGTGTTGAAACTCCTAGTTGGAGGTTGGATTAAAGATGACAGGGGCCATCTGAAGGCAAATTTAAGCCTTACCAGTTTGATATTGGGTGCTAAGCAGAGTGGCTAATGTCTATGTTTTATCATATGTGTTTTGTTCTGGCCAAAACGAAAAAAGTTAATTTTCCTTTATGATGCAGCTTGGCCCCCAGGGCGATGGTGTGGCAAGCTGGGACGCTAGGGCTGCTCAGGGAAAGGGAAAGAAAGCCCAGAAGCCTGGCATGCTAGTAAAAGGGTAAGAATTTCTTACCAGTCATATTTCTGGCTTTTTTCCTCTTTTTCTTTGTGCAAAATGGTTAAATGAATGGCAAAAATTACTCTTATCTCCCGTGTAAAGTTTTGATTGATACAAAAAAAATTCTGAGGCTTCTCTTAAGCTGTAGTGAATCTGATGTGCTTTGTGTGTCTTTCTGTATTGTTCTGTCATAAAGAGGGGTACCTTAGGATAAAATGTGTGCCCAAAACCTCATAAGCCTGTTGTTCAAGACGACCCAGCAAACTGGTCAGTTATGTGCTTAGGCGCTTGACCTTGTAGCCACGTGGCTATGCTTTCTCTTTTCACAATGGTGGCCTGGGTTCAGAGTTCAATCCCTAGCTTAGGGGATGAGCCTTTCTGATTGATATTTGGGTGACCTTTGCCATTTTTTGATTCTCTTCCCCTCCACCAACTGTCTTGAATTTTCCTTTCTCAGAGCACCTGTGAGGTTACCTTGGGTAAAGTTTAAAAGCCAGAAATATCAGCTCTTTGGCCTGGCTAAAGTCGGGTAATAAGAAATTTTAAAAGGACTTTATTAAAGAGTGCTATGGTTAAAAGTCAGCTTAATTAAAAGTGGATATTCAAGCTCTCACAGCCTGGGACTCCTTGGGAAAAACAGGAGGCACCAGAGATCCTTTCTTGGCCCTGTTCTTGCGAGGACTCCACCCCAAAGCCAGTAATCTAATTAAGAAACTTAAAAACTGGTGAATGGAAAATCTTACAACTACTGTAGTAATCTTCTTTGGTTTGTCTGTGTAGTTATATATGTGTTGTGTGTGTAATGTTTGTATAAAAGAACTCTAATTCATTGGTTTAAACAAAAATAAGTGCTTAAATATTTTGAAAGAAAAACTGTAATGCTTTTTAGTTCATGTAACTTAAGTCATCTTTGGGAAATATAAACAGCTTTAAAGATTATTGATAAAATAAAGACATTTAGTCTAAATTATGCAGGTCAGATATTAGGTTTGCTTAATATGTTTAAGGCCATAAACTGCTTTGACCTTTGAAAATTGTTGAATTTATTTTGGAGACATTACATTCTAAATAAGTCCTGGGGATATGTGGAATTAGCCATGCCACCTAGCTATGAAAAGAAGGTTATAAAGAAAAGAGATTTTATATAAGAAAGGATCTTGTAGAGTAAATTCTTGTCCTAAAGTAAAATGACTGGTTGTTTAAAAAGAGGGATGTTTAGGACAAGTCAGAAAGACCAAGCATGTTGTAGATGGTCTGTGTAAGTCGTGAAAGGATTCATAAAAGAAAATTTATGCACCAAAAGTGAAAGTTGCTAAGAATTACCATTATAACATGTGATTGAGACTACTGAAAAACTAGGTTTACACGCAAGGTGTGTGAGGAGAATGAAACATGTTTTTGGTAAGAGATTATAAGAATGCATGGGAATGTAAATTTTTACCTAGTTTAATGGGTTAAAGGATTGTTTTAAATTAAATAGAATAAAGCTAAAGGTTTGAACAAGTTGTGGAAGGTTTGTAAAAATTTGTAAAAGAAATTCTGTGTGTGAAAATATTGACTAAATTTAAAAGTGTATTGTTCAGTTTTTCTGTAAATTGAACATTGAAATAAAAGCATAATAGGGTTTTCTTAAAGCACTAATCTGCTCTTTAATAAAAATTGGTAAAGGGTTATAAAAGGTTTATGAAAATCTCACCTTATGGTCAAACTGATTAAGATTAGATAGATTTGTCTGTGAGGTTTTATTAAAAATTGGGGTTGACATTAATAGTCCACTAATGCAAGGGTGAAATTTGGCTTTCTCTCTTGAACAAGATTTTCATGTAATATTAAAAGGTAATGAAAGATTTTTGTTTTGTTTGCCTTTTAAATACACTATCAAAAAAAAAAAAAAGAAAGGAAAGACAAAAGACAGATTGTTTGGAAAGCTGAGTCTTCCCTCTATCAATGAGTAAAGGTTTTTGCCTTTAAAAAATTTTTTGAGTCATCATTTTGGCTAAGTGAGTGACTTACAGTGACCTGGAATTCTAGTTCATAATATCAAGTGTTTTAAAACTTTATATATATATCTTTATATTTAATAGGCTTCCCAAAATTAAATTTCAGCTTTAAAATGGTCTTTTCTGACCTCTAACTTTGGAACGCTACAGAGGGCCCCTGAAGCATCCAAAAGAGAGGTAAACAGAATTATTTAACATGTTAAGTTACATGGGAAGCATTGTCAAAATAAAAATAATGTTTAATCTTCAGGTTATATTTTAGTGAATGATATTAATGTATGTTCTAAAATTGTATGGGGCCAGGCACAGTGGCTCATGCCTGTAATCCCAACACTTTGGGAGACCGAGGAAGGCAGATCACCTGAGGCTAGGAGTTTGAGACCAGCCCGGCTAACATGGTGAAACCCCGTCCCTACTAAAGGTACAAAAAGTTAGATAGGCATGGTGGCGGGTGCCTGTAAGCCCAGCTACTTGGGAGGCTGAGGTGGAAGAATCACTTGAACCCAGGAGGCGGAGGTTGCAGTGAGGCAAGATCGTGCCTCTGCACTCCAGCCTGGGTGACAGAGCAAGACTCCATCTCAAAAACAAACAAAAAAAAATGTATAGGACTTATAAAATTCTAATATGTCTGAGTATATACTGTCAACCATAATTATAGTTATTATGTTAAGTTATTGTATATCACAGAAATAACCAAACTTCCTTGTATAGAACTGCTAACCCAAGTAAAACAAAAAATTAATTAAATACCAAGAAAATACTTTGCCAAGATTTTCATGTTAAACCAGCCGATAGTGAAATTGATTAGATATACAATTTGAATTCCATAGTCTAAGTCTCATTACCTGTGATAACCATTAGTTATCAGTGCTATGAATTTAAATTGGAGAAACAACTGGTATTCAACAGGACATAAGTCCAATATTAAGCATAGACTCATGGAAGACCAGGAAGGCTATCTTGTCCTTCCTGAGCCCTTAAAGCTTTTGTTATTAAAGGCTCTGCATTCCATGACTCATCATGGAAAAGATAAAATCATCCAAATTGAATATATTGATATAATGACTTATACATTTCAAAAATAGTTTAAAACCAATGTTTGGTTCCATATTCCTGGGAAGACAATCAAACCTTCATGTACGCTTGGCTATCAGGTACGTTTGGCTATCCGATGGGTCATTTAAACATTTATAAAGGGAGTTCATTCAACTGTCATTTTTAATGCATGTTTTATGCTACAGTAATTATTACGCCACAGTATATTTTCACCAGGTAAAGAAAGTTTTTATGGTTCACCGAGGATAATCAACTGCTTCACAGTCTAGAACCTAAAGACTGGATCTTTTGAGAACATCAGAGAAAGACTGTGCTTGCCATCCACACTGCAACAAAACTTTGGAACCTTGAACTTTAAGTTCATAATCTCACAACTGAGAAGGGTCCCTCCACACTATTGGAACTGTACACCCATTGGAACCCTTAAGGTAAAACTAACCAGGAAAGTTTCTCCCCAGAATAAGATGGCATCCTTGATGTAAACAGCTTTTCCCGAGATCACAGATCAAGACATCTACTATTGTGAGACTCTTATCTTTGAATATTTTTTCCTTATTTATGCCTCTGTAGCCAATAGAAATGATGAGGGGGTCTATTATGTGCACTTATAGGGTATACTTTTATTCGTGAAGGATTTTGCACCAGCCTTATACATGAATAACTTTATACTTTGATGGATAAAAGATGAAGGCCCAACATAGGTGAGAAACTTTAATGGTATATATGTCGCCTCATAATCAGTCAAAACTCCTCTTAGCCCACATCATGGGTTAAATAGAACATTGCCAGGAGGCCTTCACTCTTCTAGAAGGACATCATTTGTTAGGTCCTTTTTCCATGGTTTAGAATAAAAGAGGCAATAATTAGAAATGTATCCCTCATGATAGGCTGTATAGCAGATTCTAATGTAAAGCCTATTGTTACACAACAGACTTTAAATTCTCTTGTGAAAGTTATGCTAAATAATATAATTGGCTAAACAGAAAAGTACCTGTGCAGCTTCTGACACTTGTGGCCTATGGAGAAATACATCAAACGTAGATTATAAAAATTCAGTTGTAGATGATTAATGAAAAGACCACTTAAAGCAAGTAGACTCTTTATCCAGCTCATTCTTTAATCTATTTAATTTTAGGTGGTTCGGTTTATGGGTACCCTGGGTAAGGAGCATACTCTAAACTCTTGGTATTATCCTCCTGAGAGTCATAATAATAGTCTCCCTGGTGCACTGTATTCTCTCGAAGGTTTTAAATCTTGCATGCAGCCACCTCTAGAATGTCAAATGGTCTCTCTTCAAATGGAAAGACGAGCTGAAAGAAATGTGCGACCATGAGATTACTATAACCTATGAATGACGTGGTGAGACTGGAAACCCAAAATGATGGTAACTGAGAGTGGCACTAAGGCCCTAAGTTTTGGTCACACTTTCACCTAAGTGAGAACCTGACCAAAAAGGGGGGAATCTTTTTTAAACAAAGTTGTGGGAGGCCACTGTTTTGGACTAAGCTCATTCACTAGGCCCCAACAGGCCAAACCAAACTAAAATGGGGTCACTTATGCTAAATGTGACATAATCAAACTAAGACTTTACGGAAACACATAGATCCTAGAACAGACCAGGTTTTGTTTTTCTCCTGTAAATAGGACATTCCAGCATAAAGAGGTACCCATAAAGGGTCCCTCTACTCATACTTGTTTTTACCTTTGCAAAACTCAATGTTCTACTGTTTCCCAGTATGTTTCAAGACCAAATAAGTACTTTTACAATGGTGATAGTGACATTGATAATTAAAGTTTTGGTCAATCTCTCAAAATTGAGAAAATGACCAAAAGGGGGAAGTTGTTAAAGTGAACTAAATGTGGCCTGAGAAGGATTCCCTGTTTCTATATTTGAGTCTTTGTGGACGAACTGCAACCTAGCTTAATAGATAGACAAGATTGAAAACCTAACTAGGAGTATGCACGTGTATCAATAGCTGAGTCTTGGCCAATCCCAGCAGCCATACTTCAACCATTCATACACTGCTGAGTGTTCAAACTGTGTTCAAATAAGGCAAACACCAATCTGTAACCAGTCCAGCTGTTGTGTACCTCACTTCCAATTTCTGCACATCATTTCCCTTTTTGTGTCTATTAATCTTCTTCCACCATGTGGCTGCACTGGAGTCTCTCTGAATCTGCTGTGATTCTGGGGGCTGCCCAATTCACAAATTATTCATTGCTCAATTAAATTCCTTTACATTTAATTCGGCTGAAGTTTTTCTTTTATCATTGCCTATTTATAAAGGATAAATATGTCTCTACTTAAAGACGAGTGAATACAGGAAACTGTGAGTAAGCCAAATAGTAAAGAAAAAGTAGGAACTGCTCTCATAATAGTAGAAGGAAAGACAATTTCATTGTTTCAAGCATTCCAAGATGAAAGAATCAACCATTGTAAGGAGGAAATGAACTTCACAGACTTGGTTCTCATTTCTTAGGAAATGAAATCTCCAGATGGGCCTTCTAACTACAAGAGAAAGCATATATAAAATTTAAAAAATCTTTTTATTATGGAAACATTTTAATATAACACAGAAGTAGAAGGAATACCATAATGATCACTCATCATCTAACTTGAACAATAATCAGCATTTTGCCAATCTTGTTAATTTATTCTCTCTTCCTCCATTTTTGCTGGAGTATTAGAAAGCAAATCCCAGAAATTATATTATACTGTAGTGTGCATCTCTAATAGGAGATTATATTTTTAGAGAATAGAAACACAGTGCCACTGTCTTATGAATAAATAACAATAATTCCTGAATGTCATCTAGTCCTGATTATATTCAGATTCATATTCTATATTTTAGTTTCCCAGATTGTCTCAAAAATGTCTTTTTACATGTGGCTGTGTTCAAATCAGAATTCATACAGAGTCTACATATTGCACTTGGTTGTTATTTATCTAACATCTCTTGTAATGGACAAGAATTCTCCTTGTCTTATTTTTTCTGCATGCGACTTATTTATTGAAGGAAACGGGTAATTTGTCTTGTAAAATGTCCCAGGTTCTCAATGCTTCCTCTAGTGTCATTTTACTTACTCTGTTTCCCGTATTTCATGCAAGCTGGTAGTTAAATCTAGATGCTTGATTTCATTCAGGTTCCCCCCTACCAACATTTTGTGTGGACAATAATATTGCATAGAGGTGTTGTGTTTTTCCTAGTGCATCACATCTGGAGGCACACATGATCTGGTTGACCCACTTTTAATGAATCTTGACTCCTAGAGATCTTAATATCATTCTGTATTAATTGTATCCTACAATGTGCATATAATGATTTCCGAATAACATTACCATAGAACCACTAACAAAAAGACTACTGAATGCAGTTTAAGAAGATTATGCAATTCTTTTTGCTTTTAAGATGTGTATATTCAGGTTGGGTGCAGTGGCTCACACCTGTAATCCCAGCACTTTGGGAGGCCAAGGCAGGTGGATCACCTGAGGTCAGGAGTTCAAGACCAGCCTGGCCAACATGGTGAAACCCTGTCTTTACTAAAAATGCAAAAAAATTAGTTGGGCATGGTAGCACACACCTGTAATCCCAGCTACTTGGGAGGCTGAGGCAGGAGAATTGCCCAGACCCTGAAGGCTGAGGTTGCAGTGAGCTGAGATCATGCCATTAGACTCCGGCCTCGGCGACGGAGGTGCCATAATAAACATACGTGTGCATGTGTCTTTATAGTAGCATGACTTATAATCCTTTGGGTATATACCCAGTAATGGGATTGCTGGGTCAAATGGTATGTATTTCTAGTTCTAGATCCTTGAGGAATCACCACACTGTCTTCCACAACAGTTGAACTAATTTACACTCCCGCCAACAGTGTAAAAGCATTCCTGTTTCTCCACATCCTCTCCAGCATCTGTTGTTTCCTGACTTCTTAATGATCTCCATTCTAATGGGCATGAGATGGTATCTCATTGTGGTTTTGATTTGCATTTCTCTGATGACCAGTGATGATGAGCTTTTTTTCATATGTTTGTTGGCTGCATAAATGTCTTCTTTTGAGAAGTGTCTGTTCATATCCTTTGCCCACTTTTTGATATGGTTGTTTGTTTTTTTCTTGTAAATTTGTTTAAGTTCTTTGTAGATTCTGGATATTAGCCCTTTGTCAGATGAGTAGATTGCAAAGATTCTCTCCCATTCTACAGGTTGCCTGTTCACTCTGATGATAGTTTCTTTTGCTGAGCAGAAGCTCTTTAGTTTAATTAGATCTCATGTGTCTATTTTGGCTTTTGTTGCCATTGCTTTTGGTGTTTTAATCATGAAGTCTTTGCCCATGCCTATGTCCTGAATGGTATTGCTTAGGTTTTCTTCTAGGGTTTTTATGGTGTTAGGTCTTACATTTAAGTCTTTAATGCATCTTGAGTTAATTTTTGTATATGGTGTAAGGAAGGGATCCAGTTTCAGCTTTCTACACTTGGCTAGCCAGTTTTTTCAGCACAATTTATTAAATAGAGAACTCTTTCCCCATTGCTTGTTTTTCTCAGATTTGTCAAAGATCAGATGGTTGTAGATGTGTTGTGTTATTTCTGAGGTCTCTATTCTGTTCCATTGGTCTATATATCTGTTTTGGTACCAGTACCATGCTGTTTTGGTTACTGTAGCCTTGTAGTATAGTTTGAAGTCTCCATGATGCCTCCAGCTTTGTTCTTTTTGCTTAAGACTGCCTTGGCTATGTGGGCTTTTTTTTGGTTCCATATGAACTTTAAAGTAGTTTTTTCCAATTCTGTGAAGAAAGTCAGTGGTAGCTTGATGGGGATAGCATTGAATCTATAAATTACCTTGGGTTGTATGGCCATTTTCATGATACTGATTCTTCCTATCCATGAGCATGGAATGTTCTTCCATTTGTTTGTGTCCTCTTTTATTGTGTTGAGCAGTAGTTTGTAGTTCTCCTTGAAGAGGTCCTTCACATCCCTTGTAAGTTGGATTCCTAGGTATTTTATTCTCTTTGAAGCAATTGTGAATGGGAGTTCACTCATGATTTGGCTCTCTGTTTGTCTATTATTGGTGTATAGGAATGCTTGTGATTTTTGCACATTGATTTTGTATCCTGAGACTTTGCTGAAGTTGCTTATCAGCTTAAGGAGATTTTGGGCTGAGACAATGGGTTTTTCTAAATATACAGTCGTGTCATCTGCAAAGAGACAATTTGACTTCCTCTTTTCCTAATTGAATACCCTTTATGTCTTTCTCTTGCCTGATTGCCTAGCCAGAAGAACTTCCAAAACTATGTTGAATAGGAGTATTGAGAGAGGGCATCCTTGTCTTGTGCCAGTTTTCAAAGGGAATGCTTCTAGTTTTTGCCCATTCAGTAGGATATTGGCTGTGGGTTTGTCATAAATAGCTCTTATTATTTTGAGATATGTTCCATCAATACCTAGTTTATTGAGAGTTTTTAGCATGAAGGGCTGTTGAATTTTGTCAAAGGTCTTTTCTACATCTATTGAGATAATCATGTGGTTTTTGTCATTGGTTCTGTTTATGTGATGGATTATGTTTATTGATTTGCATATGTTGAACCAGCCTTGCATCCCAGGGATGAAGCCAACTTGATTGTGGTGGATAAGCTTTTTGATGTGCTGCTGGATTCAGTTTTCCAGTATTTTATTAAGGATTTTCACATTGATGTTCATCAGGGATATTGGCCTAAAATTCTCTTTTTTAGTTTTGTCTCTATCAGGCTTTTGTATCAGGATGATGCTAGCCTCATAAAAAGAGTTAGGGAAGATTCTCTCTTTTTCTATTGATTGAAATAATTTCAGAAGGAATGGTACCAGCTCCTGTTTGTACTTCTGGTGGAATTTGGCTGTGAATCCGTCTGGTCCTGGTCTTTTTTTGGTTGGTAGGCTATTATTGCTTCAATTTCAGAACCTGTTTTTGGTCTATTCAGAGATTCAACTTCTTCCTGATTTAGTCTTGGGAGGGTGTATGTGTCCAGGAATTTGTCCATTTCTTCTAGATTTTCTAGTTTATTTGCATAGAGGTGTTTACAGTATTCTCTGATGGTAGTTTGTATTTCTGTGGGATCGGTGGTTATAACCCCTTTATCATTTTTTATTGTATCTATTTGATTCTTCTCTCTTTTCTTCTTTATTAGTCTTGCTATCGGTCTATCAATTTGTTGGTCTTTTCAAAAAACCAGCTCCTGGATACATTGGTTTTTCGAAGGGTTTTTTGTGACTCTCTCCTTCAGTTCTGCTCTAATCTTAGTTATTTCTTGCCTTCTGCTAGCTTTTGAATGTGTTTGCTCTTGCTTCTCTAGTTCTTTTAATTGTGATTTTAGGGTGTCGATTTTAGATCTTTCCTGCTTTCTCTTGTGGGCATTTAGTGCTATCAATTTCCCTCTACACACTTCTTTAAATATGTCCCAGAGATTCTGGTACATTGTGTCTTTGTTCTCCTTGGTTTCAAAGAACATGTTTATTTCTGCCTTAATTTTATTATTTATTTAGCCAGGAGTCATTCAGGAGCAGGTTGTTCAGTTTCCATGTAGTTGTACAGTTTTGAGTGAGTTTATTAATCCTGAGTACTAATTTGATTGCACTGTGGTCTGCGAGACAGTTTTTTGTGATTTCTGTTCTTTTACATCTGGTGAGGAGTGTTTTACTACCAATTATGTGGTCAATTTTAGAATAAGTGCGACGTGATGCTCAGAAGAGTGTATATTCTGTTGATTTGGGGTGTGGAGTTCTTAGATGTCTATTAGGTCTCCTTGGTCCAGAGCTGAGTTCAAGTCCTGGATATCCTTGTTAACCTTCTGTCTCATTGATCTGTCTAATGTTGACAGTGGGGTGTTAAAGTCTCCCATTATTATGGTGTGGGAGTCTAAGTCTCTTTGTAGGTCTCTAAGGACTTGCTTTATGAATCTGGGTGCTCCTGTATTGGGTGCATATATATTTAGGATAGTTAGCTCTTCTTGGTGAATTGATCCCTTTACCAATATGTAGTGGCCTTCTTTGTCTCTTTTTGATCTCTGTTGGTTTAAAGTCTGTTTTATCAGAGACTAGGATTGCAACCCCTGCTTTTTTTTGCTTTCCATTTGCTTGGTAAGTATTCCTCCATCCCTTTATTTTGAGCTTATGTGCATCTTTGCACATGAGATGGGTCTCCTGAATACAACACACTGATGGGTCTTGACTCTTTATCCAGTATGCCAGTTTGTGTCTTTTAATTGGGGCATTTAGCCCATTTACATTTAAAGTTAATATTGTTATGTTTGAATTTGATCCTGTTATTATATTAGCTGGTTATTTTGCCTGTTAATTGATGCAGTTTCTTCATAGCATCGATGGTCTTTACCATTTGGAATGTTTTTACAGTGGCTGGTACCGGTTGTTCCTTTCCATATTTAGTGCTTCCACCAGGAGCTCTTGTAATGCAGGCCTGGTGGTGACAAAATCTCTCAGCATTTACTTGTCTGTAAAGGATTTTATTTCTCCTTCACTTATGAAACTTAGTTTGACTGGATATGAGATTCTGGGTTGAAAATTCTTTTCTTTAAGAATGTTGAATATTGGCCCCCACTCTCTTCTGGCTTATAAGGTTTCCGCCGAGAGATCCCCTGTTAGTCTGATGTGCTTCCCTTTGTGGGTAACCCAATCTTTCTCTCTGGCTGCCCTTAACATTTTTTCCCTCATTTCAACCTTGGTGAATCTGACAATTATGTGTCTTGGAGTTGCTCTTCTCAAGGCGTATCTTTGTGTTGGTGTCTGTGTTTCCTGAATTTGAATGTTGGCCTGCCTTGCTAGGTTAGGGAAGTTTTCCTGGATAATATCCTGAAGAGTGTTTTCTAACTTGATTGCATTCTCCCTGTCACTTTCCAGTACACCAATCAAATGTATATTTATTTGGTCTTTTCACCTAGTCCCATATTTCTTGGAGGCTTTGTTCATTTCTTTTCACTCTTTTTTCTCTAATCTTGTCTTCTTGCTTTATTTCATTAATTTGATCTTCAATCACTGATATCCTTTCTTCCACTTGATGGAATCAGCTATTGAAGCTTATGCATGCATCATGAAGTTCTCATGCCATGGTTTTCAGCTCCATCAGGTCATTTAAGGTCTTCTCTACACTATTCATTCTAGTTAGCCATTCATCTAATCTTTTTTCAAGATTTTTAGCTTCCTTGGGATGGGTTAGAACATGCTCCTTTAGCTCAGAGAAGTTTGTTATTACCCACCTTCTGAAGCCTACTTCTGTCAACTTGTCAAACTCATTCTCCATCCAGTTTTGTCCCCTTGCTGGCGAGGAGCTGCGATCCTTTGGAAGAGAATAGGCCCTGTGTCTTTTGGAATTTTCAGCTTTTCTGCTCTGGTTTCTCCCCATCTTTGTGGTTTTATCTACCTTTGGTCTTTGATGTTGGTGACCTACAGATGGGGTTTTGGTGTGGATGTCATTTTTGTTGATGTTCATGATATTCCTTTCTGTTTGTTAGTTTTCCTTTAACAGTCAGACCCCTGAGCTGCCAGTCTGTTGGAGTTTGCTGGAGGTCCACTCCAGACCTTGTTTGCCTATGTATCACCAGTGGAGGCTGCAGAACAGCAAATATTGCTGCCTGATCCTTCCTCTGGAAGCTTCGTCCCAGAGGGGCACCCGCCTGTTTGAGGTGTCTATCAGCCCCTACTGGGAGATGTTTCCCAGTCAGGCTACATGGGGGTCAGGGACCTGCTTGAGGAGGCAGTCTGTCCATTCTCAGAGCTTGAACGCCGTGCTGAGAGAATCACTGCTCTCTTCAGAGCTGTCAGACAGGGACGTTTAAGTCTGCAGAAGCTGTCTGCTGCCTTTTGTTCTACTATGCCCTGTCCCCAGAGGTGGAATCTATAGAGGCAGTAGGCCTTGCTGAGCTGTGGTGGGCTCCGCCCAGTTTGTGCTTCCTGGCCTCTTTGTTTACACTGTGAGCTACTCAAGCCTCAGCAATGGCAGATGCCCCTCCCCCCGCCAATCTGCAGTGTCGCAGGTCGATCTCAGACTGCTGCGCTAGCAGTGAGTAAGGCTCCATGGGTGTGGGACTCACCGAGCCAGGCATGGGAGGGAGGGTATCTCCTGGTCTGCAGGTTGCGAAGACTGTGGGAAAAGCTCAGTATTTGGTCAGGCATGTACCGTTTTCCCAGGTACAGTCTGTCATGGCTTCCCTTGGCTTGGAAAGGGAAATCCCCTGACCCCTTGCACTTCCTGGGTGAGGCGATGCCCTACCCTGCTTCAGCTCGCCCTCTGTGGGCTGCACCCACTGTCCAACCAGTCCCAGTGAGGTGCACCAGATACCTCAGCTGGAAATGCAGAAATCATCCGTCTTCTGCGTGGATCTCGCTGGGAGCTGCAGACCGGAGCTGTTTCTATTCGGCCATCTTGGAAGCATGCCCAAAAATATTCTTTTACAGACAGGGTCTCACTCTGTCACTCTTGCTGGAGTGCAGTGGCATGATCATAGTTCATTGTAACCTTGAATTCCTGAGCTCAAACAATCCTCCTGCCTCTGCCTCCTGAGTAGCTGGGACTACTAGATGTGAGCTACCACACCTGGCTAATTTTTTTTTCCTTTGGTACAGACAGAGTCTCACTGTGTTGCCCCAGCTGGTCTCAAACTCCTGGCCTCAAGAGATCTTCCTACCTCAGCCTCCCAAAGTGCTAGGATTATAGGCGTGACCCACTGTGTCTTTTAAAATAATAAAATAAAATACAAAATATTTTAAAATAATGCTATCACAGAGGAGCATCGTGTAAAAAAAACCCTAAAATGTAAATGAAAGATATGGATTTGAAAAGTCTTACTGATGAACAAAGTTTAACTGTGGAAAGGAAACTTAATCTTAAGACCCTTAGGGGCTGGAGTTTTAATCATTTGGGAGAGGCAGACAATGCCTGTGCCCCAAATAAGAATCAGTTGGTTGATAATCAGTTGGTTGATCCTGTATCCTTGTTGGCTCTGCAAAGGTATTTCATTTCTTTTGAAACTGAGTACATTACTGTTATCTGATAAGGCATCAAAATAAACATTACTGTAATCAGGAAGGAGTAAAACATTAAGTAAAGTGTGGAAGTAATGAAGATATGAACTAGATTCATGTTGTTTAGGATAAGTTTAAGTGTAACATATAATAATGATATGATATTTATGTATATTCTGTCTGCTATTTATGGCATTTTAGGTGTTCTAAGGAATGGCTTTGTAAATTGTAATTGTAGTTTAAATTATTTCAGGGACTTTACTTAATGAAGTTGGTAACAAACATGAACATGTTTAAGAAACATTGAGTTTCCAAAATTGTATTTATTTAAATATGTGTTTATTGGTAAAAAGCATTAAAGTACAAATGTTAGTGAGCGTTTCTGTCCAGGCACAAAAGCCCTTTAGGTATTAAAGACTCTTTTGGGCCAGGCACTGTGGCTTGTGCCTGTAACCCCAACACTTTGGGAGGCCGAAGTGGGCAGATCACTTGAGGCCAGGAGTTCAAGAGCAGCCTGGGCAACATGGTGAAACCCCATTTCTACTAAAAATACAAAAATTAGCTACGTGTGGTGGTGCACACCTGTAATCCCAGTTACTGAGGAGACTAAGGCACAAGAATCACTTGAACCGGGGAGTGGAGATTGCAGTGAGCCAAGATCGTGCTCCAGTCTGGGTGACAGATTGAGACTCTGTCTCAAAAATAAATAAATAAATAAATCAGTAATTTGCAGAAGATCAAGAAATAAGAAAAATGACTCATCATGAAAAATTCAACACTTCATACCATGCCGTGCTGCTATATATAAAGATATGTTCTCTCTGTATTAAAGACATGGCTTCTTTTTGCCATTGTTATTAACTTGTAGGGCTTTTGAAAAATAAAAAAAAAATCTGAGTTGGGAGGGATTTAAATTAGGCATATCCATTCAACACATATTTATAATCCCCATTCTGTTTTGCTATTATTATTCTAGAACAGTGGTCACCAACCTTTTTGGTACCAGAGACTGGTTTTGTGGAAGAAATTTTTTCCATGGACTGTGGTGGGGTGGTGGGGGTGATTTAAGGATGAAACTGTTGTACCTCAGATCATCAGGCATTAGTTAGATTCTCATAAGGAATGCACAACCTAGATCCTTTGCATGCACAGTTCACAGTGGGGTTCGTGCTCCCATGAGAATCTAATGCTGCGGCTGATGAGGTGGAGCTCAGGAGGTAATGCTCGCTTGCCCACTGCTCACCTCCTGCTGTGTGGCCTAGTTCCTAACAGGCCATGGACCTGTACCAGTCTGTGGCCTGGGGGTTGGAGACCCCTATTCTAGAATGATACTATGTGGGATATAAATGAAGCTCATTAATGAAGTAAAGGCATGGTACTTTATAATATGGTGAATTATGTTAAGACAATTTCATATATAATCTTTTGATTCACAGGTTAACTGAGCAAAAAAGGGAATTGCCTGCCAGAAGAAAAATAATATTACAATATGCTGGAAGCTAAAAATTATAATATAAAGTTAATGATTTACATTTATTTTACATTTGGTTCTTACCAGATTCTTAATACTTTACTAGATACTTTAAGTATTTTATAGAACTGAAACTTTTTTTCTATAGCTGTTGTTTAAATGCATTTTTTTACATATAGTAAATGGATATCTTACAAAATTAAAAATTAATGGGATCAATTACTACTTATATTAAAGAGCCATAAATTTGGTATCTGTTAAGTCAACAGTAATTTGTAATAGTATTTCATTATTTTTTCATTTACTACAACACTTCCCCAGGTCTCACCAACCTGGGATATTAGTAGAGCAGTGTTAATAGGAATATCCCAGATTTCACTGCCTCTAGCTCCTGTCTTCATAACACAAGAGGTCAGTTTCCTCTTCAAGTTCTACCCATTTGTGTCTGGGAATCCCAAAGCTATCCCATGTAAATTCAAGAATTCCTCCTAGTGTCTGTCTGGAACCTGTGAGGCCATCTGAAGGGGACCCTAGAACTGCCAACCTGGTCTTCCTAAGAGCCCCAATGTCTGCCTGAGCTGGTGTTCCAGGCTGTACACCTGGAATCCTTAAGTGCCAAATACTCTTCCTTTCCCTTGCCTGCCAACTTTACTCAGACCACACTGGTTGGTCACACTTTTCACAAGATGCCGTATTTTTCTGAAGACTGCTAATAACTCAAACTCATACTTCAAGACTAAAGCCGCATTTGTTTACCTGCCAAAATAGTACCACTTTGTGGCAATACTTAAACTTTTAATTCGTTTTCCCACCAGCTTTGAAAGGAAATACCTCTCAGTAAAATTTTAATTTGAAAGATTGTGTTTTTTCAAAAACTGGCATAATGTAAGACTTTTGTAATATATTTTGTATCACATTAGTTTAAGTTTGCAAAATTTAAAGTCACATTAAATTTGATGGCCTTGTACTCTGTGTGCTGTACAGTAGTGGGGGACATGCTGAGAGGTGACAGTGTGCTGGCAGCCCTCGCAGCCCTCGTTCGCTCTCGGCGCCTCCTCTGCCTGGGCTCCCACTTTGGCGGCACTTTAGGAGCCTTTCAGCCTGCCACTGCACTGTGGGATCCCCTTTCTGGGCTGGCCAAGGCCGGAACCGGCTCCCTCAGCTTGCGAGGAGGTGTGGAGGGAAAGGCGTGGGTGGGAACTGGGGCTGCCCACTGTGCTTGCGGGCCAGCGGGAGTTCCGGGTGGGCGTGGGCTCAGCGGACCCCGCACTCAGAGCGGCCAGCCGGCCCCACTGGCCCCGGGCAGTGAGGGGCTTAGCACCTGGGCCAGCAGCTGCTGTGCTCAATTTCTCGCTGGGCTTTAGCTGCCTTCCCGTGGGGCAGGGCTCAGGACCTGCAGTCCGCCATGCCTGAGCCTCCCCCACACCGTCCATGGGCTCCTGTGCCGCCCTAGCCTCCCCTACAAGCGCCGCCCCCCGCTCCACGGTGCGCAGTCCCATCGACCACCCAATGGCTGAGGAGTGTGGGCACACGGCACAGGACTGGCAGGCAGCTCCACCTGCAGCCCCAGTGCGAGATCCACTGGGTGAAGCCAGCTGGTCTCCTGAGTCTAGTGGGAACTTGGAGAACCTTTATGTCTAGCTAAGGGATTGTAAATACACCAATCAGCACTCTGTCTCTAGCTCAAGGTTTGTAAACACACCAATCAGCACCCTGTGTCTAGCTCAGGGTTTGTGAATGCACCAATCGACACTCTGTATCTAGCTACTCTGGTGGGGACTTGGAGAACCTTTGTGTCGACACTCTGTATCTAGCTAATCTGGTGGGGATGTGGAGAACCTTTGTGTCTAGCTCAGGGATTGTAAACACACCAATCAGCGCCCTGTCAAAACAGACCACTTGGCTCTACCGATCAGCAGGATGTGGGTGGGGCCAGATAAGAGAATAAAAGCAGGCTGCCCGAGCCAGCATTGGGAACCCGCTGGGGTCCCCTTCCACACTGTGGAAGCTTTGTTCTTTCATTCTTTGCAATAAATCTTGCTGCTGCTCACTCTTTGGGTCCACATTGCCTTTATGAGCTGTAACACTCACCGTGAAGGTCTGCAGCTTCACTCCTGAAGCCAACAAGACCACAAACCCACCAGGAGGAACGAACAACTCCAGACGCGCTGCCTTAAGAGCTATAACACTCATCGGGAAGGTCTGCAGCTTCATTCTTGAGCCAGCAAGACCACGAATCCACCAGAAGGAAGAAACTCCGAACACATCCGAACATCAGAAGGAACAAACTCCAGACACGCCGCCTTTAAGAACTGTAACACTCACCGCGAGGGTCCGCGGCTTCATTCTTGAAGTCAGTGAGACCAAGAACCCACCAATTCTGGACACAATGCCTTTCCTTCACTTTGTATTGCACAAATAGTGCTGTGTGCCTCATAGGAGCAGTTCTTTTGGATTCTGCCTGCAGTTTGTTCTTCCCTAAGACTCAGACCCCTGATTCAGGTGGCAGAGACAGATGACATGTGGCTCCCCACCCCATCCCCATTCTTGTCTTTCTTTCAGAGCATAGGAAAAGAAAAAAAAGAAAAACAAAAACAAAAAACAAACAAAAAAACCTTTCTTAGTCTCTTGTCTGTCAAAAATATTTAAATTGACTTTTAGAACTCTGTGTGTGTGAGTGTGTATGTGTGTGTGTATGGGGGGATGGAGAGAGAGAGACAGAGACAGACAGACAGAGAGAGAGAGTCTCACTCTGTTGCCCAGGCTGGAGTGCAGTGGCACAATCATAGCTTGCTCACTGCAGCCTCTATCTGAGCTCCAGTGATTCTCCCACCTCAACCTCCCAAGTTGCTGGTACTATGGGTGCATGCCACCACACCCCGCTAATTTTTTATTTTTAGCAGAGACAAGGTCTCACTATGTTGCCGAGGCTACTCTTTAAGTCGTGAGCTCGAGGGATCCTCCCACCTCAGCCATCCAACGTTTTGGGATTGCAAGTGTGAGCCACCATGCCTGGCTGACTTTTAGAATGTAATATTAGACAGGCCCAGGTAACAGAATCCATTAGATTTAGGCCAATGTTATCCCACCTCCACACCTCATACTCATTAAATGTTGAAAATATAGAAAAGGAGAAGGAAAAACTAAAACTTTTTTTCTGTAGCTATTGAAATCCTCGCATCAACTGAGTTTGCAATGCAAATATATGGTCCTTGTCTGGATTCTAGTTTGAACAAACCGTGTAAGACATTTGGAGGCCAATTCCAGAGAGTTGGCTATGGCATGGGTACAATGATATTAAGCAATTACTATTAAGTGTCTAAGGCAGGATAATGGAATTGTGGTTGCAAAGAAAAGGTACTCATTTTTTAAGAGATGGATATTATGAGATTTGGGGGATGAAATGTCATGATGTCTTAATTTATATACTTTAAAATAGAAAAAGCAAGTATGGCAGAATGTTGACAATGTTAAACATGGATTGTGGGTATTAGGTGTTTATTTTATTTCTCTGTAAGTTTGAAATTTTAAATCTTATTTTCCTCCAACCCTGGCAGAGGAATGAAATTTTTTTATAAGCTATTTTTTTAGGACTGGGTTGTAATCATGCTACATATAATATCTTTTCAAAAAGAAATCAGTTTTATATTTCACTTCTTTTTCTCTCCTAATCTATAAAAACATGTTTCCTTGAAACTAGTGTGTGTGCTATTGTATGCTGCTGGAACTCAGCTTAAAATTTGGGACTTAACATTCTTCTGTCCCCAGTGTACATGAGGAATAAGACATACTCTTAGTCATAATAGTGACTAATCACAGCAGTAATTCCTAGAGAGGGTAAGAGTGGAGGGCTAAGGAATCTTGGGAAGTGAGCCTGGGTAGTTTACAAGTTTTGCAGTTGATTCCAACTGGCTTCTTGTAGGCCACTGGCCTAAAAAAGTAGTGTTAAACCCTAACTTAATACTATGAAAAATCTTTTGCAACGAATTCATTATTTATTTACACATTCCCACTCTTTAACTTTAAAAATCATCTCTTATGGTAGAATTTTTTCTTTTATTTCCAGACTAGAAATTAACCTTTCAGTGTACCTGGACTCTTAGAAATCGTATTGTGATGCACTGTCCATTCCTCCCTCACTTTGTTTGTAACTACGGGTGTCTGGGGATAGCAGCACTAGTGGTGTGAGTGTTATGTGAGGGTACTCTGAGGCCATCTGTAGCCAGCACTAACTTGCTGTTTATCCACTGACTTGCCCACAAAGTTGTTACCAGAATCCTTTGCCCTCCATTTGTGGTAGTCAGATGGTGGAGAATTGGCTTGCATTTAAGCAGTTTTCTAATTCTGTTGATGGATCAATACATATATATTTGTTGAGCTCCTACTCTGTGCAAAACACTGCCAGCTGGAATTAAAAGGTGAGAGGAAGAATATTTTTCAGTCAGAAGCAGTTAAACAATATGCAGCGACTGTGAAGGGTGGGAAGCCATTGGCTGGAGTGTGGATGGTGGAAACATAAATGGAGGAAGTGAAGCCATGTGACTAAGTGGTCCAGACATGTGCCCAGTGATTGGATTGGCCAGAGATTCCTTGGAGCTGCAGTGAAGTCAACACATGCCCACCCCTAAGTGGGGAATGGGGCATTACTGGGCTGGAGTCCTCTTGCATATTAGTCCCTTGGAGATGCTCTCTTAAACTTGCTTTTCCCTGTGAAGAAAAGAATATATACCAATAATAATAATAATGAAAAATTGTGAGTTTGTTTCTTTCTCTCTTTCCTTCCTTTCCCCTCCCTCGCTCCCTCGCTCCCTCCCTCCCTTGCAAACTGGGAGAACAATAAATGTAAAGTTAAAATAAAAATTTATGAAGAGAAACTCTTAAAAAATGAATATTAGAACAACAAAAATTCTGGTGTATTATAAATCATGAATTAATGAGGATTTAAATTACTTCTTTCAATAATAGAATAGAAAATGCTTTTATGCTGTTTTAAAGAGTTGATCATCAGAAAAGAAAACTTGAGTTCAAATGGTATTTGCTGAATTTTAATAATTCTTTTCAAAATCATTATTACTATAATGTTTTGAACTACATTCATTTGGTCATATAATATACTCATATTTTTATGACATATCATTTACTGTAGTTATTTATTTAGGACTTTTCAGGTAATATCATCTAAAAAGAATTAAGCTCATGAAATTTAGGGACCTACAACAGTACTGAAAAATTGTAATGTTAGTGAAATTTGTCTGCCTTTGCCACCTCATCCCCTTCTTGGTTTTTATTCTGCCTGCTGTAATATCCTCAATACTCCTTTACTCATCTGGATTCCTTTCTTCTATAAAAATCTGAATTTAGTGAAGAATGACTTGAATCGTTTATGTTGTCCCTCACTGTAGGCATAATTTGCATTTAATCTCCATCAAAAGTGAGGATTTTCACATGTCGGGGGTCCTATGGGCCTTTCTTGTATGCCTAAAATAAATCTATGATGAACATGTGTATGCCATATCTGTTAATTTAACAAAGTATTTACAGCAATGTGCAAAGGAGAAAACATTTGCCTTAGAAAAGTAGAATTCAGAATTCCTGGCTGTTGGTATAGATTTGAACCAAACTTACCTATACACCAAATAGATGTGACCATATGTTTGTATATCTATATAGTAAGCAAAGGGGCAACAAAATAAGAGGAAAACACCATTAACACTTAACAGTAGCCATGTGCATATAATACTTATGTTAATATAATAATATCTTTACTTATTAAAGAATGCACAGAAGGTATAGATGATTTCAGTTAGCTGTTGCCACATGTTATTGTGAATAGTTGTAAGTGATAAATTTGCATCTCTTTAAGCATATTCCACAGTTTAGACTTTTCATTTATGTGGTTTTCCTATTCCTGCTTGGTAAATGAGGAATTCCTCTATGTTGAAAAGAGAATCTCAGTTTATATCCTTGAAAAAAATCATTCTGTTTGATTCAGAATGATTCAGAAAATCATTCTGTTTTAATAGTGAACAGCAGAACTGCAATTCTATACTATTATAAATATAGCTTATCATAACAATGCCATGATGCTTAACTCTTCAAACTAAGTGAGATATAATGGGAAAATATATTAAGCTGTTATTTTAACTTAAAAAAATAGCTTACAGACATACACAAAATTCCAAAACATAAATAGTATATAGTTCTTTCAGCCCATTCCTGTCTCCAACTGCCCAATTCCCTTCCCTCTTGGCATCCATTGCTCTCTTTTTCTTGAGTATCTTGCAGAGGTAGTCTGTGCATTCCATTTATTTCTAATATTTGTTATTTCAATTATTTATTTACTTTAGATGACTCCGGAATTGATGATAAAAGCCTGTAGCTTTTATACTGGACATTTAGTAAAGACTCATTTTTGGTAAGAATGTGATTTTTACAATTTCTTCCTCTTTGAGTTTTTATTCTTGATATTCTCCGTGCAAAGAAAAATTCACTTTTGGCCAGTTGTGCTGATTTTATCTGTTTAATCATGTTTCTACCATTTTGTATTATATATTTCTTTTATATTTAATCAGCTTTTACTTAGTTAAAATATGTATTTTACTTCTTTAAGGTATAATTATCTTTTCTTAAAAAATAAAACTTTAAAATTAAAATATAGTTAGTTTCACAGTCCACTTATCTGAAACCCTTGGAGCCAAATATGTTGTGGAATTTAGATTCCTTTTAAAAAAAGACATCATTAGGTGGTTCTTTTGGTAAATTGGAATTATGACAACATGATTTTATCCCATGATTTCTTTATTTTATCTAAAAAGAAATATGACTCATATAATCTCCATTTTTCTCTATAACTCTTAGGAATTCTTCAGGTCATACCCAAGTTGTAGAAGTTTCTTTCTATGCTGTGGTTTTTGAGGTCATAAAGGAGATATCATTCTTTGTTCTCCTTAATTTATTTAATGATATATTGCCCTAATATCAAAATATTATTTTTTAAAAAATGTCTTCTGCCTGCAGCACTTGGAGAGACATAGCTCGTACAAATGAAAATGTCGTCCTGGCTGAAAAAATGAACAGAGCAGTGACATGCTACAATTTCAGACTTCAAAAATCTGTATTTCATCACTGGCACTCTTATATGGAAGACCAGAAAGAAAAACTTAAAAGTAAATTCTTACATAGTAGCAATTACTTTTTGTATCCATTTATTGAAATAATAAAAAAACTAACAGTTAAGCATACTTTGGGTACTTAGAGAACCTATCATTTTTATGTCTAGACAATTGTCATGAAATGAAGGTAGAGCTGCTAATTTAAAAATACTTAAGGAGATTTGTCTCAAAGGATTTTATTTTAATAGAAAACATTTAAAATCAAATCTTGTGTGCATTTGTGTGTATGTATACATGAATATAAATAGAATCTACTATGAGCTTTTCTACATAATAGAGAGCTGGATGGGTTCCAAATAGTATGGACAGGTACCAAAATTGACTATTTTTGTAAAGAGGTTTATGCTTTTTACAAAGATTATATTTAATGTATATATGACGAAACTAAAAAATAAAAATTATCTTCTCTTAAGACCTTGGGGGTTATACTGAGTGGGTGGGAGGTACATTCATGTGATCCATGCTCACTCAGTATAACCTCCAAGAGCTCTTGTCTTCCAGTTAGATTTTTTTGCAACTCTCCTGATAACAACTTGTTTATGACTGTTGCAAACCAGAGAATCATTTCTTTTTGGCTGGCTTTGGTTGGTACCTCAGTTAGAGTGGACCCTCCGAAAATTTTAACATTAGTGTAACGAAGGGTTAGGAACTGGTTAATCACAGGACATAAAATTAAATTCAAAGGCATTGGATCTAAATGCTACCTTATGACTGTATTTCTTATGAAAAAGTTTAGAAGTTCTGGTTTTACAAAGAACAACCTTGTTTAAAAAAAGGAAATGATACATGTCTTGACATTTCTATTGCAGTTTTACATCTTAATTTCTAAGGGCAAAGGTGATGTTTCCCAGTTCGTAAAGTCTTGAGAGTACTAATGCTATCAAAAGTAATTAATTTCAAGTGTAAATAAGACCAAACAAAAACGATCAGATGCGACATTGTCTCATAAACATGATAGACTATTAAATCACTTTGTGTTTTTTGGAAACAGCTATAACTATTAATATATACAGTAATCTAGTAAATTTCCTTCAGATATTCTATTGCGGATACAACAGATCATCTATTGTCACAAGCTAACCATTATCCTAACAAAATGGCGGAATACAGCAAGACATAAGAGTAAAAAGAAAGAAGATGAGCTGGTATTGTATATTGAAACAATTTTTTAAGAATCCGAATGTTTCAGTTATATTCATGTTGCCTCAAATAGTAATGCCGTGTGTGGAAAATACTAAAATCCTGAATATTATCTACTTTTGATGGGATTCTTGTTTTTTTTTATTTTTATTTTTTTGGGACAGAGTTTTGCTCTTGTTGTCCAGGCTGGAGTGCAATGGTGTGATCTCGGCTCACTGCAACCTCTGCCTCCCAGGTTCAAGCATTTCTCCTGCCTCAGCCTCCTGAGTAGCTGGAATTACAGGTGTCTGCCACCACACCCAGCTAATTTTTTTGTAGTTTTAGTAGAGATGGGGTTTCACCATGTTGGCTAGGCTGGTCTTGAACTCGTGACCTCAGGTGATCTGCCCGCCTCGGCCTCCTAAAGTGCTGGGATTACAGGCGTGAGCCACCGTGTCTGGCCGGGATTCTTGTTCTTTAACTTAATAATTTAAAATTTACTTCAGCTATTAGTATATCATTACTTAATATTGGTTTAGTATGCTCAAAGTAACACTATGATCAGATGTAGAAACATGCTGGATTTTTTTTTCTGTAGTTACATTATTTAGTAGGAGATATTTTATTAATATTCTTTGAAATATAAAGTAAGGGTAGATAGGAAAGAGAATGTGGGGTGAAGTTAAATCCCCTTCTTTTGTGGTTGCCCCATGGATCAATGCCTCTACTCACCTAAATTTGGTTCAGATGTTGAGACTGACAATAGCACACACGCAGCAAAAGAGTATGAGGAGATTTATTACTTACATATGCCTAAAACAATGCTAGAGCCTGTGCTGAGCTTTAAGCATCTCAGAGATTACTTGAGATGCTCTCTAGAAGTTTATAATCTATAGGTTTTGAGCTGGTGGTCTTGCAGGCTGTCCTCTAGGCTTTGCCTTTTGCAAACTACCTTTTCAATGTTACCAGTGAAACAGCTCTACTTTGGGTACCTAATACTATGTTAGTCTGCTCATTCACTGCTTTCCACCAGTCTGTATGTTAAGCTAGTGTTTTGATAACTGCCCTCTATGCCTGATCACTGATTGTCTAATAGTGAAATAGGTAACTGTACATGACCAGTCCCCCCTTATACACCCCCTTCAGCTAAACATCCCTGAATATAAAAATTAGCCAGGCATGGTGGTGGGCCCCTGTAATCCCAGCTACTTGGGAGGCTGAGTCAGGAGAATCTCTTGAACCCTTGAGGTGGAGGATGCAGTGAGCCGAGATCACGCCACTGCACTCCAGCCTGGGCGACAAAAGCGAAACTCCTTCTCAAAAAACAAACAAACAAAAAAATCCCTGAGAGCAGGCAGTATTGTTCTCTTAGTATTGTCCATATGCTGAGCGTAATGTTTTGCACACAGTGGTTGATATATATTAATATATATAATTTATGCTATATGTACTATAATATCATCAAGATATATGTATATTATATATATTATATAGTTAATTGTGTGTTTAGAGAACTTTTTTTCTAGATATATGATTTATTGACCTAACAATCATTCTACATTCACTTAAATGGAGTGAGGATGGCAAGTGTATGCTGGGAGCAGAGGCAGGGAACACCTGTGTGTCAAGCGCTCCACATGTGTTCTGCCTCAGGCTCTAATATGTGTGTGTATATACACAGACACATACATACATACATACACACATACACATATATATATTACATCAATATATATTATGCCAATATTGTGTATATGTTTATGACTGAAATACTACCTTTATTTATTACACAGTTTTCAGAAGTGTATCAAAAGTTAAAATGGGGACTTCCTGTGACAATAAATTTGGCAATTTCCCAAATGCATTACTACTGACTTCCCTTTTTTGTTATCTGTATGTTAATCACCTTCACTCCATGCACCAATTACCAGTTTTATCATTGCCAGAGCCTTGACTTTGTGGTCCTCACTTCCTCATCTGTGAAAGAGGAGACTAGATCAGCGTTTCAAGATGGCTGCCTGTGCCAGTGTTTTATGACAACTAATGGAAATGATCTGTAATACTTCGGTGGTTTAGAGAACATTAAACATGCTTATGAAAAATTATAGTTTATGTAGTAATGATGACGATCATAAATAATGTTTAATTGGTCCTATTCTTGTGTCAAGCACTGTGCTTTGTGTCTGTCATCTCTCTTGACCGTTACAGCAATTCCATGGAATTTTAAAATTATTTTCATTGCAGATATTAAAACATGAACTTCAATTGAAAAAATGGAAAAATAGGTTAATACTCAAAAGAGCTGCTGCAGAAGAATCCAATTTTCCTGAACGAAGTTCTTCTGAAGTCTTTCTTGTAGATGAGACTCTAAAATGTGACATTTCACTGTTACCTGAAAGAGCAATATTACAGGTTTGTATGAATTCAGTATACATTATATACTATAATCTGCCAAGTGTGGTGGTGCATGCCTGTAATCCCAGCTGCTTGGGAGGCTGAGACAGGAGAATTGCTTGAACCCAGGAGGCAGAGGTTGCAGTGAGCCGAGATCACACCATTGCACTCCAGCCTGGGCGACAATAGCAAAACTCCATCTCAAAAAAAAAAAAAAAAAAAATATATATATATATATATATATATACACATATATATACATATATATGTATGTATACACTATAATCCTACTCTTGATGTATTGCATTCAGTTAGAATAAGGATATTTTTGCCCATTATTTCTTCCTTTACAAATTACCTGCTCCTATCTTGTCTGTTTTTACATTGTAATTCCTATAATTTTCTTACTGGTTTGTAGTAGCTCTTTATATTGGCAATATTAGCCCTTTGGAATATATTTGGAGATTTTTTTCCCCCACACTTGATGTTTGCTTTCAGTTTTGCTTGTGGAGTCTTCTGGTGACAGAATTTTTTTTTTTTTTTTTTTTTTTTGAGATGGAGTTTCGCTCTTGTTGCCCAGGCTGGAAGTGCATTGGTGCAATCTCAGCTCACTGCAACCTCCGCCTCCTGGGTTCAAGCGATTCTCCAGCCTCAGCCTCCAGGTAGCTGGGATTACAGGTGCCCACCACTACGCCCAGCTAATTTTTTGTATTTTTAGTAGAGATGGGGTTTCACCATATTGGCCAGGCTGGTCTTAAACTCCTGACCTCAGGTGATCCACCCACCTTGGCCTCCCAAAGTGCTGGGATTACAGGCATGAACCACCACACCCGGCTGATGACAGAAATTTTAAAGCTTTATGTAATAAAGTCTGTCATCCTTGCCCTAATTATTTCTCTCTCTCTCTCTCTCTCTCTCTCTCTCTCTCTCTCTCTCTCTCTCTCTTTTTAACTTTTATTTTAGGTTGAGGGAGTACATGTGAAGGTTTGTTATATGTAGGTAAATTGCGTGTCATAGGAATTTGGTGTATATTTTGTCACCCAGGTTATAAGCCTAGCATTCAATAGATACTTCTCCAATCCTCACCATCCTCCCACCTCCACCCTCAAGTAGATCCTGGTGTCTGTTCTTCCTTTCTTTGTGTCCATATGTACTCAGAAGTTTAGCTTCCACTTGTAAGTGAGAATGTGTAGTATTTGGTTTTCTGTCTCTGTGTTAGTTTGCCTAGGATAATGGTCTCCAACTCCGTCCATGTTGCTGCAAAGGACATGATCTCATTCTTTTTTATGGCTGCATAGTATTTCAATGTATATATATACCACATTTTAAAAAATCCAGTCTACTGTTGATGGGCATTTAGGTTGATTTCATATCTTTGCTATTGTGAATAGTGCTGTGATGTGCATATGCATGCATGTGTCTTTATGGTAGAATGATTTATATTCCTTTGGGCATATACCCAATAATGGGATTGTTGGGTTGAATGGCAATTCTGTTTTATGTTCTTTGAGAAATGGCCAAACTGCTTTCCACAATGGCTGAGCTAATTTACATTCCCACCAGCAGTGTGTAAGCATTTCCTTTTCTCTGTAACCTTGCCAGTATCTGTTATTTTCTGACTTTTTAATAATAGCCATTCTAACTGGTGTGAGATTTACATTTCTCTAATGATTAGTGATGTTGAGCATTTTTTCATATGCTCATTGGTTGCCTGTATGTCTTCTAAGAAGTGTTTGTTTGTCTGTTTTCACCACTCTTTTAATGGTATTTTTTTTTGTTTTGTTCTGTTTTGTTTTGTTTTGTTTGAGACGGAGTCTCATTCTGTCGCTCAGGCTGGAGTGCAGTGGCGCGATCTCAGCTCACTGCAGGCTCCACCTCCCGGTTTCACGGCATTCTCCTGCCTCAGCCTCCTGAGTAGCTGGGACCACAGGTGCCCGCCACCACGCCCGGCTAATTTTTTGTATTTTTAGTAGAGGCGGGGTTTCACCGTGTTAGCCAGGATGGTCTCGATCTCCTGACCTCGTGATCCACCCGCCTCGGCCTCCCAAAGTGCTGGGATTACAGGCATGAGCCACCGTGCCTGGCTAATGGTGGTGTTTTTTTCTTGTAAATTTGTTTAAGATCCTTATAGATTGTGGATATTAGACTTCTGTTGGATGTATAGTTCACAAATGTTTTATACCATTCTATAGGTTGTCTGTTTATTCTGTTGATAGTTTCTTTTGCTGCTAGAAGTTCTTTTGTTTAATTAGGCCCCATTTGTTAATTTTTGTTTTTGTTGCAATTGCTTTTGGCATCTTCATAATGAAATTTTTGCCAAGTTCTATGCCCAGAATGGTATTTCCTAGGTTATCTTCCAGGGTTGTTATAGTTTTAAGTTTTACATTTAAGTCTTGCATCTATATTGAGTTGATTTTTGTATATGGTGTAAGGAAGTGGTCCAGTTTCAATATTCCGCGTGTGGCTAGCCAGTTATCCCAGTATCATTTATTGAATGAAGAGTTCTTTCCCTGTTGCTTGTTTTTCTTGATTGTGTAGATGTGTGGCATTATTTCTGGGCTCTTTATTCTGTTCCATTAGTCTATATTTCTGGTTTTTTTTTTTATACTTTAAGTTCTAGGGTACATGTGCACAACGTGCAGGTTTGTTACATATGTATACATGTGCCATGTTGGTGTGCTGCACGCATTAACTCGTCATTTACATTAGGTATATCTCCTAATGCTATCCCTCACCCCTCCCCCCACCCCACTACAGGCCCTGGTGTGTGGTGTTCCCCATCCTGTGTCCATGTGTTCTCATTGTTCCATTCCCACCTATGAGTAAGAACATGCGGTGTTTGGTTTTCTGTCCTTGTGATAATTTGCTGAGAATGATGGTTTCCAGCTTCATCCATGTCCCTACAAAGGACATGAACTCATCATTTTTTATGGCTGCATAGTATTCCATGGTATATATGTGCCACATTTTCTTAATCCAGTCTATCATTGTTGGACATTTGGGTTGGTTCCAAGTCTTTGCTATTGTGACTAGTGCCGCAATAAACATACGTGTGCATGTGTCTTTATAGCAGCATGATTTATAATCCTTTGGGTATATACTCAGTAATGGGATGGCTGGGTCAAATGGTAATTCTAGTTCTAGATCCTTGAGGAATCACCACACTGACTTCCACAATCGTTGTACTAGTTTACAGTCCCACCAACGGTGTAAAAGTGTTACTATTTCTCCACATCCTCTCCAGCACTTGTGTCCTGACTTTTTAATGATCACCATTCTAACTGGTATGAGATGGTATCTCATGGTGGTTTTGATTTGCATTTCTCTGATGGCCAGGGATGATGAGCATTTTTTCATGTGTCTGTTGGCTGCATAAATGTCTTCTTTTGAGAAGTGTCTGTTCATATCCTTTGCCCATTTTTGATGGGGTTGTTTGATTTTTTCTTGCAAATTTGTTTAAGTTCTTTGTAGATTCTGGATATTAGCCCTTTGCCAGATCAGTAGATTGCAAAAATTTTCTCCCATTCTGTAGGTTGCCTGTTCACTCTGATGGTAGTTTTTTTTGCTGTGCAGAAACTCTTCAGTTTAATTAGATCCCATTTGTCAATTTTGGCTTTTGGTGTCATTGCTTTTAGTGTTTTAGACATGAAGTCCTTGCCCATGCCTATGTCCTGAATGGTATTGCCTAGGTTTTCTTCTAGGGTTTTTATGGTTTTAGGTCTAACATTTAAGTCTTTAATTCATCTTGAATTAATTTTTGTATAAGGTGTAAGGAAGGGATCCAGCTTCAGCTTTCTACATATGGCTAGCCAGTTTTTCCAGCACCATTTATTAAATAGGGAATCCTTTCCCCATTTCTTGTTTTTGTCAGGTTTGTCAAAGATCAGATGGTTGTAGATATGCGGCATTATTTCTGAGGGCTCTGTTCTGTTCCATTGGTCTATATCTCTGTTTTGGTACCAGTACCATGCTGTTTTGGTTACTGTAGCTTTGTAGTATAGTTTGAAGTCAGGTAGCATGATGCCTCCAGCTTTGTTCTTTTTGCTTAGGATTGTCTTGGCAATGTGGGCTCTTTTTTGGTTCCATACGAACTTTAAAGTAGTTTTTTCCAATCTGTGAAGAAAGTCAGTGGTAGCTTGATGGGGATAGCATTGAATCTATAAATTACCTTGGGTAGTATGGCCATTTTCACGATATTGATTCTTCCTATCCATGAGCATGGAATTGTTTTCCATTTGTTTGTGTTCTCTTTTATTGTGTTGAGCAGAGGTTTGTAGTTCTCCTCGAAGAGGTCCTTCACATTTCTTGTAAGTTGGATTCCTAGGTATTTTATTCTCTTTGAAGCAATTGTGAATGGAAGTTCACTCATGATTTGGCTCTCTGTTTGTCTATTATTTGTGTATAGGAATGCTTGTGTTTTTTGCACATTGATTTTGTATCCTGAGACTTTGCTGAAGTTGCTTATCAGCTTAAGGAGATTTTGGGCTGAGACGATGGGGTTTTCTAAATATACAATCATGTCATCTGGTCATCTGCAAACAGGGACAATTTGACTTCCTCTTTTCTTAATTGAATACCCTTTATTTCTTTCTCTTGCCTGATTGCCCTGGCCAGAACTTCCAACGCTATGTTGAATCGGAGTGGTGAGAGAGGACATCCTTGTCTTGTGCTAGTTTTCAAAGGGAATGCTTCCAGTTTTTGCTCATTCATTATGATATTGGCTGTGGGTTTGTCATAAATAGCTCTTATTATTTTTAGGTACGTCCCATCAATAACTAATTTATAGAGAATTTTTAGCACGAAGGGTTGTTGAATTTTGTCAAAGGCCTTTTCTGTATCTATTGAGATAATCATGTGGTTTTTGCCTTTGGTTCTGTTTATATGCTGGACTATGTTTATTGATTTGCATATGTTGAACCAGCCTTGCATCCCAGGGATGAAGCCCACTTGATCATGGTGGATAAGCTTTTTGATATGCTGCTGGATTCGGTTTGCCAGTATTTTATTGAGGATTTTTGCATGGATATTCATCAGGGATATTGATCTAAAGTTCTCTTTTTTTGTTGTGTCTCTGCCAGGCTTTCGTATCAGGATGATGCTGGCCTCATAAAATGAGTTAGGGGTTGTTCCCTCTTTTTCTGTTGATTGGAATAGTTTCAGAAGGAATGGTACCAGCTCCTCCTTGTACCTCTGGTAGAATTCGGCTGTGAATCTATCTGGTCCTGGCCTTTTCTTTGGTTGGTAGGCTTTTAATTATTGCCTCAGTTTCAGAGCCTGTTATTGGTCTATTCAGGGATTCAACATCTTCTGGTTTAGTCTTGGGAGGGTGTATGTGTCCAGGAATTTATCCATTTCTTCTAGATTTTCTAGTTTATTTGCATAGAGGTGTTTATAGTATTCTCTGATGGTAGTTTGTATTTCTGTGGGATCAGTGGTGATAACCCTTTTATCATTTTTTATTGTGTCTATTTGATTCTTCCCTCTTTTCTTCTTTATGAGTCTTGCTATCCGTCTGTCAATTTTGTTAGTCTTTTCAAAAAACCAGCTCCTGGATTCATTGATTTTTTGAAGGGATTTTTGTGTCTCTATCTCCTTCAGTTCTGCTCTGATCTTAGTTATTTCTTGCCTTCTGCTAGCTTTTGAATATGTTTGCTCTTGCTTTTCTAGTTCTTTTAATTGTGATGTTAGGGTGTCAATTTTAGATCTTTCCTGCTTTCTCTTGTGGGCATTTAGTGCTATAAATTTCCCTCTACTCACTGCTTTAAATGTGTCCCAGACATTCCGGTATGTTGTCTCTTTGTTCTCATTGGTTTCAAAGAACATCTTTGTTTCTGCCTTCATTTCATTATGTACCCAGTAGTCATTCAGAAGCAGGTTATTCAGTTTCCATGTAGTTGAGCGGTTTTGAGTGAGTTTCTTAATCCTGAGTTCTAGTTTGATTGCACTGTGGTCTGAGAGACAGTTTGTTATAATTTCTGTTCTTTTACATTTCCTGAGGAGTGCTTTACTTCCAACTATGTGATCAATTTTGGAATAAGTGCTATGTGGTGCTGCGAAGAATGTATATTCTGTTGATTTGGGGTGGAGAGTTCTGTAGATGTGTATTAGGTCTGCTTGGTGCAGAGCTGAGTTCAATTCCTGGATATCCTTGTTAACTTTCTGTCTCGATCTGTCTAATGTTGACAGTGGGGTGTTAAAGTCTCCCATTATTATTGTGTGGGAGTCTAAGTCTCTTTGTAGGTCTCTAAGGACTTGCTTTATGAATCTGGGTGCTCCTGTATTGGATGCATACATATTTAGTATAGTTATCTCTTCTTGTTGAATTGATCCCTTGACCATTATGTAATGGCCTTCTTTGTCTCTTTTGATCTTCGTTGGTTTAAAGTCTGTTTTATCAGAGACTAGGATTGCAACCCTTGCTTGTTTTTTTGTTTTCCATTTGCTTGGTAGATCTTCCTCCATCCCTTTATTTTGAGCCTATGTGTGCCTCTGCATGTGAAATTGGTTTCCTGAATACAGCACACTGATGGGTCTTGAGTCTTTATCCAATTTGCCAGTCTGTGTCTTTTAATTGGAGCATTTAGCCCATTTACATTTAAGGTTAATATGTTATGTGTGAATTTGATCCTGTCATTATGATGTTAGCTGGTTATTTTGCTCATTAGTTGATGCAGTTTCTTTCTAACATCGATGGTTTTTCCAATTTGGCATGTTTTTGCAGTGGCTGGTACCGGTTGTTCCTTTCCGTGTTTAGTGCTTCCTTCAGGAGCTCTTGTAAGGCAGGCCTAGTGGTGACAAAATCTCTCAGTATTTGCTTGTCTGTAAAGGATTTTATTTCTCCTTCACTTATGAAGCTTAGTTTGGCTGGATATGAAATTCTGGGTTGAAAATTCTTTTCTTTAAGAATTTTGAATATTGGCCCCCACTCTCTTCTGGCTTGTAGAATTTCTGCCAAGAGATCCGCTGTTATTCTGATGGGATTCCCTTTGTGGGTAACCTGACCTTTCTTTCTGGCTGCCCTTAACATTTTTTCCTTCATTTCAACTTTGGTGAATCTGACAATTATGTGTCTTGGAGTTGCTCTTCTCGAGGAGTATCTTTGTGGCGTTCTCGGTATTTCCTGAATTTGAATGTTGGCCTGCCTTGCTAGATTGGGGAAGTTCTCCTGGATAATATCCCAAAGAGTGTTTTCCAACTTGATTCTTCTCCCTGTCACTTTCAGGTACACCAATCAGAACTAGGTTTGGTCTTTTCACATAATCCCATATTTCTTGGAGGCTTTGTTCATTTCTTTTTACTCTTTTTTTTCTCTAAACTTGTCTTCTCACTTCATTTCATTCATTTGATCTTCAATCACTGATACCCTTTCTTCCACTTGATGGAATCAGCTACTGAAGCTTATGCATGTGTCACATATTTCTCGTGTCATGGTTTTAAGCTCCATCAGATCATTTAAGGACTTCTCTACACTAGTTATTCTAGTTAGCTATTCATCTAATCTTTTTTCAAGGTTTTTAGCGTCTTTACGATGGGTTCGAACTTCCTCTTTAGCTTGGAGAAGTTTGATCGTCTGAAGCCTTCTTCTCTCAACTTGTCAAAGTCATTCTCCATCTAGCTTTGTTCTGTTCCTGGCGAGGAGCTGCATTCCTTTGGAGGGGGAGAGGTGCTCTGATTTTTAGAATTTTCAGCTTTTCTGCTCTGTTTTTTCCCCGTCTTTGTGGTTTTATCTGCCTTTGGTCTTTGATGATGGTGACGTACAGATGGGGTTTTTGTATGGATGTCCTTTCTGTTTGTTAATTTTCCTTCTGACAGTCAGGACCCTCAGCTGCAGGTCTGTTGGAGTTTGCTGGAGGTCCACTCCAGACACTGTTTGCCTGGGTATCACCAGCAGAGGCTGCAGAACAGCAAATATTGCTGAACAGCAAATGTTTCTGCCTGATCATTCCTCTGGAAGCTTCGTCTCAGAGGGGTACCCAGCCGTGTGAAGTGTCAGTCTGCCTCTACTGGGAGATGCCTCCCAGTTAGGCTACTCGGAGGTCAGGGACCCACTTGACGAGGCAGTCTGTCTGTTCTCAGATCTCAAACTCCATGCTGGGAGAACCACTACTCTCTTCAAAGCTGTCAGACAGGGACGTTTAAGTCTGCAGAGGTTTCTGCTGCCTTTTGTTCGGCTATGCCCTGCCCCTAGAGGTGGAGTCTACAGAGGCAGGTAGGCCTCCTGGAGCTGTGGTGGGCTCTACCCAGTTCGAGCTTCCAGGCCACTTTGTTTACCTACTCAAGCCTCAGCAATGGCGGGCGCCCCTCCCCCAGTCTCACTGCCGCCTTGCAGTTTGATCTCAGACTGCTGTGCGAGCAATGAGGGAGGCTCCATGGGTGTGGGACCCTCCGAGCCAGGCGCGGGATATAATCTCCTGGTGTGCCATTTACTAAGACCGTTGGAAAAGCACAGTATTAGGGTGGGAGTGACCCGATTTTCCAGGTGCCGTCTGTCACCCCTTCCCTTGGCTAGGAAAGGGAATTCCCTGACCCCTTATGCTTCCCGGGTGAGACCATGCCTTGCCCTGCTTCGGCTCTCGCTCGGTGGGCTGCACCAACTGTCCGACAAGCCCCAGTGAGATGAACCTGGTACCTCGGTTAGTGAGATGAACCCAGTACCTCAGTTGGAAGTGCAGAAATCACCCGTCTTCTGCGTCACTCACCCTGGGAGCTATAGATAGGAGCTGTTCCTATTCGGCCATCTTGGAACCTCCCCCCACCCCCCCCACATTTCTGTTTTTGTAACGGAACCATGTTGTTTTGGTTACCATAGCCTTATAGTGTAGTTTGAAGTTGGGTAATGTGATGTCTCCAGCATTGTTCTTTTCACTTAGGATTACCTTGGCTATTTGGACCCTTTTGTGGTTCCATATGAATTTTAAAATAGTTTTTTTCTAATTCTGTGAAAAATGTCATTGGTAGTTTGATAAGAATAGCATTGAATCTGTAAATTGCTTTGGGCAGTATGGCCATTTTAACAATATTGATTCTTCCTATCCATGAGCATGGATTGTTTATCCATTTGTTTGTGTCATCTCTGTTTTCTTTCTTGCAGTGTTTTGTAAATCTTGTTGTAGAGGTCTTTCACCTCCTTGGTTATAGCTGGTTAGAGCTGTATTCCTGTTTATTTTATTCTTTTTTGTGGCTATTGTGAATGAAATTGAATTCTTAATTTGGCTCACAGTGTGTATGTTGTTGGTGTATAGGAATACTACTGATTTTTGTACATTGCTTTTTTTTTTTTTTTGAGATGAGAGTCTCACTCTGTTACCCAGGCTGGAGTGCAGTGGTGTGACTTGGACTTACTGCAACCTCTGCTTCCCGGGTTCAAGCAATTCTCATGCCTCAACCACCCAAATAACTGGAATTACAGGCATGGGCCACCAAACCCAGCTAGTTTTTGTATTTTTAGTAGAGACGGGGTTTAGCTATATTGGCCAGGCTGGTCCAAACTCCTGGTCTCAAGTGATCTACCTGCCTCAGCCTCCCAAAGTGCTGGGATTACCGCCATGAGCCACTGTGCACAGCTAGTACAGTGATTTTGTATCCTGAAACTTTGTTGAAGTTGTTTGTCAGATCAAAGAACTTTTGGGCAGAGACTGTGGGGTTTTCTAGGTATAGAATCATATTGTCTGCAAACAGGGAGTTTGACTTTCTCTCTTCCTTTGAGCATCTTTTATTTCTTTCTATTGCCTGATTTCTCTTGCTAGGACTTTCAGTACTGTGTTGAATAGGAGTGATGAGAGAGGGCATCCTTGTCTTGTTCTGGTTTTCAAGGGGAATGCCTTCAGCTTTTGCCCATTCAGTAGGATGTTGGCTGTGGGTTTTTCATAAATGGCTCTTATTATTTGAGGTATGTTCCTTCAGTGCCTAGTTTCTTGAGGGTTTTTAACATGAAGAGATGTTGAATTTTATTGAAAGCCTTTTCTGCATCTATTGAGATGATTGTGTGGTTGTTTTTAGTTCTGTTTTTGTGGTGTATCACATTTATTGATTTGCATGTGTTGAACCAACCTTGCATCTTAGGGAGGAAGCCTACTTGACCATGGTGGAAAAGCTTTTTGATGTGCTGCTGGATTCAGTTTGCTAGTATTTTCTTTTTTTTTTTTTTTTTTTTTTTTTTGAGACGGAGTCTCCCTGTCGCCCAGGCTGGAGTGCAGTGGCGTGATCTCGGCTCACTGCAGGCTCCGCCCCCCGGGGTTCATGCCATTCTCCTGCCTCAGCCTCCCAAGTAGCTGGGACTACAGGCGCCCGCTACCTTGCCCGGCTAATTTTTTGTATTTTTAGTAGAGACGGGGTTTCACTGTGTTAGCCAGGATGGTCTCGATCTCCTGACCTCATGATCCACCCGCCTCGGCCTCCCAAAGTGCTGGGAGTACAGGCGTGAGCCACCGCGCCCGGCCCAGTTTGCTAGTATTTTCTTGAGGATTTTTGCATCCATATTCATCAAGGATATTGGCCTGAAGTTTTCTTTTTCTGTTGTATCTCTGCCAGGTTTTGGTATCAGGATAATGTTGGCCTCATAGAATGAGTTAGGGAGGCATTCCTCCTCCTCAATTTTTTAGAATAATTTCAGTGAGAATGGTACCAGCTCTTCATTATACATCTGATAGAATTCAGCTGTGAATCCATCTGGTCATGGGCTTTTTCTGTTTGGTAGGCTTTTATTACTGATTTGATTTTTTTGTTTGAGACAGGGTCTTGCTCTGTCACCCAGGCTGGAGTGCAGTAGTGTGATCATGGCTCACTGCAGCCTCAACCTCCCAGACTCAAGCAATCCTCCCACCTCAGCCTCCAAGTAGCTGGAACTACAGGCATGTGCCACTATGCCTGGCTAATTTTTGTATTTTTCTGGTATAGAAAGGCCACTATGCCTGGCCTTTTTATAATCTTACTGTCATGACTTATTCATTTGATTTTGGAACTCAATATTAGTCTGTACAGGGATTTAATCTCTTCCTCGTTCAATCTTTGGAGGTTGTATGTTTCCAGGAATTTATCCATTTCTTTTAGGTTTTCTAACTTGTGTGTATAGAAGTGTTCATAATAATCTCTGAGGGTTTTTTGTATTTCTGGGGGGTCAGTGGTAATACACCCTTTGCCATTTCTGATTGTGTTTATTTGGATCTTCTCTGTTTTTTAAAATTAGTTTATCTACCAGTCTACCTTGTATTATTACTTCTTTCAAAGAAAAAGCTCCTGGATTTATTGATTTTTGTATGGTTTTTTTTTGCCTCTTAATTTCCTTTAGTTCGTCTCTGACTTTTGTTATTTTTTGTCTTCTGCTAGTCTTGGGGTTGGTTTGTTCTTGTTTCTCTAATTCCTCTAGTTGTGATATTAGGTTGTTAATCTGAGATATTTCTAACTTTTTGATGTGGGTGTTTAGTGCTATAAACTTCCCTCTTAACAGTGCTTTGGCCGTGTCCCAGAAATTCTGATATCTTGTATCTTTTTTCTCATTAGTTTAAAAGAATTTCTTGATTTCTGCCTTAATTTCATTATTTATCCAGAAGTCATTTAGGAGCAGGTTGTTTAATTTCCATGTAATTGTATGCTTTTGATTGATATTCTTAGCATTAATTTCTATATTTATTGCATTGTCTGTGAGCTTGGTTGGTATGATTTTGGTTTTTGGGAGTTTGCTGAGAATTGTTTTATGTCCAATATGTGTGGTTGATTTTAGAGTATGGGCCATGTGCAGATGTGAAGAATGTATGTTCTGTTGTTTTCAGATGGAAAGTTCTGTAGATTTATATTAGGTATATTTGGTCAAGCATTGAGTTCAGGTCCTGAATACTTGCGTTAGTTTTCTGCCTCGATGATCTGTTCAATAGTGTCAGTGGGGGTATTCAAGGCTCCCACTATTATTGTGTAGTTATCTAAGTCTCTTTGTAGGTCCCTAGGAACTGACTTTATGAATCTGGGTTGAGCGCATAGATATTTATGATAGATAGGTCTTCTTGTTGAATTGAGTCCTTTACCATTATTTAATGCCCTTCTTTATCTTTTCTTGATCTTTGTTGGTTTGAAGTCTGTTTTGTATGGAATTAGAATAGCAGCCCCTGCCTTTTTATGTTTTCTTTTTGCTTGGTAAATTTTTCTCCATCCCTTTACTTTAAGCCTAGAGGTGCCAGTGCATGTGAGATGGGTCTCTTTAAGACAGTATACCATTGGGTTTTGCTTTCCACTCTGTGCCTTTTAAATGGGGGCATTTAGCCCATTTACATTCAAGATTAGTATCGATACATGTGGATTTGATCCCGTCATCATGTTGTTAGCTGGTTGTTATGCAGACTTGTTTGTGTGGCTGCTTTAGAGTATCACTTGTCTATGTACTTAGTGTTTTTTTATAGTGGCTGGTAATGGTCTTTCCTTTCCATATTCAGTGCTTTCTTCAGGACCTCTTGTAAGGCATGTCTGTTGGTAAGAAATTCCCTTAGCATTTGCTTGTCTGAAAAGTATTTTATTTCTCCGTTGTTTAGGAAACAACTTGGCTGCATATGAAGTTCTTGGTTGAAAATTATGTTTTTTAAGAATGCTGAATATAGGCTCCCCCAATCTCTTCTGGCTTGTAGGGTTTCTGCCGACAGGTCTGCTGTTAGCCTGATGGGGTTCTCTTAGCAGATGACCTGCCCTTTCTTTCTAGCTGTCCTTTTTTTTTTTTTTTTTTGAGTTGGAGTTTCACTCTGTCACCCAGGCTGGAGTGCAATGGCACAATCTCGGCTCACTGCAATCTCCGCCTCCTGGGTTCAAGCGATTCTCCTGCCTTAGCCTCCTGAGTAGGTGGGATTACAAGCATGTGCCACCACGCCCGGCTAATTTTGTATTTTTAGTAGTGACGGGGTTTCTCCATGTTGGTCAGGCTAGTCTCGAACTCCTGACCTCAGGTGATCCACCAGCCTCAGCCTCCCAAAGTGCTGGGATTACAGGCGTGAGCCACTGCGCCCGGCCCTAGCTGCCTTTTTTCTTTCATTTTGACCTTGGAGAATCTGATGATTATGTGTCTTGGGATGGCCTTCTTTTGTAGCATTTTTCAGGAGTTCTCTGCATTTCCTGAATTTGAATGTTGTCCTCTCTGCAAGATTGGGGAAATTTTCATGGACGATATCCTGAAATATGTTTTCCAAGGTCCTTGGTTTCTCTCCCTCTCTTTTCTCTTTCAAGGACGCCAGTGAGTCATAGATTTGGTCTGTTTACATAATCCCATATTTCTTGGAGGTTTTGTTCATTCTCCTTTATTGTTTTTTTCTTTATTTTCGTCTGACTGAATTATTTAGGAGAGCCAGTTTTCAACCACTGAGATTCTTTCCTCAGCCTGGTTGATTCTGCTGTTAATACTTACAAGTACATTATTGTGTTTTTCAGCTCTATCAGATCAGTTTGTTTGTTTCTTTTTTTTTTTTTTTTGAGACAGAGTCTTACTCTGTCTCCCAGGCTGGAGTGTAGTGGTGCTATCTTCCCTTACTGCAACCTCTGCCTCCCGGGTTCAAGCGATTCTCCAGCCTCAGCCTCCAGGTAGCTGGGATTACAGGCATGTGCCACCACACCTGGCTAATTTTTTTTGTATTTTTTAGTAGAGATGGGGTTTCACCATGTTGGCCAGGCTGGTCTCGAACTCTTGACCTCAGGTGATCCACCCACCTCGGCCTCCTAAAGTGCTGGGATTACAGGCGTGAGCCACCACGCCTGGCCTGTTTCTTTCTTATAATGGCCATTTGGTCTACCACCTCCAGTATTGTTTTATTGTACTCCTTAGATTTCTTGGATTGGGTTTTAACTATCTCCGGTATATTGATGATCTTCATTCCTATCCTTATTCTTTATTCTACATCTGACATCTCATCCATTTCAGCCTGGTTAAGAATCATTGCTAGGGAACTAGGGCAATTGTTTGGAGGTAAGAAGACACTCTGGCTTTTTGAATTGCCAGAGTTCTTGCACTGGTTCTTTCTCATTTGTGTGGGCCGATGTCTCTTGAATCTTTGAAACTGCTGTCCTTTGGATGGATTTTTTTTTTGCTTTTTTCTTCTTTGATGCCCTTGGGGTTTGATTATAGAATAAGGTGGTCTGTCGACTGGCCTTGATTCTAATCCACTCCTGAATCTTGGAGGACCTCCCACCTCCGATTACTCTCTCCATGCCCATGTTTCTTTTGTTGGGTGTTCGGTTGCACAGGGCTGAATCAGGCAGGGGCTGCAGTTGGCATATAAGCCATATCCTTGCCAGGTCAGCCCTAATCTTCTGTCTGTGTGCTTCCTGGGAAAACATGAGATTGCTGGGGAACACAGATTGTAGAGAGGAATGAAGCTGGGGACCAGCCTGTCTGGGCTCAGCATGGAGCCAGGAGAACCACTGGAACATGGGAAAGAGTGAGTGGGTGGGTGCCCCCAGGGGGATTCATACTCTCCACAGGGACCTATGCAAAACTGGGAATGGCAGAATCACCTTGGCTTCCCCCTAAACCCCCCTACTGCACTATAGACTGAGGTAGAATTCAGGCAGAAGTGGTACTGCTGGGTTGGAAGCTCTAGTGGGTGTGGCCCATCTGGCTATGAGAGGCAAGGGTGGGTGGAGTTGCCCACCCTGCCATCCAGGTGTTTCCAGGGCAATAGGAGTCTGCACTTCTCAGCAGATTCAAGCAGAAGTAGGACTGCTGGTCTGTAGGCTGTAGCAGGCATGGCTTACCTGTCTGCTGGTGGTGGTGGTGGCTGGGGACGCTCACCCTGCCATCTGGGTATTTCCTGGGACAACAGGAAGCTCTGCCCTCTAGCTAAGTTCACATAGGAGTGGGAACACTGGGCTGAAAGCTCTAGCAGGCATTGTCTGCCTGTTTACCAGTGGCGGGGGTGGGTGGGGTTGCACACTCTGCCATCCAGGTATTTCCCGGGACAACAGGAAGCTATGCCCTCCATTCGAGTTCATACAGAAGCAGGGCCACTGGGCTAGAAGCTCTGGCACCCGGTTACCAGTAGTGGGGTGGGCGGGGTCATGGGCTCTGCCTGCCATCCAGGTGTTTCCTGGGCCAACAGGAAGCTATGCCTTCTGGCTCAGTTCACACAGAAGTGGGGCTGCTGGGCTGCAAGCTCTAGCAGGTATTGCCAGCCTGGCTACCAGTGGTGGGGGCAGGTGTCTACTGTCCAGGTGTTTCCTAGGACAGTAGGAGACTGCACTCCCCAGCTGAGTTCACACAAAAGTGGGACCACTGGGTTGCAAGCTCTAGCAAGTGTTGCCCACCGGGCTGCAAGTGGCAGAGTTGGGTTGAGTGGCTGGCTGGCTGGCTCATTAAGGGCTGAAGCAGGACTGCTGGGCTGGAAACTGGTGCCTAGCCCTGTCCAGCAAGGAGGGGTGGAACAATTTTACTGCTTCCAGATACTGCTACTGCAGCCTCTACTGGGGCTATAGTGCTGGTGCTGGTCTGCTCCAGGGCCCAAGCCTTGTAGAGGTCCCCTTGCACTCAGGAGTTGCCCCTCAAAAATGTCTGACTGGCTTTCTGCCTCAGTCTAAAGTGTGATAGCAGGGTGTTGGGGGAAACCAGGGGGATTCTCCCATTCCCAGTCTTGCACAAGTCCTTGTGAACAGTGTGAATCCCCCTGGGGGCTCTCACCCACTCCCCCTTTCTCATGTAGTGGTTCCCCTGGCTCCATGCTGAGCCCAGACAGGCTGGTCCCCAGCTTCATTCCTCTCTGCAATCTGTGTTCCCCTGCTGCCTTGATGGATTGAATGTGGTTTCTCAGATGGTTGGCCTGCAGGGTCAGTGTTCACTAGCCCTTTTGTTTTCTCTCGGTGAGAGTGGCGCACATGAGCTGCTTCTAATTCGCCATCTTGGCCCCTCACCTATTTGTCTTTTTAAATGTCATATTAATATGTCATTCTTAGTTATTTTTCTAAGCCATATCACACTCCTTCCTACACTCATGCAGCTATCTTTTTTTTTCCTGTGAACTCCTATGCCTTTGACTGCTAATGTTCCTTTGTTTATCAGTGACTGCTCTAGGATTTAAAATATGCATTTTAAATACCATGGACTGTCTTCAAATAATGTTATGCCACTTTACATTAAAGGACCTAACAAGAGTATGCTTTTATTTTCTCCCTCCTGTGTATTGTGCTATTATTGTCATTTATTTTGCTTTTATAGATTTATAAACGACAATATAATTTATTTTTGCTTTAAATAATCAATTATAAGCTGGGCGCGGTGGCTCACGCCTGTAATCCCAGCACTTTGGGAGGCCGAGGTGGGCAGATCACCTGAGGTCAGGAGTTTGAGACCAGCCTGCCCAACATGGTGAAACTCTGTCTCTCCTAAAAATACAAAAATTAGCCGGGTGTGTTGGTGTGCACCTATAGTCCCAGCTACTCGGGAGGCTGAGGCAGGAGAATCTCTTGAACCCTGGAGGCGGAGATTGCAGTGAGCTGAGATCGCACCACTGCACTCTAGCCTGGATGACAGAGTGAGTCTCTGTCTCACAAAAGAAAAAAAAAGTCAATTATATTTTATCCAGCATACATTTTTCATTTTTAGCAATCTCAAACTTATAGGAAAGTTGCAAACACAGTACAAAGAATATTTTTTCCTGAATAATTTGAGAGTAAGTTGCCAGCATGATGCCATGAATATTATTGATGTATTTCCTATAAACAGGGCATGCTTTTACAGTTGATCATCAAAATCCTCCCAATTCAGGTGTCTTCAGTTGTCCCAAAATGTTCTAGCAAAAGGACCCTGTCCAGTTCATATGTTGCAATTGGTTGTCGTGTCTCCTTGGCCTCCTCCAGTTTGGAATAGTTCCTCAATCTTTCTTTAATTTTCATAACCTTGACATAAAGATTAGGGATGTTTTATTGTAGAATGTCTCTCAATTTGGGCTTGTTTTATGTATAATATCTGCATGAGTAGACTAATGTTAGGCGTTTTTGTTAGAAAGACCATAGACGTGGTCTCATGGCATCATCTCAGTGGTACAGGACTTGGATTTGGGCAGTTGACTTCTTCTTGGGCTCCATCTATCACCAGCCTTGGGCTCCAATACCCTACAATAAGCCATGCCTCCTCATTGCCTTCCTTTTCCCACTTGGGCTCTGATATTTCACTCTGGGCCATTCCTCGTGGGAGACACTCTCCTCACCCTTCTTGAGCTCGAAACCCTGTGCCAGGATGGCCCACTGATTGGATATCCTTTCCACACTTGTTCTGATATACCTGCCCTGGGCCACTTCAGCTCCTCCCATACCCTTCATCTGGCATGGATGTCTACTCTGCTTGGCCCAATCTAATGACTGTAGAATGTGAACTCTATGGGAAGGAGAAAGGAAAAGGGTAACGGAAGGGGTTCAATTATTTTTTAAAGAAATTAAAACCCCAGAAAAACTTGTTTTATATTTCTCCACAAATTGTTCATTTTTTGTGCTCTTTTTCTTTAGATCTGAGTTTTCATCTGGAGCTATTTTTCTTCAACATAAAGAACCCCCTTTAACATTTCTTGAAGCACAAGTCTGTTAGTGCTAAGTTTTCTCAGTTTTATTTTTCTGAAAAAGCATTTTGCCTGTAGTTATAGAATTCTAGGCTGACAGGTTTTTTTAAGTTTATTCACTCTATTTTAACATATAATTCCATCATCCTCTGGCTAGCATTGCTTTAAATCAGTTAGGGGCTAAATTTTTTTTTTCTGCTTTTGTAAGTAGTGTGTCTTTTTTTCTTCTTGCTTTTAAGATTTCTCTCTTTATCATTGACTTTTCAGCAGTTTGATTATGATGTGCCTTTATGTGATTTTCTTTATGCTTGTCCTATTTGGAGTTCATTGAGCTTCTTGGATCTGTGGGTTTATATTTTTAGCAAATTTAGAAAGTTTTCAGCCATTATTTCCTCAGCTATTTTTCTGTCTCCTTCCTCTTTTTGGGACTCCAGTTATACAAATATTATATAACTTAGATAACTTAATATTGTCCCATAGGTCATTGAGTTTCTGTTCATTTTCTCTTAGCCTTGTTTTTCTTTCTGTGCTTCATTTTGAATAGCGGTTATTGCTATTTCTTCAAGTTTAGTAATTTTTTAAATGCAAGTGTCTGATTTGCTATTAGGCTCTTCCAGTGAACTTTTAAATTACAGATATTGTATTGATCTCTAGAAGTTTCCTTTGGTTCATTTTTAAAATCCCACTTCCCTTCTTTTAAGTTCATTTTTTTCTTTGTATCCTTGAACATTTTTATAATAGCTATTTTAAAGAATCTGTTTACTAGTTCTGTTATCCTTGCAATTTCTCTGTGTGTTTCTATTTTTGGTTTCTCTCTTAGTTATTTGTCACGTTTTCCTGCTTCTTTACAAATCTAGTAATTTTTTATTATATGTTGGATAATCTTATAGGTTATATTGTTGAGTGTCTAAATGTTGTCTTTCTTTGAAGAGAGTTGAATTTTGTTCTGGTAGTCAATTAATTTAGTTGAAGATAAGTTTAATCTTTTCCATTTATATTTAAGCATTTTAAGGGAAAATCTAGAGTAACTTTCACACTAAGGTTAGTTTATCTCTGTTTCTATCATGTGACATTTCTGGGTCTTTATTGAATGCCCCAAGTATTCAATGACACGTCTCCATTTTGGTTTGTTTTAACTTATAAATTTCTCAATCCTGTATGAACTGTACTAGTGACTCAGCTTACAGGTCCCTGGTATATGTTTTGTCCCTGGTAGATATTTTTTGTTCAGCTTCATGGTGTCTCACTCTGTGCATACACAGCTTAGAATACGGTCAAAGACTCAAGAAGATCCATATGTGTATTTCTCAAGCTCTTATTCTGTGTAGCTCCCACTTTTCTGCCCTAAAATTCCAGCAGCCTCAACAAACTTGAACTCCAAGATCTGTCTTCTTGGCTTAGTGAGACTATCTGGCACCGCTTCTATCATAAGTAGCTAATATACGCCCCCAAGTAGTAAACCTGGGCTATCATAGATCTTGTGTCATTTTTTTCCCTTCTTTTGGAGATCACAATACTGTGCTGCCTTGTTATCCACATCTGAAAGCAGTTGTTTCATATATTTTTTCCATTTTTAATATTTTATATTGGGAAGGATAGCCTGGTACCAGTTACCTTGTGGGTGACTGTTTATAGTTTTCTGAACTTGCATGGTAGCCAACTTTAGCCATAATAGTTTCTGACTGTCCTTCTATGGGTCTCTTCTTTTTTTTTCAGTTTCTTACAGAGTCTGTCTAAACTCTTATTCTGAACTGAATGTTGTGTCCCCTCAAAATTCACATGTTGAATCCCTGGTCCTCAATGTACTATATTTGAAGATAGGGCCTGTGGAGAGTTGATGAAAAATTAAATGAGGTCAAAAGGGTGAGGCTCTAATCCAGTAGAACTGGCGCCCTTTTAAGAAGAGAAAGAAACACCAGAGCTCTCTCTCTGCCATATGAGGATGCAATGAGAAGGTGGCTTTCTGCAAATCAGGAAGAGGGCCCACAGCAAGAAAGGAATTGACCAGTTTCTTTATTTTGGACTTCATAGCTTCCAGAACTGTGAGATATGTTTCTGTTGCTTAAGCAATCCAGTCTATGGTATTTTTTTTTTATGGCAGCCTAAGCAGACTAAAACAACTCTTTAATTTTCATCATGCTAAATCCTCCTCTTCACTGCTCTTTGCCTTTACTTTCCGTCCTTGTTCACTGAGAAAATATATGCCATCAGGTAGGAACTCCTTCAGCCTTCTTTCTTACCTCCTTCCTCAATCCTGTTTTTCTGATGTCCCTACCCTCTTTTCAAATGTACCTTCCTCTGTACCTACTTTTGCTTCCTTTTCTGTTCTCAAGAAATTTTGCCTATATAATGTGCAGTATTTACATCAGATGCTTTTATTTAATTTCTGCCATAGGTAGTGATATTATCTACTTTTGGGCCATTATTAATATCAGTTCTGAGTAAATGAAGTGTAGTTGACAGAAAGCTGTATAATTAACTTTAAATACAAGATTATTTGTCAATATAATTTTTGTTGCCTCTTAACCAAGGTACTCAGTTGTTGACCTATACTGAGTCATACCTGGAGGTCTAGGACTATGTTCCTTGATTTACAGGCATATGTAAAATATTTATCAAGTAAGTGAATATATCATAAGATTTAAGAAATTAACAAGTTAGTTGAAGGAGTAACGTCTCCAAACTGGCAGAGTAGAACCAGTCTGGCCTTCACTCTCCCCCTCTGAAAATGAGCACCAGGATTATCACCATCAGTATCCCAGAACTCAAGTCTGAGGCTGAGTTGATTCCTGGGTGTACAAAGAAATGAAAAACTCTCAGCAGACAGTAAGAGAAATGGACTGCTCTGTGATGCACTCCTCTCATTTACCAGGGACCATGCAGAAAATTCCTCTGCAACTCAATTTCCACACTGGAAAAAGTGAAATTGAGGCAGCCAGCCAGCCTCCCCACTGTCTTGAGTTTCTTTGCAGGAAAACTGTTCTTGTGAAGGAACAAGAAGCATAGTGAGTGCCTGTAGGGAGAAAAACCCCTGAGAGCAGTTAGAGACAAAGAGCAACCCCAGCCCTTGAAATTCTTCTCTTTATCTTAGCCAAAGGAGACACTAAATCAGAGTGTCTGTTCAGCAGCACCATGCTGTAAGAGGCACACTCCATGGGTCCTCTGGGCACAAACCTCTAGCCAGTGTTCTTCTCACACAGTTGGACTGTTCCCTCTGGGGCCTCCTCCGCCAGCCTATGATGGGCAACACTCTGAATGTTTGTGAGAACTGAGGCAAACCTGGATGGACTTACAGCACCACTAGTGCTGAAAAGGAGGTAGCAATCCAGCATTAATGGAACTCAGCAGGCAAACTGCAAAGAACCTCCAAACAACCATATCTTAGAAAAAGCAGAACAAGCTAGACAGCAAGACTGAAATAAATTACTAATTCTTCAGTGCAAAGCCACAGGTATACATTCATAAAAACAGCAAACAGGGAAGCATGATCTTCCCAAACAGACAAAGCAAGGAGCTAGTGATTGATAGTAATAAGATGGTAATGTGTGAGCTTTCACACTGAGAATTCAAAATAACAGTTCTAAGAAAACTCAGTGAACTCCAAGATAACACACAAAAGCAATTTATAAATTTATCAGAGAAATGTAACAAGGAGATTAAAAACTTTTTAGTGTTTTAAAAACTCAAACAGAAGAGATGGGCATGGTGGCTCAGGCCTGTAATCCCAGCACTTTAGGAGGTCAAGGCGGGTGGATTACCTTAGGTCAGAAGTTTGAGACTGGCCTGGCCAACATGGTAAAACCCCATCTCTACTAAATAAAAAAATTAGCCAGGTGTTGCACACGCCTGTAATCCCAGCTACTTAGGAGGCTGAGGTACAAGAATCACTTGGACCCAGGAGGCAGAGGTTGCAGTGAGCCGAGATCATGCCACTGCATTCCAGTCTGGGCCACAGAGTGAGACTCTGTCTCAAAACAAACAAAAATGGCCAGGTGCAAGGGCTCACACCTGTAATCCCAGCACTTTGGGAGGCCAAGGCAGGTGGATCACGAGGTCAGCAGTTTGAGACCAGCCTGACCAACATGGTGAAACCCTGTCTCTACTAAAAATGTAAAAATTAGCCAGTATGGTGGCGTGCACCTGTAATCCCAGCTACTCAGGAGGCTGAGGCAGGAGAATTGCTTGAACCCAGGAGGTGGAGGTTGCAGTGAGCCGAGATCACACCACTGCACTCCAGCCTGGGCAAGAGAGTGAGAGTCTGTCTCAAAAAAAAAAAAAAAAAAAAAAAAAAACCCCAAAACAACAACAACAACAACAAACACACTTAAACAGAAATCCTGGAACTGAGAAATGCATTTGCTGAGCTAAAAAATGCATTAGAGGCTCTCAATAGCAGAATGGATCAAGCAGAGAAAAGAATCAGTGAGTTCAAAGACAGGCAATGTGAAAATATGCAAAGGAAAAGAAAGAATTAAAGAAAGAAAAGGAATGAAGAATGCCTACAAGATATAGAGAATAACCTCTAAAGAGCAAATCTAAGAGTGGTTGGCATTCAAAGGGAGTTGAGAAAGAGCAATGGTTAGAAAGATTATTTAAAGAAATAATAACAGAAAACTTTTGAAACCTAGAGAAAGATATAAATATCTGAGTCAGGAAGGTCAGAGATCACCAAATAGATTCAACACAATTAAGACTACCCCAAGACATGTAATAAACTCTTAAAGGTCAGGGTCAAAGAGGATTCTAAAAGCAGCAAGAAAAAAGAAGGAAATAACCATAAAAGAGGTCTGATTTGTCTGGAAACAGCAAACAGTGGAAACCGTATAGGCCAGGAGGGAGTGGGACAACATGTTCAAATTGCTGAAGTAGAAAAACTGCTAAATGAGAATACTACATTCAACAAAGCTTTCTTTCAAATATGTAGGAGAGATAGTCTTTCCCAGGCAAACAAAAGCTTAAAGAATTCATCAACACCAAAGGCATCTTAACAAGAAATGCTAAAGGGAGTTCTTCAATCTGAAAGAAAAGTACACTAATGTGCAAAAAGAAAACAGTTGAAGGTATAGAACTCACTGGCAAAAGTAAGTATTCAGACAAATTCAAAATCTTCTAATAGTGTGTCATGGTGTATAATCAACTCATCTCTAGTATGAAGCCTAAAAAATAAATCTATTGAAAATAATAACTATAGCAACTTGTTAAGATATAGACAATATAAAATTATGTGAATTCAGACAACAAAAAAAAGTGGTAGATTGAGTTAAAGTGTAGAGTTTTAAAGTTTTTTACTTTGTTTCTTTGTGATCAAAATTCAGTTGTAATCTGTTTAAAAAAACTTGCCATTTCTATAAGATTTTTTTTGTAATTCTCATGGTAATGACACAACTAAAACCTGTAATAGATACACTCAAAATAAAGAGCAATGAATTCAAACATTACCACCAGAGAAAAGTAAGTATTCAGACAAAGCACAAAGGAAGACAGTAAAAAAGGAAGAAAGGAGAGGAGTTTCAAAACAACCAGAAGACAAGTAACAGAATGGCAGTAGTCAGTCCTTACCTATTGTATTAGTTAGGGCCCTCCAGTGGGACCGAACCAATAGGATATATGGATATATAAAAGGGAGTTTATTAGGGAGAACTGGTTCTCATGATTACAAGTCCCACAATAGGCTATCTGCAAGCTGGGGAAAGAGAGAAGCTAATAGTGTCTCAGTCCAAGTCCAAAAGCCTCAGAACTAGGGAAGCTGACAGTACAGCCCTCATTCTGTGGCCAAAGGCCCAAGAGCCCCCAGGAAGCCACTGGTGAAATTCCCGGAGTCCAAAGGCCAAAGTACCTGGAGTCTGATGTCCAAGGGCAGGAAGAGAGGAAGCAAGTGTCCAGCAGGGAAGAAGAAAGAGAACCACAAGATGCAGCAAACAAATTTATCCCACCTCCTTCTGCCTGCTTTGTTCTAGCTATGCTGGCAGCCAATAGGATGTGACCCACATTGAGGGTGAGTCTTCCTCACCCAGTCCACTGAAACAAATATCAATCTCCCCTGGCAACACTCTCACAAACACAATTAGAAACAATACTTTACCAGTCGTCTAGGCATCCCTCAATCCAGTCAAGTTGACACCTAATATTAACCATCGTACCTATCAATAATAACATTTAATATAAATGGACTAAATTCTCCAATTAAAAGACAATGAGTGGCTGAATAGATTTTTGTTTTAAAGACCCAGATATATACTGCCTACAAGAAACCTATTTCACATATAGGCACATATAGACTGAAGGCAAAGTGATAGGAAAAGATATTCCAGGCCAGGCATTGTGGCTCAAGCCAGTAACCCTAGCACTTTGGGATGCTGAGGCAGGTGGATCACTTGAACCTGGGAGTTTGAGACCAGCCTGGGCAACATGGTGAAACCCTGTCTCTACAAAAAAAAAATCAAAAAAAAATATATATATAGAACTGGGTGTGGTGGGATGTGCCTGTAGTCCCAGCTACTCAGGAGGCTGAGGTGGGAGGATTGGTTGATCCCAGGAGGTTGAGGCTTCAGTGAGCCATGATTGTGCCACTGCACTCCAGCCTGGGTAACAGAGTGAGACCCTGTCCAAAAACAACAGCAACGACAAAACAATATTTCACGTAATTGGAAACCAAAAAAGAGCAGGAGTAGCTATGCTTATATCAGATATAATAGATGCAAGTCAAAGACTGTAAAAAGAGACAAAGAAGGTCACTGTATAATGATATAGGAGCAACTCAGTAAGAAGATATAACAATTGTAAATATATGTGCATCCAATATTGGAGCATTCAGATATGTAAAGCAAACATTAATAGATCTAAAGGGAGAGCTAGATTGCAATACAATAATAGTAGGGGACTTCAACACCCCACTCTGAGTAATGGACAAATCATGCCGACAGAAAATCAACAAAGGAACATTGGAGTGATATTATGCCCTAGACCAATGGACCTAACTGACATTTACAGAACATTTCATCTCACTGCTGCAGAATATACAATGTTTTCTTTAGCATGTAAAGCATTCTCCAGGATAGACCATATGTTAGGACATAAACCAAGTCTCAACAAATTCAGAAACTTGACATTAAATCAAGTATCTTTTCTGATCACAATGGAATAAAACTAGAAATAAACAACAAAAGCAACTTTGGTTTTTTATTGTTTTTTAAAAATTCATTCATTGTTTTTTAATTGAAAAAATAGAGTAAGGGTCTTGCTCTGTTGGCCAGACTGGTCTCTAACTCCTGTATTAGCAATCCTCCTGCCTTGGCCTTTCAAAGTGTTGGGATTGGATTACAGGTGTGAGCCACCATGCCCAGCCTGAACATGACTTTGGAAACTATACAAACACATGGAAATTGACCAACATACTCCTGAGTAATTAATTGGTCAGTGAAGAAATTAAGATGAAAATTTTTAAATATCTTAAGTTAAAAAAATGAAAATAAAAACACACCAAAACAACATACCAAAATCTATGGGATACAGCAAAATCAGAGCTAAGAGGGAAGTTTATAGCAATAAATGCCTATATCAAAAAAATAGAAACATTTCAAATAAATAACCTAATGATCCACCTCAAGAAACTGGAAAATCAAGAACAAACCAAACCCCAAATTAGTAAAAGACAGGAAATAATGAAGATCAGGGCAGAAATAAATTAAGACTGAAAAAATGCAAATGATCAACACAATAAAAAGTTGTTTTTTTGAAAAGATAAAATGGGCAAATCTTTAGTTAGACTAAGAAAAAAAGAAGACCCAAATAAAATCAGAGACAAAACATGAGACATTGCAACTGATACCACAGAGATACCAAGGATCATTAGAGAGTATTGTGAACATCTATGCCAACAAATTGGAAAACATAGAAGAAATGGATACATTCCTAGATACATGAAGCCTATCAAGATTGAACCATGAAGAAATAGAAAACCCAAATACACCCATAGCAAGTAATGAGATTAAAGCAGTAATATAAAGTGACCCATTAAAGGAAAGCCAGACCTGATGGCTTCACTGCTGACTTCTACCAAATATTTAAAGAATAATTAATACCAATTCTATTGAAACTATTCCAAGAAATTGAAGAGGAGGGAATATTTTCAAACTTGTTCTATGAGGCCAGCATTATCCCGATACTAAAACCAGACAAGGGGACAACATGAAAACCACAGGCTAATATCCCTGATTAATATAGATGCAAAAATCTTCGATAAAATACTAGCAAACAGAATACAACAACATGGTAAAAAGATCATTCTCCATGATCAAGTAGGATTCATCCCAGGGATGCAAAGATGGTTCAACATACACAAATAAATAAACATAATACATCTCATCAACAAAATCAAAGACAACCGTATGAACATTTCAATAGATGCTGAAAAAGCATTTAATAAAATTCAACATGCTTTTATGATAAAAAAAAAACCCTCAACAATTTGGGTATAGAAGGAACAAACCTCAAAAAATAAAGACTGTATATGGTGAACCCACAACTAACGTCGTACTGAATGAAGAAAAATTGAAAGCCTTTCCTCTAAGATTAGGAATAAGGCAAGGATGCCCACTTTCACCACTTTTATTCAACATAGTACTGGAAGTCCTAGCCAGAGCAACTACGTGAAAGAAAGAAAGGGTATCCAAATTGGGAAGGAGGAAGTCAAATTATTCTTGTTCACAGAGGACATGATATTATATTTTTAATTTTAATTATTATTATTATTGTTATTATTTTATTTGTAGAGATGGAGTTTTGCCATGTCACCCAGGCTAGTCTCGAATTCCTGGGCTCAAACAATCCTCCTGCCTCAGCCTCCCAAAGTGCTGGGATTACAGGCAGGAGCCACTGCGCCCAACCTAATATTATATTTAGAAAAACGTAAAGACTCCACCAAAAAACTGTTAGAACTGATAATCAAATTCAGTAAAGTTGCAGGATAAAAAAATCGGCATATTAAAATCGGTAGCATTTATATATGCCAACAGCAAATAATTTTGAAAAGAAATCAAGAAAGCAATCCCATTTACAATAGTTGCAAAAAATATAAAATATCTAGGAATAAATTTAACCAAAGAAGTGAAAGGTCACTAGAAGGAAGACTGAAACACTGATGAAAGAAGTTGAAGAGAACACACAAAAAATGGAAAGATAGCCCATGCTCATGGATTAGAAAACAGTCAACAAAGTGAAGAGGCCACCAACAGAATAGGAGAAAATATTTGCAAACTGCCCATCTGAAAAGGGATTAATAACCCAAATATATAAGGAACTTAATAGCAAAGAGAACATAAAAAGAACAAATAATTTGATTTTGAAATAGGCAAAAGATCTGAATAGACATTTCTCAAAAAATGACATTCAAATGGCCAAAAAGTATATGAAAACATGTTCAACATCACGAATCATCAGGGAAATGCGTACCAAAAGCACAATGAGATATCATCCTTTATCAGAAAGACAAAAAATAACATGCTTATGAGGATGCAGAGAAAGGGGAACATTCATACACTGTTGGTGGGAATGTAAATTAGTACAGTGATATGGAAGACAATGTGGAGGTTCCTAACAACTGAAAATAGAATTGCCATATGATCCAGCAATCTCACTGCTGAGTATAAATCCAAAAGAAAGGAAATCAGCATACCAAAGATATCTCACTCCCATGTTTATTGCAGCACTATTTACAATGACCAAGAGTATCTGTCACTGTAAGTGTTCATCAACAGATGAATGGATAAAGAAAATGTGGTATACGTACCCAATGGAATATGATTAGGCATAAAAAAGAAGGAAATTCTGTCATTTGCAGCAATATGGATGGAACTGAAGGTCATTATGTTAAGTGAAATAAGCCAGGCACAGAAAGACAAATATCACATGTTCTCACTCATTGTGGGAACTAAAAAAGTGGATCTCATGGAGGTAGAGGATATATTGGTGGTTACCAGAGTCTGGGAAAGGTAGGGAGTATGGGGGGATAGAGAGTGGTTAGTTAATGGGAACAAAAATACAGTTAGATAGAAGGAATAAGAGTTAGTGTTTGATAGTACAGTTGGGTGACTGTAGTTAACAATAATTTATTGTATATTTTAAAATAGCTGGAAGAGAAGAACTGGAGTCTTCCCATAAAAAGATAAATGTTGGAGGTGATTAATATCCCAGTTACCCTGATTTGATCATTACACATTGTATGCATATATTAAAATATCACGTGTACCCTCAAAATATGTACAACTATTATGTATCCATTTTAAAAGAGAAATTACTTCATGGTGTTCTAATCCAATGTTAAGAAAGATGGTGCAGATCTATAATAAAAGCATGAATGTTTTCCGCGGTCATTCATTTTGTGTCTGAAAGTAAAATCTCTAAGCAGTTATTGATGAATAGACATAAATGGCAAGCTTTCAATAACTATAAAAATATTCTAGTGCTGGTTGGAACAGAAGAATAAAGGGATAAGGTTTTGGAAAATCTTAAGGCTTCACGTTTTTTATGAACACATCATCTTTCTTTTTATGGATCTCTCGGTCTAGTAATTCTCAAATATATCAGTGAGCACTGTCTTCAACTATCAATATAATAAAATATAACCAATGGTAAGACTTAAAGAAATAAGGGCTATTTGTTTCATATTACACAATGTGCAGAGAAAAGCAGTCCAAGGCCAGTCATCCACAATACCAATAAAAATGAAGTCTTTCTATCTTGTTAGTCCACAGTCCTTAGGATCTTCTTGCTTGTCTTATGATTGCAATATGTCTACTCCACCTCCAGCCTCATGTTCTTTTACCAGGCCAGAGAGGGGAAAAAGCACAGTGGTAAAGGCAAGATGTTTGTTGATTTGTTTATGAGGAAATCCAAAGTTTCCCCAAATTCCCACAGTCAGGAATTTCATTGATGTGTTTTAGGTTAGAACTTTGTCACAAGGCCTTGTTAAACTGCTGGGGAGGAGAGGACTTTGGGTGGAGTTTGAGTGAGTTAATCAGTATAGTCTGTCTCACTGAATGTGGATTTGAACTACCAGTCATCAGTATCTAAAAGGGCATTTTTCCTTGCCAGAAAAGATGTTGTTTAGGTTGCAGTAAAAAGGCAAAACAACAACAAAGGAACAATCACAGCAGATAAGAAGTAAGCAAGTGTTTAATAAGTCATTATATCAGTGCTGCAAATGAACTCTGGTCTAATGCTCTTTCCTATCCCAGACCCCTGTGGTGAACAATTCAGAGAACAAAAAAGCCAACTACTGAAGAACCACAGCACCCACAGTCTAGCAAATCATTTCATAATGGGATCCAGGGCCTAGAAAAGCTTGTATATGGAAACAGCAACCATTATGACAAACTATGAACTTACATATTTTCTCAACAGCAATCTTTTAGTTTGACAATATATTGATTAAAAGTCCAGGCTCAGGACTCAGGGAGAACTGGGTTTAAATCCAGTCTCAACTGTTTACTAGCAATATGACCTTGAGCAATTTCAGCCCTCTTGGCCTTTGATCTTTAAAACTACCTCACCCCCATTTTCCCACCAAACCCTAAACTAATAGCAAAGAGTTTGGAATAATCTAAGTTTTAGGTTCACTTTGGGAAAACCATTTCAGAATATGGGAAATGTGTAGAATAATTGGGGAATGTTGCTCAGGACAGTAGAAATCATTGCCAGTTTTTGCATTTTAAAGATTACTTTCTGTATGGTGTTATGGTTTATGACTATGCCTTTATTTATTTATTTATTTATTTATTTATTTATTTAGACAGAGTCTTGCTCTGTCACCAGGCTGGAGTGCAGTGGCGCCATCTCAGCTCACTGCAACCTCCACGTCCCGGGATCAAGCGATTCTCCTGCCTCAGACTCCCAAGTAGCTGGAACTACAGGTGCACACCACCACGCCTGGCTAATTTTTGTATTCTTAGTAGAGACAGTGTTTCACCATGTTGGCCAGGTTGGTCTCAATTTCTTGACCTTGTGATCCGTCTGCCTCCGCCTCCCAAAGTGCTGGGATTACAGGCGTGAGCCACTGTGCCCGGCCTATTTTTTTTTTTTTTTTTTTTTTTTTTGAGATGGAGTCTCGCTGTCATCCAGGCTGGAGTGCAGTGGTGCGATCTCAGCTCACTGCAAGCTCCGCCTCCCGAGTTCACGCCATTCTCCTGCCTCAGCCTCCCGAGTAGTTGGGACTACAGGCACCCACCACCACGCCCAGCTAATTTTTTGTATTTTTAGTAGAGATGGGGTTTCACCATGTTAGCCATAATGGTCTCGATCTCCTGACCTCGTGATCTGCCCGCCTTGGCCTCCCAAAGTGCTGGGATTACAGGCGTGGGCCACCGTGCCTGGCTGACTATGCTTTTAATGCCTTCTCTCACCCCAGCTTCCCCCATGCTCATGGGAAATAAAGTAGAGCCCTTTGGGGCCCAGATTTATAAAGTCTACCAGAGTGCTCAAACCATAGCATGATCAAGCTAGAAGACAGCTTAGAGATGTTTGTGCTAAGCTTTTACCTTTTACAAGAGGGACAGCTGTGGATCTGAGAAATTTTATGTGCGAATCTGAAAGAGCCAATCTCTCAAGATGAGTTTTGAGTACCTAACTGGGCTGAAATTTAAAATAGAGTCAGGTGGCCATTTGCTGACTAGAGCTCACACACATACTCTGAGTTCCCAGAAAACCTACACATCTGCTTAACTTTGGGGTTGTCATAGCTAACAGTTTCTGTCCACGTGGCCTGAACCAACCAATAGAGTGTAGCCTGCACTGACCAATCAGAAGCCAGCAGCATTGACCAATCAGAACTCTGCAAGTGTCAACCAATCAGAACTAAGCCAGTTTGAATTCTGTATTTGCATAAGAGGACCTGAGTGGAAAGCTGGGTGGGAATTTTAACTATAAAAGCGAAACCCTCCTTTTTTCTTTAATGTATCTTTTGTTTCCACTGAAGGGTTTGTCTTCCCCGTTTGGAAACTGTTCACTGGAATAAAGTCTCTCTTCTCGAAATTCCTTTTCAGATAACTTTTTTCACATCCCCAAAGTCAGACAACTACAAAACTGAGGGCAGGACCTGGTTTTTCTGTGTCCTTGGCTAAGCTTATAGCCTCTATATCTTTTTTTTTTCCTCTTGGAGAATTCTAAAGAAATAGAATATATATTAATATTTCATGAGACAAAAAGCAATAATTAAGAATATTATACATCTGTTTAGTTGTCCTGTCCTTAAAAAAACAAGGGTAACTTTTTTAAAGTTACTAAATCTTGATATGACAGAAAAAAAAGCCAGTATTATTTTTATAGATATCCTCAAAATTTCCCCAAATAATGTGCAGAATGTTCATTAAAAATGCACAAGTAATAAGAGTAGATTTATATAATAGCATATAAACATATAAGTTAATTATTCTAAGACTAATATCTTGAATGGTTGGGTTTGTTATGCTTATTAATGTATAATAGATTTGCAAAGTTAATTTTTTAAATCATACTTTTTAAATGGCATTTAATCTGGTTCACTAACTCAGGGACTTGAGAAGGAAAGGTGTGAAAACAAAAATGTGATGTGAATTTGGTCTGAACCTTATTTAAAATGGTTAGAAGTGTTAGTTTTTTAAATAAATTGAGGTTTTTTATATACAGGCTGTTTAATGTTTTGAAGGAATAATTGAAACCAGCAATTTGGATTGGGATACAATTTGAACTTTCTTAGAATACACATAACAAACTGTAGTCTTGCATTTTAGGTTCAGTTACATCAACTCATGAAAACAAGTCAGGTTCTGTTTTGCAACCATTTTTCTTAGTATCATTTACCCGTTAGGAAATGCTGCTTAGTTAGCAGATGGTAGGGCTCATACACTATCAGTCAAACTGTTGGCCAAACTTAGAGCTAGTGGGAGGGTTGGCAAAGACTGTTTTCCGTGAAAATACAAGTTTGGTTTTTTTTTTTCCTTCTGTGTAGTTTGGCAAGCAACACAGAGAAAAGCCTTATGCTGATGAATTTGGAAACTCTAAAATAGTTAAGTAATGCAGTTTCTTAAAATGTAAAATTACTTGATTAGTTTAATAATGTAAGTGTTGCTTTAGGGTTGTCTTCATTTTAAACAACTATGACTTCTTGTTTGTAAAAGATATATGTCATGTGGACTTGCAAACGGTTATAAAATCACCTTCAGATTTTACTGTGTTGATGACTCATTTTCTCACTTGGGGAAGAAAAGAAACATGGATAGCTATTAAAACTAGTACCATGTTGTAAAAGAGCCAGATGGTTCAGGCCTGTTTGATTAAATTACTTAGAATTACTTGTAAAACAAAAGAATATTCCCAGTGACTTTTCAGATCTATGTTTTGATAACCTCAGGGGTCAGTCTGACCTCATTTCACCAATGCAGACAGTGGTTCCAGGTTTCATAGCTGTGTACTGTGTGAACTTCAGATAAGGAAAGGTTCCACAACCACATTGCTCTATCAAGGAAGTATGTGGATATTGGCTCAAGTTGTGGTGTGGGTGAAAAAGCAAATGAAACAAAACATCTAGAAGTCACTTTGGGAACAGTTGATTTTTGGTGGAACATTGCTCTACCCATAGACCTCACTTTCATCACTTTAGTCTTAATCGCTGTCTCTGTTAAAGTGTTTACAGGCTGGGCGTGGTGGCTCATGCCTGTAATCCCAGCACTTTTGGAGGCACAGGCAGGTGGATCGCTGGGGTCCAGAAGTTCCAGAGAAACCTGAGCAACATGGCAAAACTGTGTCTCTATGAAAAATACAAAAATTAGCCAGATGTGCTGGCGTATGTCTTGTAGTCCCAGCTACTCGATGGGCTGAGGTGGGAGGATTGCTTAAGTCTGGAGAGGTTGAGGCTGCAGTGAGCTGTGACTGTGCCACTGTACTCCAGCCTGGGTGACAGAGTGAGACCCCATCCCCCTCCCAAAAAGGGAAAAAGTTTACAAGTGATTTTGATCTAAAGTTTTCATGACTTTTAAATTGCAGAAGCAGTTCTATTAATTTTAGCAGGACCACCCTTGCAAAATGATCTAGCATATGAAAGACAAAAAACTATACCCCAGTAAGAGGCAGCCACATGGAAATGGGGAGAATGTGCCCTGGAGTCTGGGTGGCCGCTTCTGTCACTAGCTGTGTGACAGCTGTGGCTGGGCATGCTGCTTAATGTTTCTGTTTCTAAATTGTCTCATTTGTAAAAAGGAGATGATAGAGAATTTAAGTTGACAGTAACAAGATGTGTTTGGAAAGGTGGGTTGGGTCTGCGTTGTTGAGGCCTTGAGTATCCACTTAGGAGATGGGTTTTAACCAGTAGGCAGTGAGGGACCACTGCAAGCCAGTAACATGATGGCAGACTTATAAAGCTGTTCTTTTTCTCCCTTCACTGTTCTTCCCTCACCCTCCCCCTGCCTTGGGTGGGTCAAGGGGGTTGGATGAAGTCTGGAGGTAGACAGATTTCTCTAAGAGCATTAGGATAGTATCAGTGGGAAATTAAAAAAAAGGACCCATGTGAGAACCAAAGCATTAACAGAATTCTGGGACCCATAGTATCTGGAGTGAAAGAATGAGTGAGGAGGGTGATAGGGCAGCATTGAGACTGGGTGACTGGAGGGGTAGGAGGCTCAGAAGTAATGCAGTCAGGAGCAGAGCCAGCTTCTTTATTGATCTTACAGGCATGACTCACACTGCGCACCACTTATTCCTGACTCATGCTTCCTGTCTTGTTAAGTATTTTTCTTTCCATATCATACAATGTTCCATTGGAATGGTTGGTGGAACCTAATTTATTTTAGCAGTTTACCATCTGTTTCAGGTGGCTTGTGATTTGCATTGAAGCAATTTATCAATTAACTCAAGAGTCCGTGTTTTATGTTCCAAAGACAGCCCTCCTTTTATTGCACTACAAGGTAACATTAAACAGGAGAGAACTGCCAACTTGCTCTTTCCCATGCCTTCCCTGGTCCTATGATCTTAAATTTCTTTCTTTCTATTGATTTATTCCTTCATGTCTAAAAATGTGTTTGACTCACTCCTTTCCTATAAATCATTTCTCAATGCTGCTAAGTATTCTATTTTTCTCCTGTTATGTGTTGGCAGACTTCTTGACACTACCTCCCACCTGCCCACTGTGACACTCAAAAACTGCTTTAAACAGTCTCTACCTGGGTGTTCCAAAGGCACAAGCCAATTCATCATTACCAAAACAGAACTCATCATTTTCTTCCTCCAACCTTCCTTTTCCCCCATATCCTGTCCAACCCTGTCTCTTGTATCCTGTTTCTCAATGAATGGCACTATCATCTACTCAGCTGACTTGGCCAGAATTTGGAAATATCTTTGACTTCTCTCTTTTACCCCCTACTGCATATTTTTTTCTTTTTAGCATGTAATTTCACTTTCTTTCTTCTCTCCATTCTCTCTGGCACTCATTGTCTATTAGTGACATTACTATCAAATTCAAAGCTACTGAATTTGTCTTCTGGCATCTACTCTTGACTGTTGACTTTGACCACCTGACTTATTTTTCATTTGTCCACCAGAGTTGTCTTTCTCAGATCACATTTATTCATGTCACTTCCTGGTTAAAATCTCTCCTGAACTCTGTTGGCTTTAACATGCTGCATGAGGATTTCCAGTTCTAGCCTCCACTACCTCTCAGCTGCATTCTCCATCATTGCTCCAGACGAGCCCTTGGCTGTAGCCATGTGGAGTTACTCCATGTTACCCAAGTTCAAGGCACCCTCTCTGGCCATATGCCTTCACCCATCACGTGCTCTCTTTGTAGGCTCTCTCCTCTTCTTCCTTGCCCTACTCAGTCCTGCTTAGGCTCAGCTCAGATGTCATCTCTTCCAGAAAGGCTACCTTTGATCCTCTGTCCTCTCTCTCAGTCTTGGTTAGTTACCCTTCCTCTCTGTTCCCAGAGTCCCTCTTGAGATACTTTTTACTCTCTTATAATGGCCTATTTTGTGTTTTCTTCTTGGACTATATGTGCCTTGAGGACAGGGACAGTGTCTTACCTGCTTTGAATTCACAATCTGTAGATGCCCAATAAATATTGGTTGAATGATCGAATGAAAAATGATGTTTTCTTTTCAGCTCCACTATTACAAACTTGGTCTCATCAAGGTCCCAGGAATTTCTTAATCATCAAATCTGATTGCCTATGATCCCTTCTTGTCTTGCTTTTTCAGTAGCACTTGATTCTGGGCTTCTGTGGCATGACATTTCCTGTTTCTTTTCTCTGGGAATTATTTCTCTATCCTCAGGATAGGTTTCTTGCTCTCTCCTCACACCCAGATGTTGGCTCTGGTCTGACTGTACCTCCAGATGTTGGCTTTGGCTCTCTCTCTTTGCCCTACATTCTTACTAGGTCATGGCAGTCACAGCTAGGCTTTCACCCACCACTCTCTGGTGTCGGCATTGCTTTGGAATCATGATAAGGACATTTCCAATTTACCTATTATTTGGAAACTTTAACCTTTTAAATCTTGATGAATGTGAAGCCAGTGCTACTTATGATGTGCAGTAATGTCGGGAGAGTCAACTGGTTTTGGGGAAAGAGAAACTTAATTTTGGATTCAGTGAATTTGAAATGTCAATGAGACATTAAGTTAGAAGGTCCTAGAAGTATCTGAAAAGTAAGAGTCACTGAATTCTACATATACAGCAATTTTAGAGTTATGTGATCCAACCTCTTTTACAGGAAAATATTCCTCACAGATGTTCTTGAGGTTTTAGAGGGCACCCTCTTCCGTATCTGAGTTTGGAACCAATTGAGAAATAGAGAGATGGAAGTGGACATATTTTCTGATACAGCTGATAGGAGACTATGACTTAAGATCACTGACAAAGGATACTACTTCATTCTTTCATCCCTGAATCAGATAGACTCGCCCCTCGGTCACTGCACAGCTGAACAACTGCAGGCCTCCCTATGCTGCTGAGAGCAGACCAGGATGCATGCATCTTGCATTCAGGTCAAGGCAGGGTGGAGCAGGAGCTGAATTGCAAGCCTAGTTCTTTCTCCCAAACACTCCTCCTCTTCTCCTGGGAAGATATGAGGGGTAGAGAGAGAGAGGCCCAGAGTGTTTCTAAAGTGTTTCTAGATAGAGATGTGAGGCCAAGGCAATGAAACGTCTCCATTAGCAGTAATGTTTATCCAGCATTTGGTCTAGTACTTTCTGTGCTGGAGAGTCTGTTGACTTTGCGATGCATTCTGTTCTGTCTTGGGAAAGATCAGATAATTAGAAAGTTGTCCTTCAGATCAAAGCAGAGAAAGCGGCCTCATTATCTTTTGTTTCTAGTTCCTTCTTCTGCATTCACAAGGAAGATCAAATTTGTCAATTATTCATGCAAAGCTTTCATTTTATTTTCTAGTGCTTTTGTGGTTACTTGTTTCCAGTTTACTCAATTGTTTGTTCCTCTGTGAGTTTCTAGTCTCAGCCCTCCCTGTCCCCATCCCTGCTACTCCCTTGGCTGCTGTCTTCTAAGAATTCTGTTTGTAGCTTCCTCATAAAGTGGGCTGGGCCACGTTTTCTCCCTCATTCTGAGTGGTCTCACCTTCTGAAGGGCAAGGAGCTCTCCAGGTTATAGCTTGCCTGGATCTCTTCATACCCTTATACTGAGCTCCCTCATTATTGTGTCTGGGGTTTCTCTTTAAGTAGCAATGTGAGAGAAAACTACACAAGATAATGTGAATATGTAACCACATGATTTATTACTTAACACAGTCAGATCAGAATCAGTGGGATAAGCAGCCTAGGGTGTCCCTTGAGCACCCAGGTTCAAGTTAATCCTTTTACATGGAAAGCGCTTTCTTCTGCGTAGAGATACCCAGGTCATTTAAGACTCTACACCAGTTTTGGTTCTGCATGATGAAGGAGTTCTTTGCCTGAGCAGTAGGGAGTAGAGAATGCTCTGTGCTGAGACTCCTAAGTCCCCACTGTGTTCTTGGCTACATTCATCCTTGGGGTTAAAAGAGTGTATACCGTTCTACATTTCTGCCCTCCCACTTTGTTTTGTTTTTCTTTTTCCCTTCAATATGGCTGATCTGTTTGGGTTTTTCCAAATTTTCTAATTTATCTTCTATTTTCATTACCATTTTTGCTGCTGCTCTGCATCTGCTATACAACGGCTTCCTTCTCCAATTAGTTCTTCATACTCAGCAGTGTCTGGAGGTGGAAAAAAATATTCCAAGTGTTATCTGATTAGTGCAGCATCCAGTGCAAGTATCATCCCCGCCCCTTAAAGTGGACATTCCTGAGCATATCTTTACCCTTCATTGAAGCAGTGCTAGCTAGACTGACCACTGACCTGCAATAGCTTCTTCAGCATTAATTCTCTCTGGAAACTCATCCTCAGTGACAGTACTCCCACTTGGTTTTCTGTTCACCTTTTTGATCACTTCTTTTAGGATTCCTTTAGGATAACATATCCCCATTGCCTTCTTGTATCATGGTGTTTGTAAGGACTCTGTCATTGTTTCTCTGTTCTTCTCATTCCATCTTCACTCCCTGGGTGATTTCAAATACATGCTTTAGGTTATAGTTATATGCTGTTTACTCACGATTGCCAAATCTGTGTATCTCCAGCCATCACTCTCTTGTAAGACCCAGGTCATTTAACAATGCCTGCTGGGTAACTCCACTGGAATATTTCATAGCATCTACCCCCTAGCGTGTTCAGCTTGAAGCCGTTACTTCCCCACCTCTCTTATGGGACTACTCCCCACCCCTCTGTATTCCTGGGCTTTCTTGGTAAATGGTGTCATCACTTGTCATCCAAATTAGAATTGTGGGAATCATCCTGGACTTCTCCTTTTAAAAAAAATTCTCCACGTCCCATTAGTGATTAGTGTATGATACCCACTCAAGATGCGTTTTCATTTAGGAATAAATATAAAGTGGGATTTCACATTATTTCAAGTTTTGCCATATAGTGAGGCTTATGTTTTTATTTCACTATTTTAAATCCACCAAATTCAAATTCGTATAAAATGCATCCACACTACCCTAAGAACTGTGCTTGGATTTTTGCTATTAGTTATCTCATGTAATCCTCCCCATATCTTTGTGAGGTATGTTTTTTTTTTCTGTTTTGCTAATGAAATAAATGATGCTTGGGGAATTAGGTTAAATCACAGTGGTAGGGTTGAGTTTGGCCTACTGTATAAGCCCTTTTTACTTCATAGAGAGTGTGAATTATACTCCCTAATATATGTGGGATTTTTATTTACAATTTTTAAATTTCAATAACTTTAGGTGTACAAGTGGTTTCTGGTTATATGGATGAATTATATACTGGTGAAATCTGAAATTTTAGGGTACCTGTCACCTGAATAGTGTACATAGTATACTATTTTTTTATTCCTCACTCCTCTCTCGCCCTCTCCCTTTCAGAGTCTCCAGTGTCTATTATACCACTCTGTATACCTTTGAATACCCATAGCTTAGCTCCCACTTACAAGTGAGAACATACAGTATTTGGTTTTCCCTTCCTGAGTTATTTCACTTAGAATAATGGCCTCCAGTTCCATCCAAATTGCTGCAAAATACATTTTTTTTTTATGGCTTAGTATTCTATGGTGTGTGTATGTATGTGTATATGTGTGTGTGTGTGTGTGTGTGTATCACATTTTCTTTATCTACTCATTAATTGATGGGCACTTAGTTTGGTCCATATCTTTGCAATTGTGAATTATGGTGTGATAAACAGAAATGAAGCTAAATAGTTACAACCAACTGATCTCTGACAAAGCATACAAAAAAAATACTCCCTAGTACTTGGATGAAAATAAATGTTATATTTATTCCTTTACAATCGGCCCATCTGCTGCATGTCCCCACCCATTTAACCAGTAAATTAAATCTCAATCATCACATTCAATTCTAATATCCTTCTTCCCCTGCTGCTTGGTTGTGCAAGAGTCTTAGAGGTGTCTCACAGCCAAGCACCCATGAAGAGAACTGGACTTCAGTCCACATCCACACGGGCGGCTGTGGCTGTGCTCACTGCCTAAATCGACACAGTCCCTTGAAGGCGGGAGACTCCATGATTTCTGAGCCCAGCTTGGGCACAGGGACCATGGCCTCAAGGCAGATCTTTTGATCGTCAGTTGCCATGGCTTTCTGATGGTGCCCATTAGAGGGCCTGCCACATTTTAGGAAGGTCTACATGGGAATGTGGCACAAATATCTGTCATGAGCCTCCATTCCTTCCCGAAGTCTCAGCAACTTTCCAACCTCCCCATCCCCACACACCAGCAACATTTTTCATAGATTGGTCCAATTTCTCTCTTGAAGGCTAGGTATTTTGTGGGGCTGGTTTGGCTTCTGATGGTTGTCAACTTCTGCTTTTGGCTCTGCCATGTAAATGCCATGAAAGGACTCAAATATTAGCACATAAACCTTAATGTCTTCCCATTTCTTCTGGCATCCTAAATAAAGAGGACAGGCAAAAATGAATGTTTCAATAGATTATTTGGAAAGTGCTATGATGTCTCCTACTAAATGTATTGATGGGGGGGGGGCATCGTGCCAGGTTCCAGGGATGTGGGGTGTGGATTACTGAGTATCTCCCATGCATTCTAGGCACTGTTCACACATGCTCAACATGTGTTATCTTGTTCATACTCACCCATTTTATGAGTGAGTATGCCCATTTTATGAGACAAAGACTTGGGTCATAGCAATGTAGTGGTGAAATTAGCATTTGAGATTGGGTTTGTTTGAATCTAAATGTTGTTTTTCCCCCATTACATGATAATGCCCATCCTTGAGCTTGTGTTGAACCAAAACTCTGAGGTCTTTATGTGAACTGCTGACTGGATGTTCTGCCTTATGTCACTGCTAATCTCAACCTTAGCATAACAGTTTCTGTTATTCCTGTTCAATTTCATCTTGTTGATTTTGGTTCTGATTCCAATATTCAGTGAGTCAGCTATGTCTTCCAGCTCTATGGAATTCACTGATTTCATAAACATGAATATAGCCTTATCTATGTAGAAAAAAAGTATTGAACACAAATCCCATCTACTCCCCCTTTCTGGGGATCTTCCTGCTGCCCCTGAGTTGTAACATGCCTCTGTGGGTTGTTGGTTAGTTATCTATCCACAGTTTGTACCTTCCCACAATATCTTTTATTGTGTGGAATGTGGAATGGTTTGTTTGCTGGTTGGAAGCTCACTCAGGAGCATAGCCACCAGGGTGGTGTGGGTTCTGGATAGTGTGAAGTGCAGACTGTCACATAGCTGGATGTGCTAGGACATGGTCTACAGAGAATTTGACTGTAGTCCAGGGGTTCCACCAGATGCATGCTGGCCAGGTGGTGAGCATGAAAGAATTCTAAACTGGTGGGAATCCTGCAGATAGGTACAACACAGTGGTGTGGGTATGAAGCCATCAACACATGGTGATCTTAGTGACAGGCAGGTGATCAGAGACTGGGTGATCAGGTGTCAGGAATGAAGGTCTGTCTTCAGGGATAAAGGAGAGAGAGACCAGCACAAGCAATGCAGGACCCCAATCAAGGGTAGGGTTGCCAGAACTAGCAAATAAAAATAAAGGATGCCCAGTTAAATTTGAATTTAAGATAAAGTTGTTATTTTTTGGTGTAAGTATGTCCTGTGCAATATGTGGCATATAATAATACAAAAAATTTATTTGTTCTTTATCAGAAATACAAATTTAATTGGGCATCCTTTATTTAAGGCAGCAACCCTAACCCAGATAGAACTAGAAAATGGTATGCAGTTAGATTCCCGCATCTTTAAGATAATAATTGGCACATAGCAGGGTTCTTCTAATAATTAAAATAAAATTCCTAGCACACAGAAGTGCACAACAAATATAAATCTCCTTTCTATCTCCATACAATTGTTATCTTCTTTCCCTTCTTATTGAAAGTACGGCATTAAAAAAATATCAATTAAGTAGTTATAATAAATAAAACATCATATAAGCCCCAAGAATGAATGAACTGCCTTTGATCTGGGACATCAATCTTCTCTTGCCTTTGGACTCAGATTTGTACTGGAACTATACCACCAGCTCTCTGGGGTCTCCAGTTTGCCAACAGAAGGTCTTGGACTTCTTGGCCTTCATTATTGCATAAGCCAATTCCTTTAAGTAATTATCTTTCTCTCTCAATATATATCTAATGGATGGATGGATGGATAGATAGGTAGATAAATAGATAGGTAGATAGTTATATATATCTTCTTGGTTCTTTTTCTCTGGAGAACCCAGACTAATACAGATTTTGGTACCAAGGGTGGTTCTATAGGAACAGAATTTTAAGGATGAGTTTTTAGAATTGGTTTTTAGGTTCCTAGAATTGGCTTTTTAATGTGATCAGATTTAAAGATGCAAATGACTCTTTTTTCAGTGCTAAAAAGAGCACTGATGTTTCACGGTGTTATCTGGCAATAGAGATATGCCAAATATCTCCATTGGATGTTCCCAATCAACCACTTATAAGAAGCAAGGAGCTGATCATTGTGCATATGATACTCTCAAACATTTCTGGAAATCACATGAATATAATTAGGTTGGCTTGTTGCTCCTAATGTCACGAACAAAGTATTGAAAGAAAAGAAGGAGCTCAGGAATTCAAATTTCCAGCTCAAGTACTGCATAAATGACTGAAAGCTTCCACATGTGCCCTGAGGGAGAGTCTTATCTCCTTTAGCCACAGGGCTGAGATTCCTGAAAATCAAATGCAGAATCTCATCCTGTGACCCAGTTTTACAGTTATCTTATCTCATCCGGTGACCCACTTTTATACTCTGTTAAAGTGAAGGCGTTGACTGGGAAAGAATGGGTTTCTTGCTGGGTGCGGTGGCTCATGCCTGTAATCCTAGCACTTTGGGAGGCCAAAGCAGGCAGATCACTTGAGGTCAGGAGTTTAAGACCAGCCCCGGCCGACATGGTGAAACCCCGTCTCTACTAAAAATACAAAAATTAACTGGGCATTGTGGTAGGCACTTATAAAACCAGCTACTCCAGAGGCTGAGGCAAGAGAATTGCTTGAACCTGGGAAGTGGGGTTTTCTGTGAGCTGATATCACACCACTGCACTCCAGCCTGGGTGACAGAACGAGACCCCACTCAAAAAAAAAAAAAAAAGGGGAAAAAAGAAAACCAGAATGGGTTTCTATAAGTTGGAATGGGGACTTGTGGGAAGACCTTGATGAAACTGAGGACATTGAGCCTCTAACTTCTGGTGAGTCTTCTTTGCTAGTGGAAGAGGCAATCCTACTGCTAGTGGAAGTGGCCTCCGCACTCCCAGTGCTAGTGGCTTCTCCACCTCAGAAGGTGGTTAATGCTACACTGCATGAGGAAATTGTAATGGCCTCCACTGAGGCAGTTGCCAAGCAAGACAATATTGATTTTTCTTAGAACTCACCCCTACCACCCCTCTTTGCTTCTAGTCTCATAATTAGACTCAAGTCCCAGCAGGCCTTTGAAGGTGTGGGACAAAATGTGACCCATGAGAAAGTGCACTACACTCCAAAAAAAACTACTTGAGTTTTCTAACTTATACAGACTGAAATCTGAAAAATATGTGGAAATGGATAATGAGGGTATGGGATAATGGTAGAAAGAAGATAAAGTTGGAAGACGCTGAGTTTATTCACATGAGTTCTCTAAATAGAGATTCTGCATTTATATTTTGGCACAAGGAGTTAGAAAGGGCTCTAAAGCTTGTATTAGTCTGTTCTCATGCTGCTAATAAAGACATACCCAAGACTGGGTGGGTAATTTATAAAGGAAAGAAGTTTAATGGACTCACAGTTACACATGGCTGGGGAGGCCTCACAATCATGGTTGCAAATGAAAGAATAGCAAAGGGACATCTTACATGGTGGCAGGCAAGAGAGCTTGTGCAGAGGAACTTCCATTTATAAAACTTCACAGCAAAAGAAATGCCTCAATGGGTCCATGCTCCTGGAATTCACTGGTTTTTACAGTGAACACAGTTACACTGTAGTTTTTACCACTACTCTGAAGTAGCTGGTTTGACAGAATGGTGAAGTGGCCTTTGGAAGACTCAATTCCAGTGCCAACGATGGGAGAGTACCTTGCAAGGCTGGGGCAAAGTTCTCTAGGAATCTGTATATACTCTGAATCACAGTCCAATATATGATACTCTTCCTTCCATAGTCAAGATTCTTGGGTCCAGGAATCAAGGGTTGGAAATGGGAGTGGCACACTCACTATTACCCCTAGTAACCTACTAGCAAAAATTTTGCTTTCTGTTTCCATAAGCTTATGCTGCTAACCTAGAGGTTTTGGTTCAAAAAGGAGGAATGTTTACACCAGGACGCACAATGATAGTTCTATCGAACTAAAAGTTAAGACTGCCACCCAACCACTATGAACTCCTCATGCCCCTGAATCAACAAGCGAAGAAGGGAATTACTGTGTTGGGTGGAGTAATTGACCCTAACTATCAAGGAGAAGTGGGACTGCTACTCCACAGTGGAGGAAAAAGAAGAGTGTATCTATATGTGCCCGGGATCCAGTGTTTGAATGCTGGGCTGTAACCCAGCATTGACCTCGTGATCTGCCCCCCTCAGCCTCACAGAGTGCTGGGATTACAGACCCATTTGGACCTGTATAGTCAAAATAATATTTTGGCTTTTAATGGAATTTGGGAAACATAGTTGCTATAGACTGAATGTTTATGTCCCGCAAAACTCAGACGTTGAACCTAATCCCCAATATGATGGTATTTGCAGGTGACGTCTTTGGAAATGATTAAGCCATGAGGGCAAAGCCCTCATGAATGGGATTAGTGCCCTTATAAAAGGGATCCCAGATTCTCCTTGGTCCTACTGCCATGTGTGGACACAGTGAAATGACTGTGTATAAACCAGGAAGTGGGCTCTCACCAGACACTGAATCTGCTGGAGACTTTATCTTAGGCCTCCAGCCACTAGCACTGTGAGAAATAAAATCCTCTTGTTTATAAGTTACTCAGTCTATAGTACTCAGTTTTAGCAGCTCAAATGGACTAAGACAATAGGAGAATGCTCTTTAGGATACTATCTTCTAGAGAAAGTATGTCTTCTTTGAGAACAAGTCTGTGGGATGAGAGACTGGCCTGTGTGCAATGTCAGAAAAAGAGGTGGGTAAGGGGGGGAAAGGTGTGCAGGCAATGGGAGATGGGTACATACAGGGGAATAGATCAAATAAGTAAAAATTTTAGGAAATTCGGAGCCAGATTTCTTGGACTAGAAAGTATTTACCAGTATAAAAAGGAAGAACATTAAAATGGACCCTTTTAAACAAGTCATTTGTTCTTTCTCTGTATGCTCAGAAAATTGATTCTATATTTCTACTACTTTTCTGTGCTGCCACTTTTCTTTTCTAGTTGCTTTTACCTCTCTGAACATAGGACTAATTACAATAGTTCCTCTGTCTTCAAAAATATCCTACAAGTACAGTAGGTACAAAACTACAAGTACAGCTTTCAGGCCACCTGATCCAACATAATACCTTTCCAAGGCTTGTTGGCCATTTCAACAACTCATTTAATTGCTGGCATTTTTCTTGCCCTCCCAGTACATACAGGCAAAAAGTGAAGTCTTTACTTTCTTTATCATGTTCTTTGACACACAAGGTTTTCATTTTGATGAACTCTTATTTATTTTTTCCTTTGTTTCTCATGCTTTTGGTGTCATATTCTTTGTTAAACGCAGGGTCATGAAGATTTATTTATCCCTATTTTTTTGATAAGAGTTTATGGTTTTAGCTCTTTTTTTTTTTGAGATGGAGTCTCGCTCTGTCGCCCAGGCTGGAGTGCAGTGGCACGATCTCAGCTCACTGCAAGCTCTGGCTCCCAGGTTCACACCATTCTCCTGACTCAGCCTCCTGAGTAGCTGGGACTGCAGGTGCCCACCACCACACCCGGCTAATTCTTTGTATTTTTAGTAGACCTGGGGTTTCACCATGTTAGCCAAGATGGTCTCAATCTCCTGACCTCGTGATTCGCCTGCCTCAGCCTCGCAAAGTGCTGGGATTACAGGCGTAAGCCACCGCACCCGGCTGGTTTTAGCTCTTATATTTAGGTCATTTATCTCATTTTGACTTCATTTTGCTATATGGTGTAAGGTAGAGGGTCCAAACTCATTCTTTTACATTTGGATACCCAGTTGTCCCAGTCCCATTTATTTAAAAGACTTTTTTCCCCCCATTGAATGTTTTGCCACACTTGTTGAAAATCACTTGGCCATGATGTATGGATTTATTTCTGGTCTCTCAGCTCTATTCCATTGGTCTATATGTCTATCCTGTACCTTGATATTTTGATTACTATATCTTTGTAGTAAGTTTTCAAATCAGGAAATGTGAGTCCTCCAACTTTGTTCTTTTTCAAAATTGTTTTGGCTACTTGTGACTCCTTGCACTTACTGCAAATTTGAGGGTCAGATTTTTCATTTTTGCAAAAAAAGCCTTTGAAATTTTTATAGGGATTACATTGAATCTATAGATCACTTTAGATAGTATTGACATCTTAGTATTTTTATTGTTTGTAGGGTCTGTTCTTTGGATATTTGATAGAATGGTCTTATAAAACTCTTGGCCCATGTTTGTTTGGTGTTTATTCAGAGGCAGATTTTAAATTCTGATTCAATTTCTGTTATCATTGTTATGTCTTCCAATCCATGAACATGGGATGTCTTTCCATTTGTTTAGGCCTTTTTACATTTTTTTACAGCAATGTTTTGTAATTTTCAGTATGCTAGTCTTTCACCTTTTTAGTTAAATTAGTTAAATTTATTCCTAAGTATTTTTATTAAAAAGTGAGATTATTCAATAAAATATTTCAGGCATGCAAAGAAATTTAATGAGCAACTGTACACTCACCACCCAGTTTAAGAAATAAAACATAACATACAATTAAAGCCTCCATGACTGCATTCTCTTTTCTCCCTCAGAGGTATTTGCTGTCTTAAATTTAGTGTTTATTATTCCCTCATATAGTATGGTAGGTAGAACATTACCCCACCCCCTACAAAGATGTCCATATCCCAGTCCTCAGAACCTGTGAGTATGTTACCTTACGTGACAAAAGAGTCTTCTCAGATTTGATTAAATCAAGAATTTTGAAATGGGGAGATTATCCTGGATTATCTGGGTGGATCTAATAAAATCACAAAGGTATTTATAAGTAAAAGAGAGAGGCAAGACTTCTTAGAATGCATCTCTCCAAGGGCCAGGTAAGCCCTAGCATCTCCAGCTTTTATGACCTAGACATGTCTCCAAGGTCCTGGGACCCATTTCTTCTTGAAATGTAAATTAGGGATCTTCCTGACACCTTGGAATCTTGACTAATCCAGGCTGTGACCATTTGACTTTCTTGGGGAGGTAAGAGAAGTTTTATTATTCTTTTGGATCAGAGCAATTAACTGTTTGTCAGACAAATAACTATTTGTCTACGAATAACTACAGATCTAATTTCAATAGTAGGTGGAAAGTAAAATGTTTGTAAAGTAAGTGAAGGGTAAAATTACCTATCTTTATATCATGTAGATTTCCATGCCTCTGGAGGCTAGTGCTTTTTACAGGAGCACTGAGAAATCGAAGACTTATTTCCTTGCATTGATCTATCAAGTATTGAGATCGTTTTGATATTATCTTTCATTATGATTGTGGATTTGTCAGATTCTCCTTGTCACTTTGTGGCTTTGTTATTAGATGCTTGCATAGTTAGGATTGCTATAATCTCTAGTGAATTGCTACCTTTAATTATTATGTAGTCACCCTCTTTGTGAGATAAACTTTAAAAATCCAACTAAAATACAATACAAAACTGAAGGATTCTTGTATCAGTTCAAACCCCGAGAGTGTGCCAACAGACAACACGAGGCAGTGTGGAGCAACACGCTGTTTTAATGAGTACCTGGGTGCAGGCAGGCTGAGGCCTAAAATGGCGTCAGCACCAAATGAGTAGGGGGCAGGGGTTTTATAGTCTCCTGTAAACAGGAAATGTCCCAGTCTGATGTAACTGCTATGTGGTACCTGGATGGCCTCTTTCTCAATCTTCAGGGGTACGTGTCTCCCAGTCAGAGTAGGTGTCTTCTGGCCGGCTCTCTTCCTGCTTCTGCTATCTTGCTGACTCACACTGCTGGCACAAGTGGCCTTGCGCCTTGGGACTGGGCCTGAGAAGGGAGGAGTTATTCATTCCTTCAAGCTTTCAGGCCCTGGGGAGAATCCTTCATTCCTTTCTATTTGGTTATAGAAAAAAGGGAAAAAGGGTGACTTTCTCAATAACTACTTTAGGCATGACATAGGGGGTGGCGTGGGCACCTTGGAAAAAGAAAACCTTAATTTTTTTGGTATTCTTGAGAGACAGGTTAGTATCCATCTTGTCATTGTAGCAGGAGCATTGTCTGGATTGTCTGGCAGTTAATTGTAGTTTCTTTTTCTTTTATTATTATACTTTAAGTTTTAGGGTACATGTGCACAACGTGCAGGTTAGTTACATATGTATACATGTGCCACATGTGCCATGTTGGTGTGCCGCACCCATTAATTCGTCATTTAACATTAGGTATATCTCCTAATGCTATCCGTCCCCTCTCCCCCCACCCCACAACAGGCCCCGGTGTGTGATGTTCCCCTTCCTGTGTCCATGTGTTCTCATTGTTCAATTCCCACCTATGAGTGAGAATATGCAGTGTTTGGTTTTTGTCCTTGCGATAGTTTGCTGAGAATGATGGTTTCCAGCTTCATCCATGTCCCTACAAAGGACATGAACTCATCATTTTTTATGGCTGCATAGTATTCCATGGTGCATATGTGCCACATTTTCTTAATCCAGTCTATCATTGTTGGACATTTGGGTTGGTTCCAAGTCTTTGCTATTGTGAATAGTGCCACAATAAACATAGTTAACTGTAGCTTCAACAAGAGTTTTAATGGCTTTTATTATCAGTGGGATAACACGGGAGAAAAAGGAGGAGCCCAATGATGAAGATTACTGTCCTTATCAGCATTTTAAATCCTTCTAAATTAGAGAAACATCCTCCTAGAAGGTTTGCCAGGTCCCATCCTTTCCAGGTTTGGACTGGTACATGGGCTACTTTTCTGATGTTTGAAGCGATTTCTAGAACTGCTTTTCCATTATTGTCTATGTTAAGACAACAATTGGAGACATTAAAGTTACCACAGACTCCACCCTCTTCTGCTAATAAGTAGTCTAGTGCTAGCCTGTTTTGATAAATTGCCACGCACATTTGTTTTTGTCGTTGTGCGAGCATTTCCAGGACGGAGGCGGTTTGGTTAGTGATTATCTCTAGAACAGCCTGTAGCCTTAATTATTCTATTTAGCATATATATGGGAGTGCGATAACCCCATGAACCATCCTCCGCCCAAGTGGCAGGACCATAATATTCGATGATCCATTGCAGGGGCCACTCGTCCTCTTGCCGTCTTTGGCTTCCTCCTACCTTTAAGGATCGTTTTTCTCTGTTTAAGTGATCATACACAGGGACTCCATGGGTGTTGGGGTTTTCCCATGTAAAGGCAAAGAGGTTTTGGGAATCAGGGTGTAATGGAATTGTGAAAAAAGCATCCTTTAGGTCTAGAACAGAAAAATGGGTGGTATTGGAGGGAACTGCAGAAAGTAAAGTATATGGGTTAGGAGCTACTGGACATACTGGGAGTACAGCTTGGTTAATAAGCCTGAGGTCCTGGACTAAGCGATAAGTTCCATCTGGTTTTTTAACAGGTAGAATTGGTGTGTTAAAAGGGGAGTATGTTGGGCGGAGTAGGTGACTGGCGAGGAGGTGAGAAATGATAGGCGTTAGGCCTGTGAGAGCTGCTTGGGGGATGGGATACTGCTTCTGTGATAGGAACTGGGTGGGCTCTTTAAGGGTAATGTGGACGGACGGGAGTGTGGTGTTTTGCGACTGAGGGTGTGGAATTACCCCAAACAGGGGGGCTAACTACAGATGGGGGATAAGGAAAGGTTGCATGTTTTAAGGTGGGAGGTTGGAATAGAAGAAAGAAGCCCCAGAGGGGTTTGGGTTGATGCGTTGGGTATTATGGGGAACGTGGAAGTGGAGAGCAGTGTGGAGTTTTGAAAGGATGCCTTGGAGCGGAGTTGGGCATGAGGGCAGGACTAAGAAAGAGTGAGTGAAGGAAAAGGTGTGCAGGGAGCAGAAAAGTGGAGCGGGGGGCTCAGGGTTTGGAGGCTTGTTCATCAATTTCCACAATAGAGACTTGGGAGGACTGGGTGGGTCCTGAAAAATTAGGGAAAGCAGAATAGGTTGCCCTGGTATTAATTTTAAAAACATACTGGCCTACCTGCCACCATCAGGGTTACCCTTGGCTCAGATGAAGCGATGGTAGTTGCTGGGGTGTCTGTTCCAAGGCACTATCAGTCTTCAGCGGCAAGGCTGACGAGATCCGAGTAGGAGGGTTTGATTGGCTCAGGAAGGGATGGGGGTGGTCCTTGCAGGGGCCGCTCACAGTCCAACTTCCAGTGGGGTCCTCCGCAGAGGGGGCATGGCCTCGTGGGTTTACCTGGGTTTGGGCATTGTGTGGGCCAGTGGCCTTCATTGCCGCACTTGAAGCAGGCACCAGGTGGAGGTGGATTGCTAGGAGGCTTCTGTGTGGAGCTGTGGCCCCATGGCCTGCAGGGCCCCTGATGGAGGAGGCAAGCATTTGAAACCCTGCCTGTTTTTGCCTTTTACTTTCCTCATCACGATTGTTAAAGACTTTGAAGGCTAAATTAAGAAAGTCTCGTTGTGGGGTTTGAGGGCTGTTGTCAAGTTTTTGAAGCTGGCGCTGAATATTGGGGGTGGATTGGGAGATGAACTGAAGGTTTAAAATATCGGTTCCTTCTGGACTGGCTAGGTCTAGGTTGGTATATTTTCTCATGGCTTCAGTTAAACGAGAGATAAAAAGGGCTGGGTTTTCGTTAGGACCTTGGGTGATTTCTGAAAGTTTTTCATAGTTTACCACTTTATGGGCAGCCTTTTTGAGTCCTGCAAGGAGGCACACAATCATGTGGTCTCGACAGCAGCGTCCAGAGGCCCCATCTTGATAATCCCAGTGGGGGTCCTGGTTGGGGACTGCCTTTGCACCAGTAGGCTGAGCAGGAGCTTGGTGATGAATTGTATCAGCATGTACCTGAGTTAGGGTCCAGATACAGCCCCAGTCTTCTGGGGTGAGGGTGGAAGAGAGGATAATGTAGAGGTCATGCCAAGTTAGTTCATAAGACTGGGTGAGGTACTGAAACTCTCTAATGTAAGAGGTAGGGTCTTCTGGAAATGAACTGAGTCTTTTGTTAATTTGAGAGAGATCACTGAGGGAGAGGGGAACATAAACTTTAACAATGCCTCCAGTTCCTGCTACTTTCTGAAGGGGGCTCTCTAGCACAGGGGCTGAACTAAGGGTGGGGCATGGGCCAAAGATGGTGCCTGAGCGAGTATGGGTGGGAGAGAAGGAAGAACCTGAAAGTGGTTCCTGCTGAGGGTTTGAAGGGGGAAGGAGGGTTAAGTTGATAGGCAGTGGAGGATAGATAGGGGCGTAAGGTGGTGGGATGGGTTTACAGGCTTCAGGAGAGGGCAGTGAGGAAGGAGAATGAGTAATGAGTACAGACAATGCTAGAATTGTCCTGAGGAGAGGACAGTGTAGGAAAAGAAGTGGATACTGCTGCTTGGGAAGATGGGGGCTGGGAAGATGGCGACTGGGAAGATGAAGGCTGAGAAGATCGCAGCTGAGAAGATAAAGAGGAGGCTTAGGGGGTTAAAGAAGACGGCTGAGAGGGAGAGGCAGGGGCTGAGAGGAATGGACAGCAGTCTGCTGGATCTAACGAGGAAAATATGTCGAGTTGGGAGGAGAAAGGTGATCTGGGTGGCGAGAATAGAGGAGGATTTGAACAGGTGAGCAAGAATTACAGAGGTCGGGTTGTGATCTGAGTGCAAACAGGGCTGGACATAAGGAGTTTTTCCCCATTTCTCCAGTCGTCAGCAATAATTGCTTAAATCAGTTAAAATTGTAAAGTCGAATGTTCTATTTGCGGGCCATTAGGACCCATTATTCAATTCGTATTGTGGCCAGTCTGAATTGCAAAAAAAGACAAGGAGGATGGATATCTTGCCTGAGGCCTAAGGTTTGCAGGTTTTTGTTTGTTTGTTTGTTTTACGGACTCTCACTCTGTCGCCCAGGCTGGAGTGCAGTGGTGTGATCTTGGCTCACTGCAAGCTCTGCCTCCCGGGTTCACACCATTCTCCTGCTTCAGCCTCCTGAGTAGCTGGGACTACAGGTGCCTGCCACCATGCCCGGCTAATTTTTTGTATTTTTAGTAGAGCCAGGGTTTCACCGTGTTAGCCAGGATAGTCTTGACCTCCTGACCTGGTGATCCGCCCACCTCACCCTCGCAAAGTGCTAGGATTACAGGCATGAGCCACCGCACCTGGCCAGGTTTACAGGTTTTTTATGAGGCAGCCTAGAGGGCTGTTTTTTGGAATTGAGGATGGGGAGTTTCCCATAACTGAGGGTAGGCTCGGGAAAACAGGGAAAAAGGAGACCATCCTGGATGGTGGAGGGAGACGATGAAAGGAGCGATCGTCACCGCTGCCTTTTTCGTTCCCGGAACGGGATCAAATGGCTTAGAGGCGTCCCCCTAAGACCAGATGATCAGCAAGTACCTGGCACACGTCGGAGCCTTCTTGGACCAATGTTGGATTTTCAGACTGGAGAAACCAAGAGAGGCTGTATGGATTTTTCCTTGTTAACCGGGCTCCCGGGAAACTTACCAGTAGGTGAGATCAGTGACTGATGTGCATGCACAGAGAAGCAACTGGAGGCTGAGGAGCTTCCTTTGTCCGGCTGCTGTGGCCTGCTTTCTGGGGCGGAGGGGTAGGTCCACGGGGGACGAAGACCGGAGCCCCTCCCGGGTTTCGGCACCAGATGAAAGATTCTTGTATCCGTTCAAACTCTTGAGAGTGTGCCAACAGACAACACGAGGCAGTGTGGAGCAACCTGCTGTTTTAATGAGCGCCTGGGTGCAGGCAGGCTAAGGCCTAAAATGGCGTCAGCACCAAATGAGTAGGGGGCAGGGTTTTATAGTCTTCCGTAAACAGGAATTGTCCCAGTCTGATGTAACTGCTATGTGGTACCCAGATGGCCTGTTTCTCGATCTTCAGGGGTACGTGTCTTCCGGCCAGGGTAGGTGTCTTCTGGCCGGCTCTCTTCCTGCTTCTGCTATCTTGCTGACTCACGCTGCTGGTACAAGTGGCCTTGTGCCTTGGGACTGGGCCTGAGAAGAGAGGAGTTACTCATTCCTTCAAGCTTTCGGGCGTTGGGGAGAATCTTTCAAAAACAAAATGAACACAAATGAAAGGAAGGCTGATAACCATCATTTTACTCGTTACTTCCGTAAGTCCAACATTTTAAAATTTCACATAGAAGTGAAATCATGGAGAATTTGTCTTTCCGTGCCTGAAAGTGTAGATTTTAAATGTTTTCTTCACACACAAAAATGATAATTATGTGAGGTGGTGATTTCTTAATTATTAACCTGATTTAATCATTCCACATTATAAACATAAATCAAAACATCACATTTTAACCATAAATGCATTTTAATTATTATTTGTCAATTAAAAATAAAACTAAGAAAAGAAAATAGATAGCTACATTAATATTGGGGGAAAAACATTAAAGCAAAAAGCATTTTTAGGAATAAAAAATTTTTGTCTTCTAACCAATACATTTTGTTAAATTTATTATGATTATTGATATACTTGGGTTCATTTTTCTAATTTCATTTTATACTATTTATTATCTTTTTATTTATTATTTATTATCTTTTTATATGTTTTATTTTTCCCCTTTCCTGACTTTATTGAATTTTTAAAAAATAAAAACGTTTAAAGTAATTTCAATAGCTTCTGGGATAGATGTGGTTTTTGGTTACATTGATGAATGGTATAGTGGTGAAGTCAGATTTTAGCGCACCCATTACCAAGTAGTGTACTATTTATTGAGTATTTAAATCTACCCCCTTTTTTCTACTTTCATGTTTTAGATGATATACATTCTATTTCTATGATTTTACTGGTTACTCTTAAATATTTTTAACATGTTGTAGAAGATAACCATTCTATTTCTACTATTTTACTGGTTACTCAAATATTTTTAATGTGTACATTTATTAATAAGGCCTAAAGTAAATTAATATTTATACTTTCTTCTTGAAGAATAATTGAAATTTAGAACACTAACTCTTGATTACTCTCTCTGGTGTTAGAGTGTTATTATTATCTAGTGTTTTTGTTCCATCTTATTGTTCTACCCCCACGTTTTCATCATGATACTGTTTTATAAAGTTAATGGCTTTACCCATATACTTATTAGATTTTTTGCCCATTGTTATTATTTGCATTTCATGCCTTTCTTCTGATTTCAGTGTTCTTTAGAAGTTCCTTTGTGAAGGGTCCATTGGAAGCAAACTCTCAGTCTATGTCTCAAAGTGTCTTTAAATTTTTTTTTTTTTTTTTGAGATGGACTCTCACTCTGTCTCCCAGGCTGGAATGCAGTGGCACAATCTTGGCTCACTGCAACCTCTGCCTCCCTGGTTCAAGCGATTTTCCTGCCTTAGCCTCCCAAGTAGCTGGGATTACAGGTGCATGCCACCACACCCAGCTAATTTTTGTATTTTTAGTAGAGATGGGGTTTTGCCATGTTGGCCAGGCTGGTCTCGAACTTCTGACCTCAGGTGATCCGCCCACCTTGGCTTTCCAAAGTGCTGGGATTACGGGCATGAGCCACTGTGCCTGGCCTTAAATTTTTTAGAGACAGAGTCTTGCTATGTTACCCAGGCTGGCCTTCAATTCTTGGGCTCAGGTAATCTTGCCTCAGCCTCTCAAGTAGCTGGGACTACAGGTGTACTACCATGCCTGGCAAAAAATGTCTTTTTTTTTTTTTTTTTGAGACGGAGTTTCGCTCTTATTGCCTAGGCTGGAGTGCAATGGCACAATCTTGGCTCACCGCCACCTCCGCCCGGGTTCAAGCGATTCTCCTGCCTCAGCCTCCCAAGTAGCTGGGATTACAGGCATGTGCCACCACGCCTGGCTAATTTTGTGTTTTTAGTAGAGAGGGGGTTTCTTCATCTTGGTCAGGCTGGTCTCGAACGCCCAACCTTAGGTGATCTGCCTGCCTCAGCCTCCCAAAGTGCTGGGATTACAGGTGTGAGCCACTGCACTCAGCCAAAAATGTCTTAATACTCATTTTTGAGTTGTAATTTACTTGCATATGGTATCTCAGATTGATAGTTTCTGCTGACTTCCACCTTATGTTGTTCTGTCTACGTGACAGTCTTTTGTACGTAATCTGTGTCAAATTGCCTGAAAAATTTTCCTGTGCTTTGGCCTTTTGCAGTTTCACTTATAATGCCATTGATATATTTTCATTTTCCTGCTTGGAACTTCCTGTGCTTTTTGAATCTGAAAAGTGTTGCCTTTCATCAGTTCTAAAACATTTTAGTCTGTGGTATTTTTAAATTTTGCTTTGATTTTATTCTCTTTATTCCCTCCTGGAAATTCTGTAAAGATGTGTGTTGGACCTTTTCATGTTATGTAATGTGTCTCTTAGCATCCTTTATATTTTTCATCTCTTTATTTCTCTACATTTTATCCTGTGTAATTTCTTCAGGTACATATTCATTTGTTGATTCTCTTCTTAGCTGAGTCGCATCTGCTATTTAACTCACCCACTGAGTTTTAAATTTCAATAACTATATTTTTAATTTTCATGATTTTATTTGGTTCTTTTACAGATCTTCCCAGTCCTGTTTTGACAACATTTGTCTCAAGAGTTTTATTTTTCTTTTTATGTCTTCATCACTTTAAAGGTTTCTTTTGAATCTTGTTGGACTTCCTTTTCCTCGTGTGTTTTGCAGTTTTTGATTGGGAGCTTGTTTTTGGAGGGCTTAATCCATGGGTATCCTGTAAGGCCTGGCTTGACTGTGTCTGTCTCTTTAGAGAGAATGATATTTATTTCTGCCAAATGTCCCAGAGTTATTACCAGTGGAACCTCTTTGCACATTAATATATCAAATCCATTTACAAAGGTAACAAATTCAAATTGGATCCCAGGCATGATGAAATTTAAATCCCAACACACATAATCGCTGGCCTTTGGTTACAAACTCTTTTTTTCTTTTCATTCATTTTTTTAAAAAAAATGAATTTATTATTATTTCTGTTTAACCCAAACCAAAAATGGTCAATATGGTTACAAATTCTTTGAGAGATTTTATTTTATTTTATTTTTTGAGACAGAGTCTTGCTCTGTTGCCCAGGCTGGAGTGCAGTCGCATGACCATGGCTTACTGCAGCCGCAGCCTCCCAGGCTCAAACAATTCTCCCGTCTCAGCCTCTAGAGTAGCTAGGACTATAGGTGTGCACCACCATATATGACTAATTTTTAAATTTTTAGTTGAAATGGGGTTTCACTATGTTGCCCAGGCTAGTCTTGAACTCCTGGGCTCAAGCAAGCCTCCCACCTCAGCCTCCTAAAGTGCTGGAATTATAGGTGTGAGCCACTGTGCCTGGCGAGAGATCTTTTTGATACCAGGCTAGATACCTTAGTTTTTCTTTTGCCAGTATGGTTGATTTCTTTTCTTTTCTTTTCTTTTTTCTTTTCTTTCCTTTTCTTTTCTTTTCTTTTCCCTCCCCTCCCCTCCCCTCCCCTCCCCTCTCCTCCCTTTCCTTTCCCTTCCCCTTTTTGGACAGAGTCTTGCTCTATTGCCCAGGCTGGAGTGCAGTGGTCCAATCTCAGCTCACTGCAACCTCCACCTCCTGGGTTCAAGCAGTTCTCCTGCCTCAGCCTCCCGAGTAGCTGGGATTACAGACGTGTGCAATAATTTTTGTATTTTTAGTAGAGACAGGGTTTCACCATGTTGGCCAGGCTGGTCTTGAACTCCTGACCTCAAGCAATCCACCTGCCTCGACCTTCCAAAGTGCTGGGATTACAGGCGTGATTTCTTTCTGTTTCATAATCCTGGATTTCTCTCTCTCTCTCTTTTCTTTTTTTTTTCTGACTCAGTTTCAATTACAGTCACGCATTGCTTAATGATGGGGATACCTTTTGAGAAGTGTGTCATTAGGTGATTTTTGTCATTGTGTGAACATCATAGAGTGCTACACAAACCTAGATGGTATAATCCAGTACACACTTGGGTTGTATGGTATAGCCTATTACTCCTAGACTACAGGCCTGTACAGCATGTTACTGTACTAAATATTGTAGGTAATTGTAGCACAATGATAAGTATATATTTAAACATAGAAAATGTACAGTAAAAATATGGTAAAAAAATTAAAATTGGCACACCTATATAGGGCACTTATCAATGGAGGACTAGAAGTTGCTCTGAATGAGTCAGTGAGTGAGTGTTGAGTGAATGTGAAGGCCTAGGATATTACTGTACACAACTACAGATAGAGTACTACACTATAAACAGTGTACACTTAGGTTACACTAAATTTATTTAAAAATTAAGTACTTGTGCTATGATATTACAATGGCTATGATGTCACTAGACAATAGAAATTTTTCAGCTCCATTATAATCTTATGGGACTGCTGTCATACATGCATCCCATCATTGACTGAAATATCATTATGCAGAGCATGACTGTACCAGCTTTGTACAGGCCTGGTGACTTTCTTATGTCTCTGCATGGCCAGTAAAATCTGAACCCATTTTATTATGAAAAGCAGCAACCATCTTTATTGTTCCTCCCTCCCAAGCAACTATAGCATGAAGCACCTTATTATCAGTCTGGGTTTATAAGGATTGGGTCCTTGCATATTTGTTTTACTTTCTTGACAACTGAATTATGTTTTTAAAAAATGTTTCTTTTAGCATTTACTGATGTTTTGTACCAGCAGGATTTCCTGATTTTTTGGTCTACCACATTTCCAGAAGTAGAAGCCAAAATGTGTTTATTGCTCTTTCCCAGAAATCCTTTTTTTTCTTCTCTGAGGAATCCTATATCTTTAGAAGGAATGTAGTTTAGTTCAGCAGACAGTATTGATTGCCTTCTATGTACCAATGACTATTTATGGAAATCATTAGTTTTCTAGCAGAATTCTATCTTCATTCAAAAAATAAAGCAAATATGCTTATCTTTCTCACCATCCTTCTGCCACTATCAATTAAAAGGATTACATTATATAAAAGGAGTCAGCAGGTAAGTTCCAGTACTTTAGATAAAACTCCTATCTTCAGATAAAATTCTAGCACTTAAACTCTTGCTATTTGCAAAGTATGGATTACCTTATTATTACTAATGCGTGTGTGTGTGCACGCACATGTGTGCACACACACAGACAAAAGGTAAGTGGACAAGTTACATCAAAGTTCACATTTTTCAAAGTTGTGTATTTTTCTTTGTGTTTAGATTTTCTTCTACCTCAGTTTAAAAGATGTGATAATATGTGGTCAAGTTAATCATGCCTGGATGTTGATGACACAACTAAACTCACTGTGGAATGCTGTAAGTAGATACTAACTGAACTATGTCTTTACACTAGTTCTTAAAGGAGAATGGACTGCTGTGAAGCCAGCTGTTGTGGGGACACCTTCTTCCATGCTCTGTGGTCACCAGCAGCAAGTGAATTTGGTTTTCTTTTGTCCAGGCACAAGCCTGGGGGAAGAGATAAAAAAGATAATAATGCTATTTTAAGAGATACATCATTAGTATTTTTAAATGTAAATGGTAGATATAAATGAATATCATTTTTGGATTGAAACAAAGCTCCATTTTATTGGATAGTTTGTACTCCATTCTGGTTTTATTACAGTGTCCCTACTTCCTTTTCATGAGCATAGACTATATGTTAAGTCCATGACCATGGGAAAGATGTTTAGGGTGTGAGGTGTGCAATGGCCTTTTCATAACTCATAATTTTTGGAAGAGTTAATTCCACTAAAAAGAGAGGATTATGCTGGGCACAGTGGCTCATGCCTGTAATCCCAGCACTTTGGAAGGTCAAGGTGGGCAGATCACCTGAGGTCAGGAGTTTGAGAACAGCCTGGCCAACATGGTGAAACCCTGTCTCTACTAAAAATACAAAAATTAGCTAGGCATGGTGGCAGGTGCCTGTAATCCCAGTTACTCAGGAGGCTGAGTCAGGAGAATTGCTTGAGCCTGGGAGGTGGAGGTTGCAGTGAGCTGAGACCGTGCCACTGCACTCCAGCCTAGGCAACAGAGCAAGACTCTGTATCATTCAAAAAAAAAAAAAAAAGAAAGAGAGGATTGGCTGGGTGCAGTAGCTCACGCCTATAATCCAAGCACTCTGGGAGGCCGAGGCAGGCAGATCACAAGATCAAGAGATCAAGACCATCCTGGCCAACGCCATCTCTACTAAAAATACAAAAGTTAGCTGGGCATGGTAGCGTGCGCCTGTAGTCCCAGCTACTCGGGAGGCTGAGGCAGGAGAATCGCTTGAACCCGGGAGGTGGAGGTTGCAATGAGCCAAGATCACACCACCGCACTCCAGCTTGGTGACAGAGTGAGACTCCATCTCAAAAAAAAAACAAAAAAACCAAAACAGGATTACAAGGATGACCTTAGTGTACCTGGGTGATGGTATGCAAAATTGACAAGAGCAGAGGTTTTTGGAGTGGCCAGGGCTGATTGATAAATAATATTGCTAATACTGTCAGCTAAAAGTTTACATTTGTGAACATGCAATTTCCTGTGAACAGGCAATTTCTCATTGCCTTCTGAATAAAGTTATTGTTTGTGCTAAAAATGCTGATTATAATTGTGCCACATGTGAACACTCACAAAAGCAGAAATAGGAGGATGGAGCAACATACAATTGTGGAAAGAGAAATTTGCTGAACATAAAGCAGTGTAACTTCCTACCCTGGCTTCGTTCCTCACTGCCATGTGCTTGTAATGCTCTTGGTCTTTATCTAGTGAGATCTCTGGGCAGACGTGTTGGCTTTTTCTAACTCCTGCCAGCTTCTGCAAGACATTTCATTATCTAAATATTGTATATATTCTTTCTCCTCCAGACCATTTGGATTCATTTTTTTCTTCTTTGTAGGTTTTCCAAAGGAAAAAGCAACATCCCCAAATATCTGTAACATAATTTAGAGATTTATTACTTTAAGCCAGTGGTTCTCAAAGTGTGGTCCTGGAACCAGTAGTATCAGCATCACCCAATACCTTGTTGGAAATGCAAATTCTTAGGCCCCATCCCAGACCTACTGAGTCAGAAACTCTTAGGGTAGTAAACAGTAATCTGTTTTAACAACCCACCTAGATGATTCTGATGCAGGCTAAAGTTCGAGAATCACTGCATTAAACCAAAAATAAAATTAAGACAGGAACACCTAATTTGTTAGCTAAGATAGGTTTGGTAAGATGAAATCAGTTCTCTTCTTGCCATTGTTGCACAGAGTGAGAGTAGTGCAACCAAGAATGGGATGTTGTCCAGATGCGACGTAAAGATGTTGAGTTAACTTATGAAGCTAGAGCCCCTGAAACCTTCTCAACTCCTTTTAATTTCTTTGAGTTAAGTTTTAGAGCTTCTACAAAATGGCACCAGTCCCCCTATTCATAGGTCAGTCTGAGCACGTGATATCATCAGTCCTTCAATCATTAGCAATAAGGAGGGGTCGTGAAGTCAGCTATTGACTGGACTTTAGACAACACGGAAAATGTTGCCACTGAACATTGGTTGATGGCATAAATGACCACGTTTGTTGATATTAAAGTATCTTACAAGAAACAGATAAGAGAAGTTGTTGGGGGACGTATGCTTATTTGCTTATTTTTTATTGTTGGCTGAGTCCTCTCCCCAATGTCTCTTTGGAATGAGAAACACAAACATGTTTCAGGTTAAAAAATAGTACTGTGGCAAAAATAGTACATAAGCGCCAGCCTAGGATTTCATATTAGAAATTGCCAGAGTGTATGTGTTTCTGCATGCATGCAGACACACTGTCAAATATGACTTATGTGTTGTGTATTTTAGTCCTATTCCATGCTTTTTAAAATTTATGTACTCCATATTTTGTGTGCTTTGTCATGTATTTTTGAAGTAATAATAGTAGCTAATATTTATTGAATGCTTTCTTATATGCCAGATGCTACACTAAGTACTTTATTTGCATTTTCTCAGTTTGTCTCTGCAGCCTCCTGAGTTAGGCACTGTTATTTTTCCCATTTTACAGATGAAAAAAAACTAAGCCTTAGTTAAGTCATAGCCAACATGGTTAAATGGCTAGGATGGGATTCAAATTCTGATTTGTCAGACTACAAAGTGTGTGCTCTTAATTATCAACTATTTATAAGAGAATGCCAGGTCTGCCATTTGCCTTTCCCCTAACTAGCAGCATAGAATTTCTCCTCTTAAGGTTCTTTTACAATGATATAACTTTGAGCCCTGAGTCCCAACTCTCATAAAATGCTTGGCATTAACGAGTAATGTTCATGAAGGGTTCGGGTCCAGTAAGTCCTCTAGATACTGTGCATTTTGTCCCTGAATTGAATCAGCCAATCAGAGAGCAGCATACTTGGACTCTATTGCTTTAGATTTTCTCTTTCTGAGTTGTGCTTTTTTGCCCTGAATTCAGCTTTTGTCCAGTGGTCTGTTGTATGGAAGTCACTCAATTTATTTAATCTGTCTCCTATCGAAAGACATTTAGGTTGTTTCCTATCTTTCGTTAATAAAATCCTGTGGTGAATATCCTGTTTCTCAGTGTTGCATTGTATACATGTATGATTACATCGGCAGAATAAATTCTTAGAAGTAGAATTGTTAAGGCAAAGGTTGGATTACATTTATAATCACAAAAGTGGCCAGGCATGGTGGCTCATGCCTGTAATCCCAGCACTTTGGGAAGCTGAAGCAGGTGGATCATTTGAGGTCAGGAGTTTGAGACCAGCCTGGCCAAAATGGTGAAACCTCGTCTCTACTAAAAATACAAAAATTAGCCGGGCATGGTGGCAGGTGCCTATAATTCCAGCTACTTGGGAGGCTGAGGCAGGAGAATCACTTGAACCCAGGAGGCAGAGGTTGCAGTGAGCCAAGATCGTGCCACTGCACTGCAGCCTGGACAACAGAGAGAGACTCAGTCTGGAAAAAAAAAAAAAAATATATATATATATAGTCACAAAATTGTGTGGAGTTATGGAGTACCTTTTGCCCCCAAATTTCCTTAGCTCTATCTATTTATTTATTTTTTTTTTGAGTTGGAGTTTTGCTCTGTCACCTAGGCTGGAGTGCAGTGGCACAATCTCAGCTCACTGCAACCTCCACCTCTCAGGTTCAGGCAATTCTCATGCCTCAGCCTCCCAAGTAGCTGGGTCTACAGGCGTGTGTCACCACGCCTGGCTAATTTTTGTATTTCTAGTAGAGACGGGGTTTTGCCATGTTGGCTAGGCTGGTCTTGAACTCGCAGCCTCAAGTGATCCGCCCGCTTTGGCCTCCCAAGGTGCTGGGATTACAGGCATGAGCCACCGTGCCCGACCTCATTGTGGTTTCAATTTGCATTTATCTGATAATGATGTGGATCATTTTCTCATCTATTTCTTGGCCACTTGTATTTCTTCTTTTGAGAAGTATCTGTTCATGTTCTTCGCCTATTTTTATGGGGTTGTTTTTGCTTGTTGATTTAAGTTTCCTATAGATTCTGGATATTAGGCTTTTGTTGGATGCATAGTTTGCAAATATCTCTCTCATTCTATAGGTTGTCTGTCTTCTCTATTGATAGTTTCTTTTGCTGTACAGAAGCTCTTTAGTTTAATTAGGTCACATTTGTCTATTATTGTTTTTGTTGCAATTGTTTTTGGGGACTTTCTCATTTCTTAATGCATTTTGTTTATTCTTTTTAGATTGATTTTTCCTCAGTGAAAAATGTGATTCCAGATAAATATATAGTGTCTACTTTGCAAAGGTGGCGTTTAAATGTGCTGCGTTTGAATTTTCGTGGTTGTCTTCTCCGACCCAAAACTTTCAGATCTGTCAGTAAGTATGTTCATTACAACTATTTGTCTTGCTTTCCTGTATTACAATTAAACAAATATACAGAAAAGCATAGATTAAAAAGGAAACTTCAGTGACAGTTTTAGGTCATAAGGATACCAATTATAACCATTTAATAAGTGTATAATATAGTGCAGCTCTTACTGTATTGCATGCCCTGGGAGTTGGTTCTTTGTCTATTCTTTTTTTTTTTTGAGATGGAGTCTCACTCTGTCTCCCAGGCTGGAGTGCAGTGGTGCGATCTTGGCTCACTGTAACCTCCGGCTCCTGGGTTCAAATGATTTTCGTGCCTCAGCCTGCCGAGTAGCTGGGACTACAGGCATGCGCCACCATGCCTGGCTAATTTTTTGGTATTTTTAGTAGAGACAGGGTTTCACCATGTTGGCCAGGCTGGTCTCAAACTCCTGACCTCAAGTGATCCACCCGCCTCGGCCTCCCAAAGTGCTGGGATTACAGGCATAAGCCACTGTGCCCGGCTGGTTCTTGGTCTATTCTTTTTTTTTTTTTTATATATATATATATATATATTTTTATTATCCTTTAAGTTTTAGGGTACATGTGCACATTGTGCAGGTTAGTTACATATGCATACATGTGCCATGCTGGTGTGCTGCACCCACTAACTCGTCATCTAGCATTAGGTATGTCTCCCGATGCTATCCCTCCCCCTTCCCCCCACCCCACAACAGTCCCCAGAGTGTGATATTCCCCTTCCTGTGTCCATGTGATCTCATTGTTCAGTTCCCACCTATGAGTGAGAATATGTGGTGTTTGGTTTTTTGTTCTTGCAATAGTTTACTGAGAATGATGATTTCCAATTTCATCCATGTCCCTACAAAGGACATGAACTCATCATTTTTTATGGCTGCATAGTATTCCATGGTGTATATGTGCCACATTTTCTTAATCCAGTCTATCATTGTTGGACATTTGGGTTGGTTCCAAGTCTTTGCTTTGTGAATAATGCCGCAATAAACATATGCGTGCATGTGTCTTTATAGCAGCATGATTTCTAGTCCTTTGGGTATATACTCAGTAATGGGATGGCTGGGTCAAATGGTATTTCCAGTTCTAGATCCCTGAGGAATAGCCACACTGACTTCCACAATGGTTGAACTAGTTTACAGTCCCACCGACAGTGTAAAAGTGTTCCTATTTCTCCACATCCTCTCCAGCACCTGTTTCCTGACTTTTTAATGATTGCCATTCTAACTAGTGTGAGATGATATCTCATTGTGGTTTTGATTTGCATTTCTCTGATGGCCAGTGATGATGAGCATTTTTTCATGTGTTTTTTGGCTGCATAAATGTCTTCTTTTGAGAAGTGTCTGTTCATGTCCTTCGCCCACTTTTTGATGGGGTTGTTTGTTTTTTTCTTGTAAATTTGTTTGAGTTCATTGTAGATTCTGGATATTAGCCCTTTGTCAGATGAGTAGTTGTGAAAATTTTCTCCCATTTTGTAGGTTGCCTGTTCACTCTGATGGTAGTTTCTTTTGCTGTGCAGAAGCTCTTTAGTTTAATTAGATCCCATTTGTCAATTTTGTCTTTTGTTGCCATTGCTTTTGGTGTTTTAGAAATGAAGTCCTTGCCCATGCCTATGTCCTGAATGGTAATGCCTAGGTTTTCTTCTAGGGTTTTTATGGTTTTAGGTCTAACGTTTAAGTCTTTAATCCATCTTGAATTGATTTTTGTATAAGGTGTAAGGAAGGGATCCAGTTTCAGCTTTCTACATATGGCTAGCCAGTTTTCCCAGCACCATTTATTAAATAGGGAATCCTTTCCCCATTGCTTGTTTTTCTCAGGTTTGTCAAAGATCAGATAGTTGTAGATATGCAGCGTTATTTCTGAGGGCTCTGTTCTGTTCCATTGGTCTATATCTCTGTTTTGGTACCAGTACCATGCTGTTTTGTTTACTGTAGCCTTGTAGTATAGTTTGAAGTCAGGTAGTGTGATGCCTCCAGCTTTGTTCTTTTGGCTTAGGATTGACTTGGCGATGCGGGCTCTTTTTTGGTTCCATATGAACTTTAAAGTAGTTTTTTCCAATTCTGTGAAGAAAGTCATTGGTAGCTTGATGGGGATGGCATTGAATCTGTAAATTACCTTGGGCAGTATGGCCGTTTTCACGATATTGATTCTTCCTACCCATGAGCATGGAATGTTCTTCCATTTGTTTGTATCCTCTTTTATTTCCTTGAGCAGTGGTTTGTAGTTCTCCTTGAAGAGGTCCTTCACGTCCCTTGTAAGTTGGATTCCTAGGTATTTTATTCTCTTTGAAGCAATTGTGAATGGGAGTTCACTCATGATTTGGCTCTCTGTTTGTCTGTTGTTGGTGTATAAGAATGCTTGTGATTTTTGTGCATTGATTTTGTATCCTGAGACTTTGCTGAAGTTGCTTATCAGCTTAAGGAGATTTTGGGCTGAGACAATGGGGTTTTCTAGATATACAATCATGTCGTCTGCAAACAGGGACAATTTGACTTCCTCTTTTCCTAATTGAATACCCTTTATTTCCTTCTCCTGCCTAATTGCCCTGGCCAGAACTTCCAACACTACGTTGAATAGGAGTGGTGAGAGAGGGCATCCCTGTCTTGTGCCAGTTTTCAAAGGGAATGCTTCCAGTGTTTGCCCATTCAGTATGATATTGGCTGTGGGTTTGTCATAGATAGCTCTTATTATTTTGAAATACGTCCCATCAATACCTAATTTATTGAGAGTTTTTAGCATGAAAGGTTGTTGAATTTTGTCAAAGGCTTTTTCTGCATCTATTGAGATAATCATGTGGTTTTTGTCTTTGGCTCTGTTTATATGCTGGATTACATTTATTGATTTGCATATATTGAACCAGCCTTGCATCCCAGGGATGAAGCCCACTTGATTGTGGTGGATAAGCTTTTTGATGTGCTGCTGGATTCGTTTTGCCAGTATTTTATTGAGGATTTTTGCATCAATGTTCATCAAGGATATTGGTCTAAAATTCTCTTTTTTTGTTGTGTCTCTGCCTGGCTTTGGTATCAGAATGATGCTGGCCTCATAAAATGAGTTAGGGAGGATTCCCTCTTTTTCTATTGATTGGAATAGTTTCAGAAGGAATGGTACCAGTTTCTCCTTGTACCTCTGGTAGAATTCGGCTGTGAATCCATCTGGTCCTGGACTCTTTTTGATTGGTAAGCTATTGATTATTGCCACAATTTCAGCTCCTGTTATTGGTCTATTCAGAGATTCAACTTCTTCCTGGTTTAGTCTTGGGAGAGTGTATGTGTCCGGGAATTTATCCATTTCTTCTAGATTTTCTAGTTTATTTGCGTAGAGGTGCTTGGTCTATTCTTGACTACTCTTTTGGGGTCTAGTATTTGTATTTCTATGGATCATCAATTTTTTCTACTAAAAAATATAAAACATATTCTTATTTTTAAAAAACTAACAATAGACAGTAAAACCATCTTTTTTCACTTCCCTCAAACCTATTCACTTACTCAAAGGCATCCAATGTTATTAGTTTTCTGTTTTTCTAAAATACATTTCTATATATGTGATTAAAAATACACAACTTTACAACATGAGTCATATTGTTTTATATTTTCTTTTATGTCCTGAAAATCTTTCCATGTCAGTGCATATAGATCCACTAAATTATTTTTACATACTGTAAAATTATTTTCTATGTTATAGATGTAACATACTTTATTTAACCTTCTTCTATTTGATGGACATTGAGATTATTTCCAATTTTTTCCAGACTGACTGCTTTGTACTTCCATTGTGATATTTGTCTTTAACCTATATATCCTTTAACCTATATATCCTTTGAGATGCGTTTTCTATCTATCATATAAGTATTTCTGGAAATGAAATAAACAATATATTTCAAAAATGTATACATTCATATTGACTCCAGATAGAATGTCATATACATGTACAAATACCAGTTGGAGAAGTCTAAAGATATTAAAGGGTAAAATGAAGTTGCATGAGAGAGCTATATATTATATATAAAATCTAATACCATTTGTATATAACTTTTCAATTTGCAAAATTATATATATTTTTACCTTTTATTTTGAAATAATTTCAAACAATATATATTACTATAGATTTTTAAGTACACACACATATAGTGACATATAAAAAGCATGCATGAGAAAGAAAAACTCCAAACGCAAGACAGTGGTTGTGCAAATAGATAGAATTTAATGGAATGGGGAAGAAGTGCACAAGGAGTTTCAACTGTGTCTGTACATTTTTTAGTGAAAAAAAGAAATTATGCAAAATGGAATAATTCTGATTGATTATTGCTGGTGCTACACAAAGCAGTAGTTTTTTATATGATGTTATTGTATCTGACCATGTATTAAGCTCTCTTCTTGGTTTTAATAGCTTGTCAATTGATTCTCTTGAATTTTCTAGGTAGACTGTCATATCTGGGAATGTTGACAGTTTTATTTTCATTCATGCCTATTCCTATATCTTTTCTCTTTTTCTCATTTTATTACATTGTTTAGGACCTTTTTTGCAATGTTGAAAAGTAGCAGGGATATGCAGGAGTCTTGTTCATGTCTCCTTTTTCATATTTTTCATGAAAATAATGTTAATATTAATACGTCTTTTAATTTCTGGGATACATCCTGTATGTGGATATAATGCTGTTTTCACCTTTACAGCAGCTGTGTCCTGCATGTTCCTCATTCTGTCTGGTCACATCCGCCTTTGGATTTTTAGGAACTGTTTGTTTCTGATCCACCAAGGCCATTCTTGCTTTGTCTTCACGCATGTTATACATTTTTGAAAAAAAATTCATTCTTGGATTTTGGGCAGGTGAGAGAAGCTGAACATGTGCTTAGTCTGCCATTTTTAACCAATTTATTATGTTTGTAGTAATAAAAAGTTAATAAAATAATTATAAACCTTAAAGTGTTAGCCACCCAAATTTGCTCTCTCTGTCTCTGTTTTATTATTATTATTATTATTATTATTATTATTATTATTATACTTTAAGTTCTAGGGTACATGTGCACAACATGCAGGTTTGTTACATAGGTATGCATGTATCATGTTGGTTTGCTGCACCCATCAACTCATCATTTATATTAGGTATTTCTCCTAATGCTATCCCTCCCCCAGTCCACCACCCCCAACAGACCCCACTGTGTGATGTTCCCCGCCCTGTGTTCAAGTGATCTCATTGTTCATTTCCCACCTATGAATGAGAACATGCGGTGTTTGGTTTTCTGTCCTTGTGATAGTTTGCTGAGAATGATGGTTTCCAGCTTTATCCATGTCCCTGCAAAGGACATGCACTCATCCTTTTTATGGCTGCATAGTATTCCATGGTGTATATGTGCCACGTTTTTCTTAATCCAGTCTATCATTGATGGGCATTTGGGTTGGTTCCAAGTCTTTGGTATTGTGAATAGTGCCACAGTAAACATATGTGTGCATGTGTCTTTATAGTAGCATGATTTATAATCCTTTGGGTATATACCCAGTAATGGGATTGCTGGGTCAAATGGTAATTCTAGTTCTGGATCCTTGAGGAATCACCACACTGTCTTCCACAATGGTTGAACTAATTTACACTCCAACCAACGATGTAAAAGCATTCCTATTTCTCCACATCCTCTCCAGCATCTGTTGTTTCCTGACATTTTAATGACTGCCATTCTAACTGGCGTGAGATGGTATCTCATTGTGGTTTTGATTTGCATTTCTCTGATGACCAGTGATGATGAGCTTTTTTTCATGTCTCTGTTGGCTGCATAGATATCTTCTTTTAAGAAGTGTCTGTTCATATCCTTTGCCCACTTTTTGATGGGTTTGTTTGTTTTTTTTCTTGTAAATTTGTTTGAGTTCTTTGTAGATTCTGTATATTAGCCCTTTGTCAGATGGGTAGATTGCAAAAATTTTCTCCCATTCTGTAGGTTGCCTATTCACTCTGATGGCAGTTTTTTTCCCGTGCAGAAGCTCTTTAGTTTGATTAGATCCCATTTGTCAATTTTGGCTTTTGTTGCCATTGCTTTTGGTGTTTTAGTCATGAAGTCCTTGCCAATACCTATGTCCTGAATGATATTGTCTAGGTTTTCTTCTAGGGTTTTTATGGTTTTAGGTCTAACATTTAAGTCTTGAATCCATCTTGAATTAATTTTTGTATAAGGTGTAAGGAAGGGATCCAGTTTCAGCTTTCTGCATATGGCTAGCCAATTTTCCCAGCATTATTTATTAAATAGGGAATCCTTTCCCCATTTCTTGTTTTCGTCACGTTTGTCAAAGATCAGATGGTTGTAGATATGTGGTGTTATTTCTGAGGCCTCTGTTCTGTTCCATTGGTGTATATATCTGTTTTGGTACCAGTACCATGCCGTTTTGGTTACTGTGGCCTTGTAGTATAGTTTGAAGTCAGGTAGTGCGATGCCTCCAGCTTTGTTCTTTTTGCTTAGGATTGTCTTGGCAATGCAGGATCTTTTTTCATTCTATATAAACTTTAAAGTAGTGTTTTCCAATTCTGTGAAGAAAGTCATTGGTAGCTTGATGGGGATGGCACTGAATCTATAAATTACCCTGGGCAGTATGGCCATTTTCATGATATTGATTGTTCTTATCGATGAGCATGGAATGTTCTTCCATTTGTTTGTGTCCTCTTTTATTGTGTTGAGCAGTGGTTTGTAGTTCTCCTTGAAGAGGTCCTTCACATCCCTTGTAAGTTGTATTCCTAGGTATTTTATTCTCTTTGCAGCAATTGTGAATGGGAATTCACTCATAATCTGGCTCTCTGTTTGTCTGTTAATGGTGTATAGGAATTCTTGTGATTTTTGCACATTGATTTTGTGTCCTCAGACTTTGCTGAAGTTGCTTATCACCTTAAGGAGATTTTGGGCTGAGATGATGGGGTTTTCTAAATGTACAATCATGTCATCTGCAAACAGGGACAATTTGACTTCCTCTTTTCCTAACTGAATACCCTTTATTTCTTTCTCTTGCCTGATTGCCCTGGCCAGAACTTCTAATACTATGTTCAATAGGAGTGGTGAGAGAGGACATCCTTGCCTCGTGCTGGTTTTCAAAGGGAATGCTTCCAAATTTTGCCCATTCAGTATGATATTGGCTGTGGGTTTGTCATAAATAGCTCTTATTGTTTTGAGATACGTTCCATCAATACCTAGTTTATTGAGAGTTTTTAGCATGAAGGGCTGTTGAATTTTGTCGAAGGCCTTTTCTGTATCTGTTGAGATAATTGTGTGGTTTTTGTTGTTGGTTCTGTTTATGTGATAGATTACGTTTATTGATTTGCATATGTTGAACCAGCCTTGCATTCCAGGGATGAAGCCAACTTGATTGTGGTGGATAAGCTTTTTGATGTGCTGCTGGATTCGGTTTGCCAGTATTTTATTGAGGATTTTTGCATCGATATTCATCAGGGATATTGGTCTAAAATTCTCTTTTTTTGTTGTGTCTCTGCCAGGCTTTGGTATCAGGATGATGTTGGCCTCATAAAATGAGTTAGGGAGGATTCCCTCTTTTTCTGTTGATTGGAATAGTTTCAGAAGGAATAGTGCCACCTCCTGTTTGTACTTCTGGTAGAATTCGGCTGTGAATCCGTCTGGTCCTGGTCTTTTTTTGGTTGTTAGACTATTAATTATTGCCTCAATTTCAGATCCTGTTATTGGTCTATTCAGAGATTCAACTTCTTCCTGGTTTAGTCTTGGGAGGGTGTATGTGTCCAGGAATTTATCCATTTCTTCTAGATTTTCTAGTTTATTTGCATAGAGGTGTTTATAGTGTTCTCTGATGGTAGTTTGTATTTCTGTGGGATTGGTGGTGATATCCCCTTTATCATTTTTTATTGAGTCTATTTGATGCTTCTCTCTTCTTTATTAGTCTTGCTAGCAGTCTGTCAATTCTGTTGATCTTTTTAAAAAAAAAACTCCTGGATTCATTGTTTTTTTTTGAATGGTTTTTTGTGTCTCTATCTCTTTCAGTTCTGCTCTGATCTTAGTTATTTCTTGCCTTCTGCTAGCTTTTGAATTTGCTCTTGCTTCTCTAGTTCTTTTAATTGTGATGTTAGGGTGTCGATTTTAGATCTTTCCTGCTTACTCTTGGGGCATTTAGTGCTATAAGTTTCCTTCTACACCCTGCTTTAAATGTGTCCCAGATTGTGGTGCGTTGTGTCTTTGTTCTCGTTGGCTTCAAAGAACATGTTTATTTCTGCCTTCAGTTCATTATTTACCCAGTAGTCATTCAGGAGCAAGTTGTTCAGTTTCCATGTAGTTGTGCAGTTTTGAGTGAGTTTGTTAATCCTGAGTTCTAATTTGATTACACTGTGGTCTGAGAGACAGTTTGTTGTGATTTCTGTTGTTTTACATTTGCTGAGGAGTGCTTTACTTCCAATTATGTGGTCAATTTTAGAATAAGTGCGATGTGGTGCTGAGAAGAATGTATATTCTGTTGATTTGGGATGGAGAGTTCTGTAGTTGTCTATTAGGTCTGCTTGTTGCAGAGCTGAGTTCAGGTCCTGGATATCCTTGTTAACCTTCTTTCTTGTTGATCTATCTAATATTGACAGTGGGGTGTTAAACTCTCCCCTTATTATTGTGTGGGAGTCTAAGTCTCTTTGTAGGTCTCTACAGACTTGTTTTATGAATCTGGAAACTCCTGTATTGGGTGCATATATATTTAGGATAGTTATCTTTTCTTGTTGAATTGATTCCTTTACCATTATGTCATGGCCTTCTTTGTCTCTTTTGATCTTTGTTGGTTTAAAGTCTGTTTTATCAGTGAGTAGGATGGCAACCCCTCCTTTTTTTGCTTTCCGTTTGCTTGGTAGATCTTCCCGCATCCCTTTATTTTGAGCCTACCTGTGTCTTTGCACATGAGATGGGTCTCCTGAATACAGCACACTGATGGGTCTTGACTCTTTATCCAATTTGCCAGTCTGTGTCTTTTAATTGGGGCATTTAGCCCATTTATATTTAAAGTTAATATTGTGATGTGTGAATGTTTTCCTGTCGTTATGATGTTTGCTGTTTGTTTTGCCTGTTAATTGATGCAGTTTCTTCATAGCAGTGATGGTCTTTATAATTTGTCATGTTTTTGCAGTGGCTGGTACCGGTTGTTTCTTTCCATGTTTAGTGCTTCCTTCAGGAGTTCTTGTAAGGCAGGCCTGGTGGTGACAAAATCTCTCAGCATTTGCTTGTCTGTAAAGGATCTTATTTCTCCTTCACTTATGAAGCTTAGTTTGGCTAGATAAGAAATTCTGGGTTGAAAATTATTTTCTTTAAGAATGTTAAAGTGCAGTATTTGGGCAGCAGTGCCCCATTTTTCCAGGTAGTCTGTCATGGCTTCCCTTGGCTAGGAAAGGGAAATCCCCCGACCCCTTGTGCTTCCTGGGTGAGGCGATGCTCTGCCCTGCTTTGGCTTTTCCTGTGTGGGCTGCACCCACTGTCCAACCAGTCCCAGTGAGATGAACCAGGTACCTCAGTTGGAAATGCAGAAATCACCCGTCTTCTGCGTCGATCATGTTGAGAGCTGCAGACCGGAGCTGTTCCTATTCGGCCATCTTGGAACACCCCTTGTTTCTCTGTTTTTGTCTGTCCCTCTTTCCCTATAGGTATATGTGTATACACACATATATACACATATGAAATATACATAGAAAATATACTATTAAATACATCTGCATTTTCTGAAGGAAGGAAATGGACTCAAGTTGCAACATTCAGGGTTTCAGTTTGACCTAAGATTTTCATGATAGCAATGGTAGTTGAACAGTGGAATGAGTTTCTGAGAAATAGCAAGGCATGCTTATCTGGAAGCTTTTGTTTATTGAGATACATTTTATGTAACATAAAATTCACCTTTTTAACCATTTTAAAGAGTACAATTCAGTGTTTTTTATTATATTAACAATGTTGAGCAACCAGCACTATTTAATTCTAGACCATTTTCATCAGCCCAAAGAGGAAGCTCATACCCATTCTCCCTTTTTTTTCTTTTCTTACACAATTGCTCATTGAGGAAGCTCCCATATATTCCTACTTCACTGAGTGTTCTTATTATAAAAGGGTGATGGGATTTTGTCAAATGCCTTTTCTAAGTCAACTGAAATGGTTTTCCCCTCTTTCCTTCTATTATTATTGCGTATATTACATTGATTGATTTTTTTTTTCGTCTGTTGAACCACTCTTGAATGCCTGAGATCAGTCTTGCTTGTTCGTACATCATGGTGTATAATCCTTTTAATATGGTGCTGGATTCTCTTTGCTAATATTTTTTGAGGATATTTGCATCTATATTTAAAAGGAATATTACTCTGTAGTTTTTCCTTCTTGTGATGTCTTTGGCTTCCTTGTCAGGATAATATTGGCTTCATCGAATGAGGTAGGAGGTATTTTTTCCTTCTATTTTTTGGGAAGAATTTGAGGATTAATGTTTGGTTTAAAGTTTGAGGATTAAATGTTTGGTAAAATTTGCCCATGAAGCCATCTGGTCCTAGGCTCTCTGTTGGAGGGTTTTTTTGTTTGTTTGTTTGTTTGTTTGTTTTGAGATGGAGTCTCACTCTGTCACCCAGGCTGGAGTTCAGTGGTGCAATCTTGGCTCACTGGAACCTCTGCCTTCTGGGTTCAAGTGATTCTCCTGCCTCAGCCTCCTGAGTAGCTGGGATTACAGGTGCGTGCCACCACACCCAGCTAATTTTTGTATTTTGAGTAGAGACGGGGTTTTGCCATGTTGGCCAGGGTGGTCTAGAACTCCTGACCTCAAGTGATCCACCTGCCTCAGCCTCTCAAAGTGCTGAGATTACAGGAATGAGCCATGGTGCCTGGCCTTGTTGGAGGTTTTTTGATTGCTGATTTAGTATTTTTACTTATTATAGCTCTATTTAGATCTTCTGTTTCTTCTCGAGTCAGTTTTGGTAGTTCATGTGTTTCTAGGCATTTGTCAATTCCATGCAGTTTATCTAATTTGTTGGGGTACAACAGTTCATAATATTCTGTTATGATCCTTTTTACTTCTGTAAAGTCAGTACTAATGTACCCACTTTCATTTCTAATTTTAATAATATTAGTCTTTCCTCTTGTTTTCCTGGTCAGTCTAGGTAAAGGTTTGCAAATTTTGTTGATTGTTTCAAACAACCATTTGGTTCTTTTTTCATTGTTGTAAAAAATATGTAACCTAAAAATTACCATTTTAACCACTTTTATGTGTTCAGTTCTGTAGCATTAAGTATATTCACATTCTTATGCAACCATCATCACTGATGCATCTCCAGAACTTTTTCATCTCACAAAACTGATAGTTTGTACCATTAAGTACTAAATCCGCTTTTTGCCCTCCTCCTAGGTCCTGGCAACCACCATTCTACTTTCTTTCCATCTCTATGAATTTGATGACTCTAGGTGCCGCATATAAGTGGAATCAAACAATAATTGTTCTTTTGTGCCTGGCTTACTTCACTTAGCACAATGTCGTCAGGGTTTACTTATTTTAGCATGTGTCAGCATTTCTTTTTAAGGGTAAATAATATTTTATTGTATGTATATAACACATTTTGTTTATCCATTCTTCCAATAATAGACAGTAAAGTTGCTTCAGTCTTTTAGGTATTGTGAATAATACTACTATAAATATGGATATTCAAAAAAACCCTTATTTTTATTAATTCTCTATTTTCTATTTTCTATTTTGCTTATCTCCACTCCAATCTTTTTTTTTTTTTTTTTTGGAGAGAGAGTTTCACTTTGTTGCCCAGGCTGGAGTACACTGGCATGATCACAGCTCACTGCAGCCTCAACCTGTTGGGCTTAAGTGATCCTCCCACCTCCCACCTAAGTAGCTAGGACTACAGGTGGCCACACCTGGCTAATCTTTTTAAAAAAAAATTTGTAGAGACGGGCTCTGACTATGTTACCCAGGCTGGTCTTGAACTCCTGAACTCAAGTGATCCTCCTGCCTCAGCCTCCCAAAATGCTAGGATTACAGGTGTGAGCCACTGCACCTAGCCCACTTCAGTCTTTATTATTCTGGTTGACTTGGGTTTTGTTTGCTCTTCTTTTCTAGTTTCTTCAGGTTAAAAGTTAGGTTATTGATTTAAGAGCTTTCTTTTCGTTTTTTTTTAAATTAACTTTTATTTATTTATTTATTTATTTATTTAGAGATGGAGTCTCGCTCTGTTGCCCAGGCTGGAGTGCAGTGACATGATCTTGGCTCACTGCAACCTCTGCTAGTGGAGATGGGGTTTCACCATGTTAGCCAAGCTGGTCTTGATCTCCTAACCTCAGGTGATCCACCCGCCTTGGCCTCTCAAACTGCTAGGATTACGGGTGTGAGCCACTGTGCCCAGCCATAAACTTTATTCTTAAGAGAAATTTCAGGTTCTCGCAAAATTGAGCAGAAGGTATAGAGATTTCCTATATACCTCCTTCCCCCACACATACATAGCCTCCCCACTATCAACATCACCCACAAGAATGACACACTTGTTACAATTGGTGAAGCTATATTTACGCATCATTATCACCCAAAGTCCATAGTTTATATAGGGTTCACTCTTAGTGTTGAATATTGTATGAGTTTGGACAAATTTACAATGATAGGTGTTTACCATTATAATATTGTGCTGAGTAGTTTCATTCCCCTAGGAATCCTCTGTGCTCTGCTTGGTCATCCCCCCTCACCCTGCTAGCTTCTGACAACCACCAATCTTTTTATTGTCTATATAGTTTTGCCTTTTCTGGAATGTCATATAGTTGGAATCATACAGTATGTAGCCTTTTTGGATGGGCTTCCTTCACTTATTAATGTGCAATTAAATTTCCTTTATGTCTTTTCATGGCTTGATAAATCATTTTTTTAATGCTGAATAATATTCCATTGTCTGAATATACCACAGTTTATTAATTCACCTCTTGAAAGACATCTTGGTTGCTTCCAAGTTTGAGCAAATATGAATAAAGTTGTTATAAACATTTATGTGCAGGTTTTTATGTAGACATAAGCTTTCAACTCCTTTGGGTAGATACCAAGGAACATGATTGCTGGATTATATGGTAAGAGTATGTGCTGTTTTGTAAGAAAGTGCCAAACTGTCTTCCAAAGTTGGCTGTACCATTCTGCATTCTCATCAGCAATGAATGAGAGTTCCTGTTGCTCCACATCCTCATCAGCAATGAATGGGAATTCCTGTTGCTTTACATCGTCATCAGCATTTGGTGCTGTCACAGTTATGGATTTTGGCCATCCTAATAGGTGTGTGGGGGTATCTCATTGCTGTTTTAATTTACATTTCCCTGATGACATTTGTTATGGAACATCTTCTCATATGCTTCTATCTTTCTGGTGAGGTGTCTGTTAAGGTCTTTGGCCCATTTTTAACCAGGTTGTTTTCTTATTGTTGTGTTTCTGTTTTTGTTTTTGTTTTTTTTTGAGACAGAGTCTTGCTGGTTCGCCCAGACTGGAATATAGTGGTACAATCTTGGCTCACTGCAACCACATCTCCCCAGTTCAAACAATTCTCATGCCTCAGTCTCCTGAGTAGGTGGGATTACAGGTGTGCACCACCATGCCTGGCTAATTTTTGGACTTTTAGTAGAGACGGGATTTCGCCATGTTGGCCAGGCTGGTCTTGAACTCCCGACGTCAAGTGATCTGCCTGCCTCAGCCTCCTGAAGTGTTGGGATTACAGGTGTGAGCCACCATGCCCAGCCTGGATTGTGAGGTTTTAACCACTATACATAGGATGTATATGTTTGTATATGTATCTGAGGTCAAGATAGCCTGTAAACATTTTCTTTCTTTAAATTTTTAATATTTTGTAACTAAAATATATTTCACGCAGTATTTTTCTGGAAGTGTACTTCTTAGTACAATTGTCTTCATCACAGAAACAACTGAGCATTCAAGCCTGAGTAGACCTTGATTTTTTTTAAGGAAGCAAATGTAATGTCTGTCTTATCTTGGTAATATTTTTAATTTACTGAAAATTATTTAATCAAACCCATTTTAATTCCAGAAAACTTGAGTGTGTCAAAGATAAAAACCATTCTTAACACATGGACACATAGAGAGGAATGATGGACACTAGGGCTTACCAGAGGGTGGAGGGTGGGAGGATGGAGAGGATCAGCAAAAATAACTAACATGTACTAGGCTTAATACCTGGGTGACTAAATTATCTGTACAACAAACCCCTGTGACACAAGTTTACCTATATAACAAACCTATACATGTACCCTTGAAATTAAAATAAAAGTTAAAAAAAAATTCTCAGAGATGTTTTAGCTTTTCCATTGTCTCTCCTGCCCCACTACCAACCCCTACCCCAGCTAAGATCAGTTCCTCTATTGGTGTGTCAAGAATTACACACATTTCTGGGAAGATTGGTTTTCTGACTGTTAGATTGAAGATAAATATTGGCTACTCTTTTGGGCTGTTTGGCTGATTGAACACAACAGTTGTAATCCTTATACCAGTAAAATTTTAGAAAATTAACTGTAGAATGTTATCTTAAAATATTTAAGGCTGGGCACAGTGGCTCATGCCTGTAATCCCAGTACTTTGAGAGGCCAAGGCACGCGGATCACTTGAGGCCAGGAGTTTGAGCCCAGCCTGGCCAACATGGCGAAACCTTGTCTTTACTAAAAATACAAAAATTAGCCAGGTATGGTGATGTGCAACTGTGATTCCAGCTACTTGGGTGGCTGAGGCACGAGAATTGCTTGAACCCATGAGATGGAGGTTACAGTGTGCCAAGATCATGCCACTGCACTTCAGCTTGGGTGACAGAGCGAGACTGTGTCAAAAAAAAAAGGCTGGGCGTGGTGGCTCACACCTGTAATCCCAGCACTTTGGGAGGCCAAGGCAGGCAGATCACAGGTCAGGAGATCGAGATCATCCTGGCTAACATGGTGAAACCCCATCTCTACTAAAAATACAAAACATTAGCTGGGTGTGGTGGCGGGCACCTGTAGTCCTAGCTACTCAGGAAGCTGAGGCAGGAGAATTGCTTGAACCCGGAAGGTGGAAGTTGCAGTGAGCCGAGATCATGCCACTGCACTCCACCCTGGGCGACAGAGCGAGACTCTGTGTCAAAAAAAAGAAAATAAATAAATCCTTAAAAGGCAGATGAGGGCACAGACTTAACAGAATTCAGACAAGTAGATCCTCATTACTGGCCGGGCGCAGTGGTCCTGTAATCCCAGCACATTGGGAAGCTGAGGTGGGCGGATCATTTGAAGTCAGGAGTTTGAGACCAGCTTGGCCAACATGGTGAAACTCTGTCTCTACTAAAAATATAAAATTTAGCCAGGCATGGTGGCGGGCGCCTGTAATCCCAGCTACCCGGGAGGCTGAGGCAGGAGAATCACTTGAACCCAGGAGGCAGAGGTTGTGGTGAGCCAAGATGGTGCCATTGCACTCCTGCCTGGGTGACAGAGGGAGACTCCAACTCAAAAAAAAAAAAAAAAGATCCTCATTACTGAATCCCTTTGATTTGCCAATTTGCCAGAGCAGGAGACTCAGATTTCTCAGAAACAGACATGAATTGATCCAGGGCATAGGCTCCAGAGGATGGAATGGTGAATGAATGAAAAAGCAGTGCTGCTTAACATTAAATATCTTTCTCAAGTAACTAGGCATTAGGTCACAGCCAACTCAGGACTCAGGAGGACTCCGTTTATAGTAAATCTTGTTTACTTCAGAAAAATCAGAGAATCTTACGACTAGGAAAGGGTTTTTTTTTTTAACTTATTTTATCCAAATATCCAAGTGATATATACGTTCAAATAGGTATATCTCAGGATAGTAGTATTTTTTACTACTGTAAAATATACTGATTTTTGTAACCTTATGAACTTGTATTGTCTGTCGTAAAAAAGAGACATCCAAAGGCAAGTTACAAGAGTAACTATAAAGTAAGAAATTGGTGGAAGAGGAAGTGTCTAATTGTTCATTCCATCATGAATCAACTACACTTCCCTGAAAAAGTTTAACTCTGATGTAGAAAAGGGGCAAATCTTAAGATTTGAAAGTCCACTTCAGTCTTGACCCTGAGAGATGTTAGCAATACCTACTGACTTACTTTTGGATGGCCTGGATTAATTTCTGTTTTGATGTGTTCAGGAGCTTTATTTCCAAATACATCCCTGGGGATTAAATTGAATATGAAAATCAACCAATAAAATCCCTAACTAGCCTCTAAAAATTATACTGAGAACAACTTGGGCTCTTTCTCTGAATCAGGTTTCATCTCATTTCATTCCAGAATCCTCTTGCCTCCAGTGTGATTCTGTTGTCACACCAGGCTTTTTCCATCATCAAATCTTGGCTCTTTCAGGTCCTATGTCCTTAAAATTCCACTCTGAGGCTCATGAACAATAATAAATGAATTTGTAAATAAATGAACTTCTTACATCTCTCTGGTAACATTTGAAATGTAGTAGCTGGCTTTCATGCCTCATAGTGAACAATGTAGGGATTTGCATGGAGAAGTAACGTCTCTAAGTCCCCACCTCTGACCCAGACCACTGGGCAGAGTGGTTAGAACCTCACAATCCAGTCCAGGCTCAGTGGCTCATGCCTGTAATCTCAGCACTTTGGGAGGCTGAGGCGAGCAGATCACCCGAGGTCAAGAGTTCGAGACCAGCCTGACCAACATGGCAAAACCCCCGTCTCTACTAAAAATACAAAAATTAGCTGGGTGTGGTGGTGGGCGCCTGTAATCCCAGCTACTCGGGAGGCTGAGGCAGGAGAATCGCTTGAACCCAGGAGGCGAAGGCTACAGTGAGCCGAGATTGCAACACTGCACTCCAGACTGTATGACAGAGCGAGACTGTCTCAAAATAAATAAATAAATAAATAAATAAATAAATAAATAAATAAAATAAAAATAGAAACTCACAATCCAGAGTTATTTACTGAAGCGTTAGCTCTGGCAGTTCTTCTGGCTTCCCATTCTCTGTTTCCTGTAAATAAATACAGATCTAAATGTCTCGGACAAAAGACTTTCTCCTGCCAACTGCCCTCACGAGTGCTCCCCCACTTTCCTGGTACCTGCTCCTCTTTGGGGTTTGGTTCTGGAAGTTCTGGTGCCAGACAGCCATGGACAAGGATAACTTTTACAATGCTGTGCAGCTCTGCATAGCAGAAAGGGCTTAGGCAGATCTGAATCCTGGCCCTGCCACTTGCCAGCTGTGTGACTTTGTCCAAGTTACCTAAACCCTCTACCTTGATTCCTCACCTATAAAAGGCAGACAGTATCACCTACCTCAGAGGGATTTTGTGAGAATTAGAAGTAGCATATGTGAAGCTCTTAGCATGGTGTCTGGCATGTAGCATGTGCTTTAAAAGTGCATGGCTGAGTGTGGCTCACGCCTGTAATCCCAGCACTTTGGGAGGGTGAGGTGGGTGGATCACTTGAAGTCAGGAGTTCAAGACCAGCCTGACCAACATGGTGAAACCTCGTCTCTACTAAAAATACAAAAATTAGCCAGGCATGGTGGTGAGCACCTGTAATACCAGCTACTCGGGAGGTTGAGACAGGAGAATCGCTTGAACCCGGAAGGCGTAGGTTGCAGCGAGCTGAGATTGGAGCACTGCACTCCAGCCTGGGCAACAGAGCAAGACTCTTATCTCAGAAAAAAAAAATGCCTAATACTATTTGTTATATACCATCTTCCATGCTTTGGGAGTTTGTGCAAGTATCAGATAAGGTGGTTATTTGCTAAACTTTGTAGGAATACCTTGATACAAGAAATGAAAATGTATTCAACTCAGCATGAAAGGAAAATGTATATTAAAAGGAAAAAGTAGTATCTCACTAAGGACATGCGAATATTTCTTTTCACTTTATTTTTCTCTTTGCAGAATATGACTATCTAAATGCAAACTGATGGGATCAGGGTCTAAAATCCTCCACTGATTTCCTCTTTTGCTGGTGATCTAGTTCTCTAGGTGAGCTCATTTTAACCTGCAAACCCAAATCACGGGGCTTCTTTTGGGCACCACCTCCTCCCTCAGTGGCCTCGTATTATTTCCTATATTTTATTCTGGCTTCATCCCAAATACTGCCCCCAAATCCTAATTTCATTCTTTATTTTATGCTCCTCGACATACTAGCTTAGCAGGAAGGGCCCTTTCTCACGGACAGGTGGATTCCCAGTATGAACCCTGCTCAAAACAAAAACAAAAACAAACAAACAAAAATGGTGTCTCCATATTCACGAGTGTTTATACCTCTTCAGGGCTCATGCTTCACACCATCTACAGCTGTTATTCAGGGTCCTAGCTTCTAACCAGCTTCCAATGTAATTCTCACATTCTCTTCTTATTGTTTGTGACAATTCCCTTTCAGGTCTAGCTTGACAGTACTTTGCAAGGATCAGTGAAGAGTGGTTGAGAATTTGGATGTATCAGGACCTCATTTTGGAATGCACAGAAATCAGAAATGGAAATTTATTTAATGTATAAGATGACTTACTGAAAAAAAGTAGAGGGGTAGGGAATGACATTTTATTATAACAGCATTTGTATAAAATCATTTTGATCATCTTTAAGTATGCACAAACAGCTATCGAAAGGCATGTAAACATGAACCAAGTTTTTTTTCTTTATTTTCTAAAAGCAGTAAAAACATTTATACAGGACATTATGAAAGTCTAATGCCATCATTAGGACCCAACTGCTGCAGGTTACCAGTGTGGAATTGCATATCACCAGATGCTGTTCCACAAATGGACAGGCAAGCAGGATGATAGCATTCTCTTGATTACTATAATAGTCACAATAATACTTATAATTAAAGAAAGCTTCCTTTAGCTGGATTACCCTGCATAAATAGGCAACACAGTTAATCAAATGTAAACATATGTTTTCTAACACCAGTATAGAAAATACAAAACTAATTACAATCAGAACAATTTCTACCTTATCCTACTATAGTAATTATTACGCTTTGCTTCTTTGCGGTGTGATCTCTATGTTTTTTTTCCCATTCATCATCTTCTGTGTCTTGGTCAAATGACTCAGGATATGCTGGTAACTTGTCTTTGGGGCATTCTTCATAGTAACTTCTAATATATTTTCCCACAGACCATCCTTTGTATTCTTCAGGCGTTTTGCATTCCAGGCCATTAAAATGGACATTGTAGTGGTGCTTTAACCAGTAGTAGAGGTAGTGAATGTTGTAGTCACATCTCCAAGGGTTATCTCTGAGCCACAAGAGTTTCAAAAAATACAAGTCTTCTAATACGCCATAGTCAAAGTTTTGCAGACTGTTGTTTGATAAATCTAATTCTTCTAAATGTGTGAGCCCTAAAAAAGCGGCTGGAAACAGAAAATATTTATTGAGCCTGAGTAATTGAGTTAATACAGTGTATGGCATATGGAAAGGACAAATACAAATTTTAAAAAGAGGCTTAATTTTCCCCTTTGAAAATAAAGAGATTTCTTTTCCTTTCTTTTTCTCAGAGCTTTTACTTTAGAAAACTTTTAACTATAAGTACTTTCTCCTCTCTTTGAAATGTCTTTAAATCCTTTTGAAGACTAGATAGGCTTTTTGTCACCTTTATGATGCAAGAATGTATTTTCCAAGGACATCTCCCAGCTCTGGTGGGAAGGTGGGGTCCTAACTTTGGTGAGATCTTGCTTCCAGTTGCAAAACTACCTCCTGTCATGAAGACAGAAATTTATTTTTCTCTGAATAAGGCCAATAAGCTAACACAGATGGTCACTCCATTTACCAGGTAAAGTTAGGATGAATTATGTGTGACAAAAGGTGTTGTCAAATCTTCTTCCTTAAGGATTCGTTATTGCTTGTCCTGAAAACGTATATGTAATGGGTGGTATCTGCTTGGCTACACAGGGATGAGATTCCTGTAATGGGTGGTATCTGCCTGGTTACATAGTGGCGAGAGTCTTTGCAGTCTCTTAGTGGATTGCCTGTGATATGCGTCACATTCTGGTTTAATGCTTAGTCAATAATGAAAGTGTTTCTTTCGTTACTACCTTTGTGGAGAGAATTTCTGGATTGATAGAAGGTTTTGTTTTTAATTATATTTCTTCACTGTAAATGTGTCTAAATGCAAAATTGTGAAATATATTGTTACTCAAAGCTTTTCCCTTGATTAGTTTTACTAGAATACAATATTCAGTTTTAAGTTAGCTTTAAAAAATGTATTTTGGGCTTTTTTTTTTTTTGGTATTTACTTGGGAAAAAAAGATGCTACAAAAAAGAGACATGAATTAAGAAAATATTTCGCATGTAAGACAAGTGCAGATAAAAATGAAAAATGTGCCGGGTGGTGATCTGACAGTTCCTGGGATATCAGTAACACTGAAAATGCCTAGAAAACAACCTTTTCCCAGTGTTGGGGGAAGGGTTCTATTCCTGTAGAGTCCAAAAACAATTTTTCCACATTTTGAAAACATCTGGTTGTATTTTGGCAAACTATGGTAGCTATCAGCTTTGAATCCATATGTATTTAATTTTGCTGGAGGCTGGATAATTAAAACCAATATAACTGAAAATAAAACAACAAAAAGCTTTTTTCACCCTCTAAGAGCAAAGAAATCTACACCTGGGTTATCTGTATTCCAGTTGATATGGACCAGCCAGATACTCCAGAAATACTCACAAATATTTTGTTTCTATTTCAAACATTATCTCATTATTGTTTTAAAATACTCTTGTAGAGCATAGCGTCCTTATTTTGAATTAGGAAAATATGTGGTCATACCAATACTATTAACTATTTTCATATTATCTGTTCTCAGAAAAAACCCATAATTCCCCCTTAAAAAAATAACTTTCTATTTTGGTACCAAGCAATGTCTTGCGGGTAGGGGACAAAAGATCAGCCCTTGTGTTCTGAAGATACTGGATTTTTTCTATTTGCTAAAATTCTGTGAGTCAGTGATCTCACAGATTTACTTTTCTCAAGACATTAGACTTTGAGATTAAAAGCATATGTAAACATTCCTAGATTTTATTTTGAAAGTGTTGTATATTGTTATTTAAACCATATATATTCAGGCACTTGAGAAAACTAGTTTTAGTCTGTTTCTTAAAGGAGGTAAAAACCCCCTAGTAGGGTATCTTCTTTCTCTTTTCCACAACAATGTCTGGCATTTTATATGATTGTTATTCACGTCTTTTAAAGTCTGGCAACTCCCACTGCATTTGTATACTTACCACAGCAAAAATCATTCACGTAAGTCTACTTGCAGGGTTTCATCTCAAAGACCCTGAAATATAGGAGACCTTTCATTTTAAAACTTCTTTAGGTCATTTTGCCTTAACTGCCAAGATACTTTTTTGTTTCAAAAGAACTTTTGTTCTAGGAAAGTGCTTGGCATTTGGTAGGTGCTCAGTAAATATTTATTAATGTAGGAAATACGTTCCTGAGATTGAATTGAACAAAGGGGGAAAAAAGAGTACCACCACTGATGGTAGAGACCATTTTGTGTCAGCAAGGAACACACATTTGGTGAACAAGATTAAAAGGCCTTCAGGGGATCCTAAGGACAGAAAAGGAATCCCTGCAATTATGGGAATTCCACAACTGATGAAAAGTATCAGTTACGGGAAACATGTGAAAAACATCAGTAGAAGCAAGGCAAGTCCATTTTACACTATTATCTATCTCTTTGCATTGTCTTCTCATTTTTCTCAAGTTTTCTTTGTATACTAGTTTTGTTGTAACTAAAACATTGCCACACTGTTACTCATTACTTTAATACATTTAACTTAGGACATATAATAACTATTATAATCTTTTTTTTTTTTTGAGACAGCTTTAAAACTTGTTTGCATTGATAGTTGGTAAACTACAGTTTTGCTTGTGGATGACAGCAGAAGGAAATTAGACACTTGCCCAAGGACCTTTGGAATGGCTTTTGCTTGTCCTGAGATTCTTTAGTTTGTAGCCATCCAATGGGTTCACCTTGCCCGCTGCCTAGACAGAGTCTATTTATCAAGACAGGGGAATTGCAATGGAGAAAGAGTAATTCATGCAGAGCTGGCTGTGCGGGAGACCAGAGTTTTATTATTACTCAAATCAGTCTCCCTGAGCATTCAGGCATCAGAGTTTTTAAAGATAATTTGCTAGGTAGGGGCTTGGGAAGTGGGGAGTGCTGATTGGTCAGGTTGGAGATGGAATCATAGGGGGTCGAAGTGAGTTTTTCTTGCAAGAAAGGGTCTCCACTTCCAGATTCTTTACCCTGTACCCTGGCTTTGTGGACATGACACTGGCTACCAGTGACTGACTTGCACACTAATGTAATGCTAACTTCATTTGGGAGAAGGGTGTCTGTAGTATCCTTATTTATTGAAAAATGAAAATTGCTTTTGACTTCACAGTTCAAACATACTCCCAAGTTAGCATCATCTGTAACAAGCTAAGGTATAAGTGTAGCATACTGCTGTCCCTTGGGAAATTTTAAAAAATTATGCTTTTCTAATTTTTAAAAAAAGGTTAACTCTAAAATATGCCCTTGTGGCTCCAGAATGTTCATTCTAATTTTTCACTTTTATTGTGTTAAAATTCTAATGTTCTATTAATGGTATTAGATTATCATGAAGAAAAGCAGGGGAAACAGTTGTACTCAAAATGTTTATAACATTACATTACATTATTAATAATTTTAATAATCATTTTCATAGTTAAAACTTTTCAAATTGAAGTAGCCTAGTGAAAGCACTTGTGTTATATATGTTATAAATCTGGTCAATATTGCAGTAATTCTCAGTTCTTTCCAAATCCGATGTGTTTACTTAATTTACCAAGCTCATTTTCGCCAGAGGCTTTGCTTAGCAAATGGAGAAGAGATTTGAAGGATGGGAAAGAGAATTGGTCTTGATCTAGAACTAGATATAATATGTCTGGCTCTGGTTTGAGCACATTTTATCCTAATTTGAGCTTAGTGCTTAGCAGTTTGTTTCTAATTTATTCTAAACAAGATGGGGCTTAATGAATAGCAAAAAAAATTCCAAATTTGAATTTCCCTTTAAAAATCACTACATTTAGGCCAGGCATGGTGGCTCACGCCTGTAATCCCAGCACTTTGGGAGGCTGAGGTGGGCGGATCATGAGGTCAGGAGATAGAGACCATCCTGGCTAACACGGTGAAACCCTGTCTCTGCTAAAAATACAGAAAAATTAGCCGGGCGTGGTGGCGGGTGCCTGTAGTTCCAGCTACTTGGGAGGCTGAGGCAGGAGAATGGCGTGAACCTGGGAGGCGGAGCTTGCAGTGAGCCGAGATTGCACCATTGCACTCCAGCCTGGCAACAGAGCTAGACTCCATCTCAAAAAAAAAAACAAACAAAAAAAGTCACTACATTTGGCCAGGCGCGGTGGCTCATGCCTGTAATCCCAGCACTTTGGGAGGCCAAGGTGGGCGGATCACCTGAGGTCAGGAGTTTGAGACCAGCCTGACCAACATGATGAAACCCCATCTCTACTAAAAATACAAAATTAGCCAGGCCTGGTGGCACATGCCCATAATCCCAGCTGCTTGGGAGGCTGAGGCAGGAGAATTGCTTGAACCCAAGAGGCAGAGGTTGCAGTGAGCCGAGATCACACCATTGCAATCCAGTCTGGGCAACAAGAGTGAGACTCCATCTCAAAAAACAAAAAAAAAACCACTACATTTTAGTATACTATTGACCATTTGCCATATATTACTTTAAAAATCTATAACACACTATTTGGGCTAACTGAATTAAATGGTAGTAATATGTGGTATTACATACTTCATAAAGCAGCATTTTGGCAAGTATTTATCTGAGTGGCAAACAACTCCTAGTATAAGTGTCATGTTTAATTAAAACTTGTACTTTATTATTTAGTTCAGTTACTTTTAAACTGAATTTACTGTATATAAGTGTTGCCATAGAAAAAAATCACAGAACACTTGCCACCCATTGAAGGGGCTATACAGGGGAACTTACCAGGATCGATGAATTCAATGCCATTGCTGCTGAGGTTTAATTTCTTCAGCTCATGAACATCTTCAAATTCCTTGGGTCGAAGTTGGTTGATTTTATTGTATGACAAGTCAAGTTTAACAATATCTGGAGGGATGTTGTTTGGCACTTTTTTCAACTCTGGAAAATTTAATAATATTTACGTTATTATGCTCTTTTTGCCCCCATTTCCTCGGTCACCGTTATATCTGTGTGATTGAAGAATCAGCTCTTAAAGAGAAGGGGTAAAGGGATATCTAAAGCCAAAGAAAGTTAGTATGAAACAAGCCTTAGCATACGCTAAATTCCATCAAAGCCCAGCAAAGCCTACAGTGACTTCCCATCTAATTGTGATGAAAGCCAGAGTCCTCACTAAGGCCCTATAAAGCCATTAAGACCTGTAGGTCATCCTTGTCACCAAAGTCAGAACCTCCTAGGTTCTAGAAAGCAGCCTGTTTATCAGGACTTGCTTATTGAACCCACATCTGCTGGGCTGGACATGAAGGTGGATGACAGAGCAACCATTTTAGGGCAAGCTAAAGTGGGTTAACCACAAATAAATGGGTCGAAAAAAATGTTTATGAGAACACCCTGACACTAGGCCTAGGCAATGTGGCAGATCTGTGGGTGCTGGAAAAAGAATATAAACTGCAGAATCCATTTTGGGATTGTCAGCAGCAGTCCTGGGTAAAAATAGCATCCACAAGTAATACCAGGAAATGCAAAACAAAGGCTTTCCTAGTGTGGCTTAGAAAAACACAGGAAAATCTCATTTGCTGTGTTGATAAATAGAAAAATTCTTTAGTTCTTTTACCTTAGAACTTCAATGAGAATTGCAAATATTGCAAATATTGATGCAAAGTGTTTGCTTTTGATAAAGAGTATATAAATATACATTTCCCCAGACCAGAAGGAGAATTTGATCAATGCCCCTATTTCTAGTCCAGGTACTATGTGGTATGCACATTTCATATATACTGCTACCCCAAATTCTTGGTAAATGCCTCAACAAATACCATATTTACTTGATTATTACCCCTTACAAGCTTGCTCCTTCTCCAGCCAAATCTTGTTGATTTTGAGGAGGAAATTAGGAAATTTCTCCAGGTAATTTCCCCATTTAGCAGGCTATATTGGTTGTCAGCAACCTCAGAACTACTCTGAAAGCTTGTAGCAGTAAGAAAAGAGACATAAATGGCCCTGTTTATTGCATATACAAAATTCTTAACTATTGTTCAAGCTGTAGTAAAATTGTGACCTTAACTTTGGAGGCAGCTAAGGGTAATTTACCTGCGTAATTCTCCCCCATCTGATGTTAGAAGTAAAATAACTCCTTAAAAATGGTAAACTATTCTGGTCAATGTGAAGCTAAAGCAGTTTAAAAACTCTGACTTTCATGTATTCTTGACAAATCCGTTTACCTCAATATGGCATAAATATGCCTTTCAATTAGTCTCACATTTATTCCCTTTGAAACACTAGGATTTCTTGGCAAAGTACCTGTTTCTCAGTGAATAAAGCTATTATTTCTTTTTCTTGCCATTAGATATTTAAGGCAAAAATACATAGTGATCATTGAGGTCTGTGTGGTTGAATGGGCACATATTAGGTCCCCTATACACACCATCTGACTCATTGCAAGTCAGCTGGGCAAGTCTCAACTCCGAGTTGGGGAATCTGTATGCAAGTTCTCTATGTGTGACCATGTATATGTGGTATACTTGTACCGATCCTCAGGTTGTCACACTTCAATTCTAGCCATGATTTTTAACTTCTGTGTATTTTCACTTTCAATGGTTGCTTAAATTACTGCTTTGAAAGAATAAAGAAGAGTAGTCCAGTTATCATCATCAATCTAAAGCACATGGCTCTGTGGCAGGCACTACCAAAGGGAATTTAATAAACAAGACTCTTCCCTTTGAATTTATGGGAATCAGCAATATAACAAAAAATGAAAAGTAAATGATGAAATGAATCACTAGATTTATATAAACCACAGTGAAAGCCATTTGTACTGATAGTATTAAAAGACAAAGCTACCCTTCATTTTTTTTTTTTTTTTTTGAGACAGAGTCTTGCTCTGTCGCCCAGGCTGGAGTGCAGTGGCGTGATCTCAGCTCACTGCAACCTCTGCCTCCAGAGTTCAAGCGATTCTCATGGCTCAGCCTCCCAAGTAGGTGGGATTACAGGTGCCTGCCACCATGCCTGGCTATTTTTTTTTTTTTGTATTTTTAGTAGAGATGGGGTTTCAACTTTTTGGCCAGGCTGGTTTTGAACTCCTGACCTCAAGTGTCCCACCTGCCTCGGCCTCCCAAAGTGCTGGGATTATAGGCGTGAGCCACTGCACCTGGCCTACCCTTCGTCTTATAATCTAAAATAATAGGCTCTGAATTACACAGTCATTAACACTTGGAGGAACTTAAGTTGTTCTTTGATGACCCAGTGTTACATATACTAAGTGTGTATGTCATGAAACCTTATTTATATTGTGTTTCAGTAAATAATGTGTATTTTTAAAGCAGGGGGTATGAATTTATGGGGCATTTCTGGAAGGTTGTGTTTACACAACAATAAGTTGAAGAAAGCAATAAAAATGTACTTATTTTTATAAGCTGATGTTTTTCAAGAGAAAAATATGGGAAAAAAGGAAAAAAACACAAAAGCAGAAATAGGCTCATTGGGGGAGGGAATGGCCCAAGAGCATAAAAGCAGTGAAAAAGAGACATTTCCTCACATGTTATCTCTTCTTAGAACACAGTGTAGTCTCGTTGTAGAAGTTTTAAATCTTGTATAGATGGTATTTTTCTCAGATAATTAATAAACTTAATACTATTTACTTTTCTCATTTACACCTGATACAGCAAGTGCAAATTCACTGTAGCTTGAGGTTAGAGCCTCAGCAATATCAAGTATTCTAACTAAAATCTAGGAGAGTAGCTTTGTATTAGTATTAAAAATATATAATTCCAGTTTTCAATCTAAGCACCACAAAGGAAATTCTAATAAACATGCTCTTCAGCATGAAGCACTAAGGACTCACCATAACAATATCCGGGAAATTCTACCCACTCTGGCTATAGAAAAACTACATTTACTTACTCTTTGAAATTCTCTAATGGTTGCATTGCTGAGACAGCTGATTGTTTGAATATGCTCAGATTAATTCTGGAAGATTGCAGGGTGAAGTAGAGAGCTCATAGGCTCTGGCTCAGATAGACCAAGATTCACTTCTTAGCTTTGCTACTTACCTGTGAGATCCATGGTCAAGTGACTGAACCTCTTTGAGCCTCATTTTCCTCATCTGTAAATGGGAATGTTACTATCTTCCTGGAAGTTGTAGACAGCATGCGTGTGTGGGTACCTGGAGCCTAGAATGGCATGTCCCAGGTTATGAAGCTGTATGTAACTGCTTTCCTATGGCACTGAATTATATACAGTTCACAGGGTGTCTTGGTAAGCAAACCTCCCTGTGCCACATGGCTGCTGCTGTGGGATCTAACCAGGTGCCATCTTTACAGCTGGGGTGGGGGGCAGGGGAGCGGGGCAGTGGGGCAAGGCTTGAGCATGACTTTGCTGGTAAATGAGCAAATTTACTTCTGGTTCAGGATGCCTGACAACATTAATAAATTCCTGCCTAACATTCTCTCGAGAGGAGCCACGGCCTCCTCTCTGAACTTCCCCTTTCTCTTGCCCTTAAAGAAACAAAACATAGCAAAATTTCCCAAAATAAGTGGAAGAAATGATACTGTGCTCTATATGAACCTCACTTAATGACATCTGGCTTTAATATTACAAATAAATTATTAAACCATGCCAGAAATGAAACATATAGACATTGTTACATGGTTCGTTATTGTAGGGTAGATTAGCAGTTCCCAGACCACTCTTTGAGAACATCAATCTTCACTAACATGTCAAGAGCATTACTAAAATCTCCCGTCTGTTTTCTTAGCTCATGACTTTATCTTGCATGTGCAAATCCTGCATAATACTAGCACAAGATTGCATCGGTTGCAAAACCCAGTAATGATTTGCAGGAAGTAGGTAATATTCTAGAAAGATTTCCTTAGTCTCATAGTTCTCAGGTTAAATATTTTAAATTTAGTTCTTTAAATTTTTATTGTTTTATTCTGGGTAATTTGGAAATAATTAAGATATAGGATGTTAAGAGGCATTTATTAAAATCAGCTACTCGAGAGGCTGAGGCAGGAGAAGTGCTCGAACCCGGGAGGTGGAGGTTGCAGTGAGCCAAGATTGCGCCACTGCACTCCAGCCTGGGCATCAGAGCGAGAGTCCATCTCAAAAAAAAAAAAAAAAAAAAAAAAAAAGAAAGAAAAAAAAAAAGGAGCATGAGCATAGGAGCATTTATTAAAACCTTGGGACTAAATGATAAGAAATACCGAAGGGCCATCACTTTCACTCTGTCTCAGAGTGCTCTCACAGTCCTGTCCTGCAGATGTTTTCTCTTTGAGGTGATCTTCTCACAGATGCACACCATGTTTTGGCTTTAATCGGTGTAAGTCAGGTTATATAGATGGCATTTGCACTTATTTTCATACCCCTTGGTTTACCTACCTAAATTAAATTGGAGTTAAGATGAAAGGAATTCCTTACAGTGACAGCTTGCGATGTGCAAATGAGTAGAACCCAAATGGCTGCCCTCCTGAGGATACCTCCTTCCCTCCTGTCATTGTCCTTTAATTACCAACTGCCTTGAGTCTGGACCCCAGAAAAACTTGTGGTAAATTCCATTGTCAATAGGGAAGGATTTCTGGTGGAAGTGACATCACGAATTCCAAGACATGGTGGGATGTAGGGAGGATTATAAGATTCAAAGAGCATTTCAAGTTATTCATGAAAATGAAAAAGTAAGAAAAGTACAAACCTTTCCTTTTGCAGTCCAGTGTTTGTATGGGAAACACATAATTGTGGCAAAAAGTTGAGTCCACCTCAGGCTTGATGACTGGGGGTCTCCCTGACACTTGGGGTTTCGGGTCCAATTGTTCCTTTTCTTCTTCATTACACAACTGTTCAGATTTTATCTGCCGCAGTTTTTTATTTTTTTGTTCTTGTGGACTTTCACACTTGGCGTAGTTCCCCAAATTCCGGTTCCTGGGAATCTGCAACATTGAAATAAGCGTTTCTATCTCACAAGTACAGTGCCAGGGGTTGTCATAAAGACGCAGGTAGCTCAAGAGAGGTGTGTAAATGAACACTTCCTCCGTCAAGACTTTGATCTGGTTGTGCTGCAGTAAGAGGGTGGTGAGTTTGTTTAAACCAAAGAACGCCTCACTCTCAATTTTAGAGATCTCATTCTGCTGCAGATCCAGGCTTTTCAGCTTTTTAAACTTGGAAAACATGTTGTTCTTCAATGTGCGGATCTTGTTTCTTGCTAGCAGCATGTGCAGCAAATCCTGAGGCCAACCAGGCAGCACATAAACTAATTTTCTTTCTTGACAATCTAAGTATTTCTCATGGAGATATGTGTACACGTCACACGGGAGGCCTGGTGCGTAGCGTTTGACCGGGTTGGAGCCTCTCCGGCCTCCACCCGCCCGGCCATGATTCACTCGGCTTCTCACACTGCCTGGGCTTGCTTTGCGCAGCTCAGCCGCTTTGCAAAAGCAGAGCAAGATTACAATGGTAACCACACGCATCCTGACATCCAGCTGGCCCCAATTACTTCGTGTTACAGACGGAACAATGAAAGTATTCCTTTGAAATCCAAGTCTGGGTAATCTTAACTAATGCAGTTCTGGAACAATGAGACCCAGCTGGGGTACGTGGAGTCCCTAGGCTGGAAGAGAAAAAAATATATATTAAAAATTAAGGCCCATTGCAAGCACTGTATTACTGACAGATAAGAACAGACTTTTTAAGGCAAAGGCCTTCTAGTTCCACAGAACAGTGACGTAGAAAGCTCCTTCCCCTCTTAGTTGCCTGGGTTAGAGGCCAAATGTTTGTGCCCTGAGTTTGAATCAAGGCTCTCTTACCTGCTTAACTGTATCAACCTGGGTCATCTTCAGCATCTGTAAAACGGACCGAGGATACCTCCTAATATTGTTGGGAGGATAAAATAGGCTCATGCGCATAAGATGCTTCACATGGCCACCCCGGGGGAAGTAGTCACAAATGTTAGGACTCAGCATGATGAAAACCGAAGCCTGCAGTTCACCATCACATCGGATTTAAGAAATTCAAAGAATTCTCCTTCTTTAAAAGAACACAGCCTTGAGATGCACACACAAGGGTAGGACTTGAATTGTTGTCTTCCTGAGCCTTTTTTTTTTCTATCCTTTTCTGTCTCCCAGTCACCAACCATGTTGGGTGTGGGCTCCAGAGATGCTTGGAGTAAATGGCACTGTCCTTGTCATCTCCTGCATGTCTTGGCTCAAATGTTACCTTTTCAGTGAAAACTTCCTGTTCAGCCCTATTTTAAATCACACTTCTTCCCACTTGTTGGGTGCTCCCAATCCCTTTTCTTCTTTCTTCTCCATGGCACTTACCACCATCTGTCAAAGTAGATATGGTATTTAACTTCTTTTGTTTACTGTTAGTGTCTCCCCGCTAGAAAGTAAACTCCTTAAGGGAAAATATTTGTGTCTATTTCGTTAACTGCTATATCTCCTTGATAAGTATTTGTTGAACTGATGAATTACTCTCAAATAACTATTCTGGCCAGGTGCGGTGGCTCATGCCTGTAATCCCAGCACTTTGGGAGGCTGAGGCAGTCAGATCTCTTGAGACCAGTCTGAGCAGCATGGGGAAACCCCGTCTCTACAAAAAATACAAAAATTAGCCGGGCATGGTGGTATGCACCTGTAGTGTCAGCTACTTGGGAATGACAGTAGGGGTTGCTGAAGTGAAAGGATCGCCTGAGCCTGGGAGGTTGAGGCTGCAGTGAGCCAACATGGTGCCACTGCACTCTAGCGTGGCTGACAGAGCAAGATCCTGTCTCAACTGTCTCAAAAAAACGAAACAAACAAACAGAATAACTATTGTATTCTGTATGTCAACTATTCTGTTTATTATTATACATGCTGAATTATTTATGATATACATGTTGAAGTATTTGGGGGGAAGTGTACTGGTGTCTGCAACTTACTTTGAAATGCATACAAAAATAAGATGATTGAGGGCTATAGATAGAGATGAATGAGTGGGTGGATATGTGATAAAGCAAATACAGTAAAAGATAAATTAGAATCCAAGTAGTGGCTATATAGATATTTATTGTACAATTCTTTCCACTTTTGTGTATGTTTGAAAATGTTCATAATAAAATGTTAAATGAAAACAAAAAAATAAAAAAGCAGGCACAAAAAACCAGGTTGGTTTTCTTCAAGTGCTTTCAAGCTAAAAGCTCTAAGTATATAGTGTTTTTCCCAAAGTAATATTTTTCTCTTTTCCCCTTACTCCTATAATCCTCAAACAATAATAAACATGTCTGTGTATTTTAATTCTGAAGCCCAAAAAAGCCATTTTTCTGGGGAAAGAAACCATATACTTAGAACATGTTACTTGCCAAGGTTTTTGTTTGTTTTCTAATGAATACATTGCATTCAATGTAAGATAGAAAAACTTTGTTTAAACATTTGCAATATGTAGTTTAGTGACGTGTAACTTATTTGATTTAGGCCACTGTAGGAACTTGCAAGAGTTGAATGTCTCTGACTGCCCAACATTCACAGTGAGTATAAGCAACCATTTTTACTGCTGTTTATATAGATTGACTTGCTACATTGGGGTGCCAATATGCAGAATAGATGCTTGTGTGCTTATTTGGGATTCAATGTGGAAAAGAGCAAACTATGTTAAACATTGACAAGAAATTTTACTCCATCTGCACAACGCTAATATTAATCATGTAGATGTATGCTCAGTGTTGGAGCCTCTGGCAAGTAGAAATTCTTCAATGACTACCCAAAATGAACTGTATTTATATTTAATGGTATGTGTGTATGAGACAGAAAAAAATTGGGCCCCAGTAGACATGATAGGCTCATTTTATCTTCATGGCTATCAACAGCTGTGCCAAAGAAGATGGAAATGAATATGTTTCCCTAGTTGCTTTCTTCCTGGTTCCTGTCTCCAGTCTTTCCCTCTGTCCCCAACCTGTCTTCCATTCTGTGAGCACTTTATACTCTTTGTAAAAGGCAGATATGACTACTTCACTCTCATCTTCCACCAGCTACACACACTGCCGTCATCTACACAGTTGGATAAAGCCAAAGCTCTTTAATATTACTCTACCTTGAAGACCCTCTGTGGTTTTGCCTCTGCCTCCCTTTCCAGCCTCACTTGTTTCAGTTTCTGTGTACACACTAATTTGCAGTGCCTACAGCTGCTGAGTTTCCTTTTCCTGCATGCTCCAAGTTGCTCCTTGCAGTTGTGCATTTGCTCTTTGCTTAAAATGCCCTTTCCCTTTGTCCCCAAGTGGTGCTTTCCTCTTTATCAAGCTTTAAGTCTTATTATCACCTCTTCTACCAAGACATCACTGGCTCCCAGGGCTGGGTTCACTGCTGCTCCTCTAGGTTCCTATGATAAGTATCCTTAACCATAGGGTTTTGGCTTCCTTCACTAGCCTAAGAGACCCAAAGGGCAGGAGATGTGTCTTGTTCTTTGTGGTAGTCATAGCACAACAGCACGAACTTTGGCATATTATATTCAATAATATTTAGTGAATGCAACTATCTGGAGATACCAAGTAGGCAATGGACAACATTGACTAGAATTGAGATTCCATCTTGGGTTGACATCTATGTATAAGTCATAATTAACATCATAAGCGTGAATAAGATCAACTTAGAAGGTTTGAGAAGAGGAGCAGACTTAAAGTTGAGCCTTACGGAATGCTGACTTTTAGGAACAGAGGATATTCAGAAGGAATAGTAAGAGAAGTAGGTTGACAATGAAGAGGTATCACAAAATGAAAGTGAGTAAAGAGTTTCAGAAAGAACCAAAGTGAACAGGTAAGAAAAGGACTGAACAATGCATTGTAGATTTGAGAATCAGAAGGGACTGCCAATTATTGCTTCAACAGTTTCAGTGGGATATTGGAGCAGAAATCTACTTGCAATGAATTGTGAAGTGGAGAAGAGGTCAGAAGGTGAGGCATTAGGCATAAACTGATCTTTCCAGAAAAGTGTCTTAGAGAGTGGTAGAAGGAAAACAGGGGCAGGGAAATGGAAACAGGTTTATAGAGGATGATGGAGAGTCAGCTGAAGCAACTCATGGAGTAAGTCCCTAACGAGATAGGAGGGAATAGGAGGAAAAGCCTGGCTGTGGAATGCCAATCATGAGGCACCAGCTCCACCATGAAGGCCAAGCCCTCCTCGCTGGTGAAAAGACTGCATGAATTGGCCCCTCCCTGCTACCTCTCAGCCTCATTTTTACAGCCTCATCTTTCTAGTTTTTTCTTTCAAAATTCTACTCTATTTCAATACTGAACCACTTGAAGTTCCCTGTTCATGTCATGCTATTTCATTGTGTCTTTGAACTTGTTTTTCCATCTGCCTAAATGACTACCCTTCCCTCCCCACCACCCCTAGCCCAAACTGGCTAACACCTGTTCATTCTTTAACACACTCTTCAATGCTATCGGGTCTTTCCATTCTCTTTGTTTATTGACCTTTAATAAACAGCTTTATTGAGATATAATAAATTTATATTTATATTGAGATTAAATTTACCCACTTAAAGTGTACAATTTCATGGTTTTGGTATTTTTACAGAGTTGTTTGACCATCACCACAACCAACTTCAGAACATTTCCCTCACCCCTAACAGAACCCATGCCCATCAACAGTCACCCTTCATTTTCTCTCAACCCCCGGCCCTATGCAATTCTGTTCACTTTTTGACAGTTAATTTCTAACTTAATTAATTTTTTTTTTTTTTTTTTTTTGAGATGGAGTCTCACTCTGTTGCCCAGGCTGGAGTGCAGTGGTGCCATCGTGGCTCACTACAACCTCCACCTCCCAGGTTCAAGTGATTCTCCTGCCTCAGCCACCCAATTAGCTGGGATTATAGGCACGTGCCACTGCACCTGGCTAATTTTTGAATTTTTTTTGTAGAGATGGGGTTTCACCATGTTGGACAGGCTGGTCTCGAACTCCTGAGCTCAAGTGATCCACCCGCCTCGGCCTCCCAAAGTGCTGGGATTACAGGCGTGAGACACCGCACCCAGCTGACAGAATTAATTTCTCCCTCTTCTGAGCTACATATGGTCTCAGTACTTCAACACAGATACTTCACACTGTATTACACTTATGTTTACATATGTATCTCCCGTTTTAGAACTGAGCACTTTGAAAATCCTCCTTTAGTAATTTTTCCCCATGAAATCCATCCCATTTCCACAGTAAAACATCTTTTCAAAACATGGAAGGCATTATACACAAATAGAATGTGTACAGAAGAATGTTAAGACCCTCAGAACTCCTCCACTCCTTACCTCAACACACAGAGTCAGCATTTAAATTAGTTGTTTAATCCCTGTCCAGCAGAACATAAAGAACCACCATAGACTGTAAACTAAGCATCTTCTCAGTGGCTTGTACTTTAACATAAATAAGCTGTTCCTTTATGTTCAAAAGTACCCTTCAGGGTCATCCGCAAGAAATGGAGGCATAGACAGACATGTCAAATATCACATCAGAGAAAAAAATGTTCTGCTTTCTCTGGTTGCACTCTTTCTCCACTAGCAAAGTGAACGTGGGCTCCTTCATGAAGAAGGATTTTAAATCTTGACTACTACATTCTCCAGATGTCTGCCTGTCATTATAATGAAGTTGTTTGTCAAATGGATTTACTCTTTCTGTGGATGTTTTAGCACCTACTATGTTAAATGTGTTCTGCTAGGTGTTGGAGGGAATTAAAAAACTAATCATTTTTCAGTTCTTGTCCTCAGGGAGCTTCAGTTGTGTACTTGAGTAAGATATCATATTCTTTGAGTTTGGCCCTCTAATAGGGAAGTCAAAACAATGCATTGAATTTGTGAACATCAAAGTCTTGTCCGATTTTGGAGTCTAATAATATACAGGGCTGATAATTTTATCCAGCTACATTTTACTATTGTTTTTCCCTTTGAGACGTAGACTGGGACACAGGCTTACATTTAAGGAGTTGGGTAACACTCATTCGAAGAGCTTTGATTTCTAAGCTTATCCTATGAAATATATTACATTCAGAAAGATTTGAGTACATTGTGGACAAATTCATAAGTCATTCTGCAATGTAGGTACTCAGTTTTTGCATTTATGTGTTCAAACATTTGGGGATTAAATCTTGAGTTCTTTTAAGTACTAAGAATGGGAGTGGTCTAAATTTGTTTGGATGTTCAAGCTTCTTTAGACAGGAAAATGTAGAGAATGCATTACCTCCTCATCTCAATCTGAGAATGGGAGTGGTCTAATTTTGTTTGGATGTCCAAGCTTCTTTAGACAGGAAAATGCAAAGAATGGATTGCCTCCTCATCTCAAACAGAAAGTCAGATTTCTTTATGATACATAAAGCTACTCCACCTTCCTCTTCCTGGTCCCCACATTTTCATCTTTGTGGCTGCCTCTCTGAGGGTGTTTAAGTGAGCTCTTTCTCCTTTCCTTGCCCCATCTCATTTGCATTTTGCCAAGGTCTTTCAACAAGTGTATAATCACTTTGATACTTGATTGGCATGCCAAACGTTTTCAAAGACAGATTTTCATTGTGTTGAAATACAGTGCCACACGTGGTTATTCTCTAGATTCTTTTTGGAAAAATTGTACACATTTTATCTATCCATACCTATTCAAATCCTTCATTTTGGTGATGGGGCATCTAGAAAAAATGCTGACAGCTTGAATACTGTAGTTAAGAGTAGTGTTTATCAAAAGCTCTGCACTGGCCTCTCATGCAGCATGGGTGCATAGAACCTTCCCTATAGCAGAATCACAGAGATTTACAGCTTCAAATAGAATCTTGTGTTCTCTTTAAGGTGTGGTTTGCTGCCCCTGTAAATCAACCAATTCCTATCTGAGTGTGACAGATGCTCTGACCTGCAGGATTTTATTGTTTTAAAAATCCATGACTACTGGAAATAGTAATGAATGGAATGTTAAACCTCAATGATCCTGTTGAAAATAAGCCTTTACTATCTTTAGTGGTGTTAGGAGTGGTCATATTTCTGATGCAGAATTCTTCTCAGAACCACATCTTCTAGCCTAGTAATGATTTACCTCTTCCAGACAGATAGATACCTGCAGTGGTCTATTCTTTCTGGGACTGATGTAGCGTCAAACATTGCATGCACCACTAATACTTAAACTGGCTGCCCTGTTGATGTTCCTGGGGAGATTCATCAATCATTAAATAAAAACCTGCTGCTACTCGTTGTATTTTATATAGTGTTACCTATACAAAAAGCAGCTTGTTGCAGTCAAAGCTTGCAATTCATCTGGTCTTGTAAATTTCAACTTAGAATCTGTGCTTGAAACCTCTGTTTTTCTGTCTCTCTTATTTCATGGTCCCACTACTCTCTTACTTCAGTTTTCAGCTTTCTGGGGGAAGGATGCTTGAATCTTTGAGATCCTCCCCCACCCTACTCCCAGCATTGAATCTCCTGCCCAACTGGTATGTAGCCTCTATTTTATTTTAGCCATCTCAAACTTACCATAAATCTGGTGAAAATCTGTTCAGCTATTTAAAATATTTAGTTAACAGAACCACAGAAGCTTAATTATACACACACATCTATGTATAAATGTATATGTGTATAAATATGGACTGTTACTAAAGTTCCATTGTTGAGAGTGTTTAGTATGCCTTTCAGAATAATTTTAATAAGTTTAAAATGGATCAGTTTTTAATTGCTTTCCTGCATATGAAGAGTCAGAAGTGTTTGGCACTTTGACATGTGAGCTCAAATTTCGTGTGACAGAGTTGAACTTGCATGGGTTCACATTTTAATGAAGTGTCATTGTGATGGAATGAGACTTGATTTCCAAGGAAAGGGAAAAGGAGGGAGTAATGATGCTTTGAGCAAAAGCATTGGCTTCTATTTAATTTCATTTCAACCTAATAGTAGATAAAGAATATGAAGAAACCAACTCTTACATGTATTTTTTTCTGGAACAGGAAGAGGGATAATAGAAAGATAATGGGGAAATTGCAAAGCCTGCTATAATTTGATAAGCCTCTTCCCTCTGTTTTTCATGCAGGATGAATCAATGAGACACATTTCTGAGGGCTGCCCGGGGGTCCTGTGTCTCAATCTGTCTAACACAACTATCACCAACAGGACGATGCGACTCCTGCCGAGGTAATGTTTGTGTTATTTGTATGACACTGAAAAAAATTATGCTCCCAAAGTCTCTGGCTTGCTCTAGCATTCTGCAAGGGCAGTGCTCCCTTTATCAACACCCCACCACTGTGGCACTGCTTTTCTGATAAGGGGTCTGCTGCTTTCAAGTCCCTAAGCTGGTGCCTGAACTGGTCTGCCTTGGCTAGCATTTTTGTGACTCTTACAGCAATGTGCCCAGTAGCTTGAGTTAGACTTTGCCTGCTTCTTTCTGGTCCCCCATTCTGGGCATTCAAGCTTTCTGGCCCTTACATTCCAGTCTGGTGTCTGGGACCTTTTTTTTTTTTTTTTTTTGAGACAGAGTCTTGCTCTGTCGCCCAGGCTGCAGTGCAGTGGCATGATCTTAGCTCATGGCAACCTACGCCTCCCGGGTCCAAGCGATTCTCATGCGTCAGCCTCCTGAGTAGTTGGGATTACAGGTGCCCACCACCACGCCTGGCTATTTTTGTATTTTTAGTAGAGATGGGGTTTCTCCATGTTGGTCAGGCTGGTCTCAAACTCCTGACTTCAGGTGATCTGCCCGCCTGGGCCTCCCAAAGCGCTGGAATTACAGGCGTGAGCCACCACACCCAGCGGACCTCTTTATAATAGAATGCCAACATCCTGATTACCAACTTTGAGCACTTTTGTCCCAGATCCCTGTTCCCATGCTCTGGCTACCTGTTGAGACTCCCACCACCTCTAGGGAGCTTGACACTGCTTGTTTTTTGACCGTTTATGGAGTGTTGACAACATTGGACGTGAATATTGCTTCTCTTTTTTGGAGGAGAAGGGACAGAATAACAAAAGAATTGACAGAATATTCAAATTTATCAAAAATTTTTCTTTTTAGTTTGTTTTCAAACAGGGTCTTACTCTGTCACCCAGGCTGCAATGCAATGGTACAATCATGGCTTACGGCAGCCTCAATCTCCTGGCTTCAAACAATCCTCCCGCCTCAGCCTCCTGAGTAGCTGGGACTACAGGAGCATGCCACCATGCCCAGCTAGTTTTTGTATTTTTCTGTAGAGATGGGGTTTCACCATGTTGCCCAGGCTGGTCTGAAACTCCTGGGCTCAAATGATCTGCCCACTTGGGCCTCCCAAAGTGCTGGCATGAGCCACCATGCCTGGCCCAATTATTCTTTATTTTCATTACAGAAAGGCCAGTTAGGAAGGGTATATGATCACACTAGGAGAGATTCAAATTTGACTTTGGGAAAACATTTCTCAAACTATTGTGAAAGAATGAACTATTTTTGAGAATATAGCTTTTTTAAGCTCCTTTGAAAAATAACGGTGATGAGACATTTAGAAAAGCTTACACAGGCCGGGCACGGTGGCTCACGCCTGTAATCCCAGCACTTTGGGAGGCCGGGGCGGGTGGATCATGAGGTCAGGAGATTGAGACCATGGTGAAACCCCGTCTCTACTAAAAAATAGAAAAAATTAGCCGGGTGCGGTGGTGGGTGCCTGTAGTCCCAGCTACTCGGAGGCTGAGGCAGGAGAATGGCATGAACCCAGGAGGCGGAGCTTGCAGTGAGCCAAGATTGCGCCACTGCACTCCAGCCTGGGCGACAGAGCGAGACCCCATCTCAAAAAAAAAAAAAAAAAAGAAAAGCTTACACAGAAAATTCTCGGTGATAATTTTCTTTATCTTCTGACTCTAACCATTTTCTGCAAATGTACCAGCCTAAGAAGTGGCACCATATTTTCTATTTATCCCACTAATTAAGCTGTCACATTTTTAGTCAAATCTATAAAGCTTTCCCTTTGAAATTTCTTCTGATGCTCTTACACACAGTCTTCCTCCTGCCAGGCATTTAATATACATTTGCTTATTTTAGTGTGTTCATGTATTTTTACTTAAATATATAATCAATCTAGAATTAATCTTGATAGATGAATGAAGTGATGATCTAAATCAGGGGTCAGCAAACTACAATCCATGTGGCCCAAGGCCTGTTTTTTTGCAGTACCTAAGCTAAGCATAGTTTTACTTTTTTTTTTTTTTTTTTGAGACGGAGTTTTGCTCTTGTTGCCCAGGGTGGAGTGCAATGGCGCAATCTCAGCTCACCGCAACCTTCGCCTCCCAGGTTCAAGCAATTCTCCTGCCTCAGCCTCCCAAGTAGCTGGGATTAGAGGCATGTGCCACCACACCCGGCTAATTTTGTATTTTTAGTAGAGAGGGGTTTCTCTATGTTGGTCGGGCTGGCCTCAAACTCCTGACCTTAGATGATCCACCCTCCTTGGCCTCCCAAAGTGCTGGGATTACAAGTGTGAGCCACTGCGCCCAGCCTAGTTTTACATTTTAAATGTTGTTAAATAGGTAACCAATTATTTCAGCATCATTTATTGAATAAAATTTTTATCAAATCATGTGTGATTCCTTCTTATATATCTAAAATTCTTTTTATTTATTTATTTATTTTGAGATGGCATCTTGCTCTGTCACCCAGGCTGGAGTACAGTGGTGCAATCTTGGCTCACTACAACCTCCGCCTCCCAGGTTCAAAGCAATTCTCCTGCCTCAGCCTCCTGAGTAGCTGGGATTACAGGCGCCCGCCACCACGCCTGGCTAAGTTTTTTTGTATTTTTAGTAGAGATGGGGTTTCACCATATTGGTCAGGCTGGTCTTGAACTCCTGACCTCGTGATCCGCCTGCCTCAGCCTCCCAAAGTGCTGGGATTACAAGCGTGAGCCACCGCGCCCGGCCTTAAAATTCTTATACAGGCAAGAAATACTAAAAACTCATTACTTTCTAACATTTTTCTGCATGTTACTTTATCTGTGTTCTTGTAGTTATTTATGTCCATTGTATCTCTACGGTGAAAATGCTACTGCACATTTTTTCCCAACTGTGTGTTTGGTGACCTCTCATTGATAGCTTGGAATTGGCCAATATGGAAGTATTCTATACCACGGAAAACATCAAACACTACAAATCGGGGCTTGATTTATTGTTCAGTTGATTGTTTAGACTTAAAGTGATAGAGAACACAATGAATGAAGCAAATTAAATTTAAAAGTAGGTCATGTCTGTAGCCACGACATTGTGAAATAGCACAAAATATTGAGGAAATATTCTCTCAATACTTGAAAACTATTCTTTGATTTAGGAAAGAAGGCATTCACATCATTGACAAGCAGATTTTGGACATACCTCTTTGACATATATCACCTTGTGTCTTATTAATGTTAATAAAAAAATTCATATTGGAACTGTAATCATTCTTCAATTTCTTTTGTTTTTTTAATTTTCTTTTTCTTTTTTTTGTTGAGACGGAGTCTCGCTCTGTCGCCCAGGCTGGAGTGCAGTGGCGCGATCTCAGCTCACTGCAAGCTCCGCCTCCCGGGTTCATGCCATTCTCCTGCCTCAGCCTCCTGAGTAGCTGGGACTACAGGCACCCACCACCACACCCAGTTAATTTTTTTTTTTTGTATTTTTAGTAGAGACGGGGTTTCACTGTGTTAGCCAGGATGGTCTCGATCTCCTGACCTCGTGATCCGCCCGCCTCGGCCTCCCAAAGTGCTGGGATTATAGGCGTGAGCCACCACGCCCAGTCATCATTCTTTAATTTCAACCATTGGTTGGCTGGCTACATTTATAAGAGTTTCATTGACAAAAGTCAATGAAAACATTGTGTGAGAATTGATTGGCTACATGGAATTAACAGTAAAGAATATGGTATGTTTTATCATTTGTAAGTTGCGTGCTACACATCCTTTATATCCGCAAAATAGTAAAATATAAAATTTTATAGTAAATGCACATACATTTATATGCATACTTTTTTTGGAAAGCCAGTCATTAGATACTTATCAGTAAACCAATAATTAAACTAGGAACTAATTTATATTTTTGCATTTGCATGATTTGATTTCTTTCCTTTTAGAAGTAATAAAAAAAATATGGTCATGAAATGACTTCTAAATAAGAATTTGGGAAAAGTTTGTATAACTTGATAAGTATTGTTTTAACTTTCTAAACCAACTATTCTATATTTGCTTTCCTCTTTCACTCAGTAATGTTTATTTATTTATTTATTTAATTTTTTTTTTTTTTTGAGACAGAGTCTTCCTCTGTCGCCCAGGCTGGAATGCAGTGGCACGACCTCAGCTCACTGCAACCTCCGCCTCGCGGGCTCAAGCAAGTCTCCTGCCTCAGCCTCCTGAGTAACTAGGATTACAGGTGTCTGCCACCACACTCTGCTGATTTTTGAATTTTAATAGAGACGAGGTTTCATCATGTTAGCCAGGCTGGTCTCAAACTCTTGACCTCAAGTGATCCACCCACCTTGGCCTCCCAAAGTGCTGGGATTACAGGCGTGAGCCACCATGCCTGGACTTGACCCAGTGATATTTAGAGCAAAATTTTTGGTTCTAAGTAGTTGAAGTTTCTTCAGTTGAGCTTCTGCTTTTAATTAGGCACTCTAGTCAAGAAATGTGGACTGAATTATTTCTACTTTTTGGAATTTATTGAGATTTCTTGGTAGACTAGTTTATAATTAATTTCCAAAAATCATCCGTGGATGCTTAAAACAGAGCTTCTTTTATTTTTTATTTTTATTTTTTTTGAGATGGAATCTTGCTCTGTCGCCCAGGCTGGAGTGCAGTGGTATGATCTCGGCTCACCATAGCCTCCGCCTCCTGGGTTCAAGCAATTTTCCTGCCTCAGCCTCCCAAGTAGCTGGGACTACAGGCACTTACCACAACACCCAGCTAATTTTTGTATTTTTAGTAGAGACAGGGTTTCACCACATTGGCCAGGCTGGTCTCAAACTCCTGACCTCAGGTGATCCACCCACTTCGGCCTCCCAAAGTGCTGGGATTACAGGCATGAGCCACTGTGCCCGGCCCAGAGTTTCTTATAGAGAACAAAATTTCTGTGTGTATATACATATAAATTCTTGATACATCATTATAATAGTGATATATTAGTTGCCTATTATGATCAAGCTTCTCTTTATTTTGATGTTATTTTACAACCTTATTAACAAAGGTTAGTAAGCATCATGTTTCATTACAGATTATAGCATTTATTCACATAAAATGATATTCTTTATGCTGGTTGATGTTTCTTTGCCTTGAATTCGCTTTGTTTTGAGACGGAGTCTCGCCCTGTTGCCCAGGCTGGAGTGCAATGAAGTGATCTCGGCTCACTGCAACCTCCGCCTCCTGGGCTGAAAGGATTCTCCTGCCTCAGCCTCCCGAGTAGCTGGGATTACAGGTGCCCGCCACCACGCCAGGCTAATATTTGTATTTTTAGTAGCGACAGGGTTTCATCATGTTGGCCAGGCCGGTCTCGAACTCCTGACCTCGTGATCCGCCCACCTCGGCCTCCCAAAGTGCTGGGATTACAGGTATGAGCCAACACGCCCAGCCTGAAGTTTTTAACTGTTATCAACATAGTTAACCTTTGTTTTCTTTTGCTTGTTCTTTTTGTGGAATAACTACATTTCTCTGTATTTTTAACCTTTGTGATGCGGGATTTTAGGTTTATCTTTTATATGTAGCATGTAGCTAACTTCTATTTTTAAATTCATTCTCTTTGCCTTTTTAAGAGAGCAGTTTAAAAGATCAATATTTATTGTCAAAATTGAGTGTATGGGCCATGCGTGGTGGCTTGCTGTAACCCAGCAGTTTGGGAGGCTGAAGTGGGCGGACTACTTGAGCCCAGGAGTTTGAGACCAGCCTGGGCAACATGGTAAAACTCCATCTCTACAAAAAAATACAAAAATTAGTTGGGTGTGGTGGCATGCACCTGTAGTCCCAGCTACTCAGGAGGCTGAGGTGGGAGGATCATTTGAGCACAGAGGTTGAGGCTGCAGTGAGTCATGATTGTGCTGTGACAGAGTAAGACCCTGTCTCAAGAAAAAAAAAACTGAGTGTATGGTTTTATTTTTATCATCTTGTTTTATGTTTTGATTTTTATGTTACTGCACTGTACTCAGTATTTCTGTCTTTTGCTCTGTGAACTATGTTTACTTGTATAATCTGAAGGTATTCGAAAGGTACATACACATTCTGTTGTGTATTCTAATTAGTGGCTATTGGCATGTTTTTAAAAACATACTTTAACAGGCATTTATCTAATTACCAAAGTCAAGATGAAACAATAACTTTTGACTACTCCTGTGGTACACAGTGATCTAATACACTTCAATTGTCCCTCTACTTCTCCCTTGAACTTGACACCCCTGCACACCTACTCCCCTGTATGAACACACATATTATTTGTGGGTTTTGCTAATCATTTAACTTTCTTTTTAATATCGAATTGTAGTGTTTGCACTCAATATTGTAATTATATTTATAATGAGTATGTAGTCTTAACTCTAGGCCATTCATTGATGGTCTTTTTTTCTCACAGCTTACTTATTCTTTAGCCTTTTGATTCATCTGATGATAACTGGAAATATAATTTTAAAAATCTTTTTTCAGTAAAGATGCATGAGAGTCAGATAGTTTAGCCATTGATCTCTGAAAATGACTATTATCTTGGAGGATAAACAGAAACTTCTCTTCATGTATAGTTCTTGAATCATGTTCTGTATTTTATCTTTAAAACCCTAATGTTTTAGATATTGGTCCATAAACTTTGATATTTCAGGTTATAGAAAGTCTGAAGCTAGCATGATTTTTTGTTCCTTTGTTGGTAACCTATTTTTTCCTGCTAAGAGATGCTTGCAAGACTTTCCTTTTCTCTGAGAAATTAAAGACATTTCCAAGCTTAATTGTGTTCCTTCAATTAATTTTTCCTGGTACATTTTAAACCTTTTGAACACTAAAATATATTTTTTCTCAGCTAGGGAAGGCATTTTTATTCTTAATGCTTCAATGCATTTGTTTAGAGTTTATCATAAGAATCTCCTTTTATTTTTAGATCCGATTTTATTCCTGTCCTTCAAAGTTGTCTCTTTCATCATTTTTATTTCTATATGCCTTTTCATTAGCATACTGCCTTCTCTGTAGCAGTAATTCTTGGAATATATTTTAGGAACAGCAGTGTTCTGGTAAATGCTTAACAACTGGCTGGTGGCAAGGGTGAGGAGAAGCACCAATTCCTAGTGTTTACTGATTTCTGTGGTGTAAATAATTCCACTGTGGCCGATTTTAAGCTATCAACACAATGTCATTGAATGTGGAGTTGGGAAGAGATGCTAACAATCAACTCCCATGAGCTGTGCAAGCTGGCTCCAGTGACCACTGTGGGAGGTCCCTGAGGTTTCTCTAACACTGTTTCAGGAATTACTTAAGATCCTCCAGTCCTGTAATATTGAATACCACTCAGTTCTTTCTTTAGGCATTCTGTACTATGATATATAAGTGTGTGTGTATATGTGTGTATGTGTATATATATGAATATATGTACATGTATGTATGTACATAAACATAGAAAAAGAGTATTATAAAATCCATAAATCATTGGTGAAAATCTGAACTTACAAAGTAGATGATTTGGGAGCCATTTTTTTGTTTTGTTTTGTTTATAGACAGGGCCTTGCTCTTTCACCCAGGCTACACCCAGCTACATAGTGTGATGATAGCTCACTGCAGCCTCAAACTCCTGGGCACATCCAGCTAAATTTGAAAAATCTTTTGTAGAGACAAGATCTCACTATGTTCCCCAGGCTGGTCTCAAACTCATGGCCTCAGGCAATCCTCTTGCTTCAGCTTCCCAAAGTGCTGGGGTTATAGGCATGATCCACTCTGTGTGACCCAGGGTGTAGTTTATATCACATTACAAATTATTTTTTAACTTAAAACATATTTATTTTCAATCATACATTGAAATGGCTTTTTTTCTCCTTAGAAATTGAAGGTAATATGACAGCTATGCATATCTTCTTAGGGACATTTATTTTACAAATGAAGTTATACCTTTAGTAGGCAATAGATAGAAAAGTAGGACCCAAAATAAGAATTTTGTTTGGCTCTTCCTTCTAGTTCTTGCCATTGAGAGAATATTCAGAATAGATACTACTTGATACTGATTTTTTTGCCATATAAAAAAGTATACTAAGTTATCTATGATAAAAATACATTTCATAATGATTCTCTGTTTTTGCTCTATTTTCCATTGTTTCAAATATGCTTGGGTATGCAAAAATGTTCTCGAAACTGTAAATAAGCAGAGAAATGTTGGTTGTTTCTGCTGTCATTCTCTCTTCATTGCTTTTAGTATTTCTTTCCAAAAAAAGTACTTGCCAAGAGAAAAATGTAATTTGTTTGTCCTTGGCAACAATGATTTGCCAGCTTTTTATTTGAATATTTTTTCTCACTTCTTTGGGGACTTGTTCAGTTTTCTAAAGTTGAAAATGAGGGCTGCCTAAAGCTCATGCCCATTCCAGGAAATTTGTTGCCTCTAAATGTTTCCGGAACTAAACACTTTCTATTTATTCCTATTGTCACAACCTAGGTGGCACTCTCAGCACCTCATTTGGCACAGTATCCTGGTGGTGCTGCCTCTGGTCTCTCCTCCCTTCAATCTGTTCTATCTCACGCTACAAGAAGTGTCATCCTGGAACAATCTTCCTATCATGTCTTTGACATGCTTAAGGTCTAGGTTCTTCCCTTACTCTTCGTTGACATTCTCCAACCAAACTTCTCTGCCTAGGTTTCCCAAGAGAAGCCCTTAACTCCAGTCATCTGATTGCTGCATGCTTCACATTCTCTATAGCTGCAGTGCCTTTCTCCTTCTCATGGCTAATCTACAGCCTTCACACCTTAAGTCTCGCCATCTACCAGAAGTCTGCAGTGATTTTTCCTTTTCCTGAATTATAATAACAACCTTCTTTCACTTGTTCACCATGTATTGATCAACTAGTATGTGCAAGGTGTTCTGGGCATACAGTGCTGAGTAAAGCTATTATGATCTTTGCTCTTTAATTGAGTCTTAAATGCTATAGTGGAGTAGTATCCAATTGTTTTTTATATAGATGAATTGACCTTTCAATTGGCTTGGAAATTTCTTATTATCAGGAACTATCATGATCTATAGTCTCACCAGTGCCTATCAAAGTGGGGCAGACAAAGTAAGCTGTTGTCTTGACTGGACAACTTCAAGGTCTACCCTGTAAATAGAAGGCCAGATCACTCCATTTAGGTTTTCTGCAGAATTCTATTACTTGAAATGCCTCTGTGAAACCAGAGAGCCCAACACTCAACTCAAAAGAATCCACATGCAAATTCCCTCTTTTACAGAGTAGGCCTTGTCTTGGTGATTTTTTTCAGAGAATTTTTTATTTAAATACATACTTTTCCATTCATCTTAGTAGTAAGTCCTTCAGGTGTTAGAAATTTAACACAAATGACTTCAATTCTTTAATGGAAAAAAACCCAAAAGAAAGGAGAAAAAAAAATCTTTGTAGTTTCTATAAGAATTGTAATTTCTCTAAAGATTATAGTGGTAGCAGAAAAATAAATAAATAAATCACAAAGAGAGGACTCACACCCCCCCCCATAAGAAACAGTTATCAAATAATTAGAAAAAGATAAAAACAAGCTGTAAACATTGCCTCAAAGCAGAATTAGAATTACCAAGTGTTCTCTGGGCTGGGAAAATGATGAATCAGATCTTACTCATGTAGGGGACACGCGTCTTTGCCAAAATTCAGAATAAAGAGTATGAGTATTGCACAAAATTTGCCACCTGTGATTTTGCTGTCAACTGACACTTTTCCCGTCCCTAGCAGCTTTAAGTCTGCAGAACTGTAAATCCCTAGAAAGGCCTACAGGGCCACCCAAGATTCCTGAGCTTTGCCTTCAAACTGATGGTTCCATGAGGTTCCACTGTGAAAAGAGCTATCCAGAGATTTTCAATCCAGGAGTCACTTAGTCTAATGAACAGCCTCTTTTATCTAAACCAGAGGTTCTTAGCTGGGGAGCAGTGGATTCCCCCAAGAGGATCAGGGATAGAATTCAGGAGCTCCATGAATTTTAATGGGGGATATAAAAAACTCATCTCGGCTAGTTGCACTGGTTAATGCCTATAATCCCAGCACTTTGGGAGGCCGAGGTGGGCGGATCACCTGAGGTCAAGAGTTTGAGACCAGTCTGGCCAACATGGTAAAACCCTGTCTCTAATAAAAATACAAAAAAAATTAGCCAGGCGTCGTGGTGGGTGCCTGTAATCCCAGCTACTTGGGAAGCTGAGGCAGGAGAATCACTTGAGCCTGGGAGGTGGAGGTTGCAGTGAGCCGAGATCATGCCATTGCACTCCAGCCTGGGTAACAGAGTGAGACTCCGTCTCAAACAAAAAAAAAAAAAGAAGAAACTCATCTCTACTTTTATTAACTGTAATTGAAATGTAGGTAAAAACTACAGAAGTATTAGCAGTCTCTGGGACATTTTTACTCATATAAATCACAAATATATTCTTATCACATTTCAATTGTTATAAGTATTTCAAAATATCACTGATAGTTCACAATCACAGCAGTTATTAGAACTGCCACAAAATCTTACTTAATATGTTAATAAAGAAGCACATATATTACTATTCTACTCATAAATGTTTTTTTATTTGGTAATTATGTATTTCAATATAATTGGCTGTTTTTGTAATCTTATATATTTTATTTTATGCATTTAAAAACTTTATGCCAAGAAAGGGGCCAGAGACCTCAGCTGACTGCCAAAAGCCAAAGGTGTCTGTGACATTAAAAAAAGTTAAGCACTCCTAGCTCAGTTCTCATTTTTGATATTTGTTAACTGATCACATGGATTTAAAGAAATTGAATACTAGGTGTAGATCGAGGTATACATTCAATGTGAAATCCTTCAAACTCTTGGAATTATTGTATGCACCACTCTTGGAGATAAGTATCCATTTCATTAAATGGAAGAATAATACAAAGTCCATAAAAATAGTTAATGTGTTACTATCATTTCACATAGTAGTAGCAATAATATTACATATAGTTTTAAATCTTCTACTATGTCCCTGCCGATTTTGATTGTTAAAATCACCCTCAAGATAATACTGTTACTTCTGTATTCTCATTTAATTGTCACATCTTTAAAGGGAACAAGCAGACCAGATTACATCCATGTTCCAGATGAGAAAACTGAGGTTCAGGAAAGCTGGAGGCCCCACAGTTGATCAGTGTAAAAAAAAAAAAAAAAAAAATATTTTAATCTCCACTTAACAAATGAGAAAACAATCTCTGAGAGATTAGGGAGGTTGCAGTAAGTGTCAGGGCTTGGATTTACATCTCATTTGGCCGGATTCAAAAACCTTGTGTATTTTGCACTGTGTCACGCGGCCTGCCTCACAACTCCTTTCTACAGATTATAAAGCTAAAGGATTGCTAGAAATGACACCCTGGTGTGCCTCTCCCCACCCCAAGAAAATTGTACTCAGTTGAATCACAGGGTGTACCCCAGGGAGAGGAAGATAACGCATTTCCAAAACTTTAGCACAGCTCAGTCCACTCGACAGCCCCAAGAGAGGGGGCGTGTCTTTGGGATATTAGCACTGCTTTCTCCTTCAGGCCCTGCCCACCTAGTCACTGGTGAGTCCAAAGCCTTCCCCCTCGCTCTGTCGAATCTCACGTACACAGCCCTTCCCAGATCGGGATGTGTGTTCTGAATCAAGTAATTCGCTATGGCATGCAAATCATTATATCATATAGATGTGTTTTTCAAAATCTGATTAATGGTCAGTGCTTGTATATCTTATTTCCCATTTATGGGAGGTAAACTTTATTCACCTGTGTGATTTTGAGAGGCAGAGAAGCATTTTCTCCTCACTTTTCATTCTTTTTGCTTTCTAATTTGCTATTAAGCTGTTGCATATCACAAACTAAGAGCATGATTGCTAATTCCATTAGAAGAGCAGATAGTAGTGGGAATCCTTGACCTCTTAAAAAGTGCCAGGCTTTCTGGGCACGGTGGCTCATGCCTGTTCCGAGCACTTTGGGAGGCCAAGGCGGGTGGATCACCTGAGGTCAGGAGTTCGAGGCCAGCCTGGCCAACATGGTGAAACCCTGTCTCTACTAAAAATACAAAAATTAGCTGGACATGTTGGCACGCGCCTGTAATCCCAGCCACTTGGGAGGCTGAGGCAGGAGAATCGCTTGAACCAGGGGTTGGGGGAGTGGGGAGGAGGTTGCAGTGAGCCAAGATCTCACCATTGTACTCCAGCTGGGCAACAAGAGCGAAACTTCGTCTCAAAAAAAAGTTCCAGGCTTTGGAGGGCTTGGGAAATTGTCCACGGAGTGTCCTCAAACTGCGAGCCCTCGTATGGTAGTACAGGCTCATCCTAACTACCCTACTTTTTTCTGGAAGCTGTCATTTTGGTCATTGTGGTAATACCATATTTAATCTGTTTCAACTCCAGCGAGATTTATAGTCTCTGATGTTGCTTTTGATTCTTCTCATGTGTTGCCTGCTTATTTGCAAACTGGTCTTCTTAATCCATGCTTAAACTCTGCATATCAATTAGTCTTTCTTTAACTATAATAATGAAACTGTCACAAACTCATGCATATTTAAACCTATTTTTTAAACTCATTTGCTTATCAGATCTATTTTAAGAGCATGGTCATATTCAGTTTTGCCTTCTGTCCCAAATCCTCACTCTCCTGTAACAGTCTCCATTTAAATGTTTACAAAGGATTTGTCCTTTTATATATTTTGCACATTATTTTGGTACTCCAGAGATAAAACCTAAAAGCAACAATACACTCTGCAAATTTGGTTTCACTTCCAAACAATATGATTGCCTCCCCCACCTCACACACACCAAAAAAGCTTTATCCCAGTCAACTTTCTTAAATATCTAGGCAAATATTATTGAACTATTAATACTTTCACTTGAAATGTATTACAAGGTATTAAATGTATTGTGTGTTACCTTATATAACACTGTAGTCTCCTTTAATTAACAGGTAGAGAGTTAACAGTAAAGTTAAATGTTGAACATCTGCAAGAAGAAGAGTTGAATTTACAGTTTTCTTTGTCATAGTGGCTTAAGAAAGATTTGAGAGAACAACGGAAGTATAATACTTTCCTTCCTCTCTTTTGTCTTTTCAGGCACTTCCACAACTTACAGAATCTTAGTTTGGCTTATTGCAGACGGTTCACAGACAAAGGCTTACAGTACCTGAACTTGGGGAATGGATGCCACAAGCTCATCTATCTGGACCTCTCTGGCTGCACCCAGGTTTGTCTTTCAGTCTTCTCTTTGCTGCGGTGTGTGAGGAAGTTCTCCAGAGAATGGGCTGCATTCAGCCCTCACGTTATACTAATGCTGTGCACGGACCGCAGCACACTTTTCAGAGGTTTTAAATTACATGGCCCCAGCTGCTGAAATTTTCCCCAGGATCGCTATTATAGGCTCTTGGCTTCCTTCCACTGGAGTGTCACACAGACAAACAGGCAGAGCTCATTGGATGAGGAAACGGACCACTTTTGTGGAGACAGTCTGAGCACAAGTCTAAAGCAGAGTCCAAGTCCTGAAAACTCTGGAGTTGCTACCAAGACACAAACAAAGAGAATGTTTTGAGGGAGAATTTTGCATGGGATTCCTGAAAAGTCAATTAACTCCCACATGGGTTTTTTTTTGGGGGGGGGGGGGTAAAATGCTATAAGTGATAAATAGGAAAAGAAAATACAACAAAAACTCATAATTTAAAAAATTGCATTACACCGTTGGGCTGAATAACATGAAGATTTGAGATCTGCGTGGGAAAATATTTTAAGTTTGAGGGAACAGGACTTGGAAAGTTGGGCAGAAAATTGGATCAAGTTGCAGAGGATAGGGCATGGCGCTTTGGATGTAGCTACTGCCTCATTGATAGTTTCTTCTGCTTTAATTTCAAAAGATTTAAGCCATAATTCTTTTAACTTATTTTCTTCTGCCTCTCTGTGTATTTTATTAATTTGGTGTCATAGTATGTTCATTATTCTATGAGAATAATAGCATAGGTGAGAACTGGCTGAAATATTGATAGTTATCATTTCTTGAGTCATTACCATATGCCAAGCATTGTGTTGAGTGCTATACACAGATCAGATTTACTTCTGATACAGTGCTGTGGTGGTATGTATTTACTATGCTTATTTACAAATGAAGAGACCAAGGCTCAGGGTGGTTGAATAAGTTGCCCAAGTTTGCACAGCTGATGAAAGCACATGGTACTAGTACAGTTTTAAGCATCTGTTGCTAGATACTGGGGCAGGCAGAGTTCCCTGGGATAGTGGGAAATACAGGGGCAGCATGGGTTTCTCCCCCAGGGTTCTTGAATGGATAGAATTCTTACCTAGTCACCTCCACTGACATCTTGTGGTATCCTGATGCCCTGGGTGGTCTGGAGGGAGTTGGGGCAAGGAGGGGAGGATTCTAAGTTAGGGCTGTAAACATCTAACATTCATATTTGTTTAAAACTGATCTGCTGATGTGTAGCTTTTTAAACATCAACATCTACCATAACTTTATGACTGAGATGGCATTGACGTTCTCCTCAGCATGACTGAATTTTAGACCAGCTTCTTACTGACTCTAGGCCCTGACTTCTTGTTTTCTTGTTTCTTAGAGCATTTGTTTTAGAAAACTTGGAATTATAAGTTCTTTCTCTGCCTACTTTGAGATGTCTTTTTAACAAAAGCTTCTTGACAGTTTTACAACTCAGGAAAGTCTTCCTCAAGGACCTGGGATCTATCCCTTTGATATATAATCATCAAAGAAGATATCTCTCAGTTCCTGTGGGTGGGTAGAAGCCTAACTTTGATGGGCACCAATTAGCAAATGCCAATGGCCCAATCACAGAGAAAAATATTTGCAAACTCAGGAACAACTTAATGTGCTTGACATATCCCACTGATAAGCCTGCCCCTTAACTATAAATCCTTCAGTACTTTTCTAACTCGCCGTTGTGCTTAAACCCTCCTCATGGTATGACTTACCTCCTTCTTCTTATCAATTTCTCAGTTACCATGAGGCAATTATTGTAGCAACAACACACAAATGTATACACAAGTGTCCTAAGGATAAATATTCTCAGACACAGTAAAGTTGAAATGAGAGGCTTCAAATCTATGACCTACTGCCCAGATATGCATACAAAACACACATAATTGGAGGAGGTGAAGCAAGATGGTGGAACAGAAGGCTCCACCCATTGTTCCCCACCCAAGGACACCAAGTTAACAACTATCTACAGAGAAAAAACACCTTTGTATGCTTTTAGGCTGGGCGCGGTGGCTCATGCCTGTAGTCCTGGCATTTTGGGAGGCTGAGGCAGAAGGATTACTTGAGGCCAGGAGTTCAAGACCAGCCTAGGCAACATGGTGGGACCCACGTCTCTACCAGAAATGCAAAAAATTGGCCAGGCATGGTGGTGCATGCCTCTGGTCCCAGCTGCCTGGGAGGCTGAGGTGGGAGGATTGACTGAGTTTGGGAGATTGAGGCTGCAGCGAGCTGTGATCCCACCACTGCGTTCCAGCCTGGGAGACAGAGTGAGACCTTGCCTCAAATAATTAAGTAAATTTGTTAATGCTTTTCTCTTGCACGCCTGTATTTTGTTAGGAGTGTTGGCTGTCACCCTTATGGGTGAAAAAAGGTATCATACCTTTCTGCCCCATGGTACTAACAGGACAGAGACCTCAGGTGTCTAATAGCTGCTTGGTGGTGGTAAGGGGTAAGAGGAGCAGTGCATGGGGATTCACGTGGTGTCTAAGAAGGTGGCATCCAGCAGGGCATAGGCTATTTACAGTTGAGAGCCCGTGACAAACTGGAAAACAGAGATTGGAGCCCGAGCCACGCTGAAGCACACACCAGGCTGAGAGCTTTTCCCAGGCATCGCATACAGCACTCCATGTGAATAAAGACCCCCTCCCCCCAACACACAAAGAAAAAAAAAAGAAAGAAAAAGAAAAAACACCTTCATAAGAACCAAAAATCAGATGAGCAGTCATCGTACCTGGTTTTAACTTCATATGACTGAAAGAGTCATTGAAGAGATAGAAACAATAGTCCTGAATCGCCAGTGCCACCCCTCCAACATGGTGCAGAGAGCCTCTCTGGGTGCTGGGGAAGGGAAAATACACCAATTGTGAGGCATTGAACTTAGTGCTGTCCTGTTGGATCAGAGAGGAAAACTGGACCAAACTCAGCTGATGCCCACCCACGGAGGGAGCATTTAACCCAGGCCTAGACACAGGGGAATTGCCAGTCCCAGCAGTCAGAACTTGAGTTCTACAAACCTCACCACTGAGGGCTACAGTGCGCTGTGCCTCCAGGTAAACTTGAAAGGCAGTCTAGGCCATAAGGACTGTAACCCTTAGGCAAATCCTAGTGCTCAACTAGGCACAGAGACAGTGGACTGAGGGGTACATGACATACTGAGACACCAGCTGGAGCAGCCAAGGGAGTACTGGCATTGCCCCTCAACCAGCCCCAAGCCTCACAGCTCATCGATCCAAAAGAGACCCCTTCCTTTCCCTTGAGGAGAGGAGAAGGACGAGTAGGGAGGACTTTGTCTTGCATCTTGGATACCAGCTCAGCCACGGCAGGATAGGGCACCAGTTAGAGTCATAAGGCCCTCGTTCCAGGTTCTAGCTCCCAAGTTACATTTCTAGACACACTCTGGGCCAGAAGGGAACCTGCTGCCTTGAAGGAAGGGACCCAGTCCTGGCAACATTCATCACCTGTTAACTGAAGAGCCCTTGGGCCCTGAATAACTAGCAGCAATACCCAGCTACTACATTGAGGGCCTTGGGTGAGCCTCTGTGACTTGCAGGCTTCAGGTGAGACTCAGCATATTACCAGCTAGGGTAGCTATGGGGCAAAACTCTTGCTTGCGAGGGAAAAGCAGTGGGGACAGTCTTACACCTTAGATACCAGCACGGCCACAGGAGGGTAGAGCACCGAGGCAGGTTCTTGGGGTCCGCGATTCCAGGACTTGACTCTTGTATGGCAATTCTGGACCTGCCTTGGGCCAGAGGGGAACCCACTGCCCTGAAGGATGAGTCCCAGGTGAGGCAGCATTCACCACAAGCTGACTTAAAAGCCCTTGGGCCATAAGAGAACATCATTGGTAGCCTGGCAATACTACTCATGGCCTGGGGTGGCGGTGGCTACAGGGTAAGGTTCCTCTGCCTTTGGAAAGGGGCAGAAGAGTGGGAAGGACTGCATCCTATAGTTTGCATGCCAGCTCAGCCGCAGTGCAATAGAACACCAAGTAGACTTCTAAGGTTTTTGACTCTAATCCCTGATTCCCAGAGGGCACCTAAGGACTCACCTGGGGTCTGGGGGACCTCACCACCCTGAAGAGGAGGACACAGGCCTGGCTGGCCTTGCCACCTGCTGATTGTAGAGCCCCAGGGCCTTGAGTGAACAATGGCAGTAGCCAGGAAGTGGTTACAGCAGGCCTTGGGCAAGACCCAGTGCTGTGATAGCTACAGGTCTGACCCAGTGCAATCATAGTGGTGGAGGCCACAGGGGTGCTTGTTTCACTCTACCACCAGTTTTGGGTGGTTCAGAACAGAGAGACTCTGTTTGGGAAACAGAAGGGAAGAGAACAAGAGCCTCTGCCTGGTAATCCAAAGAATTCTTCCAGATCTTGTCCCAGACCAACAGGGTGGTACCTTGACAAGTGTGCGAGAACCACAGCATTACTGGGCTTGGGGTGCCCCCTAAAGCAGATACAGCTTAGATTACAACACTCAAGTCCTTTCAAATATCTGGAAGGCCTTCCCAAGAAGGATGGCTACAAATAAGCCCAGGCAGTGAAGACTACAATAAATACCTAACTCTTCAATGCCCAGACACCGAAGAATACTGGCATCAATACCATCCAGGAAAACATGACCTTACCAAATGAACTAAATAAGGCACCAAGGGGCAATCCTGGAGAAACAGAGATATGTAATCTTTCAGACAGAGAATTCAAAATAGCTATGTTGAGGAAATTCAAATTAATTCAAGATAACACAGAGAAGAAATTCAGAATTCTATCAGATAAATTTAACAAAGAGATTGAAATAATTAAAAAGAAACAAATTCTGGAGCTGAAAAATGCAATTGGTATATTGAAGAATGCATCAGAGTCCTTTAATAGCAGAACTGATCAAACAGAAGAATTAGTGAGCTTAAAGACTGTTTGAAAATATGCAGTCAGAGGAGACAAAATAAAAAAGAATGAGTCTTTATAGCAGCATGATTTATAATCATTTGGGTATATACCCAGTAATGGGATGGCTGGGTCAAATGGTTTTTCTAGTTCTAGATCCTTCAGGAATCGCCACACTGTCTTCCACAATGGTTGAACTAGTTTACAGTCCCACCGACAATGTAAAAGTGTTCCTATTCCTCCACATCCTCTCCAGCACCTATTATTTCCTGACTTTTTAATGATCATCATTCTAACTGGTGTGAGACGGTATCACATTGTGGTTTTGATTTGTATTTCTCTGATGGCCAGTGATGATGAGCATTTTTTTATGTGTCTGTTGGCTGCATAAATGTCTTGTTTATTGCGGCACCCTTCACAATAGCAAAGACTTGGAACCAACCCAAATGTCCATCAATGATAGACTGGATTAAGAAAATGTGGCACATATACACCATGGAATACTATGCAGCCATAAAAAGGGATGAGTTCATGTCCTTTGTAGGGACATGGATGAAGCTGGGAACCATCATTCTCAGCAAACTATCGCAAGGACAGAAAACCAAACATCGCATGTTCTCCCTCATAGGTGGGAGTTGAACAGTAAGAACACTTGGACACAGGGTGGGGAACATCACACACCGGGGCCTGTTGTGGGGGGGCGGGAATGGGGGAGAGATAGCATTAGGAGATATACCTAATGTAAATGATGAGTTAATGGGTGCAGCACACCAACATGGCACATGTATACATATGTAACAAACCTGCACATGGTGCACATGTACCCTAGAACTTAAAGTATAATAATAAAAAAAAAGAATGAAAAACAATGAAGCACACCTACGGGATCTAGAAAATAATTTCAAAAGGGCAAATCTAAGAATTGTTGGCCTTAAGGAGGAGGTAGACAAAGAGATAGAAGTAGAAAGTTTTTTCAAAGGGAAATAACACAGCCTGGCCAACATGGTGAAACCCTGTCTTTACTAAAAATATAAAAATTAGCCAGACGTGGTGGTGGGTGCCTGTAATCCCAGCTACTCAGGAAGCAGAGGCAAGAGAATTGTTTGAACCCGGGAGGTGGAGGTTGCAGTGAGCCAAGTTTGTGCCACTGCACTCCAGCCTGGGCAACAGAGCGAGACTCAGTCTCAAAAAACCAAAAAAAACAAAAACAAACAAACAAAAAAAACCCAATCAAACAAACAAACAAAAACCAAAGGGATAATACCAGAGAACCTCCAGAAACCTAGAGAAAGATGTAAATATCCAAGTACAAGAAGGTTATAGAACATCAAGCAGATCTAACCCAAAGAAGACTACTTCAAGGCATTTAATAATCAAGCTCCCAAAGGTCAAGGACAAAGAGAGGATCCTAAAGGCACCAAGAGAAAAGAAACAAATAACATACAATGGAGCTCCAATACATTTGGCAGCAAACTTTTCAGTGTAAACCTTACATGCTAGAAGAGAATGACATGCCATTTTTAAAATGCTGAAGGAAAAAAACTTTTACCCTAGAATAGTATGTCTGGTAAAAATATCCTTCAAACATGAGGGAGAAATAAATACTTTCCTAGACAAAAGCTGAGGGACTTCATCAACTGTCCTGTCCTACAAGAAATGCTAAAGGGAGTACTTCAATCGGAAAGAAAAGCAAGCAATAAATAATCACCTGAAGTTGCAAAACTCACCAGTAATAGTAAGTACACAGAAAAGCACAGAATTTTATAACACAATAACTGTGGTGTGTAAACTACTCTTATCCTAAGTAGGAAGACTAAATGATGAACCAATTAAAAATAACTACAACAACTTTTCAAGACATAATCAGTACAATGAGATATAAATAGAAGCATCAAAAAGTTAAAAAGTGGGGCAGGGGGACAAAGTTAAAGCATAGTGATATGGTTTGGCTGTGTCCCTGCCCAAATCTCATCTTGAATTCCCATGTGTTGTGGGAGGTAATTGAATCATGGGGGCAGGTCTTTCCCATGCTGTTCTCATGATAGTGAATAAGTCTCACAAGATCTGATGGTTTTATCAGGGGCTTCCGCTTTTGCATCTTTCTCGTTTTTTTCTTGCTGCCGCCATATAAGAAGTGCCTTTTGCCTCCCGCCATGATTCTGAGGCCTCCCCAGCCATGTGGAACTGTAAGTCCAATTAAACCTCTTTTTCTTCCCAGTCTCAGGTACGTCTTTATGAGCAGCATGAAAACGGACTAATACACATAGAATTTTTATTAGTTTTTGTATGTTTATTTGTTTGTTTATGCAAACAGTGTTGTTATCAGGTTAAAACAATGGGTTTATAGGTTAGTATTTGCAAGCCTTATGGTAACTTCAAGCCAAAAATCATACAGTAGATACACAAAAAACTAAAAAGCAAGAAATTAAATAATATCACCAGAGAAAATTGCCTTCAGTTGAAGAAGACAGGAAGGAAAGAAAGAAGAAAAAGACCACAAAACAACCAGAAGACAGATAACAAAATAGCAGGAATAAGTAGGTCCTTACTTATCAATAATAATATTGAATGTAAATGGACTAAACTCTCCAATGAAAAGATATAGAATGGCTGAATGGATGAAAAAACAAGATACATTGATCTCTTGCCTACAAGAAACAGACTTCATCTATAAAGACACACATGGACTGAAAATAAAAGAATGGAGAAAGATATTCCATGCCAATGAAAACCAAAAAAGAATGGGAGTCACTATACTTATATCAGACAAAATAGGTTTTAAGACCAAAACTATAAGAACAGACAAAGAAGGTCACTATGTAATGATAAAGAAGCCAATTCAGCAAGAAGATATAACAATTTTAAATATATATGCACCCAACACTGGAGCACCCAGATATGTAAAGCAAATATTATTAGTGCTGGAGAGAGATGGACCCCAATACAATAGTAGCTGGAAACTTCAACACCCCACTTTCAGCATTGGACAGATCTTCCAGACAGAAAAGCAACAAAGACACATCAGACTTAATCTGCACTATAGACAAAATGGATCTGATAGATATTTACAGAACACTTCATCCAAGAGCTGCAGAATACACATTCTTTTCCTCAGGACATGGATCATTCTCAAGGATAGATCATATGTTAGTTCACAAAACAAATCTTAAAACATTCAAAAAAACTGAAATAATATCAAGCATCCTCTCTGACTACAATGGAATAAAACTAGAAATTAATAGCAAGTAGAATTTTGGAAACGATACAAATATGTGGAAGTTAAACAATATGCTCCTGAATGACCAGTGGGCCAATGAAGAAATTAAGAAGGAAATTGAAAAATTTCTTGAAACAAATGATAATGGAAACACAACATACCAAAACCTATGGGATACAGCAAAAGCAATACTCAGGGAAGTTTATAGCTATAAGTGCCTACATCAAAAAAGAGGAAAAACTATAAATAAACAATCTGATGATGCATCTTAAAGAACTAGAGAAGCAAGAGCAAACCAAACCCAAAATTATTAGAAGAAAAGAAATAAAGATCAGAGGAGAAGTAAATGAAACTGAAATGAAAAAACCAATACAAAAAGATCAATGAAATGACAACAAAAAAAGATCAATGAAACAAAAAGTGGGTTTTTGAAAAGTTAAACAAAGTTGACAAATGTTTAGCAAGATTAAGAAAAAAAATAACACCAACATGGCACATGCATACATATGTAACAAACCTGCACGTTGTGCACATGTACCCTAGAAATTAAAGTATAAAAAAAAAGAAAAAGAATAAAAGAGAGAAGATCCAAATAAATAAAATCAGAATGAAAACTGAGACATTACAACTGTTACTGCAGAATTCAAAGGATCATTAGTGGCTGCTATGATCAGCTATATGCTAACAAATTTGAAAATCTGGAAGAAAGGGACAAATTCCTAGACACATACAAGCTACCAAGATTAAACAGGGAAGAAATCCAAAATCTGAACAGACCAATAATAAGTAATGATATTGAAGCTGTAATAAAAAGTCTCCCAGTAAAGAAAAGCTTGGGACCTGATGGTTTCACTGCTGAATTCTACCAAACATTTAAAGAAGAACTAATACCAATCCTACTCAAACTATTCTGAAAAGTAGAGGAAGAAAGAGTACTTCCAAACTAATTCTATGAGGCCAGTATTACCCTGATGCCAAAACCAGACAAAGATACAGCAAAAAAAAAAAAAAAAAAAAAAAGAAAAGAAAAGAAAACTACAGGCCAATATCTCTGATGAATATTGATGCAAAAATCCTCAAAAAACTACTAGCAAACTGAATTCAACAATACATTAGAAAGATCATTCAACATGACCAAGTGGGATTTATCCCTGGGATGCAAGGATGGTTCAACATATGCAAATAAATCAATGTGACACATAGCATCAACAGAATGAAGGATAAAAACCATATAATCATTTCAGTTGATGCTGGAAAGCATTTGATCAAATTCAACATCTCAACGTAGCATTATGGAGCAGGAGAGAAAAAAAATTAAAAAAAATTCAATATCCCTTCATAAGAAAAACCCTCAAAAAACTAGGGATAGAAGAAACATACCTCAACATAATAAAAACAATGTATGACAGGCCCACAGCTAGTATCATACTGAATAGGGAAAAACTGAAAGCCTTTCTTCTTAAGATCTGGAACATGATAAGGATGTCCACTGTCACTACTGTTATTCAACATAGTACTGAAAGTCCTAGCTAGAGCAATCAGACAAGAGAAAGATATAAAGAGCATCCAAATTGAAAAGGAAGAAGTCAAATTATCCTTGTTTGCAGATGATACGATCTTATATTTGGAAAAACCTAAGGTCTACACAAGAAAACTATTAGAACTGATAAATTCAGTAAAGTCACAGGATAAAAAATTGACCTACGAAAATTAGTAGCATTTCTATATGCCAACAGTGAACAATATGAAAAAGAAATAAAAATGTAAACCCACTTACAACAACCATACATTAAGTTAAATAACTAGGAATTAACCAAAAAAGTAAAAGAGGTCTATAATGAAAACTATGAAACACTGATGAATAAATTAAAGAGGACACCAAAAATTGGAAAAACATTCTGTGTTCATGGATTGGAAGAATTGATATTGTTAAAATGTCCATACTACCCAAAGCAATCTACAGATTCAATGAAATCCCTATCAAAATACCAGTGACATTCTTCACAGAAATAGAAAAAAAAAATCCTAAAATTTATATGGAACGACTAAAGACCCAGAATAGCCAAAGCTATCCTAAGCAAAAAGAACAAAACTAGAAGAATCACATTACCTAACTTCAAATTAGCAGAAGTAAAGTAACCAAAACAACATGGCACTGACATAAAAGCAGACACATAGACCAATAGAACAGAATAGAGAACCCAGAAACAAATCTATACACCGACAGTGGACTCATTTTCAGCAAAGGTGCCAAGGACACACACTGAGGAAAAGACAGTCTCTTCAATAAGTGGTGCTGGGAAAACTGGATATCCATATGGAGAAGAATAACACTATATACATAATGTATGCAAAAATCAAATCAAAATGGATTAAATATTTAAATCTAAGACCTCAAACTTTGAAACTACTACAAGAGAACATTGGAGAAAATCTCCAGGACATTGATCTGGGCAAAGATTTCTTGAGCAATACCCCACAAGTACAGGCAACCAAAGCAAACATGGACAAATGAGATCACATGAAGTCGAAAAGCTTCTGCACAGCAAAGGATACAATCAACAAAGTGAAGAGACAACCCACAGAATGGGAGAAAATATTTGCAAACTACCCATCTGACAAGGAATTAAAAAACAAAATATATAAGGAGCTCAAACAACTTTATAGGAAAAATTCTAATAGTTCTATCAAAAAATGGGCAAATGATGCAATAGACATTTCTCAAAGAAAACATACAAATGGCAAACAGGCATATGAAAAGGTGCTCAACATTATTGATCATCAGAGAAATGCAAATCAAAACTACAATGAGATATCATCTTACCCCCGTTAAAATGGCTTTTCTCCAAAAGTTAAGTAATAACAAATGCTGGTGAGGATGTGGAGAAAAGAGAACCATAGTACACTGCTGGTGGGAATGTAAATTAGTACAACCACTATGGAGAACAGTTTGGAGGTTCCTCAAAAAACTAAAAATTGAGCTATCATATGATACAGCAATTCCACTGCTGGGTATATACCCAAAAGAAAGGAAATCAGTATATCAAAGAGAAATCTGCACTCCTATGTCTGTTGCAGCACTGTTCACAACAGCTAAGACTTGCAAGCAACCTAAGTGTCTATCAGCAGATGACTGGAAAAAGAAAATGTGGTACATATAGACAATGCAGTACTATTCAGCCATAAAAAAGCATGAGATCCAGTCATTTGCAACAACAGGGATGGAACTGGAGATCATTATGTCAGGCACAGAAAGAAAAACATCCCCCATCACTTATTTGTGAGATGTATTTAAAAAAATTGCATATTCTCACTTATTTGTGGGATCTAATAAAAATCAAAACAATTGAACTCATGGGCATAGAGAGTAGAAGGATGATTACCAGAGGCTGGGAAGGATAATGGGGCTTTGAGGTTGAGGTGGAAATGGTTAATGGGTTATAAAAAAAATAGAAAGAATAAGATATACTATTTGATAGCATAACAAGGTAACTATAGTCAATAATACTTAATTGTACATTTTAAAAGAACTTGAGTGTAATTGGGTTGTTTGTAACTCAAAGTATAAATGCTTAAGGGGATGGATACCACAGTCTCCATAGTGTGCTTATTTCACATTGCATGCCTGTATCAAAACATTTCATGTAACCCATAAATATATACACCTACTATGTACCCACAAAAATTAAAAATAAAATAAATACTGCAAAACACACATAATCTGTCTTTAAATTTCAAGCCAATATGTAAAATTTTGGAGTTTTCACAAAACATTCTAGATTTCAAGCTTCTCTTTAAAAATGGGAAGAACTAGCAGAATTGGACCTGCATTTCCATATGGCCACAATGGGCTGGAGCTAAGTCAGCCTCCCTCCCTCGAGATGGACCACTGTTTGCCAACCTCTCCTCCACTCAGTAAGGTCAGCACAAGCATTCACACCTGGACTGCTACCACTTAATCGCATTGCCTGCCTGGCCTCAGTAAGTATTTGAGTTTCTAAATGTGTAAAGAATTGAATTCCTTTCCTAATCACTTCTTAATTTGTAAGCCTCAAAACACAATGAAGTTAGTATTTCACATCATTATGCAAAACAATGTTAGTTTCTTTCATTCATCCCTTTTTCATTTCCATCTGTTCATTTAATAATTCAGTAGTATTTACCTCTAAGTGTCAGGCACTGTTTCAGGCACTAGAAATTGTGGAGTTTGAAATTGAGCCCCTTTAGGCCCAGTGAGAGTAAGAAATGGGTTCGTCGTGAAGCACAGATATCTTAGTAATTGCTGCTGCTGTAGCTTCATGAAGAACCGGTGAAGTTTGAATGTTACTGCTTCTGAGTGACTTATTAAGTCTTTTGAGGAGGCTCTATCTACCTCTTCAGCTCTGGGTGTAGTACAAAAATAGCTTCATAGAAGGAAAATTGACAATTCATAGATGTTTAAGGTTTTCACCTCGAAGAGGTTCTCTCTTGGAAACTAGAATCTATTTTCTTTTTATAAATTTGGAATGTTGTATTAGGAAGTTATATGTTAATATATGTGACCAAGAAAAAAGGTCTCAATAAAACAAAAAGCCTTGAGAATAGGAGCTTACACCTAAATGCTTTTTGCTGGCATTTGTTGAGTGCCTGATGCATACTGGGCACTGCGATGAATAAAACAGCCTCCCTGTCCTTTAGGAGCTCTGGATTAACGTAAACAAAATATGTCATGGACTAAACTTTAATGCCCACTGCTGTTGTCCAAAAACAGGAAAAATGTATTTATATGATATTATGAAAGAAGTTTAACTATATTTCTTAGAAAAAATAAATGATGATGAAGAGCTGCAATAAAAAGTGAAAATCAATTACATATGTTTTAGAAGTATTCTGAATTATTTTGGGATTATTTTATTATTTTATTTTATTTTTTTGAGATGGAGTCTCACTCTGTCACCCAGGCTGGAGTACAGTGGTGTGATCTCGGTTCACTGCAGCCTCCACCTCCTGGGTTCAGGCAATTCTCCTGCCTCAGCCTCCTGAGTAGCTGGGATTACAGGCATGCACCACCACGCCCAGCTAATTTTTGTATTTTATTGGCCAGGCCAGTCTCGAATTCCCAACCTCAGGTTGCCCACCTCGTCCTCCCAAAGTGCTGGGATTACAGTCATGAGCCACCGTGCCCAGCCTCTTTGGGGATTAGATACACACTGTAGGTTCTTTAATTAACATGACTGATTTTCTAATGAATATCATAACTTGCAAATGTACTTACATTGTACTGGTATTAGTATTTTCCCATGGCTACTAGTCATTTGATCCAGGCCTGGTCAATCATAAATTCCATCTTCAGGGGTTAAGATTTGTCCAGGAAGGGCATGTAACCCTAACAAAACCATTCAGAATCTTCTGGATACTTAACATTGGGAAATATAGATTCTGTGCTCCCTGAGTTTGCAGGGCCTGGAGCGTATAGGTCTAGGCCACTTTGTGGTTCTCTTCTCCAGCAGCACAGAAGAAATTTGTTTGCTGTGGGAGAGAGAATGAAATCTTCACAAAGAAGCCTACCAAGAGGGAGAGATGATATGTTTGAAGAGAGATGATATGTTGTTTAACTGGACTTGCGATTGAAGACACCATTCATTCCCATTCTAGCTAAGCTAGCTTATGTTGGGTCTCCATCATTGCAATTGAAAGAAACTGATACAACTCTGTTGAGTCTGTAATTTCTATTTAGCTTTCATTTGGGGTTTAAAAGAATACTTCCAGACTGGGCACGGTGGCTCACGCCTATAATTCCAGCACTTTGGGAGGCCAGTGGACAGATCACTTGAGGTCAGGAGTTTGAGACCAGCCTGGCCAAAATGGTGAAACCCTGTCTCTACTAAAATTCAACAGTTAGCCAAGTATGGCGGCGCAAGTCTGTAATCCCAGCTACCCAGGAGGCTGAGGCAGGAGAATCGCTTGAACCCGAAGATGGAGGTTGCAGTAAGCCGAGATTGTGCCACTGCACTTCAGCCTGGGCGGCAGAGTGAGACTCTGTCTCAAAATAAATAAATAATTAATTAAATTAAATTAAATAAATAAAAATAAAAGAATACTTCCAGATGTGCTTTAGGGAGAGCCTTACTCGAGAAAATCACTGAAGTGCAAGAGAGAAAGTTGTGAAGGTTTCTCACCATTAGTCACATGCTCATGTTTGACGATGTATCTGAATTTGTTGCTTTCAACATGCTTGTGATTGACCGCAGAGCAATCCTTAACATCCAGGATGCCAGATGAAATCTACTTCCCACTTTGCTGGCACTGACAGTTGGGACCTAGTGAACAAAGAAACTTCCCTAATGACTTTTTTGGGGTAAGTTTGGCCAAAATATAATACAGAAAAGTGGCCAGGCACGGTGGCTCATGCTTGTAATCCCCACACTTCGGGAGACTGAGGTGGGAGGATTGAGACCCAGGAGTCCAAGACCAGCCTGAGCAACATAGGGGAGACCCTGTCTCTACAAATAATAAAAAAAGTTAGCTGGGCATGGTGGCACATGCCTGTAGTCTGAGGCTGCGGTGAGCCATGATTGCGCCACTGCACTGCAGCCTGGGTGACAGAATGAGATCCTGTCTCAAAAAGAGAGAAGAAAAGAAAAGTATACAAAGTTCTATGAACATTCATGTACGTTGCTTTTGGTGAACACAGCAGACATTTTTGTTTGATATATATATGTTTGTGTATTTATATATACATGGATATATATGTATACACACAATATATACATGGGTGTATATATACACATATATATGTATGTGTGTGTGTGTATAGGAGTCGAGTGGCTGGGTTGTCAGGTGTGTTTGTTTGGCTTTAGTTGATATTGTTAGTTTTACAAATTGGTTGTGCCAATCCTAATGACACTTTTATGATTTAGAAAACTTAGAGATGTGGTTTCTGCAGGAAAGCTGATGCTGTGGCGCCCCATACTTACTCCCTATTTTTACCCATGTAATTAATTTTTATAGCAATGTTATAAGTATATTACAAAAGGAGTGGGAGAACAGCATTCAAACTTGGAGTGGGTTTTTATGCTGATAAATATTCATTCCTTCTCAGAAACTAGCAATAAGTATTAAAGTCATCTTATATTCACTTCCACAGTAACTAAGTTTCACTCAATTCTCCTTTTTTCAAATATTCTTTGATCAAAGTGTCAGATCTCAATAAGGAATTCCTATGGTGACTATTCTCACTAAAAGAAGTTAAGAAGTTTAAAAATACTGTGTTTCCTCTGCAATATTGTGCAGGAAAGAAAAAGAACTCAAGGGAAAAAACATAACCAGGGATTTCTATTTTATTTCACATTGGATTTATTTTGTTTATTTTGGAACTCAGATACCAAGAGCAGATTTAATTATACTCCTCAGTTCATGGCAAACTTCCATAATCAGTCTGTGCAGGGCCCCTCTCTTGTTTAATTTTATTTCCTTTTGTTCGTATTTCCCATTTATATTCCCCTCCCCCTACACAAGCAACCCCTCTAATTTATGTTTCCTTAAATCTCTATGCATTCTTGTGTTCTCATAAATTATATCGTGCTATAGATTTTATTTTTCTCTTTTCCTACTTTTAATAGTATTTGTTAAAGTGCCTCTTTAAGTTACCTCTTCATCTCTCAATCCCTTAAGCACAGAGGGCCCCAGGGTTCAGTCCTTGATCCATTTCCCTTCTCCAGCTATACCTACTCCCTTGATGATCTCATCTTGTCTCATGGCTTTATATCACCTACAATAACAAGCACTCATATATATATAAAATCATATATATACACACATATACCATATTTCCTCATATAGATACACACATATACATATATATAAAATATATGTATTTAAAAGTATATGTATCTCATGTATATGATTTATATATCTCCAACCCAGACATTTCTCTCAAAATTTAGACTCTTGTATCTTAAAAAAAAAAAATTCCTGCTCCTTGCTCCACTACAGCCCTCCCCATCTCAGTTAATGGCAGCTCCATCTTTATAGATGCTTAGGCCAAAAATCTAGGCACCATCTATTATGGATTGATGGAATCCATTGTTCATTGATGGAATGAACAACATTTATATGTTGAAGTCCTAACACCCAATAGTACCTCAGAATATGACCTTATTTGGAAATAGGGTAATTGCAGATGTAATTAATTCAGATGAGGTCATTTAGGGTGGAACCTAATCCAGTATGATGGCTGTTCTTTTGCAAGAAGGAAATTTGGACACAGACACAAGCATACAGGGAGAATGCTATGTGAACCTGAAATGGCTAACTGTAAGCCAAGGAGAGGGGCCTGGGACAAATCCTTCCTCACAGCCCTCAGAGGGAACCAACTTTGCCAACACCTTGATCTCAGACTTTGTGCCTCCAGAACCAGAGAATACATTTCTGTTGTTGAAGCCATCCAGTTTGTGGTACTTTATTACAGCATGTCTAGCAAACTAAGACATTACCCTTGACTCTTTTCTCTCACTCCACATCCACTCTGTTAGGAAGTGCAGTTGACTATTCCTGCAGAATCTAATCAGGATCCAACCACCATCTCCACAGCCACCACCCCAGTCCAAGTTACCATGATCTCTTGCCTGGTTATTCCAATAGCCTCCTAACTGGCCTTTCTGCTTTCACCCCTGCCTCCTGCAAGTCTACTTTCAACATAATATCTAGAGGCATCCTTTAAAAACCCAAGTCAATGTCCTTCCTCTGCTTAAGTACCTGGCAAGCCTTCTTATTCATTTAATAAAAGAAAAGCCTTGGAAGGACCTACAAGGCCCTGAGAAATCTGTCTCATCTTCCAGTTGCCCCTTTGACAGTATTTCTTGTTCTCCTTCTTGCCAACTCTACTCCAGCCACTCTGGCTTCTTTTCTATTCTTCAAAAACATAAGCAGGCTCATGCTGCAGGGTTTCACACTGGCTGTTCCCCTGTCTGGAATCTTTCTACAGATATCTTCGTGGTTAACTTCCTCTAAGTCTTTCCTTAAATATTCCCATGAATGAATGGATAAAATGTACTAGCTAAAATGCTCCAAGGAGATTCACATTAGTTCCCAGTTCATTTCAGAGCTCTCTAAAATATGTCCGTGTTTCTCTTGGAGTCTCAGAATGGAAAATATGAGTAGGAGAAAGAGTTTTAATGGGGAGAACAAAGCTATCCTACTTGTACATGAGAAAGTGCCAATTGGGAGGGTGATGATTCCTGGTTTTACTTTCCCTTTATCCTCTGCTCTGTTTATGTGTAACTCCAACAATTCTCCCATTGACATTATCATGGGGTAGCCACTTTCCCTACAGATTCATGTATCTTCAACTGTGTGCAACGATGGGTTATGGCCCTCTGCAGGAAGCCAGGCATGGAACAACCAGACATGCTGGGAAGCAAGGCTGAGGCCCACTCAAGCTCAGGTTCAAGCCCAAATGCCTAGAAACCAACAACTCTGAATGTGGAGTTGGAGAAGAAGCTGGATGAAAAGTGAGGAGTTTGGACCGTGTTTCAGATTTATATGTTTACATTTAGGATAGTGAAACCAGACAGTAGGGGAGCTTGCCATAGGGGTTTCTGCTTCGGTGCCTCCCCTGTTCTTCATTTCCAGCCTCAGTTGTTTCACTAGGCTCACCTTTTGCCCTCTGCCTGGACATCCTGCTACTGTCCCTTTCCTCCATTCACCACATTAACTTGCACTTATCCTTCAAGGTTCTGTTCAATCACAGCCTTCTCTAGAAGGGCCTCACTAAGCCGTTCCTTGCCCTATTCCAAGCTGGGTTAGTATCCCTCTTGTGTATACTTTTATCATTGTACTTTTCACTAAGCATTCTCTACATATTCAATTATCTGCTTGCTTGTCTGCTCTCCTTCCCAAGGTAAGCTCTTTGAAAACAGGGATGGTGCCTTATATAATTGTGTATCTGTATCCTTAGCAAATAATACAATACCTGGCTCATAGTAGGACTTTGATAAGCTTGACAAATGAATGAATGAGACTGTGGCCAATTTCAGGGCATGCCTCCCCAGGTGCTTCAGGTGGAAGCTCAGGATGCCTGTTACGTAGTGGGAAGTTGGTAACTTGCTAGAGCAAGGCTTGATGATCTCTTTTCTTGGTAAGGTCAAGTCTGATATTTCTTTAAATTTACAGAAAGAAAAGTGCCTAGGAAGCTATGAAATATAAAATGAAAGTATTTTCTCTCTCTCTCTCTCTTTTTTTTTTTTTTTAAGAGACAAAGTCTTTCTCTGTGACCCAGGCTGTAGTACAGTGGTGTGATCATAGCTCACTGTAGCCTCAAACTCCTGGGCTCAAGGGATCCTCCTGCCTCAAGCCTCCCAAGTAGTTGGCATTACAGGCGCATGCTACCAAGCCTGGTTAATTCTTTTCAAATTTTTTTTCTAGAGACGGGTCTCAATATGTTGTCCAGGCCAGTCTAAAACTCATGGGCTCAAGCAATCCTCCCACCTCAGCCTCCCAAAGTGCCAGGATTACAGGCATGAGTCACCATGTGCACTCTATTTTTTCACCAATTATATTTTAATCACTATACACAAATCAACAAAAAATGAAAAGGGACAGTATTCTAGGAATGTTCAAATGATTATAATACTCAATGCAGTAATAATGGCTTATCAGTTCTTGTACTGTTAAATCTCTCTAGAGCCCACGAAACTTAAAGGTAGGCTGTACAAACTGCAAACTGGAAGATTCCAAGGTCATTTCAGTTCTCTCTAGGTTACATAAATTCCAACCTTCTCCTTTCAGAGAAGCAGAGATCATGGAAGGTCTTACTTGTTCACCCCTGGGATTTGTGTTGGAGGTTGGAGAAAGCCACACAGGCATGTCCAGGGATGAATGTACTAGCCAAATTGAATGGAGATTGCATAAGCAAAGCAAGAGTCAGGGGAGGAATTTCTTTGTCTCTTTCTTTTCTTTTCTTTCCTCTTTCTTTTCTTTCCTCTTTCTTTCTTTCCTCTTTCTTTCTTTCTTTCTCTCTTTCTTTCTTTCTTTCTTTCTCTTTCTCTGTCTCTCTCTCTCTTTCTTTCCCCTCCCTCCCTTCCTTCCTCTCTTTCTTTTTCTTTCTTCCTCTCCGCCTCTCTTCTCTCCCTTCGCCTTTCCCTTCCCCTTCTTCTCCCCCTCCCCCATTCCCTCCTCATCCTTCTCCTTTCTTTCTTTTTTTTTTTTTTTTTGAGACAGAGTCTTGCTCTGTCACCCAGGCTGGAGTGCAGTGGTGTGATCTCGGCTCACTGCAAGCTCCACCTCCCAGGTTCACACCATTCTCCTGCCTCAGCCTCCCCAGCAGCTGGGACTACAGGTCCCCGCCACCACACCTGGCTAATTTTTTTTGTATTTTTAGTAGAGATGGGGTTTCACTGTGTTAGCCAGGATGGTCTCAATCTCCTGACCTTGTGATCCGCCCGTCTCGGCCTCCCAAAGTGCTGGGATTACAGGCGCGAGCCACCGCGCCCAGCCTCTCCTTTCTTGAAGTTAGGAGACCTGGGATCTATTTCTTGTTATGCTACTAACCAGTTGTGTAACCTTGGAGTTACTTGGTTTTTCTGCCTCGATTCCTTCACCTGTAGAATGGCTAGGCTGGGCTAAATAACCTCTAAGGTCTTTTTCAGCTTTAGGATTTTGTGTTTCTAAATGGTAACTAGACAAGATAACCAAAAAAGGAGCAAGATTGGAGAAAAAAGAATAGTGAATCTTATTTTGGAAAGGCCAAATTTCAGGTTGCTGTGATACATCTGGGTACAAATGACAAGAACAAATTGGAAGTAGAAGTCTGGTCCTTGGAAGAGAGCTGGGAGTGAAGGTATAGATTTGGAAGTCTGTCAATAAACGTTAATTGGAACAACAAGAGTTTTGTGACCAGCTAAACCAGTTGTGAATGACCAGATTATGTATCAAAATGAATTGGAAACAGTTAAATTCAAAACTGTGATGCACTTATATTTGGCTGATTCCATTTTCCTTTATTGTATGGAATAATAAAGGGCAGGAAAAGCCTGACTTTTTAGTGTTGGCTGAATTCTATGGTGTAAATACTCTCACCATGGCCTATTTTAAGCTACCAACAGGAAGTTGGGAAGAGATATGCAGTAGCACATTATTGTGTAATATTCTAGAGAAATGATAGACATTAATATCCTCAAGAACATAGATAATGCTAATGTGGTAAAAATGAGGAAGTGACACATTTTGAGTATGTACTACCTTGGTTTTTAATATAAGAATATCATTTGTGAAACTAAAGTGCTATACTACATATGGTTAAAAAAATTGTTGCATTTTGTATTTGAAAAAATATGTGGTTTTAAGTATCATTTAATAAGGAGGAGTTCTAGTGGAAAAGTAGTTATGAGTCAAAAAAATCACAGTGCAATTCCTGCTTTTCTGGGTCAGTTATTGTGCCTCAGTTTCCCTGTTAGAGGAATGGTTTGTGTCCTTTCTGAACCAGACTTCAACCTGTGTTGAAAAAAAATTGTAGAATTTATGAAAACATTTTTATATATCTTGTAAATCGGACTTATATAAATTTAAATGGTTGTTAAAATTATTCATTGGAACATAACAGTTATGTTCATAGTGAAAATTAAAAATTAAAGAAAGTAACAAACACCTATTGTTTAACATCCACAGCTTAATATAATCTCTTTGTAGGCAAAATGTATAAGGATGTTTATTATATTAAGTGGTAAAAATGAAACATCTGGCAAAAATTTTTAGATCTTGAAGAATCAGATGACAAAGTGATGAGTCTCAGGGGACTAAGATCGTGTTTCCTATTCCTGAAAAAAGGGTTTGAAAAAATTTTATTCTTTCTGGAAACATACTTATTTTGGTTTCTTATTCTCTTCTCCCTATCTTGTGAAATGACACAGAATTTCATGAACTGCTTACAAAACTCTATTTTGGTCTTGGACCTGGGTGAGCATGTGGTTAGAACTGTAGCTGTAAAGCCACCATCTAGTTCAATAAATCTAGACAAACCAAGTAGCTCTGTGGATCATTGTGTTGTAAGAAAAAAGTATTATGGTTGTGATTTTCTCAGTAATACAAGGGAAACTATGAACAATTTGGCCACTGGTTGAGGAAAAGAACCAATTAGTGTATTCTAGAATGGCAAAGTTTAGGATGGATCAGCCTGCTTCTGACAGATCCCAGCTCTGAGTCATTGTGCAGTAAATGCACACAGAGTTGGCAAGCATGCAAGCCTTCCTGGCATCTGTAGGCTTCACTCAGCTTGTGTCCTGGTTCCTCACTCACACTGGAAAATTAATTTTTTTTTAATGTTTGGTTGTCCAGTGTTTTTATATAAATATGGCAATGTTTAACAACTGACCATATTGACTGCCATCCCGTTGAAACTACTAATTCTAATTTATATTCTACAAACAATTCATTCAACAACTACTTGGTCTATTAACAAACACTCTGCACCAGGCACTGTGCTGTACTGTAAACGATACAGTTATGGCTAAGATGCTGTCCATGCTTCTTGGGAGGGAAACTAGACATGTGTGCAGGTAACTGTCATATAAGGCAGAGGATATAAAATGCAGGGAGAGTGTAGACCACAGGCTTTGGTGCTCAGATGTAAGAGTTAGAAACATGTCTACCTGAGGTGATCAGGGAGGACTACCAGCAAGAAGTGCGTAGTGAATGGATAGGATTTCAGACCATAGAGATGGGGATGGCTGTGAACAATATATAGACCTAGACAATACAGGATCATCTAAAGAGGGATTGGCAGGACCTCGAGAAAGACAATTACCAGACCTCTCTTCCTGTCCCTATAGAGGACATGGTATTTGAGAGTCTGTCAAACCCTCGTAGCACAGTCCCTAGGAAGTGTTGCTATTAAAGATGCTTGTGGTGCATTTGAATGCAATAAAACAATGTTCCATAATAGTTTTGAAGGAAAGCTTTGTTTTTCTCTCCAACAGTTCATTCTACTTGCTAAGTCAGGCTCCTTTGAGTTCACTAAGAGGACATAAAAATATATGGATATTACTAAAGTCATCACACTACCTATTAGTCATTGGATGCAGTGCTGTGAGAATGTGAGAAACAGCTGGAGGTGGTACAGAAACACAGCATGGGCCATGTCTATCTCAGATGGATATTTCTGGCTGCCTTAGAGGGTCTGGCTCTGCATATATGTCTTTTCTGTGCTGCTGAGCTAGCTGACTCACAGGCAGTTTTGGAGGAGTGGGAAGTGGAAGCTTCATATGATGTTATCATCCCTGTCACTAAGTCTCTTCCTTCTTTTTACTACCTTAGAGCGGCAGAGGGATCTGAGCTAGTCCTTTGTGCTTTGCACTTTGGTCTTTAGTAAGTATGTGGCTCACTGACAACTCAATTCCTTTACAGACAGGTCTGTCTTCTCATGATGATGGGTTGAGACCCACCCAGAGGCAGCTGGAGAGAATTTTCCTGTGATCACCAAAGCTTTTCTGCCCCCATCAGCAGCAGTAGCTGTCTGCTGGGACTTGTGGTTGGAACACCACTGGTGAGGCCAAGTTCCTCAACTTCCCAATCAGTGGGGGCTTAACCAGCAAAGGACAGGGTGGCAGGGCTCCAGTTGGTGTCAAAATGGAAGCCAAAATCACTTTACAACCAAACGGGAATCAGATCTCAGGTGTAAAAATCCTACACAGAAAATGCACAGATATCAGCTGTGATGAGACCTGGAATTTTAACTTGGTAACATATTTTGCTTTTTCCTTTAGAGAGGAATTTTTAATTTCAGACTTATATCTCTATTATTTTAGGAAGAGGAAGGACAACTAATGGTTGCTTGGCCTAAAAGATTCTGGGAGGAATATGTGAGTCATAAAATATTAGCCAAATATCTTTTTGGATATTCTAATGTAAACTGTGTAGGAAACTAAGTACTTCATGCCAGGACAAAGCTAAAGAGTCCTTCTCAGAGCCCTACCCCCCACCCCCCACTTTCTGGATACTAATCTTATTGGTTGATAGCATCAAGTTTTGGGCTGTGTTGTAAGGATCACCCAGCTGTGGCTGCTTTTTGCTATCGTTTTCCCTCTTGTTCAGGAAATCTTGTCATGAACGTGTTACAAAGACAGCAAGAGAGAAAAGATTGTATGTTTTATGAAAACCATTATTAGAGATATTAATGTTAGGGTTATGAACTAAGGTCTGGAATGGGGGGAATTTAGAATTGTCATAAAAAACAACAAAGGATGAGCTCTTGTCCTTTGCAGGGACATGAATGAAGCTGGAAATCATCATTCTCAGCAAACTATCACAAGGACAAAAAACCAAACACTGCATGTTCTCACTCATAGGTGGGAATTGAACAATGAGAACACCTGGACACAAGGCAGGGAACATCACACACGGGGGCCTGTCAGAGGGTGGGGGACTGGGGGAGGGATAGCATTAGGAGAAATACCTAATGTAAATGACGAGTTGTTGGGTGCAGCAAACCAACATGGCACATGTATACCTATTTAACAAACCTGCACGTTGTGCACATGTACCCTAGAACTTAAAGTATAATAATAATAATAAAAATTAAAAACAAACAAAAAACAGTTCTCAAACCTGGGGTTGTGTGTCATAATAGGAAGAGGTGGCCTCTAGCCCTGGCTCTGCCATTGCTATGTGACTCAAGATAATCCATTCATTCATTCATTCAACATTTCTGGAGCACCCACTCTGTGTCAGACACTATGTTCAGCACTGGGGCCACGTTGTGAGGAATAGATAAAGAACCTGTTCTCCGATCACACAACTTCTCTGAATCCCATTTCTTTGTTTGCAGTAAGAGGGCTGCACCACAATGAGTTCTCAAGACCCCCTACTCCTGCTTCTTGATTCTTTCCCATGGGAGCAAAATGTGCCCAGAAGAACAATAACAGGAAAAGTGATAACAATATTACATGCCAGACATTATGCTAGCTAATCACTTTTATATACATTGCCTCATTTTATTTTCTCAAGAATTTCCTAAAATGGGTATTATTATGCTCATTTTCCAGATGAGGAAACTAAGAGTCGAGAGGTTGAGCTACTTTTTGTTATAAGCAAGAAAGAGGTAGAGCCAGACTCAAAACCAGCCCAGCTAACTCCAAACCCAGCATTCTTCTCTCCTCCTCTGTTCATGTTTTGAAAGGCTCATTCCTCTCCCCTGGACTTTGCTCTGGGCTACTTATAAAAAGTTTACTCAAGAATTCATAGCAGTACAAAAAAAAACAAAAACAAACAAAAAAACCACCTCATTCTTGCCTTACCAGTCTTCTACTAGCTTTCCCTCCTTCCTTACCTACTCAACTTTTCTTATTCATCCCAAGAGTGATCCTGCCACTTCAGCCAAGACCAGCACTCCCACTGCTTTGCCTCCACTTGTGCTTACCTTCCACCTGGAATCTTTTTCTTTTCTTTTATTTTGAGACAGAGTCTCGCTCTGTTGCCCAGGCTGAAGAAGTGCAGTGGAGCAATCTCAGCTCACTGCAAGTTCCGCCTCCCGGCGATTCTCCTGCCTCAGCCTCCTGAGTAGCTGGGACTATAGGCGTGTGCCACCATGCCTGGCTAATTTTTTTGTATTTTTAGTTGAGATGGGGTTTCACCGTATTAGCCAGGATGGTCTCAATCTCCTGACCTCGTGATCTGCCCACCTTGGCCTCCCAAAGTGCTGGGATTACAGGCGTGAGCCACTGCACCCAGCCTGGAATTCTTTTCAGTCTTGTCTGTTGCCAAACTCTGCACTCTTTCCCAGACTTTATCTTACTCCTAAATTTAATTCATTCATCCCCTCATAGTTGTCCAACACAGTAGGAAATTCAAAAAAAGAGTACCTGAACATCTCTTTGAAGGAAAGTAAGGCACACACGGATTGCAGGAAGAGTTATAAAGAGTCGTGGGCCATTTATTAGTTAGTGTTTCCCTGAAAGAAGAGGTCTATGGTAGGAGATGATTCAAAAACTGTCCAAGGGCTTCCTTACGCTATCTTTTCCCCAAAGATGCCTTTTTCTGTTTCTCTTTTTTTCTGACTATACATGGTCACTGTAGAAAATTTGAAAACTATCCACTCTTCAGAGATAATCACTATTAGCATTTGGTGTATTTCCTTCTGTGATGGTTAATTTTATGTCACTTTGGTTAGGCTATAGTGCCTAGTTGTTTGGTCAAACACCAGTGTAAATGTTGTTGCAAAGGTTTGTTTTGTTTTTATTTTTGAGATGTGATAAACATTTAAATCAGTAGACTTTGAGTAAAGTGGACTCCCCTCTATAATGTGGGTGAACTTCATTCAGTTGAAGATGTTAAGAATAAAGACAGGTCTCCAAGACTGAGGTTTCCTGAAGAGGAAACAATTCTGCTGCAAGACTTGCAATGTAGAAATTCTGAGTTTCTAGACTACCAGCCTGGTATACCAATTTCAGATTTGCCAGCCCCCACAATCACATGACCAATTCCTTAAAATACATTTCTCACTCTGTCTCTTTCTCTCTCCATACACACACATACACACACTTGGATGTTTGTGTGTGTGTGTGTGTGTGTGTGTATGTATGTATATATACTTGGATGTAAGTATATCCTATTGGTTCTGTTTCTCTGGAGAACCCTGACTGATATACTTTGTTTTTGTTCTTCATTTCCTCCCAGTTAGCACTTTTCAAACTGTCATGTCTGTGTGTAAATCACCTGTCTTGTTCAAGTGCAGCCTCTAAGTCAGTAGTGGTGGGCTAAGATTCTGTACTTTGAACAAGCTCCCAGGTGATGCCTATGCTGCTGGTCTATGGACCACATTTTGTATAGCAAGGCCTTATATAATTAACTTTTTCTTCATGAAATAATATCATGAGCTCAGTTATTCTCCTAAAACATTAACTTGTAACTGTATTGCACCCCATCATACGAATTGCCATAAATTTGTTCAGGCTTTAGAAACATATTTCCCAAAGTCTTTTTAGAAAAATTATCCAAGTATAATCCCACCCAAAGGCCTGGCTTCTGTAGCACAATAGAAAAATACTAGAAATGTAGAAAAATTGTCCAAATATAATCCAACCCAAAGGCCTGGCTTCTGTAGCAAATCAGGCCTGCATGCTCAGCCCCTGGTTTCAAGGGCTTCCCTTAGCATTTTTTCTCTTTTCTTTTTATTTCAATAGCTATAAAAATTCCTTTGGCTTTTGTCTGGGTGCTCATATTATTAGTGTCTGCTGAGAAGGGGAACCTACTGAATAGACATGGTTCTCAGAAGCCATTCATACATTCCTCCATTTATTCATGTAATAATATTACTCAATTATCTCATCAGTTGTTATAGGCACCATGCTGGGAGCTGTATACAGGGGATTCATTTAATAACTAATCAATCATAAAATGAATATAATTGTAGTTATGATAATTACATGGTGATGTAAGTATATAACAAGAAACTGGTCTAATCTAAGGGTCAGGAACACTTCCTAAGGAAGTGACATTTGAGTTGAGCTCTGGTTGTCCTGGGGCTATGACACTCAGTTCCCTAACTTTTGGCTAGTCTTTTCTGAATAGGTGGAGGCTCTGATGACAGAACCTTGGAAGTCACCTTTAGTGAGAGGTGGCGCAAATGAAGTCTCCAAAGGTCTCCCTAGAGGTCCATTGTAGCTGCTGCTCCTCATTGTCCCTGTCATACTCTTCTGGAGATGACCCTTCAGGGGAGTTCCCCTTCTGTCTGCTTCTGGGCAGCATCTCAATTTCCCTTTACTGAATCTGAACACAATCTGATTTCCTATCTGTGTCCATTTGTTACAGGAAATGCAGTCTAAATAACAAATTATCTTAAGGTAATTCATTATAGGCAAATATTTTGATCTTTGAATCAGTCATTATTTCGGACACTCTCTGCCACTGGTCTTTCCATTAATGTGGATAATGATAGTTGAAAAGAAAGAAATCGGTACTACAAAGCTACAGTAATTGAAACAGTATGGCACTGGCATAAGGATAGACATATAGAACAATGGAGTAGAATTGACAGTCCAGAAATAAATCTATACATTTATGGCCAATTGTCTTTTGAAAAGGGTGCTGAGACCATTCAATGGGGAAAAGAATACTTTCTTCAACAACTGGCACTGGGGCAACTGTATATCCACATGAAAAAAAAGTGAAGTTGGACCCCTACCTCACACTATGTATAAAAATTAACACAAAATGGTCAATAACCTAAATATAAGAGCCAAAATAATAAACCCTTTTGAAGAAAAAATAGGAGGTAAATCTTCATGACCTTGGATTTGGCAATACATTCTTAAATATGACACCAAAAGCATGAACAACAAAAGAAAAAATAGATAAACTGAACTTCATCAAACTTAAAAGTGTTTATGCATCGAAGTACATGATTTTAAAAAATGAGAAGACAACCTACAGAATGGAAAATAATTTTGAGTCGTACATCTAATAAGGACTTGGTATCCAGAATATATGAAGAATTCTTACAATTCAACAACAAAAAGACAAACAACCCAACTAAAAAAAAAAAGGCAAATAACTTGACTAGACATTTTCCCAAAGAAGACATACCAATGGCTAGCAAGTACATGAAAAGATACTCATATCATTATTCATTAAGGGGATGCAAATGAAAATCACAATGGAGTACCACTTCAAGCCCACAAGGAAATTTGTTTTAATGGGAAATAAGTGTTGGTGATGTGGAGAAATTGGAACACTTATAGATTTCTGGTGGGTAGGTAAAATGGTGCAGCACCTGAAGAAAACATTTTGGTGGTTCTTAAAAATTAAGCATAGAATTGCCATATGATCCAGCAATTCTTCTCCTAAATATATACCCAAAAGAATTGAAACCTGATATTCAAACAAATAGATGTACATGCGTGTAGATATTCAATATCCAAAAGATGGAAACAATCCACATACCCATTAACAGATTAATGGATTTTTAAAACGTAGTTTTTCCATTGAATAGGATATTATTCAGTCATAAAAACGATTGAGGTGTTCATGCATGCTACAATGTGCATGAACCTCAAAAACATTACACTAAGTGAAAGAAGCCAGGAACAAAAGGCCACATATTGTATAATTCCATTTATATGAAATATTCAGAATAGGTAAATTTATGGAGACAGGACACCGATTAATGATGCCAGGGGCCAGGAGGAAAGGAGTATAGGCAGCAATTGCTTAATGGGTACAGGATTTCCTTTTGGGTGATGAAAATGTTTTGGAACTACATTTAGGTGCTGGTTGCACAACATTATGAATGATTAAATAACTTATGTAAGTGGTTAATTTTTTTTAATTAAAAAAATTTTTTTAAAGAGACAGGGTCTTGCTGTGTTGCCCAGGCTGGCCTTGAACTCCTGGCTGAGGTGATCCTCCTATCTCAGCCTCCCAAGTTGCTGAGACTACAGGCATGCACTGCTGCATCTGGCTTACATGGCTTATTTTATGTTATATAAATTTTACCTCGATAAAAAATTAAATAAAAAAAAGAAATCAAGACTAGATTCTTTCCCTCTTGTGTCTGCCACATTTTATGGTTAATTTTAAAACATAGTAACAAAATTATGGTGTATCTTTGGTTATTACTCCCTTGGATTTTTATCATGCTAATGCATTCTCCCATTATTTTCTACTCTGTACAATTCAGATTTCAGTCCAAGGCTTCAGGTACATTGCAAACAGCTGCACTGGAATTATGCATCTTACCATTAATGACATGCCAACTCTGACGGACAACTGTGTAAAAGTAGGTAGTTGGGAAGTACCTTTACTTTTCTGTCCCATAAGATAGATATATGTTCTAATGGCTTGAATTACTGAAAAATATGAATGGACTTTTCATTTTAGTTATTTTAAAATAGTAATAAAATCATTGAAAAGTTTCCACACATGCACATACCCTTGAAAACATGTGAATCCTTAAATATCCTAAGAAACCTTGTTTCACAGTTAGGATTTTTTTTAGTGATGTTACAGCCTAAGCACAAACTTTGAGTTTAGTTCTCCATGCTAAGCTGCCAAATGTAGTAATTTTTTTCAGTAGTCCATTTCTCATATTTTCCCATACTCTTAGTACGTGATTTAATTCTGATTCCTCCACATTAGTCAAATGTAGGTGTATTAAAATGTATGGAAAAATCCAGTTGTCTTTGAAATTAGGAAAATTAACAGTTAACATGTCTGTCTCTAATATATTGAAGGAAAAAGTGACTTCATTACCTTGCTAAACCTGTTCTGTACACTTGATTAATTTAATCATTTTTTTCTTCTAAAGGCTTTAGTTGAAAAATGCTCTCGTATTACATCGCTGGTTTTCACTGGTGCACCGCATATCTCCGATTGTACTTTCAGAGCTCTTTCTGCTTGTAAACTCAGAAAGATCCGATTTGAAGGTCTGTTATATTAAAAATGTGGTTCAGCATTATTGTTTACTTTTACTCTTGTGGCATTCTAAATACAATACTTGTCTTTTCTTCTGTTTTTTAAAAACAGGAAATAAAAGGGTTACTGATGCATCCTTCAAATTTATAGACAAGAATTATCCAAATCTCAGTCACATTTATATGGCTGACTGCAAGGGAATAACAGACAGCAGCCTCAGATCCCTTTCACCTTTGAAGCAACTGACTGTGTTGAATTTGGCAAATTGTGTAAGGTAATGAGTCATTCAGTAATATATTCAAGAAACGTTGATTATCTAGTATGTGCCAGGTTCTCTCCTAAGGAACTTATGGTTTGTGGGGTAAACATGAAAGTCAAGAGTTCATGTGTTAAAGTAGAGGTAAGTGCAGAGTTCTGTAGTTATAAGAAAGAGGGGCTCCCAACCCAGGTTGATTATATGGGGTGTAGGGGAAGCTCAGGATGTGAGGAATTATGGACCCTTGTAAAATTAAGGAAACTCACAGGAATACTTACAGGCTACCTTTCCTATTGAGGGTTTCCATAGCTAGTTCAGTTAACATGATCTTTTCCCACATGGACTTTCTGACTTGCTTATGAAGAACCAATCTCATTGAAGGTTTTCCTCTTGGGTACTGGATAGATTTTTCCTCTGTGAAGAATTTCTGACAAATGGACAGAGGGTGGGTTCTTACTGAAATCCTTTCTTTAGCTGGGCCACTATTGGACTACTCTCCTGGTATTCTCAGGAGCAAATTCTGTTTTTTTGTTTTGTTTTGTTTTGTTTTGTTTTGTTTTTGAGACAGAGTCTCGCTCTGTTGCCCAGGCTGGAGGGCAGTGGCACGATCTCAGCTCACTGCAACCTCTGCCTCCCATGCTCAAGTGATTCTCTAGCCTCAGCCTCCTGAGTAGCTGAGATTACAGGTGTGTGCCAGCCCACCTGACTAATTTTTGTATTTTTAGTAGAGAGAGGGTTTTACCACTTTGGCCAGGCTGTTCTTGAATTCCTGACCTCAAGTGATCCACCTGCCTCAGCCTCCCAAAGTGCTGGGAATACAAGTGTGAGCCTCTGCACCCGGCCAAGGATCAAGAGGTTTCTTGCTGAAACCTGTTCCCCAGTGGGTAGCTCAGACTCTTACCTATGTAGAATTCTTATAATCTTATAGGGCCAGATAATAACAAAATAGCATTTGATCCACAAAATAGTACTTGATCCACATTGAAGTTGGCTAATATTTGGGAAAGCACAAGTCAGCATAATAATCTAAGCTACACAAAATCTTTTATTTATTTATTTTTATTTTTTAGAGACAAGGTCTTGCTCTATTGCCCAGGCTGAAGTACAGTTGCACAGTTACTGTAACCTTGAACTCCTGGGCTCAAGTGGTCCTCCTGCCTCAGCCTCCCAAGTAGCTAGAACTACAAGGCACACTCCATCATATCCAGCTAGTTTTTAAATTTTTCTAGAGTCGGGGTCTCACTAGATTGCCCAGGCAGGTCTCAAAGTCCTGGCTTCAGGTGATCCTTCCACCTTGGCCTCCCAAAATGCTGGGATTATAGGCATGAGCCACTGCACTGGCCCACTACACAGAATCTCAACCTATGTTGCCTGTTATTAAAATGGGGAGGCAGCATGGGTCATTGGGAGCTGGAGGAGATATAAGGGTTTGGAATGGGAAAAACCTGGATTAGGAAATGAGGGCTCCAGCCAAGGGCCAGTGAAGAATTAAAGCCTCCCGCCAACAGCCATGTGAGTGAGCCTGGAAGCAGACCCTACAGCCCCAGTCAAACCTTCAGATGACTGAAGCTCCAGCTGGCATCTTGACTACACACTCATGAGAGACCCTGAGCTAGAACCACTCTAGTTCACTTCTAAATCCCTGAGGTCCAGAAACTGGGAGATAATAAATGTTTGCCATTTAAGCCACAAAGTTTGGATCAATTTGTTACATAGTAATGATAACAGTGAGACACCCACCCCCCCCACACACACACACACTACATACACAAGTGTGTATCAACTAATTCTATCTGTATGAATATGTGAAATAAAACTGAATTTCATTCTTGCATTTCGTGCAGGCTTCTGCGGGTTAATTATTCTTTTTTTTTTTTTTTTTTTTTGAGATGGAGTCTCACTCTGTCACCCAGGCTGGAGTGCAGTGGTGCAATCTTGGCTCACTGCAACCTCTGCCTGTTGGGTTCAAATGATTCTCCTGCCCCAGCCTCCCAAGTAGACAGGCACCCACCATCATCCCTGGCTAATTTTTGTATTTTTGTAGAGATAGGGTCTCACCATGTTGGCCAGGCTGGTCTTGAACTCCTGACCTCAGGTGACCCACCTGCCTCGGCCTCCCAAAGTGCTGGGATTACAGGCGTGAGCCACTGCGCCTTGCCTAATTAATCTTAAATGGAAGTTTTCTGCCTCCAGAAGTAGAGGTGACAAGACACTTCAAAGGGCTCTGCCAAAAATATTCAGATCCGTGATTAAATATATTTTCAATATACTGCTGAGCTCACAAAGAGTAAGAGAAATATCCAGTAGCCTTGAATCCCCTCATTCTTTTCTACTCTCTCAATGAACAAATTCCTTGAGATGAATAGTGAATAGCCAGCAAACACAAAAGGTTGAGCAGCTCTGAGCACAAATTTTATGACAACAATTGCCTTTGAGAGAATCAGCTCTGAGCAAGACTCAAAGTAGGGAGGCAGAACCTGAGACTTCTGTAGGGTTTGTACCTCTTTAAGGGGGCAGAGTGGTCTCAGGTAGGTAGTTCCTGAGCTCCTGGAAGAAGTTAGCACAAAGCTTCTCAGGCTAGAGATTAAGATCAAATAAATAGGTGCTCAAAGTCAAAGATTGTCAAAATGCACAAAGATATAAGTCACCATGAGAAAGAGTCACAGAAACAGCAAGATACATTTGACCTTCAGGTAATTCAGATACAGGAATTGTCAGACATGGATTGTTAAGTAAACATGTATGAAATGTTTGAAGAAATAAAAAATGGGATCAGAAATATGAGCAGACAACCAAACATAATAAAACAATTAGATTTATCTGGGAAAAAAACCTAACTTTTAGAAACAAATGATGTAATATAGTTATTGAAATAAACAATGGAATGCTGATCAGCAGATTAGAACTCACAGAGGAGAGAAGTATAGAGCTGGGAGATCATTCTGAAGAAATGACAACAGAGGGAGGATGAAAAAGTATAACATATAGGGTAAAAAGATTAAGCTTAATTTCAGAGTTTTAAGATTTTAATATGTACATATAAGAGTTAAACCTAAAATAGTAAGTTGGGTAGTTAAAGAATTTTTGTTTTTCTCAAACACACATCAATCCTTTAAAAAATCATGCATGGACAAAATTTAAAAGCAAGTTCCAGCAACTTTCAAACTATTTTTATCAACAAATGGTATTCTCTCTCTACAAAGCAATGGGAATCAGCAACAAAAAGATAAATTAAAAATACATATTTAAAAGAATTTAAAAGTAAAAATCCTAAGGTGTCAGAATCACCTGAGGAGCTGAATAAAACTATAGATGCCCGTCGGGCGTGGTGGCTCACGCCTGTAATCCCAGCACTTTGGGAGGCCCAGGTGGGCGGATCACGAGGTCAGGAGATCGAGACCATCCTGGCTAACATGGTGAAACCCCGTCTCTACTAAAAATACACAGAATTAGCCAGGCATGGTGGCAGTCGCCTGTAGTCCTAGCTACTCGGGAGGCTGAGGCAGGAGAATGGTGTGAACCCAGGAGGCAGAGCTTGTAGTGAGCTGAGATCGTGCCACTGCACTCCAGCCTGGGCGACAGAGAGAGACTTGGTCTCAAAAACAAACAAACAAACATACAAAAAAAACTATAGATGCCCAAGCCCCACTTCAGAGCTATTGAGTCTGAATCTTTAGGGATGAAACCCCAGCTTGTGTATTAAAAAACAAACAAACAAACAAAAAAACAGCATGGATACTTTTGATATCCAGGTTTGGCCCTAAATGTATTAACCAATTAATTTGGATCATTACCTCAATAATCTTTTCCATTCACTTTTAATCCTTTCTTGACTATAATATGAATTTCTACACACACACACACACACACACACACACACACATCCTTAACTGCTTTCCTAGGTGCTGGCACACTCCCCCTCTTATAGGTGGAAGGTTGATGGGCACACAGGCATCGCATCCACCTACTATGGCTCATTCAGCTGAAACAGGATATCTTTTGCCTTAACTGCTCAGTTCTTTGCAAATCTGAACAAACGGAGGGTGTAAACGGATGTCAGCAATCAGTATGTTTTGCTCCCAGTGTTCTTCCCATCTGTACGCCCACCTGTAGAGCTGTTGTGAAACTGCCTCTTAGGATTGCAATGGTGGAAACTCCTGTCCTGCTTTATTTGCTGAAATGCTTCTTAGAAGGATCTGGTGGTTCTCAATTGGAATTAGAAATGAAGATCCCAATGGAAGACAGGGAACTGATGGGCCAAACAGACATCCAGCCATTTATAAAGCAAGATCAACATGGTAGGGTTATGGCACTGACACACAGAAGAAGTTTCTGATTAGGATAGTTTGGGAAGGCTGAGGTCAAGGTCTTCTTCCAGCATCAGGTTTTCTCTGATTCAGAAGGAAAGAAGCCAAAGGGCTCATATTGGGTTTCCTATCCAGCAAATTGACCTTGTATTTAGTGAAAATTCCTCCAAAATCATGGCAGTAGTTTGACTCTTAGTCTTGGTTCTCACTCTCCTAAGTTTTGATCTTTTTCTTTTGCAGGAAATGGTATCAGGGACTACTTAACTTGATCACTTTTTAACCCAAGAGAAAAAGACCTTGAGGGCCATCTGTCTTATTAAAAATTATGAACAAAGGAACAGAAATAACATTTTAATTAATACTTCTCCCATTCCTCTCATTTATACATTTTATTACATTAAAATCTATATAATCAAATTTGGTTTTAAAATATTGACAAAATACCAGTATATAGATATTACCTTGCTATTTTAGAAATATATTGGGTATGGTAGCTATTACTTTAATACTATTCTATATGTTTATATATAGAATCACATGTAAAATTTTTCTCTCTTTCCTACAGAATTGGTGATATGGGACTAAAGCAATTTCTTGATGGTCCTGCAAGCATGAGGATAAGAGAGCTAAATTTAAGCAACTGTGTGCGGCTAAGTGATGCCTCTGTTATGAAACTATCTGAGCGGTATGATAAAACAGTCTTTTACATCATATCATTAGTATTGTATATTTGATAATAGGAGACATGAGACACCTAAAAGCAAAGATTTCATGACATTTGGGGGAACATCAGAGATGCCCAGAAGCTGGTTAAATGTTCAGTGAAACCATGTGAAAGACATTGAAGTCATAGATTGGACCAATTTTTAAATTATATTATTATATTTAAATTACATCTGAGGGAGTCGTTCCTGAAATGATGAATATCTAGATATGGGTGGCTTCCCTGTACTTTTTCAAGGAGATTTTCTCTAATCTCCCTTTTCCAGGAGATTATCTTTACTCCAGCATTTCCCAAGGGGTGTTCTGGCTGGTTTATTCTTGACTCCCCTCTTGTCAGAGGTCTTGTACAATTCCTGTAGCAAACTTGTAAGGGATAAGTAGGGTTCTTAACTTGCACTTTTAGTGGTCATTCACTATGGTACTTACATGATAGTTTTTGATATGTGACATATTTTTTCCTTATTAGAAATTGTAATACGAAACTAAATTACAGAAAGAAAGTCATATAATAATCTACTGCCCTTTCATGCAACTTTGTAATGTCAAATTACTTTCTACTTTTAGTCTTACTTTTATGTTGAGTAAAGGAAAATCTTTGCTTCAATACCATTTGTTTTCCCAAGATAGTTTTTATATGAAGAAATTGCTTACTGACAATATGATTGACAGCTAAAATTAATCCATGCTACTTTCTTTTAGCTGCCCTAATTTAAACTACTTGAGTTTACGAAATTGTGAACATTTGACTGCCCAAGGAATTGGATATATTGTAAACATCTTTTCCTTGGTATCAATAGATCTCTCTGGAACAGACATCTCTAATGAGGTAAAAAAATTCAAAACAGTACAATGACTTTTATTGTTTTCTATAATACAATTATTTGCTATTTTGTAAATAATGGAGAGAACAATAATATGTTTTATTTGTTATTCTATTATAAAAGTTAAGTTTAGGGATATTGTTTCTAGAAGGGTGATAGAAAAGTTTCTTTGAATCAACAGTCATGTTTCTCTGTTTAAAAAATAGCAAAATACAGTATTTTGGGGAAAGTCATGACAGATAAGAGTATGTCATGATAATTTGAGATTTGTTTCATTACAGAAGTTTGGTCAGTATGGAGATAATATATGTTAGATGGCTTAACTATATTTTTCTTACGGATTGCACATTTTATGAGACTACCCGAATGCCTTGAGATCTAAGTCTTTAGTTCAAGACTAAACTCTAGAAATGGCCTCAACAAATCTACAAAAGGATATGGAATTCATTTCCTGCAAGCTGCTGATTGTATTCATCAGGGTTGAGACTCAGGCCACATCCATCTTATCCCTCTGGGACTGCCCCATTTACTAATCAAAAGGAGGATAACCCTGAGAGATTTGCCATGTTTCTGAAAGAACTATGGGCTATAGTTATACAAGGAATATATGGACTTCTCTTGAAAATCATGCATTTGGAGGGATATAGGAAGACAATATCTTATATCCTATATCCTTCCTATATAGGAGGGATATAGGAAGATATAGGGAGGTAAGGATCCCTCCTCCATCTGCTTGCTAAATCCCTATTCATCCCTGAAATATCAACTGTCTATGAGGGCCTTCTCTGAGAAGCCCTACCTTGCAGGCAAGCACTGGAATTTCTCTGCTTGCATCTCCAGCCCCAGTGTATCCTTTAACATGAACCGTTTCTATTTCTCACTGCATTGCAGACATCTGTTATGTGTTTATCCTTCGTCAACATTCGGTGGGGTCTTTTAAATGAAGGACTAGATCTGTTCATTGGTCTAGGTTCTTTCCTTTCTTTATCTATGAATGAACTTGGATTCAGCCTCCTTTCTGCTAGATGACCTCCTCTTCCCTTCCATATCGTCCATGAGTGATGTGAGATTGTGGGTAGGAAGCAGTACCATGGAGTCAACTCATTATGGCAGGGTCAGTGTCTGGTCTTCTCAATGTTGTCTTCTGTCCAAGCTGGAATTCACTGAGATGTACGAGGGCCCATTTGGTGTTTAGTTTCCCGTCCAGGTGGATCCCTGATGTCTCTTCCTTGTTCCAACTCCAAGGCCCCTTCAAGTCTTCAGGTTTCCCTGTCGTGTCTGCCTTGCTCTGGGCTCCTCTGGGTCTTCCTGGGTCATGGAGATCCTGTGAGGCTGTCTTAGGTCCACAGTCCTAGACACCTGCTGGAGACATTTTCTTGCTCCCACATCATGAATGTGTTTGCCCTCAAACTCATGACTCACCCTCCCCTTGCTCTGCTACAGGGTGACTCACACAAGTCAACTAGATTCCATGTTAGGGTTGGTGCTTGTGAGACATTTCTGAGTGATTACAGGGCCAGTAGAAGGGACATTCCAGGGTTTTCCTCTACCTTTCTTTGCATCATCATCATCAGCTGCATTTCCTTAGTGTTCTACTCCCCTCTGAACCACAGGCCTGCTGTGGTTCCAGCTTCCCTGAATGAAGTCGGCCTCTGGGCTTCAATAACATCATATCTTCCCATTGTCCTTCCAGCATAGGGACAGTAGTGGCTTCCTACTGCTGCTAAGCTCTAGATTTTGTCACTGTCCCATTTGGCTTCTCAGTTTCTCTACCACCTATGTAGCCATTCCCCCATTAAAATTAAATCTCCTCAGTTTTGCATGCTCAGGGTTGTTTCTGCTTTTCCCGTTGACTCTTAACTGATACAATGACGAGCACAGGAACACTCTGTCTTATTGCTTTTATGAACCCTACTGGGAAAGGTGGAATGGGTTCCCATCTACTTAGGCCCCCAAGCCTACCCGGGGGTTCCAACTTTCTCTCTAGCTGGATAGAAAGTGAGAAGGTCTAGAACAGACCCCCCATATGATGAATTTCTCAGCATTTGCTTCCCTCTGGCTCTCCCCTCCCCTCCTCTTTTCCCCTGTCCTCTCCTTTCCTCCTCTCCCTTCTCATCTTCTTCCCCTCCACCTCTTCTCTCCCCTTTTCTCATATTTGCTCCTTTCCTTTTGACATAGATTCTTTTCCTAATCTGGGGGTGGAAAAAATGTTCCAACTGATTACATGGTTTTGAAAAATGTTATGCCCCAAGTCTTTCAGGGCTTGGGCTTTTGAAGCTTAAAGGCCCAGGATTTTTATCCTGTGTTCTTTTGTAAGAACCTTTTCCTGACACATAGGAGCAGAATCGCCAGCTGTTGTCTGAAGGGTCACAGAGTGACAAGAAGTAGAGAATCAAAGCACATTATAAAACACATCAAAATATAATTCCCCCACAGCACTTACCACAAGGCTGAAGTGCCTGGGGGAATATTTGTTGACTGAATGGAGTAAAGGTTAAAATGCTTTATTTAGTTTTTAGCATTTGAGGAAAGCTCAGGTTTTATTTTTAAAGACTGTATATTAAAATTTTATCTACAGAGGACAAGTTAAAAACTTAGGAATATAGGCCAGGCACGATGGCTCATGCCTGTAATCCCAGCACTTTGGGAGACTGAGGCAGGCGGGTCACTTGAGCCCAAGAATTTGAGACCAGCCTGGGTAACATGATGAAACCCCATCTCTACAAAACATACAAAAATTAGCCGGGTGTGGTGATGTGCACCTATAGACCCAGCTACTCAGGAGGCTGACAGGTGGGAGTATGGCTTGAGCCCAGAAGGTTGAGGCTGCAGTGAGCTGTGATTGTACCACTGTACTCCAGCCTGGGAAACCTGGGCAACAGAGTAAGATCCTGTCTCAAGAAAACAAAAAACAAAAAACTTAGGAGTATGGCCTCGAGTTCTAGTCTCTGTTTTTATTTTCTTCTGAAGCATATATGTAATTTAAGAGAATTGTAAATGGATATCTATGGGGAAGTATACTAATTGTTTTCTGCTAAAAGATTGAAAAAAATAAGTCTTCTGTTGTTTTCTTCCTCCAAGTCAGTTAAACTCTGAACTAAAAGGCAAATGATTGACAATTACAGTGCTACAACAGCTGAGGAAGCTAACCTCAAACAGTGAAGTTAAAATGAGTCAGCCCGGATGTCAACTTGGGCAGCTAAACACCAGCCTGATTGATTATAGGTCTGAGTAAGTGCAAATTTGACTACAGACGTAACATTCAGGATTTAAACTCTGGAATGTTACAGATACCCACCAAAGATCAAATGTGACCAGTTGTGCCATTTGGGAGAAAATTTCCCATGTTTTCTAATAATTATGTTCATTCTCAATTCTTAATGGTGAATTTTCAGTTAGAATCACACTACACATTTAGTTAACAAGTATTTACTCTGACTACATTGTGCTCAGTGCTGAGAATACTGGAATGAACAAAACAGACATGATTCCTCTTCCTAGTACTTACATTCTAGTGGGAAGACAGGAGTAGGGCAAGTGGTTACAAAGTATGATGAGTGTGAAAAACAGAGAGGGGAAAGCTAACCTAGCTCAGAGATTCTTTTCCCAGAGAAGAAAGGTGTTCTGTGAGCCAAAGAAGCAGCCTGCACAAAGGCATGGAGGTTTAAAAGTGTGAGATATCAAGAAACCTACACATTTGGGTATGGCTTATTGGCGAGAAGTATGGTGAGAGATGATGTTTGAGAGGTAGACAGGGGTCAGGTCACTGAGGGCCCAGAGGCCACATTAAGGAATTTGAACTCTGCTCTTTGGACCGTGGAAGGACATTCAGTATTGTCAGTTAGAACAGTAACATGGTCAGATTTATATTCCGAAAAGCTCACTTCTATCTGCTAGACAGATATGGGAATCACAGATGCATAGTGACCAATTATCAAGTAGTCATCCAGGTGAAAAGTTATGAACGCCTGTGTTAGGGAGAGGGCAGTAAGCATGTAGCAAAGTCAGCACAGTTGGGAGACACTGAGGAAGAAGAAACAATGAGATAGAGCTCAACTGAATGTGAGGATAAGGAAGAGAGGGAGTGAATCAAGGATGGCACCAGATTTTTGGCTTGAGCATCTGCATAAAGGATGGTGTGCCTTCCTGAGCTGTGTCCCTTACACAGTCAGGGAGCAGGTTTGCTGCAGGTTGGGAAAACGAACATGTTTAGTTTGATTCACTTGCAAGACAGCTTTATAGAGATGTTGCTCAGGAAACTAATTGAAATTCACACCTCAAAAGTAGAAGAGCTCTTTGGGGTTGGAGAGGCTAAAGGGACACTGTGTTCTGAAAAATCATGAAAACTCATGAAGAAGTTGATCAGCAAAGGCAAAAATCCAGACATTTAGAAATCCAGAAAGATGTTTATTGGAGAGAGCTAACTTAAATGGGGGAAGCAAAGAGGAGAACACAGTTATTTCAAGATTTGTGTTTCTTATAATAATCTTACTCTCCTCAGTTATTCCTTTTGTGGAAAATAGTGAATCATTTATTGTATCATCCATGAATAAAAGTTGTTTAGGAAGTTACCTACCAAGTACATATTAGGGAAAGAGGAAATATGTCAATTTGCCTCTTCTAATATAAACAGGATAGGGTTTCTAAGTGGGAGAAATAGCTTACTAATGTGATAATATCTTAAGGTATCTTTAGAAATCTTTAATCTTCTACAGCTTTTCAAAATGTTCACTTAAATGGGCTATTATTCATTCCCTTCCTGCTCCAGAGGATTATTTGAATGTGAGGTTATATCTCCATGTATGTGGGAAAATATTTCCTGCTAGTTAATTGGATTATCATTTGCTAAAGACCACAGGATCCATGGTGAGGGCAGTTCAGTCTGTTACTTAAGTTGCCTTAGTCACCGCCATATTTGTTGTTTAAAGGAAAAGTGAGTCACGGCAGTGTCCCAGACAGTGTGCTTAGACAGTGGTTTAAAAAGACTCTTTCATTTGCTTGATTTTCAGAATTTTTTATTATGAGTACAAGATCTTGAGCGCCTGTTATGTAGGTCCTGGAGTCCCCTCACTAGAATATCAGATCCATGAAGACTGAAACGTTGTTTTCCCAGAACCCTGGGAAGTAGTAGGCACTAGATTAATTGCTCATTGAATGAAGGAAAAAAATGCTAGGCTCTAGGATTAACAAATGTGAGTAAGACCTATTTTCTGCAGCCCAATTTGGAAGGGTGGGTGTGGGGAATTTAGATGTGATGGGGCAGGCATAGTGATAGAGGTGAGGAGAGGAAAGGATCTCTTAATTCAGCCTGCCCAACACAGAAGCATGTGAATGTATCCTTGTTCAAGGAACTTGATGTAGCTTAGTCCTGCTAGAATACACTATATAAAAAAGATATCATGGAGGGAATGTCATACTGTGTCAAGGAGATTGGACTTGAACCAATGGGTGATGTGTAGGGGAGTCATAGTCATAGTCAGCCTTCCATTTTAGGTAGATTATTTGAGTTGTTCTCTGGGGGACAGACTGAAAAGGAGAAGGACTGGGGGCAGGGAGGGAAATAGGAGGTATTTTAGTAGTTAAAGGAAGAGATGAGGAGTTCTTGAACTAGGTCAGAGGCTAGAACAAGCATGGAAAGGACATATTAAAGAATGTTTAGTAGCTAAAACCGAAAGAACTTGGTGATTGATTATTGTGGAAAATGGGGACCTCGGTGGAGGGATGGGAGGATAAGAATTGACTTAAAAGTTCTGGCTTTGGAATAAAAAAATTAAAAATTGGCCAGGTGTGGTGGCTTACGCCTGTAATCCTAGCATTTTGGGAGGCTGAGGTGGGCAGATCACTTGAGCTCAGGAGTTCAAGAGCAGCTTGGCCAACGTGACACAACCCCATCTCTACAAAAATACAGAAAAAAAAAATTTAGCCAGGCATGGTGGCATGCGCATGTAGTCCCAGCTACCTGGGGGGCTGAGGTGGGAGGATCACTTGAGCCCGGGAGGTCAAGCCTGCAGTGAGCCGAGATTGTACCACTGCACTCCAGCCTGGGTGACAAAGTGAGACCCTGTCTTAAAAAAAAAAAATTAAAATTTTTTTTTTAAAATCTGGCTTTGGGAGGATGGAGGTCCCACCTCTAAAAAGATAGGTAATATAGGAGAAATAACAGGTTTTGAGAGAAAGATGGTTTTCGTTTTATCAGATTGAGTTAGAATCTGTGGGATATTCAGGCCAAAGGATTGGGAGAGAAATGATTACCGGACCTGCAGATGGGGGAGTCATTCTCATGGAGGTGTGAATGTGGCCAAGATCCTCAAGGAGGGCATAGGGGCATGAGGAGAAATGTACTCCCAGGAAGAACATAGCAGAACATCAGTGTTTAAGGAGTGGAAAGAAGAAGATGAATCCATGAAGGAGACTAAAGAAAGAAGGTCAAAAAGATTGTAAGAGAACCAGGTGATGTAGTCAAGTGTGGAGTGTAATGGGAATAACAACAGTGTCTAATAAAACTGAGAAATTAAATCACAGAAAGATGAGAATTAAAGAAAGAAAAATTTTTTTAGAGAAAGGGTCTCACTCTGTCCCCCAAGCTAGAATGCAGTGGCACCATCAAAACTTACTGCAGCCTCGACCTCCTGGGCTGAAGCAATACTCCTGCTTCAGCCTCCTGAGTAGCTGGGACTATAGGCAAGTGCCACTACACCCAGCTATGACCAAAATTTGAAAGAACATTTACTGTTAATTAAAGAAACCCCTGTCTACCACTCCAGGACCACCTCATGCCCCTGCTCTGCTCATTTCCTTTCCCTCAGCCACACTGCTTTCACTTAGCTCTGCAAACAAGCCAAATCCCTTCCTACCTCAGGACCTTTCTGTATGTTACACCTCCTGCCTGGGTCTGCGACTCCTTCCGTTCTTCATGTGCCTGGGTAGGGGCAGATGCTGAGCAAGTAATCACTGATGATAATGACAAAAAAGCATCTTGACATAAGTTAATAGTGCCAATTTTTATATTTATGACATTATTTTTTCTATTATAAATATTGATCATGTTGTCCATAATTATCAGAAAATCACACTTCTCAATCTAGATCATTTCAAGGCAATATCAATGGGTTTGTATTATGGATTCATTCTTTCTTTAAGAAAACATAAATCATATGGTGATGGTTAATGTCTCTAGATTTTTAAAAAATAAGTGTTGTTGAGTTCCTAATGTGCTGTATATTATCTCTGCCACATTACAGCATAGTTCCCTAGAGCAGTGTTACCTATTACTATTATCACAGTAATAATGGGTCTTAAATTACTGATAGCATACAGATTATTTTCAAATTGAATTGCAAAAAGAAGAACTCTAATTGAATATTGGCATGCCGTTTCCATGTTAGTTTTAATTGTATGTGTTATAAGGCTATCTAGTTTCAGGTATTTCTAGCCAAAAAATCTACTACTAAATACTATACTAGAATAGAAAGAAGCCAATGTGAGAACTTTAATAGTCATTGATAGAGTCTAATCATCTCTTATAACTGCCCATCTGCCTCCTCTCCATCCCCACTGCCCCTGGCTTAGTTCAAGCACTGTTTCTCGTACTCACCTTTGCTGCAGTGTTCTGAGTCTGTCTATAAAAAACAGACACACAGACCAGTGGAACAGAATAGAGAAACCAGAAATAAGCCCACACATTTATAGCGAGCTGATTTTTGAAAAAGGCACCAAGAACACACATTGGGGAAAGAACATTCTCTTCAATAAATGGTGCTGGGAAACCTGGATAGCTACATGCAGAAGAATGGAACTAGATTCCTATCTCTCACCATATACAAAAATCAACTCAAAATGGATTAAGGACTTAAATGTAAGAGCCAGAAATATGAAACTATTTGAATAAAGAATAGACGAAACACTTTAGGACATTGGTTTGGGCAAAGATTTTTTTGGATGGTACCTCGAAAACACAGGCAACAAAAGAAAAAAAATGCACGAATGGTATTACATCAACCTAAAAAGCTTCTGTACAGCAAAGGAAACAGCAGAGTGAAGAGACCACCTATGGAATGGGAGAAAATATTTACAAACTATGCTTACGTGACAAGGGTTCAATATCCAGAGTATACAAGGAACTCAAACAACTCAATAGCAGAAAAACAAATAATCAGATGGGCAAAAGACCTGAATAGATATTTCTCAAAAGAAGACATACATGTATACGGCCAACAAGTACATGAAGAAATACTCAACATCATTAACACCAGGGAACTGCAAATCAAAACTGCAATGAGCTATTGCCTCACGCCAGTTAGAATGGCTATTATCAAAAAGCAAAAAGTAACAAATGCAGGCGAGGATGTGCAGAAAGGGGAACTCTTATAGACTGTTGATGGAAATTACAATTAGTACAGCCATTATGGAAAACATTAGCGAGGTTCCTCAAAAAATTAATAATAGAACTATCATATGTTCTGGCAATCCCACTACTTGGTATATATCCAAAGGAAATGAAATCAAGCCAGGCACAGAGGTTCATGCCTGCAATCCCAGCACTTTGGGAGGCCAAGGCAGGCGGATCACTTGAGGCCAGGAGTTCAAGGCCAGCCTGGCCAACATGGCGAAACCTCGTCTCTACTAAAAATACAAAAATTAGCTGGACATGGTGGTGCACACCTGTGATCCCAGCTACTTGGGAGGCTGAAGCATGAGAACTGCCTGAACCCAGGAGGCAGAGGTTGCAGTGAGCCCAGATAGTGCCACTGCACTCCAACCTGAGTGACAGAGTGAGACTATCTCAAAAACAAAACAAAACAAAACAAAACAAAAAAACCACAAAGGAAATGAAATCAGTATGTCAAAGAGATATCTGTACTCCCGTGTGCACTGCAGCCAATATATACAATCAACCTAAGTGTCCATCAATGGATGAATGGATTTAAAAATGTGATATATATATATGCACAATAGAATACTATTCAGCCCAAAAAAGAGTGAAATCTTTTCATTTGTGACAACATGGATGAACCTAAAGGACATTGTGTTAAGTCAAATAATCCAAGCACAGAAAGACAAATATCTCATGATCTCACTCATATGCGGAATCTGAAAAAAGGGGATCTCATAGAAGTAGAGAGGAGAATAATGGCTACCAGAGGCTGGGGAGGGAGTGGTGAGGGGAGATGAGGAGAGGTTGGTCAATAGGTACAAAGTTACAGTGAGATAGGAGGAATAAGTTCTAGTGTTCTATTGCACAGCAGGGTGACTATAGTTAACAATAATGTATTATTGTATATTTCAAAGTAGCTAGAAGAAAGGATTCTAAATGTGCTCACCACAAAGAAATGATCAATGAGGTGATAGATATGCTAATTACTCTGATTTGATCATTACACAATGTCTACATGTGTTGAAACATCACACTGTATCCCATAAATAAGCACAATTACTTTGTGTCAGTAAAAAACAAAACTTAAAAAATATCTGGCCGGGCACGGTGGCTCACGCCTGTAATCCCAGCACTTTGGGAGGCCGAGGTGGGCAGATCATGAGATCAGGAGATCGAGACCATCCTGGCTAACACGGTGAAACCCCGTCTCTACCAAAAATACAAAAAAAATTAGCCAGGCATGGTGGCAGGCACCTGTAGTCCCAGCTACAGGAGGCTGAGGCAGGAGAATGGCATGAACCCGGGAGGCGGAGCTTGCAGTGAGCCAAGATTGCGCCACTGCACTCCAGCCTGGGCGACACAGCAAGACTCTGTCTCAAAAAAAAAAAAAAAAAAAAAAAAATATATATATATATATATATATATATATGTCTAAGTCTATCACTCCCTGGCTCAGAGTTCCTTGGGGACTCCACACTGCTTACAGTATCAATGGGCTGGTGGACCAAGCTCTTCCTGAGGCGGCCCTTGGCCACCCCTGCAGCCCTGCTTCCAGCTGACTCCCGCCTCTCATCCTCAGCTCCAGACACACAGAACTGACTCTCCTACAGCTCCTCAAACATGCTGTGTTCTTGTTTCCCCATCTCTACAAGTTATTCCCTCTGTCTGAAACACCTTCTCCACTACTTGTCCACCTAGTAAATTCTTCTTTTTTTTTGTTTGTTTGTTTGGGTTTTTTTGGATACAGAGTCTTTCTGTGTCACTTAGTCCAGAGTGCAGTGGCATCATCATAGCTCACTGCAGCCTCAACTTTCTGGGCTCAAGTGATCCTCCTGCCTCAGCCTCCCAAGTAGCTGGGACTACAGGCACATACCATCATGACTGGCTGATTTTTCAAATTTTCTTTTGTAGAGATGGGGTCTTGCTATGTTCCCTGGGCTGGGCTGAAACTCCTGGGCTCAAGTGATCCTCTTGCCTTGGCCTTCCAAAGTGTTGAGATGTTAGGCGTCAGCTGTCATGCCTGGCCTTGCTTATCTCTTAAGTTTCAGCTGTGGGGAAGCTTTCCTAGAATTTCTGGGCAGGCTTAGGATCTCCTTCTTTGTATTTCCACTGCACTTTGTATATGTCTCTACTGAAGCAATCAGCTTGTTATATTCTAGTGTCTGTTCCATGCCTGTCTCCCTATAGCACTGTAAGCTTCCCAAGAGCAGAGACAGGACCATCCCATCTTTGGGATGCCTAGCAAGATGTTCATAGGAGGCACATAAAATGTTTGATCAGTGAGTGAATGAATGAATCTGGCACCATTTCCTTCCTCTTAACCAAACACTTAAGTCTTCTTTAAATTCCACATTGTCTCAGCTATGCTCTGGGCTGGAGTGGAAGCACTTACAGCTGCGTGTCTTAATCTGATGATACAATTGCAAGAGACCACCCATCTGCATGGAACACACACAAAAATAAAGCCTGAGTCCAGTGAAGCAAAACCTCTAAAGCAGGAAACACATGAAATCACTTGGGATTCAAGAAATAGGAAGAATGAGAGTTGAAAGGAAGCACGGTAGTTCAGAGACAAATGGATTTGCCGTGGATTTTCAAAAAGCACATAACAAGAAGTCTGCCCAGTTATGGGCTTTTGGTTTTTTTTCATATGGAGCTGGACCTCTCCTAGTCCTCCTCAGGCCCTTCTCTCCAGCCAGTGGCCTTACATGACTATGTTGGTCCCATCAAGCTAGTGATAGTGGTTCCTTCTCACAGAGGTTATGGTCCATTGTCTCCTGTTTCTAGCAAAGTGCCTACTAAAAACACTGCAAACAGAAGCGACCAACTTGAGCCTGTCACTTCCCTCAAGATGGATCTTTGGCAGCATGACTCTCCTCTCTACCTCCATCAAGTAGGAGGCAAACAGTCTCAAGGCAAGTTGGTCTACTTTCAGGTAACAGAGATGCCAATTTTCCTTCCTTCTATAAGCATCACAATACAGAATCTATGTCTGTGTGGTGATCAAAGCTTGCTTTCCTTTAGACTTGTAGGTCAATAAATTAGGTCAGAGAGGTTGATACATTTTAAAAAGAAATATGATTACAAAATTCATACTAACAATTGATTAAGTAGAAATAAACAAAAATAATTGAGAAGACTAGTAGTTCCAGCTACCGAGGAAGCTGATGCTGGAGGATCCCTTGAGCCCAGCAGTTTGAGATCAGCCTGGGTGATACAGCGAGACACTGTCTCTTAAAAAGTAAAATAAAATAGGCTGGGCACAGTGGCACACCCCTGTAATCCCAGCACTTTGGGAGGCCAAGGCAGGCGGATCACGAGGTCAAGAGATCGAGACCATCCTGCCCAACATGGTGAAACCCCGTCTCTACTAAAAAAAAAAACAAAAATTAGCCAGGTATGGTGGCGCGTGCCTGTAGTCCCAGCTACTTGGGAGGCTGATGCAGGAGGATTGCTTGAATCTGGGAGGGAGAGGTTGCAGTGAACTGAGATCACGCCATTGCACTCCAGCCTGGTGACAGAGCAAGACTCCGTCTCAAACAAAAACAAAAACAAACAATCAAACAAAAAAAACACAAAAATAAGTAAATAAAATATTGAGAAGAAAAGGTACATTATATTTATAAAAGCATAATTACTAACTAGAGTAGAAAAGGGAAGATCGCTTGGGAGATGAAGAGAAATTTTCGAGAACATTGTACATGACAGTATTATCAGTGAATTTAGAAAGAGGATGTGCTAATTGAGATAATAAATATTTCCAAGTATAACTTTTGTTCTTTATTTCTGAAAGAATGCAGTATGCAATACCAAACAGAGCAAATCTTTCAGAAAGAAGCATGTGAAATGTAAACCCTGATTCAAAGAATTCCAAACGGAAATGCATTTCATCCAAAAATTCTGAGAGTATGCCAGCAAGATAAGAGAAAATTGAGTCCGTATAAATAGATAATTTTATAGGTAGACTGATTCACTCAACAAATATTTACTCATTGTCAACTATATATCATACACATTGTTAAGTTCTGGGAGTACCAAACTGAAAGAGTACTGGTCTCAAGGTACAGTCTAATGGCAAAATAACAACAAGAAAAGCAACATCACTGTATAGTTAAAAGTTACTAAAAGCATGAATTCAGAGTATGGGTTCATATCTCAGCTGGTGCCATGGCACTTTGAGACCGCAGGCAAGTTACTCAATTTCTCTGTGCCTCCATTTCCTTCTCTTTAAAATGGTGATTATAATATTACCTACCTCACAGTGTTGTTATAAGGATTAAGTAAGGCAATGCATGTAAGCTGGCACATGGCAAGCACTATATGCATCTTAGTGATTATTTATTTGAATTCTGACATAAGATTTGTTTGCTGAAAAGGAGATGGAGGCATTGCACCACAACAGCACAGATGAGTTAGAAAATGAACACTTGGCTGGGTGCGGTGGCTCACACCTGTAATCCCAGCACTTTGGGAGGTCAAGGAGGGTGGATTACCTGAGGTCAGGAGTTCGAGACCAGCCTAGCCAGCATGGTGAAAGCCCATCTCTACTAAAAATACAAAAATTAGCTGGGCATGGTGGCGGGCGCCTGTAATCACAGCTATTTGGGAGGCTGAGGCAGGAAAATCGCTTGAACCCAGGAGGCAGAGGTTGCAGTGAGCCGAAATTGCACCATTGCACTCCAGCCTGGGCGACAAGAGGAAGACTCCATCTTAAAAAAAAAAATGAACACTTGTCTCTGTTGTCTCTGTGGAGGAGTCAAGGGAAGCTTTTTAGCTTTTGGGATGCAGCTGAAAGCTGGAGGAAGAAGCAGATGATAAGGCCTGGAGGCATAAGGAGGGTTATGTGTTGGGATTCACAGATAACTCAGTGCTGTCAGAGCATGGCCAGAGAAGAGAGGGGATGTGGAGGGAGATGAGGCTGGAGAAAGAGATGGAGGGCAGAATGTGGGTGGCCTTGAGTGCCCTGCACAGCAATTCAGGCTACATGCAGTATGCAGTAGGAGCCATTGAAGAACTCTGAGTAGGAGAGCAGGACAGATTTGTGCACAAGAAACATAACTCTGGTGGCAGTGTGGATGATCTATTGAAGAAAGGATGAGCAATTGCAATGATAGCTAGAAATAATGAGGTTTTGATAGTGGCGGCAGAGGGGGCAGATTTGAGAGATATTTAGGGGGTGGCATTGGTAGGGCTTATTCATTGGCTGAATATGGGGAACAGGGAGGCAGAGAGGAGACATAGACGATGCTCAGGTTTTTTATTTGGTCAGTTGTGAACATGGTGGTGCCACAAACCAGGAAAAGAACCTAGGAGAGCAATTAGGGCTTGGAGACAAGATACTGAATTCCATTTTGGACATGTTTAATACTAGTACTAGCACATCTCTCTAAACTATGGGCCCCTTTGATTCTGGGTGACAGAGAAGACAAACATCCATCTGACTTTTGGAATCTTTGTTTTTGTTTTGTTTTACTTTGCTTTGTTTTCCTCAGGATATCTGGAATCATAGGAATTCAGTGTGTTCAAATTCAAGCATTTCTGAAAGAAAACTCACACAAGGATTTTCAGTACCATCCCCCCCCCCAATTTTATCCCCTCTATCACAGCAAAAACTTATACTCTGTTTTATCCTTAAAAACAAATTAAAAAGGCATGAAAGAAGCCTTCTTATGTTTACTGACTGTCGGGGGACTTTTTAGATTTCCCATGATCTATACCCCCAGTAACTACATCCTGGAGTCCTGGGTGCCCCATTCCATCTTATTTCATAGAGTGCATTTTCCAATATCCTGAATTCAAATATCAAATACCCTAGGTTATATAGATTTCCCATATAGAGAAATTGGAGCCCTATAAAGAGGGTCATAAAGGTACAAAATGCAGAGGAAGGAGCCATTGTATTTAAATCAAAGGAAAGTCCATCATGAGCATTCATCTTTCACAGACTCCTGACTGAAGCTAGCAAAAAGAATAGGAAGAGCTCAATGAAATCTCATGGCTTCCAGTTTGAATTCTAGTTCTCTGAAAGTAACAGTGCTGAGTTAGAGGTGCCTATGACACATTCAGATGTCTAGTTATCAGTTAGAGAACAAGATCTGTATCTCAGGAGGGAGATCTGGGCTAGATCTAGAGATGGCTGAAGTGGTCAAAGCCATGGATGAGAGTCACAAAGAGAAGAGAAGGTCAAGTTCCAAGCTCCAGGGAACATCAGTATGTATTGAATAGATTTGGAAGATGAACCTACAAAGGAAACTGAAAACGAACATCCAGAGAAGTAGGTGGAGACAGAGGTCAGAGTAATATCATGAGAAACAAGGAAGATGCTATTTCAAAAAGCAGGGGATGGTCAGCAGAGTCAGGCTTCAAAGCTGGGTCAAGTAATATGAAGATAGAGCAGTATCCATCAATTTTTGTAAAGTAAAACTGTTCATCTATGTATATAATACTTGTACATGTTAACATTCATAGCTGAGTACTTTGCTTGAATATTAGCACATTTGTGCTGATGGTTTGTTTAGAATAGAAAGTAAACTAACCAGAACTGTGTTGCTTTGTATAAAGAAATAAAGCCTAGTGTAAATATTTTATATAATTCTTTGTTGATACACAAAAATATTCAATAACAGACACATATTGGGTTTTTCCTCCAAATTATGCTATTTTCACAAACACTAGTAATACAAAAAGAAATATGAATAATGAAAAAACATATTCATATCATTGCGCACCCTCCAAAACGTCCATTTCTTTTCTTTTTTTTTTTTTTTTTGAGACAGATTCTCCCTCTGTCGCCCAGACTGGAGTACAGTAGTGCAATCTCAGCTCACTGCAACCTCCGCCTCCTGGGTTCAAGCAATTCTTCTGCCTCAGCCTACCGAGTAGCGGGGACTACACGCCTGGCTAATTTTTGTATTCTTAGTAGAGACGGGGTTTCACCACATTGACCAGGCTGGTCTCGAACTCCTGACCTCATGATCCACCCGCCTTGGCCTCCAAAAGTGCTGGGATTACAGGCGTGAGCCACTGCGCCCTGCCCAAAACGTCTGTTTCTTTTAATACACATATACATACACTATACACACACATATGCAGATGTGAATTTTTTTTTTTTTTTTGGAGACACAGTCTCACTCTGTCATCCAGGCTGGAGTGCAGTGGCACGATCTTGGCTCACTACAGCTTCTGCCTCCTGGGTTAAAGCGATTCTCCTGCCTCATCCTCCCGAGTAGCCGGGATTACAAGCACCTGCCACCATGCCCGGATAATTTTTGTATTTTTAGTAGAGATGGGGTTTTGCCATGCTGGCCAGGCTGGTCGTGAACTCCTGACCTCAGGTGATCCACCTGCCTTGGCCTCCCAAAGTGCTGGGATTACAGGCATGAGCCACCGCGCCCGGCCTGCAGATATAATTTTGTGTACTGCTTTTTGAACCTAAGTATGTTACTATATATTCTTTATAACAAACACTTCTCATGTTTGCAGAATATTCTGGGTGTACTATAACATCTCAACAAATTACTTTTTAAATAAAAAGGGGTAAATATACCTCTTCTAATAAAGAGATCTATGGTAGTCATCTTCTGAACCAAGTGGCCCAACAGCATCACCAGTTGTGGAACAACTGGACATATGTGCCTCCCAATGGGATGCTATAATAATTCAGGAGTATTTTTGCAAAAAAAGTTTACCTTGAATCTAATCATAAGGAACAATTAGAAAAATCCAGAATGTGAGACATTCTGCATAATAACTGGCCTAGACCCTTAAAAAAAGTCAATGTCTTAAAAGAAAAATTTAAAGAAAAAAAGACTAAAAAGACATGATAACCAAATCCAATGCACAAATTGGGTCTTGGATACAAAAAAATTTGAATGTTGACTTTGTACTAGATATTACAGTATTACTGTTCATTTTCTTGGGTGTCATAATACTATATATGTCTATACTATATATGCATAATACTACATAGTTACATAGGAAAATGTCGTTATTCCTAAGGAGATGCACATGAAATATTTAGGGATAAAGCATCATGATATCTGAAACTTATTTTCAAGTAGTTCAGGGAAATTTATGTATATTTGTGTGTATATATATATGTGTGTGTATATATATATAACTATATATAAACTATGCATATGTATATAAAATTTTATTCATACATATATATGAATAAAATATGTATGTTCATATACACACTCAACTAAATAAATGTGGCAAATGTTTATAATTGGTGAATTTATATGAAGTGTATGTCAGTATTCTTTATAACCATTCTTTAAACCTTTCCGTACATTTGAATATTTTCAAAATAGAGAGTTGGGGAAGCATGTTTTCTGTTTATGTTGGTGATAGTCTAAGCCAGATGTAGTATGACTCAGCCGTATAGTAAGTACACACCACACACACACACACACAGAGCATTCCAACATTTGGTAACTAGTTCATTGACATTGTCTATGTACATCAGCTAAACAATTCCAGATGAAAAAGTGTGGGGAAAGTGTAGTGTTCAAGGATTTGTCTGCTCTCAAATGTCTGTGTGCATGTGTCTGTTCCTGGCAGTGTTCCATCTTCCCTCCCACTACTCCCAGTGACCCCAAACTGAACTACTTCCCAACAACTCACACTTTGCACATGAAGTCTCTGTCCATGCTATTTCTTCGGCCTGAAACACTGTTCCCATTGTTTCACTTGTCAAAATGATACTTAATCTTTAAGGCTTGATTCAAAATCTCCTTCCTCTGTGAAACTCTTTTCTAGACTGCCATCTCTTTCTTCCAACTGGAAGCATTCATTCCCTGCTGTGTGGTCCCTATAGCTCTCTTGAAACACATACTTCATTCTTTCTGTAGAGAATGAGTTGGTACATAAGGAACCTCATTATAGTGACTTATGTACCCACTCATATTCCCCAGAGAGAGAAAGTTCTATTTAATTCTGTTGCATAGGATGAAGTCCAGATTCCTTAGAATAATGTACGAGGTTCTTGTGACTTGGTGCTTGCTTCCTTTTGAGCCTTATGTCCTGATATGCCCCTCAATGAACGTGATACTGGAGCTATAACGAAGCCACTTTTCCACTCAGGACTCCTGGGCCCCTAAGATTCAGGCCCCTTAATTCCATTAGCAATGGAGGAGCAAAGTGCTCCCCAGGATTCCTGTGAATTTCTGGTGCCTCACATTCTCATGCAACTTGCAATGCTGGTGACTTCCCCAGGCCACCACTCCAGCTGCTTTCCTCTGCACTTCAGCTGACCATAAAATGTAGTCCCTTTTTATGCTTTGGGAAAATAAAAGCAAAACCTCTCTCCAGCAAAAGCATTCATGAGTTTGGCTGACTTATGAGGGAGACCAAGGATGATTTCCATTGCAGTGATGCCACAGCTTTCCTGAAAGGTAAGCATCAATCTGCCCTTTGCCCCACTGAGACCGAGTCACTCTATCTTGCTGTTACCTCTTGCCTCCTCATTTTTGGCCTGTCTTCCCACTCCACTCTTCCCACTCCACTCTTCCTGTCCCTCCCAGGGCTAAAACCTTGGCATCAGAAATCTGTAAAATGTAAATGTCACTTGTTTCAGAGAACACCTCCTAATTTGGAGCATTTATGAACCTCACAGTGCCAAACAGAATATTTACCTTGCTGGCTCTGACATTCTTTAGGTCACTAATCTAAAAAGTTTCTGAGAAAAAAAAAACCCACATTAAAAGTGAATCCTGTTGCCTGAAATAGTGTGTTTCACTTATTAGGCAGTGAAATTCACTGGCCTCCTGTAACCAGCATGAGGCAATTTTTAGTGGAGGCCTCATCTCTGCCGGCTCGATTTGTTGCTGCTCAGTTACAAAGATGTGTTTACTTACAGCAGAAAGGGCTTCTAGTTACTTGTCTAACACATGAGCAGGGTGACATCTCTTGCTCCCCGTTTTGCTACTATTTTTGTCATCAGGGTCTGAAGTTGCTAACAAAAATATATTAAAAGTGGGTAACATCTGTATTCATCTTGGACTTAAGGATGCTGTAGGAATATTTTCTGAGTTTTATGTACTTATACAATTATTACATCAATCTTTTTTTAAACATTTTTTATTGAGACATAATTCATGTACCATAAAACTCACCAATTTAAAGTATACAATTCAGTGGTTTTTAGTATGTTTGTTTGTGGTGGAACTACCACTAGAATCTAATTCCAGAACATTTTCTTCACTCCCAAAAGAAAAGCCCTTCCCATTAGCAGTCACTCCTTATGCCTGTCCCACCCTGAGCCTGCTTTAGGCAACTGCTAATCTACTTTCTGTTTTTATATATTTGCCTATTCTGGACTCTTCATACAAATGGAATCAAACAATATGTGGCCTTTTGGGTCTGTCTTCTTTTACTTAGGATGATATTTTCAAGTTTCGTTCATATAGTAGCATGCATCAGTACTACTTTTATTACCAAATAATATTCCATTGTATGGACCTAACATTTTATTTATCCTTTCATCAACTGATAGGCATTTGGGTTTCCACTTTTTTCTTTTATTTTTAGTTGACACATAATAATTGTACATATTTGTGGAATGCAGAGTGTTATTTCCTTATGTGTAATGATCTAATCATGGTAGTTAGTATCCATCACCTCAAATATTTATCATTTTCTTTGTGTTGTGAGCACTAAAGATCCTCTCTTCTAGTTTCTTGAAAATATACAATAAATTATGGTTAACCATATTCACCCCACAGTGCTGCAGAATACCTGAACTCATTCCTCCTATTAAACTATAATTTTGTAATTGTTAACCAACCAATCCCCATCCTCCCTCCCTGCCACTCTTCCCATCCTCTAATTCCCACAATTGTACTCTACTTTTTCGTAGCTCCCATGAGTGAGGACATGTGGTATTTATCTTTCTGTGCTTATCTTATTTTGCTTAACATCATGTCCTCCAGGCTCATCCATGTTGCTGCAAATGACAGGATTTCATTCTTTTTTGTGGCTGAATAGTATGCCATTGTGTATATATACTACATTTTCTTTATTCAATTGTCTGTTGATGAACATTTGGGTTGATTCTATATCTTAGCTATTGTGAGTAGTGCTGTAGTAAACATGGGAGTGTAGGTATCCCTTTGATATACTGAGTTCCTTTCCTTTGGGTAAATACCCACTAGTGAGATTGCTGGATCATATGATAGTTCTGTTTTTAGAGAAATTTCTATGCTGTTTTCCATAATCGCTGTATTAATTTATATTTTCACCAACAGTGTATAGGAGTTCTCTTTTCTCTGCATCCTCACCAGCATTGTTATTTTTTGTCTTTTTGATAATAGCCATTCTAACTGGGGTGAGATGACATCTCATTGTGGCTTTGATGTACGTTTCCCTGATGATGATTTTTCATATATTTGTTGACTATTTGTATGTCTTCCTGAGAGGTTTGGAGGTTCAAGCAGGGGAGTGCAGCTACTTGTATCCTAGACCAATAACCCATCCTCCTCTATCAGGGTTGGCTATCCTCTTTGACCCAGCACGCAGCTTTGGGGAGGGACACACATGGAACGGTGAGGGAAGAAGGGGACACCTGCCTAGCCAGCCAGATCAGCCGAATCAACCCTGGTGATCAATGGGGTGACAGATATCACAGCCACATCGCCCTCACATATGTCTTCTTTTGAGAAATGTCTGCTTGGTTCCTTTGTTCACTTTTTAATCAGATCATTTGTTTATTTGCTATTGAGTTGTTTGAGTTCCTTGTATATTCTGGATGTTAGTCCTTTGTTGTATGACTAGTTCACACATGTCTTCTCCCATTCTATAGGTTGTCTCTTCACTTTGTTTATTGTTTCCTTTGTTGTGTATAATCTTTTTAGTTTGATATCATCCCATTTGTCTGTTTTTGTTGCCTGTGGTTTTGAAGTCTTAGCTATATAAAATCTTTGCCAAGATCAATGCCCTGAAGCATTCCCCCTGTTTTCTTCTAATAGCTCTATCGTTTCAGGTCTTATGTTTAATTCTTTAGTCTATTTTGAGTTTACTTTTGTATATGGAGATACAGGAGTCTAGTTTCATTCTTCTAGATACAGATATCAAGTTCTCCCAGCACCACTTATTGAAGAGCACCATTTGTTGAAGAATGCATGGATTTTATTATAAATAGTGCTGGTATAAACATTCATGTACAAGTCTTTGTAAACATATGTTTTCACTGTTTTTGGGTATAAACCTAGGAGTAGAATTGCTGGGTCATATTATAACTCTATGTTTAATTTTTGAGGAAATGCAGACTGTTTTCCAAAGTGGCTGGCTCATTTTACATTTCCACTAGCAGTATATGAGAGTTCCAGTTTGTCCACATCCTCACCAATGCATTTTATTATCTGTATTTTAAATTATAGCCATCCTAGTAGGTACGTTGTGGTATGTCATTATGCATTTATCTAATGGCTAATAATGTTGATCAATTCAATTTTTAGGCCATATGTTTTAATGAACAATTACAGTGATGAGACATGACATTCTGTTTTAATATTTTAATTTTTAATGATTTTGAATAAAGTAGTAAGCATATATGTTGTTATATGTCATATTTAGCAAATGCACTTCATTTACAGCTTATCTTAAAAAATTCTAACTTGACTACATAAAAGTGAAATCTAAGTGAAAACTTCAGAGATAGTTTCATAGGACAAATTTTCTATAGCATACTAAAACATACTTAGCTATTATCAAGTATAGGGTAAAGAGACAAACTTTGCATCTGTTACTTGATATTTGTGTTCAAACAATTTGGATTCTATTGGGGAATATCTAAACTCTTCCAATTCTTTTAACATGAATAAAATAGCATCCACATCTGGAACCCAGACCACATGTGATGGCTCCACAGGATTTGGTCAGACTTTGTTTTGAAACAGGGAGGCAGAAAACATAATGTGTTCCTAGCAAAAGAATCCACAGTCAACAATCAAATTGAAAGAATGAGGTTGCATAGAAGAAAAAGATATTCCTGAAGAAACTGAAGAAACAAATAAAAACTTATGGCACAGGAATAAATTCAGCATAAAATAAATGCAAATAAAAGTTTTTAAAAAGTTAAAAGAATTCACAGATTTTATTTTGGAGTGGTATGCAATACCATTAAAAGAAATTAGAAATCATAGTTTAAGCAGAGGCTTAAATAAAACATTTTTATTAATACAGGCTTTTTTTTTTTTATGAGAAGGCCCAATCTGTGCATTGGGAATTAAAGCAAAGCAAAACAAAACAAACAAACAAAAAAAACAAGATATAATATTTGCATAGCCCATTTTAAATTGTGGTCCAAATGTTGTATTTAAGATCGATAAAATATAAACCAATCCTGCAAATAAAATATAAAAAGGACAAATCTATGTGTCATTTCTGGTATTTTCCCTGCCAGCCAGCCCTGGAATCATAGAATGGCGGCAGGTGAGGGGTGGGTTGGGGGGTGGTGGGGGGAACAACCCTGCTCTTGTCCACCTAGTTTAAGAAGTACATTGTATGGGATTACATAAAAGTAATGTGATCCTGATTGAAAAACAGAAGGATGGCATCAATAAGCCACATTAGTCAGTTCCTTATCTGAGTGTTGTGCCAGTAAATTTGGGGAAAAAGTACTGAGAAATGGGACAACACAAGCACACATAAAAAAAATTATGGCTGAAAGTGCAATCTCTTTTTTTAAATTAAAAAAATCCAAGGCCTTTAACCTGAAAAAGAAATGATCTATGACTGAATGATTATCTGTCTCTAGGCCTTTATATAAAGATCTATTCTCTTCCTCTTCAAGGGATTAATCATTATAAAATGAGCTAAAGATTTTTAGATGTTTTGGTTAGGCATAAATAAAAATATATTAACAAATAGGTTCTTTATCCACATGAAGTATCTTCAAAATAAATTAGTAAGTTGGATTTGTTTATATTGATTCAGATAACATTTATCTGGAAACAAGTGGCAAGATAATAACCTCCTAAGGAGTTTTCTGACTCTGGGATTCCATAAAAGCTTTTGTAAAACATTAGAGACAACCTGAAAATTTTACTTAATGGCATTGCCTAATCTAAGTGGTCTTACGATTTGTTAAGTGTAAAGAAATATGACAGCAACTAAAATTTATTAGTTTTCATAAATGGTTTTTTATGTTGTCAGTTTGTATAAATGGTTATTGGAACTATATATTCCATACTAAATGATAATCACAAAATGATCTTTATATTAAATATTTTTAGGGTTTGAATGTGCTTTCCAGACATAAAAAATTGAAGGAACTTTCTGTATCTGAATGTTATAGAATCACTGATGATGGAATTCAGGTAAGATCATTAAGATCATCTGTTAAAGAATTAAGATTGAAATTTTTCTTTTTTTCTTTTTTTTCCAATGAATAAAAAGGACTATTTTTATTGAAATAACAGAATTGCAAAATATAAATCACTTTTGCCTTTAGTTCTTAAGTAACTACAAAATAAAAATTTACAAGTACAAATAAAGCTTAAAAACAACAAAATTAATGATATTGTTATAACATGTAAAGTATTAAAATGTAGCTAAATATTTACTATTTTTTAATTATACTTTAAGTTTTAGGGTACATGTGGACAATGTGCAGGTTAGTTACATATGTATACATGTGACATGCTGGTGCGCTGCACCCACTAACTCGTCATCTAGCATTAGGTATATCTCCCAATGCTATCCCTCCCCTCTCCCCCCACCCCACAACAGTCCCCAGAATGTGATGTTCCCCTTCCTGTGTCCATGTGTTCTCATTGTTCAATTCCCACCTATGAGTGAGAATATGCGGTGTTTGGTTTTTTGTTTTTGTGATAGTTTACTGAGAATGATGATTTCCAATTTCATCCATGTCACCACAAAGGACATGAACTCATCATTTTTTATGGCTGCATAGTATTCCATGGTGTATATGTGCCACATTTTCTTAATCCAGTCTATCATTGTTGGACATTTGGGTTGGTTCTAAGTCTTTGCTATTGTGAATAGCGCCACAATAAACATACATGTGCATGTGTCTTTATAGCGGCATGATTTATAGTCCTTTGGGTATATACCCAGTAATGGGATGGCTGGGTCAAATGGTATTTCTAGTTCTAGATCCCTAAGGAATCGCTGCACTGGCTTCCACAATGGTTGAACTAGTTTACAGTCCCACCGACAGTGTAAAAGTGTTCCTATTTCTCCACATCCTCTCCAGCACCTGTTGTTTCCTGACTTTTTAATGATCGCCATTCTAACTGGTGTGAGATGATATCTCATTGTGGTTTTGATTTGCATTTCTCTGATGGCCAGTGATGATGAGCATTTTTTCATGTGTTTTTTGGCTGCAGAAATGTCTTCTTTTGAGAAGTGTCTGTTCATGTCCTTTGCCCACTTTTTGATGGGGTTGTTTGTTTTTTTCTTGTAAATTTGTTTGAGTTCATTGTAGATTCTGGATATTAGCCCTTTGTCAGATGAGTAGGTTGCAAAAATTTTCTCCCATTTTGTGGGTTGCCTCTTCACTCTGATGGTAGTTTCTTTTGCTGTGCAGAAGCTCTTTAGTTTAATTAGATCCCATTCATCAATTTTGGCTTTTGTTGCCATTGCTTTTGGTGTTTTAGACATGAAGTCCTTGCCCATGCCTATGTCCTGAATGGTAATGCCTAGGTTTTCTTCTAGGGTTTTTATGGTTTTAGGTCTAACGTTTAAGTCTTTAATCCATCTTGAATTGATTTTTGAAAACTGATTAATTCACTTTATTTCTTATTTCCATAGGTTTTTGGGGAATGGGTGGTGTTTGGTTACATGAGTATGTTTTTTAGTGGTAATTTGTGAGATTTTGGTGCACCCATCACCTAAGCAGTGTACACTGTACTGTACTCAATTTGTAGTCTTTTATTCCTCACTCACTTCCCACCCTTTCCCCCAAGTCCCCAAAATCCATTGCATCGTTCATATACCTTTGCATTCTCATAGCTTAGCTCCCAATTATGAGTGAGAACATACAATGTTTGGTTTTCCATTACTGAGTTACTCCACTTAGAATAATGGTCTCCAATTCCACCCAGGTTACTGCAAATGCCATTGTTTCATTTTTATGGCTGAATAGTATTCCATACCACAATTTCTTTATCTACTCATTGATTGATGGACATTTGGGTTAGTTCCCCGATTTTGCAATTGCGAATTGTGCTTCCATAAGCATGTCTGTGCAAGTATCTTTTTCGTACAATGACTTCTTTTCCTCCGGGTAGATACCCAGCAGTGGGATTGCTGGATCAAATGATAGTTCTACTTTTAGCTCTTTAAGGAGTGTCCACACTGTTTTTCATAGTGGCTGTACTAGTTTACATTCCCACCAGTAGTGCAGAAGTGTTCCCTTTTCACTGCATCCCTGCCAACATCTATTATTTTTTGACTTTTTGATTATGGCCAGTCTTGCAGGAGTAAGATGGTTTTGCATTGTGGTTTTGGTTTACATTTCCCTGATCATTTGTGATGTTGAGCATTTTTTTTCATATGTTTGTTAGACATTTGTATAGCTTCTTTTGAGAATTGTCTGTTCATGTCCTTAGCCCACTTTTTGATGGGACTGTTTGTTTTTTTCTTGCTAATTTGTTTGAGTTCGTTGTAGATTTTGGATCTTAGTCCTTTGTCAGATGTATAGATTGTGAAGATTTTCTCCCACTCTGTGCATTGTCTGTTTACTCTGCTGATTGTTTCTTTTGCTGTGCTGAAACTTTTTAGTTTAATTAAGTACAAATTGAATAAATTTTGTGGGTCACAGTAGAAAAAACAGAAATGGATTGGAAATGTAACAACACATATGTGATCTTAGTTGAACCAAGTTCACCTCCAGGCTCTTAGTTAGGTCTCCACAGCCAAAGTGATTGAGATTTATTTTCCCATTTTTCCCTGTCTACTCTCTCCCTTCCTCATGTCAGATTCAAAATAAACAGGGATATTTTACATGGAGAGCGATGAACTGCAGTGTGGTAAAAGTCTTCTCATATAAACAAAGTATTCTGTGGATAGAAATGTTATATGATCTAATCATGAAAGTTGGGGGAGTTTGAAAAATTATGCCAGATACTCAACAATTAGGAACTTAAGTTACTCAAACATACTTCCTAACATCCTTTATGGGAATGGAAAGCATGAGATAAGTAATTGGCTAGGATAAATGATTACGTGCTCAATTGATTCTTCAAGAGCGTGTGAGAAAAGTAAAATTCCTAGACCTAATCTTAAGTGATGTGTAGGAAGTCATAAAGTACATATTGTGAGCAAGCCACAGTGTAATTTTTTCATCACTTCAAGCATATCAATATGCTGTTAGAAAAAACCCCAAAGTCATGTGTCATACATGTATTGAACAAGAAGGGAAGCAGTAACCTAGGAATACAAGCACTGAAACACATTGGAAGCTCTAGATAAATGTGCCTTGAGAGTTTAAAACCCCAATCACTCATAAAAACCTGAAGCTAAAGTAGGAATAGAAAGAGAGAGAGAAAGAAAGAGAAAGAGAGAGAGAGAGAGAGAAGAAGAAGGAAAAGGAAGAGGAGGAGAGGAGGAGGAAGAAGAAAAGAAGAAGGAGAAGGAGAAGAAGGAAAGGGAAGAAAGGAAGGGAGGGAGGGAGGGAAGGAAGGAAGGAGGGAAGAAAGAGAGAAAGAAAAACCTATAAAAGGGTTTGTCCCACAAGTAGGAAGATAATGCAATAATAGCTGAGAAGTCCACAGAGCATGGCAAACCTTAAATTATCTCTGTCAATTTGAAGTAGACTTTCCCAGAAGTTTTAACATGACTAACAGGAGACTGTTAAAATACCATCCCAACTAGTGTGGGCTGTAGAGGATTCCAGGTCAAAAGATTCTCTAGACCTCTAGCATTGAATTCTAAACTTCTGGAGCTGAAAGAATCTTAGAAACATCTAAAGCAACTCCCTAATGTTAAGGTAGTAAGAATAAAAAATTACCTCAAAGGCCAAGAGCGCTTAAATGACTGGCCCAAAGTCTTATACCTTCTCAGCAAACTAATTCAGTAACAGTTTTATGAAAATGAAAGGTAGAAACGGAGAACTGCTGTTCTGAATGGTTGTTTGACAGCTTAGTGAGAGAAAAACGTTTTCAAATTATTTTTGCTGTTTCTCACTGGGTCTGCTGTTGCTCACTGGGAACAATGTAATCATACTTAAGGGAATCTGCTTTAAGGAGCATTAGTGTCACATAATGTCAATTTCCCCCAATTTTAGACCAGGGATACTAATGTTCTAAGAAGTCCCTAAGAAATCTGCCTGGTAGTATATTTAATAGTGTAGAGTTAAATAAATGAACACAAAACAAATATCCCAGAGAGGACTAGAAACTTCCATATTGGAAATATTGTAACTCTTTAATAACAAAAAGGGTTACAAATCATTTAGATGTATGTAACCTACTAAGACAAAAAGTTGAAAGATTCCTCTAAAGTTAAGCCATGATTTACCTGCTGCAATTAACTTAAGGGTTAAACATGCATTTATACAAAGTTTTATCTATGAATATGATATAGTCAGGCTTTCAAAAGATCTTTGACAAGGTGATAGACTAGACAAAACAGTTTAAAATATTAACATTTTTAATACTGGGTTATATTTCTCATATGGTGATCAGTTATATTTGAACAATAACTAGAAATCATTTAGAAGTATTGAAACCTACCATGGTGATGACATAGCCTCTTAATGTACATTATTGATTAATTTTTAGATGCTCCTCTCATCCTTGGGATGAAGGAGTATTGGCCAAAGTTTGATGTTAAGTATCAGGAGACCAGTGTTTTCTGTCATTCTTTTTTGATTCTGTGGGGTCCAGACATTTTTCTTTTCACTCTTTGGAGCCTAAAAATTGTACTATTTTTAGGTGCTCTGAGATTGTAGATGAAAGCATTTACCCATTTGGTAACTATATGACCATACAGCTGAGTTCTGGCATATCTTTAAAACAATTTAATCTTTTACAAACTGACATGTATTTATTTTCAGTAATCTAAAAGATTAGTTGTTCTACTCAAATTCATGAACAATAAATTTTTCTTTTTTTTTTCTAAAAAAACAAAACAAAACAGGATACATGTGCAGAACATGCAGGTTTGTTTCATAGGTATGCGTGTGTCATGGTGGTTTGCTGCACCTATTGACCTGTACTCTGAGTTCCCTCCCCTCACCCTCAACCCTGAAATTTTTCTTTTTCATCATTTCTCATCCTTCTTTTTCTCCTCCCTGCTTTTGGTACGTGTGTGTCTGTGTTGTGGCTTTTAACCAGTTTTACCTCTTCCAAGATTCATACTTCTGGGCATGTGGTAATCTTTCCCCTTGCCTCCTCCAGCCCAATTATTAAGTCCCAAAAGGGAACAGACAAAGCCGGGGGAGGAGAAAGTGACTTACAAACTAATTTCACAATTCCTTACCTGGATTTAAAAAGAGAAGGAAAGAGAATAAAATAAAGTGAGTAAATTGAGATGTTTAGATTATCTGCACTTTATAAAGAATGCTCTCTCGTTACTTAGATAAGGTAACTATAGGAGAGATTCTGTTTTTAGCACAAGACATTGAAAACTTACACACTACATAATTCGCTTAATGAGAAAAATGAATAAATTTTTTACCCTGGTTAGGTTTTGCAAGAGTTGTGAACATAATAAGAATAAAAAATTACCTCATTTTAGTGTTTAGTGGAAACCACAGCACACGCAGAGTCAGTGTCTGGAGCCTCAGATGTATTGACTTTTAGGATCTGGCTTTAATTACTTTCTCCAACGTTAGTTCTTTTCTGAGAACAACAGACATTCAATGATTATGTTACACTAAAATTATTTGGTGCTCTTGAAAGGCATTTTGGAGAAGATGTTTGATGCAGCTGTAACTGAGCATTTCTTAAGAAATCGTTTTCTTGAGGATTTTATGAGGTCAGTTAAATAACAGACGGCAAAGTATGGCAAAGAAATGGGCTTAAATGCAGTGTTACAGTTCAGACGTATTAGAAGTTCCATCTTAATAAGTTGTTTTGATAGAACCAATGGAATAAATCCAATTATTTACTCTGGTTGTTTTTTTTTGAGATGGAGTTTCGCTCTTGTTGCCCAAGCTGGAGTGCAATGGCACGATCTCGACTCACTGCAACCTCCGCATCCTGGGTTCAAGTGATTCCCCTGCCTCAGCCTCCCGAGTAGCTGGGATTACAGGCATGCACCATCATGCCTGGCTAATTTTTTGTATTTTTAGTAGAAATGCGACTTCACCATGTTGGCCAGACTGGTCTCGAACTCCTGACCTCACCTCAGGTGATGCACCTGCCTTGGCCTCCCAAACTGCTGGAATTATGGGTGTGAGGCGCCGTGCCTGGCCTCTGGTTGCTTTTTATACTCTTAATCTGGTTTGCATTTCTGATTCCTCTTTCCTAGAATGAAGCATAATATAAATACATTTATATAATATCCGTACACACGAATGTGTATTTTTTTTTTTTTTTTTTTTTTTTTTTTTTTTTTTTTTTTTTTTTTTGAGACGGAGTCTCGCTCTGTCGCCCAGGCTGGAGTGCAGTGGCGCAATCTCGGCTCACTGCAAGCTCCGCCTCTTGGGTTCACGCCATTCTCCTGCCTCAGCCTCCCGAGTAGCTGGGACTACAGGCGCCCGCCACTACGCCCGGCTAATTTTTTGTATTTTTAGTAGAGACGGGGTTTCACCGTGTTAGCCAGGATGGTCTCGATCTCCTGACCTCGTGATCCGCCCGCCTCGGCCTCCCAAAGTGCTGGGATTACAGGCGTGAGCCACCGCGCCCGGCCTCGAATGTGTATTTTTTATGCAGATTATCTCTAAATGAAAATCTTGCAGCTAGACAAAAATTTCTAATTATTTCAGTGTTAGCAGGTTGAGGTAGTTGATTAAGAAATGTCATTAGCAGCCAGGTGCTAATGTCATTAGCAGGAGAAAATCAGGTTTCATTAGGATGCACCAGAAGGACTGGCAGGTGTGTATGCAGTGAAAGTGTGCATATATGTGTGTTTACATGCAAATATATGTAAAGGTACATCTATGTCTAGTATATGTAGGTAAATTAAATATATGTATACACCTTGGTATATATTAGATCATATACATATGTCAATGTGTATATGTATTTATTACACCCAAATTGTGTATAGAGAGATGCTATGTGATTATACATTTCTAGGCTAAAACCAATAGATGATGGTCAGTATTTAAAGCAGATAATAAAAATTGGTTTGTTGGTTGGGTGCAGTAGTTCACACCTATAATCTTAGCACTTTGGGAGGCCGAGGTGGGTGGGTTACCTGAGGCCAGGAGTTTGAGACCAGCCTGCCCAACATGGTGAAACCCTGTCTCTACTAAAAATACAAAAAAATTAGCCAGGCATAGTGGCGCACACCTCTAGTCCCAGCTACTCCGGAGGCTGAGACAGGAGAATCACTGGAACCCAGGAGGCAGAGGTTGCAGTGAGCCGAGATCACACCACTGCACTCCAGCCTGGGCGACAGAAAGAGACTCCATGTCAAAAAAAAGAAAAGAAAGAAAAAAAAATTGAGTGTTAAAGAATTACCTTTTTGTCTATGTTTTATTTTAAAAATTAATCATCCATTTAAATGACAAAGCTCTTTTTCCTGTGGAAGTGTGTGGATTAGCTCTCTGATAGCAAAAGTAATAATATAATTTAGGGAATGTGGGACTAGCTGTCAAGAGTCCTAATTTTTATTCCAATTCTGCCTCTTACATGGCCACATTTTCTTAAGCAATTCACTTGGCCCACAACAATTCATTCCCCTACAGTGACTACAATTGTGAAGCAGACAGGAGCTTGCACCCTAGAGCAGGGGTAGGCTTTTTTTTTTTTCCTGTAAAGTTTTGAAGGGTCAGGTAGTTTCTGTTTTAGGCTTTGCAGGCCATACAGTCTCTGTCGCAACTTCCCAACTTTGCCATTGAGCATAGAAACAGCCATAGACAATATGTAAATAAATGAGAGTTGCTGTATTCCAATAAAACTTTATTTATGGACACTGAAAATTTGAATTTCATATCATTTTCACATAATCATGAAATATTATTCTTCTGTTGCTTTTTTTTCAACCATTCAAAATATATAAACACCATTCTTAGAGTGTAGGCCATACAGAAGAACTACAGGTTAGCTGGGCAGGCAGACAGCCACCGTCAGTGAGCATTGAGCCTGTGGCTGTCATAAGCAAATGCTGTTTGTGCTCTCTACCCTGCAGCCTGGTGGGCTGGCTGTGCTTGCATAGGTGGCCTGTGGCTGTCCCAAAGTTCAGGCACTTTGGTCATGTCCATTAAGCTTCCTTAGTACAACACTGGGGTATTATTTGCAATTAGCAAGTTGGAAAGAGCTTAGATGATTAATTAGGCTACTCCATACCTTCAAGTAAGATCATGCTCAAACCATCTCATTTCAGATTTTTTTTTTTTTTTTTGAGACTGAGTCTTGCTCTGTTGCCCAGGCTTGTATGCAGTGGCACGATCTTGGCTCACTGCAACCTCCTTCCGGGCTCAGACAATTCTCCCACCTCAGCCTTCCAAGTAGCTGGGATTACAGGCATGTGCCATCATCCTCAGCTCATTTTTGTATTTTTAGTAGAGATGGTGTTTCACCATGTTGGCTGAGGCTGGTCTTGAACCCCTGACCTCAGGTGATCTGCCTGCCTCAGCCTCCAAAGTGCCAGTATTATAGGCATCAGCCACCATGCCCAGCCTCAGATTAATTAATTTTGTGAAAATGTGACCATCTTGCTCAGTGATTGAACACAAAACATTTTGGATTAGACTTTCCATGTAGAGGACATGGATAATCTGTTTGTTTTTTGAAAACAGAAATCATTATAATTTTTTTTTAAATGATGAGGCTAGGTTTAGTGGGTTAGGCAGATATATAAGCAGAAAAATTCAATACTATGTGGTGGTTGTCAGCTAATATCAATTTAGCCCTTACTACATGTCAGGCACTGTTGTATTTTCCATGTATTAATTTCCTACTTTATGAGGTAGGCAATACTTTTAATTCCATTTTACAAACTGGAGGTTCCAAGAGGTTAAAAACTTCTCCCAAGTCATGAAACAGGTAAGTACATGAGCTAGTGTATAAAATGTCTAATTCCAAAAGGATGCTTTTAGTCATAATGCTGTGATAAAGGTATGTAGGAGGCTATGGGAGGATTCAGGCGAGGTACCTAATCCAGCATGGGAATGCCAGGGAAGTTTATCTGTCAGAAAAATCACTTTAACAAGGAAAGTGGAAGTTACATTGAAGAGCAGAAGGGGAAAAGGAGAGTGAAGGTAGGAATCTAAGAGGTTTTTGTTATAGTCCAGGGGTGACAGGATAGCAACCTGAACAAGGGAAGTAACAGGGAGGCTGGGGAGAAGGAAATGGATTAGAGAACATGAACATTTAGATAGCAAAATCCATGAAATTGTTGATAGTTCAGATGAGGGATGAGTGTGAAGATGTGGTTAAAGACGATGTCCATGCATCTGACTTGGCTGCCAGGAATGTTGGTGGTGTCCCCGCTTTCAAGCCCTATGAACTACCAAGATCTATTCAGTATTTTGGCACTTACTGTTGTCAAAATTTCTCTTCTTGTGAGTATGTGATTTATAGGAAATATATATATCTTGGTCTTTATCCACAGTCCTGGCACAGAGCTCCTTAAAGGGCTTGTAACTTTCTGAGCAATAGGGGTAATAGGTATCTTTTGTTCTAATATTTGGTCTTTGACCATGGTTCCTGATGCAGAACTCCTAATTCCTTGGAGTTTCCTGGGTGTATCTTCTGTTCTAATGAGGTGACTCTTGGTGAGTTCTTGGTTGGGGGCTGGTCATGAGAAAGGCCAGGCCACGATTAGAATCTTGGAACTTTCTGCTCCATTCCCCATCCTTTGGGAAGGGGAGAGGGGCTGGAGATTGAGCTAATAATTGATGGTGTCTATATGACGAAGCCCCCATAAAAATCCCTGAACTACAGGGTTTAGAGTACTTCCAGGTTGGCGAACACATCCATATGTCAGGAGAGGGGTGCACTCCAACTCTGTGGGGACAGAAGTTCCTGCACTCAGGACCTCTACACCTAGCCCTATGTACCTTTTCATCTGGCTGTTCATTGGTATCCTTTATTATATAATAAGCTGGTAAACATGTTTCCCTGAATTATTTGAGTTGTCCTAGCAAATTATCAAGCCCAAGGAGGTAGTTATGGGAACACTAATATATAGCTGGTTCATCAGAAGTCCAAGTGACAACCTGGGACTTGCGATTGGCATCTGAAATCTACTGGGATTGGGCTCTTAACCTGTGGGGTCTGTGCTAACTCCAGTTAATGTCAGAGTTGAATTAAATTGTAGAACATCCAGTTGGTGTCACAGAATTGGTCAGTGTATAGAAAAACCCACACATCTGGTATCAGAAGTGAAGTGTTCTGGAAGTATTGAGAGTGGTGTGACTATAGAGAAAAAAACAGTTTTTTTAATATGGCATGATTTTGTCTGTGTTTCCTCTAAGCTCTCTTCACCTCTCCACTCTTACGACAGTCTTTTAGGCATTCTCTCTCCCACTCTATCTTTAGGTTTGTGGCAGCCGCAGGCAGGCTAAGGGAGCTCTGTTTGAATTTGTTTTTACTCTACCTACAAGTAATTTGAAGGATGTATTGTTCTCTTAGTTCTAGTAATGATGAATGTATGGGTCCTGTGCAGTTTTATTTCTTTTCTCTTTATATTTTCTGGTTTGGAGGGGAGGCGAAGATTCAGACTTCGATAATCGTCATTGTTCTCCAAACCCAAACATAGCTCCCTCTTATTTTTATTAACTATAAAAGATAATTAATAAATGACTCTGAAGTTAATTATAAAAAAGTATCTCTAACAGAGACAGTTCATCTGCTTTTTAAAGCCCTGAAACCAGAATGCAGTGGGTAGTATTTATAATTACACAAAAGAAGGAAGTCTGTGGTAGTGGTTCAGCCTCATCTGCTCTCTTGTGTTTTCTGCCTGGTTTGTGGCTTATATTCTTCACAAGCTGGTTTACTAATATCTTGCAGATGACACCACTGATGAATTTTAAGGGTGTAACCTAGGTCAGCACCCTGTTGTCTGATGATCACTTAGGTATCTGACTTCGGCTTATGGAGTATAAACGGCAGTAGAGATATTAGAACCTCCACTTCTCTCATTGTCCTCTTCAGGCCCCGTCTTTTTTGAGACCCTCAATCTTGCTCTAGCTGCTTCACATTGGATTTTTAAATTTTTATTATTTTATTTTTTTTATTAAGACGGAGTCTCGCTCTGTCGCCCAGGCTGGAGTGCAGTGGCGCGATCTTGGCTCATTGCAACCTCCGCCGCCTGGGTTCAAGCGATTCTCCTGTCTCAACCTCTGGAGTAGCTGGGATTACAGGTGCCCACGACCATGTCTGGCTAATTTTTTGTATTTTTCGTAGAGACGGGGTTTCGCCACGTTGGCCAGGCTGGTCTCAAACTCCTGACCTCAAGTGATCCACTCACCTTGGCCTCCTGAAGTGCTAGGATTACAGACGTGAGCCACCGTACCCAGCCTTTCTTTAAAAGCTGTGGCAGGTTTTTTTGTTTTTTGTTTTTGTTTTTGTTTTTGAGATGGAGTTTTGCTCTTTTTGCCCAGTCTGGAGTGGTGCGATGTTGGCTCACTGCAACCTCTGCCTCCTGGGTTCAAGTGATTCTCCTGCTTCAGCTTCTCAAGTAACTGGGATTACAGGCATGCGCCACCACGCCCAGGTAATTTTGTATTTTTAGTAGAGACGGGGTTTCAGCATGTTGGTCAGACTGGTCTTGAACTCCTGACCTCAGGTGATCCGCCTGTCTCAGCCTCCCAAAGTGTTGGGGTTACAGGTGTGAGCCACCATGCCCGGCCTACCACTTGAAATAACATACTCCTTCTCTCCCTTAATCTTCATAACCTTTTATGATACATTCTCTTAGATTATAAACTTTCGATTTTAAAAATTTGCCCTTTGGTAACATTTATCTTGATTTACAAATAGAAAAGGAGGTAGAGGAGGAGGGATTCGGCATAAGGGACTGGGAAGGGCGGCAGCCATGTGGCACAATCATAAGCTACTTCATAGTTGGGAGAACAACAGAGCAACAGTCATTGCTGTTCATTTGACTTTTGGTCTGACCCAGGAATGTTCAGTAAGTTGAGTGGCTCCAGGCATAGTCTAAGTAGAAACTGAGGGTTCAGAGTTCTGAGTCTTGTACTCTGGACTATCTGTGCTATGGAACTGAAACCCCTAGAATTTGTAAGGAACATCTACAAGGATACTCAGGTCAGAAAGGCCCAGGAGTACCTACCTCATTCAGCAACAGTCCAGTCAAAATCTTCCTCCCCGACAATGGCCTATGACCAGCCTGTTCTACACATTCCTCTCTGGAGTGTAAGAAGGGTTGAGTTCATGTGCTCTAACAGCAAGAACTGGATTATTCTCCAGTGACTCTCTTCTGATCTTAAATACTTAGTTTGAATCACTAAACTTTCTAACTAGTTATAAATGTTGTTTGTGCAAGATTCTCATCAATCATTCTCATCAGTTGATAGACTCCACCCCCTGGTGCTCAACCAAAGTTGATTTTGGTAGCCTTTGACACATACTGACTTGTAATGCCAAAGATGGATTAGATGTGTTGGCTCCATGTAGCAACATTTTTTTTTAAAGAACTCAACATTGATTTCTATTTGTTTTCCAAGATTAAGTCATTCAGTAATTATCAAAGCATGAGATTTCAGTAACTCCACCTCTTCTCTAGGGTTACAAGTTGTGTTTATGGTTCGCAACAGAAGCAACGGAGGACTCCTTTCCAAAATGACTTTAATCATTGGCCTTTGTTGCAGCAGAAGCTCTGAAATCTCTTGTATGGGGAGGTGGAACGTCCGGACATTTGGATCTTTTGTCTCTTGACCATATTGCTTGGCAAAGTCTCTCTTCTCATCCAATACTCCAGGTTATGATTAGGAAATAATTGACTAAACTGTCTATGATGGAGATTCCAGAGGGTCTCTGGTTTAGAAGTGTTTTACAGGGTATTGGGAGAGGAAACTAAGGAATTCCTCTGGTAGAATGAAGGGTAGTGGGGATATCTGGTAGCTTGTGGAGAAAGCAACCCCCTACAAAACCTGGAATAATTAAGAGTTTTACTATGGAAATCTGTGCTGCTTGGCTATCCATGCCAAGGATAGTTTCCTAAACTTTATAATAGAACAACATACTCCTGGAGACCCAAGACACCTGGAATCAACTGGGAGTCACAGATAAACTCTTGCCAAGATACCCAGGCATTATTCTTTCTTCAAAGCCTGTGAGCAAAAGAAATAAACAGTATTCTCTGTGGCTCCTGACACTAGTGTGTTTCTAATTGTGGAGGCAGTTCAAAAGAATTAGAAATTTGCTAGACTTCAAAGGATGTGGGATTTGACAGTTTGTCAGTTTCCCATTGTCTGTAAGGTTCCAAGGGATACTGGAGTCATGGGTACTGTGTTTTCTTGGCCGAAAAACAGCTGAAGCTGAGAACACCCCACACCAGTCCTGGCTTCTTGCCCACTCCCATTGGGGAAGAACCACTCTCAGACAACTGAAGCACTGCTGAACTTGCTAAATGAATGTGCACATCTGTTCTTTTCATATTGAGCATCCACAGAACAGAACTAAAAGAGAATGTGTTAAAAGGAAGATAATCCGTAGGAGCCCTCTCCCACTCTTTAAGCTGCCCCTGGAACATTAGTTTATCCTTTGTAAGATGAAACTTGCCAAAAGTTAAAAAAAAAAAAACTGTCAGATTGTCTGAAGGCAAAAATTTAAAAAAAGGGAAAATAAACATCAGAATGTTTGCTTCTTTTGTTTTTTAAACCTATGTTTAGGTTTTTGATATGTTTTTGATCCCTCTTCTATGTGACACACCTAGGCTTTGCTCATTGTGCCTTGCCTGACATAAACCAAGGGCCTGTGGCATGTCTCACAGGAGCTATGATTTCTCCATGTTATAATTTGTAATAACCCTCCCTATCAATTCCAGTTAAATTTTGTTCATTATATTTCCTCATCCTAAAGCCCTCATCACATACATCATAGATAGGATCGTTCCAGGATCTCTCTGGTTCACAGACAAAAGCCAGGGTCCATGTCTTCCAAGTGCTTTTGGAATACACATTTTCTTTTAATCTTCTAATAGGCCTATGAGATAGGTAGACAGTTATTTTCTTTCTCCTCTTATATATGAAGAAACTTGAGGTAACATGACTTGTTCCTGGTCACATAGATACAATTTCAGATTCCAGGCTCTCTTTTTTTCCACTAGACTGGTAGCCTCCCTTGATTAGATCACCTCTTATTCTATTATGTCCGCAAATGGGAGGTGAAAGCAGTACTGATAATAGTTCGTGAACTCTTTATTTCTTAGAGATCCTTAAATGGAAGAGGTCATAGGATGCTGTGACTGTCCTTACAGTAAACATTATGAGTTGTCATTTTCTTGGGAAAGACTAAGAACAAAAAGTGAGGTGGCTGGCTGTGCAAATAGACACCCATCAACTCTTTCTGGCTGATTATTTTAGCTTAAGGAATTCCCCCGCCTTTCTTGCCCCACAGAGGACCCTGGACTAGTGCCAGGTAATTGGGCCACTAGGCACCACTTTTTGAAATAAACTTAGAGAAATGTAAAAAGTGTGGGTTATGCCACAGGCAACAAGAAAAATATCTGATTGCCATTTGGGTAATTCAATCCTGGTTCATTTTTATTTTGGAGAGAAAATCTAAAACCTGAAGCTGTTCTAAAATTTTTCTCAATAAATTCTAGTTACCAAGTACAATTCAAAGACATTTTGTTTTGGTCTTTTCCTGGTCATCTTTCCTTTTGGTTTTCCCAATATACATTCTCTTTCACTGCTTACCCTTTCTGTTCTTTAATTTCTTCCAATTTTCCTTCTTTTTATGCATCTGTCAAATTTTATATGTTAAAGATAATTCCTTTATTTTTACAAAATGTTCTGGATCTGTGCAGCCAGTAAGCCATCAAGATTTACTGGCAACCAAAGGTGTGCTGTTGGGTAGGTGTCTCTAGAGAAAGCATGTACTCCAGCAAATGAACAACACAATTTTTTTGGTGTGACAAGAAAATATTGAAAGTTCTAGAAATGTCAGATTTATTTTTTATCTCATACATTCTATTTTATATGTTTAAATATATAATATATATTTGAATAGTTTATGCCTATATAATTTACAAAGTACATTAATATACATTTACTGAAAGTGTATGCTCAAAATATTTTTACTATGCCAGGCACAGTGGCTCACATGTGTAATCCCAGCACTTTGGGAGGCTGAGGCAGGCGGATCCCTGAGGTCAGGAGTTCAAGACCAGCTGCCAACATGGTGAAACCCTGTCTCTACTTAAAAATACAAAAATTAGCTGGGCGTGGTGGCAGACACCTGTAATCCCAGCTAGAGGCTGAGGAACGAGAATCTCTTGAACCCAGGAGGTGGAGGTTGCAATGAGCCAAGATCATGCCACTGTGAAGGGGGCCAGCCCCTCCACACCTGTGGGTATTTCTCGTCAGGTGGGACGAGAGACTGAGAAAAGAAATAAGACACAGAGACAAAGTATAGAGAAAGAACAGTGGGCCCAGGGGACTGGCGCTCAGCATACCAAGGACCTGCACCAGCACCGGTCTCTGAGTTCCCTCATTATTTATTGATTACCATTTTCACTATCTCAGCAAGAGGAATGCGGTAGGAGAGCAGGGTGATGGTGGGGAGAAGGTCAGCAAGAAAATGTGAGCAAAGGAATCTGTGTCACAATTAAGTTCAAGGGTAGGTACTATGCCTGGATGTGCACGTAAGCCAGATTTTTGCTTCTCTCCACCCATACATCTCAGTGGAGTAAAGAATAACAAAGCAGCATTGCTGCCAACATGTCTCGTCTCCCGCCATAGGGCGGTTTTTCTCCTATCTCAGAATTGAACAAATATACAATCAGGTTTTATACCAAGACATGCCGTTTCCAGGGGCAGGCAGGAGACAGAGGCCTTCCTCTTATCTCAACTGCAAGAGGCCTTCCTCTTTTACTATCCTCCTCAGCACAGACCCTTCACGGGTGTCGGGCTGGGGGACCATCCCACGAGGTCTTTGCCATCCCACGAGGCCATATTTCAGACTATCACATGGGGAGAAACCTTGGACAATACCCAGCTTTCCAGGGCAGAGGTCCCTATGGCTTTCTGCAGTGCATTGTGCCCCTGGTTTATCGAGACTGCAGAATGGCGATGACTTTTACCCAGCATACTGCCTGTAAACATTTTGTTAACAAGGCACATCCTGCACAACCCTAGATCCGTTAAACCTTGATCCCATACAACACATGTTTCTGTGAGCTCAAGGTTGGGGCTAAAGTTACAGATTAATAGCATCTCAGGGCAAAGCAATTGTTCAGGGTACAGGTCAAAATGAAGTTTCTTATGTCTTCCCTTTCTACATAGACACAGTAACAGTCTGATCTCTCTTTTCCCTACACCACTGCACTCCAGCCTGGGTGACAGAGTGACACTCTGTCTCAAAAAAAAAATTTTTTTTTTACTATGGTGTTCATGATTTAAAAAGTTTGGCAATCAGAGCCACAGAGAAGCAGTGCATACAAATAATAATACTAGCTACTATCTACTGACTGCTAACTATGTGCAAGGTACTGTTCAACTGCTTTATTCATATTAACTCATTTAATCTCCCCAACAACTCTATGAAGTAGGTGCTACTCCTCATATTAAGCTACTCCTGTGTTATTCCCACACCACTGATGAGAATATTGAGGGGTAAGAGAGGTTGAGTAACTTATCCAGAGACACAAAACATCTCATGGAAGGATTTGAACTCAAGCCAGTGGGCCCCCAGACTGTGCTCTTAACCAACCCTGTATGCTGCCTCTGGCAGTTACTGAACCGAGTGAGAAGAAGGACTGGGCTTAGTATTCTGAGGGCCATATATGGAAGCTCATTCTCCTCACTCCTGTGCTGAGAAGCATTCTTCATTCATTTTGGATACTCTCTCATCTTGAACTAATTCTGTATGCCAGATGTTGGCAAAGATAAATTAGACATGGATTCTACCCTCAAGAAGTTACAGTCAATGCAGAAGATAAGACACTTACATGAATAACTATAATACAAGTAGAAAGTGAGAAAGTTGCCTGGGCGTAGTGGCTCATGCCTATAATCCCAACGTTTTGGGAAGCCAAGGAGGAAGGATCACTTGATGCCAGGAGTTCGAGATCAGCCTGGGCAACATAGTGAGACCCTGTCTCTATAAAAATTAAAAAATGAGCCAGGCATGGTAGCATGCACATATGTGGAAGGCTGAGGTAGAAGGATCATTCAAGCCCAGGAATTTGAGGCTACAGTGAGCTATGATCATGCTGCTATGCTCCAGCCTGGGCAACAGAGCAGGACCCTGTCAAAAAGAAAGAAAAGCTTATAAGAATTTGAAAGCGCATCTCTTCCACAGAGAAGAATTGGGGAAGACTGTAGAATAAACCACATTTGAGCTGGTTTGAAGCCAAAGTTTATCCCTCACATCACCATCTAATTTTATAACAAATTTCATCATGAAAGTGTCTTTGGAAATATTTGTTTTGGTCCTTGGCCTTATCCCCCTTTCCCTTTCAGAGTTCTCTCCATGTTTTAAAACAGGGAGCTTCTCTGAGGCTGGGCCTTTGCTAAGCCTTGCTCAGCCTGGTTTCCCTGGCAGGGAAGGTGGGAATGCAAGAGTGGCATCTCCAGGAGGGGCACCTTCAGGCTCTGCAGAGTTTAGTTGTGGTGCCAGGCCATGACCAGTCCCACTTGCTCTGATGCCCAGTGGGAACAAGGCCATTGTTGGTGGAGTGTAGCTCTCCATCTCATGGGATATGCGAAGTAGATATCTTGGGATATGCCCAAGAAACTGAAGTTTTTGTATTTAGTTGATATCTTAAAATTGTGGAAGTTGCATTTTAGCCTTTGGGGCAGCCAAAAATGTCTTCATTATAGAAAATGGTTCTTGACAGCACATATTTTCCAGAATTACCAACAGGGAAAAACTCCCCAACTTTGCAGTAGAATTAATTGGGACCTAATGAGGCAAATAGTCAAGAGATGGTGTTATGAGTATGCAACACGAAGTGAGCTTTTCTAAGGCTAGAAGCTGCCACCTGTCAAAGTGGTTTAATTCAGGATTTTGGCAGAAGCACATTATTGTGACAGTCAATAAATGTGAGTGAAATTCAGTCTCCTCTACGTACCCTATTTAGGAATGTAGTCATTAAGTGCCTACACTGTGACTCAGCTCAGAAGACACAAGAAGGAATGATCTAACTCGCTAAGAGATATGGAAGTTTTCTTCCAGATTGCCAACACACAGCAAAATTGGCTGATACATGGGAAAGGAGCCAAACTTGATAATGTTTGCATTTTTATCTCTGTCTTTACTGTAAAAGATTTTGACTTGGAAGAAATTTAGTGTTGCATTTTCCAAGGAAAGAAAATCAGCAGCATCGATAGAAGTATGATTCTGCAGCATTGGAGCCAGAAGTGTATATTGTAATCTTATCTGTAGGGGGGAAATGGAATTTCATGAGTGATTATGTTGAAACATGCTTGCAGATTTAAGTACTTAATATGACTTATATGTGTTTAAAGGAAAACACGAATTCTAAGAGAGGAAAAGTTCTGACTTTAGTTCGCCAATCTGCCACTGATTTAGCATAAAGCCTTAGACCAATTTTTGTGCCTCAGATTTTCCATGGATGAGAATGGTACCATGAATGTATCATAGACCTTGTAATCATTTTTAAGTTAGTTTTAAATTTAAAACCTCTGAGAACATTTGTCTTTAAAGAATATTAGAGCTTTTAAAAAGGCATAAGGCAGATTTGATTCGAGCAGTCCAAGACATTGGCAGATGCTACTGAAGAGGGTTTTCAGACACGAAGAGCCTTGAATCTCCCTCTAAAGCTTGTTTCATCCTTCAATAAATTATTCTTATAGTTTAAATATTCTTTCTTGCTTTAATTTTTCTCTGGTTCCTCTAACTCTGTCCATTCTCTCTAACAATGTTAATGTCTCTAACAAGGGAAAAACAATGTCGGGGCCGGGCGCGGTGGCTCACGCCTGTAATCCCAGCACTTTGGGAGGCCGAGGCGGGCGGATCACGAGGTCAGGAGATCGAGACCATCCCGGCTAAAACGGTGAAACCCCGTCTCTACTAAAAATACAAAAAATTAGCCGGGCGTAGTGGCGGGCGCCTGTAGTCCCAGCTACTTGGGAGGCTGAGGCAGGAGAATGGCGTGAACCCGGGAGGCGGAGCTTGCAGTGAGCCGAGATTGCGCCACTGCACTCCAGCCTGGGCGACAGAGCGAGACTCCGTCTCAAAAAAAAAAAAAAAAAAAAAAAACAATGTCACCTTACTTCTTGCAACATAAAAATTCTTGTATTATTAAAAGAGACTTCTTAATTTTCTTGAAGACATAAAGGATCAGTGAACCAACTAGTATGTACTGAGCACTTACTGTGTTCTAATATGATGTTTGGGAAAGGGATATGAAAGCTAGCAGATTTCCAGGCAGTACAAGGGGCTTATTGCATTTTTATTGAATCTCCAAACTGAGATTCCAGGCCACTGATTCCAATAATTCAAAGGTAGATTCCTTTCTGTACCTCCTTGGGTGTGCCCCACTATGCTTGATTATCTCCAGTGACAGGTCCCAAGCTATCTCCTGACAAGCTGCCCCTTCTAATTTTTGCCATCACGTAGTTGCCAGACAAGACAGACTTTCATGCAGTACAGGAATGAGTCAAATACCCTAAGTGCTGAATCAGTTGAAAAAGACAAGTTCTGCATGAGATCAAAGAATGAATCACTGTTGGCTGTTGTGGTCAGGAAAAGATGATGACTTAGGGTTAAATAACCAATATCTTTCAGTTTTTCTCAAAGTACAATACATTTGTGCATCTTTATTATTATTGGTGTCATGTGCAAATCCTGATAGTAGTTAACATTTATTCTTTTTAATGGCTTAAAATTTTTAACTGACAAATAAAAATTGTATATATTTATGAAGTACAACATGCTGTTTTGATACACACACACACACACACACACACACACACACACACACATTGTGGAATGGTTAAATCAAGCTAATTAACATTCATCACCTTACATACTTATGATACTTTTTATGGTGAGAACATTTAAAATCCATTAGCAAATTTCAAGTATACAATACATCGTTACTAACTATAGTCATCATATACAATAGATCTCTTGAACTTTCTCCTCCTAACTGAAAAAACAATTGAATGTTTCACAAATCTGTGTCATCCTTGTTCAGGGGCCAGGCTAATCCCTGTATTTTTCCAATTTTAGTATCTGTGCTGCTGAAGTAAGCACTAGTTAACTTTTATGGGGTGCTTACTATGTGCCAAGCACTAGCCAGTGTGCATACTGCCTCTCAACTAACACAGTATATAAAATCTTAGAGATAGCTAGAGAATCTATTTTGTGCTAAGAGCCACATCACATATATATATATATATATAATCACATATATATAATATATATAATCACACATATATATAATATATATATAATCGCATATAATATATATATATATAATTTATATATAAATAAGAAGTATCTTTAGTAACCCATTAGGGTTACTAAAATCTAGTACTTACAACTAAAATTAATGGTAAACTACCATTTACTGAGGTCTCTAACTTTGTATTCTAAGAGGAGCTGCTTCATAATGAGGCAGAATTCTTAGAATGATTGAGCACATGTAGATAATTATAATAATTCTCACATTTTGGGGGAGGAAATTTCCTCCTTTTTCTTTTCTCTTGTCTTCTCTTTTCTTTCTTTCTTTCTTTCTTTCTTTCTTTCTTTCTTTCTTTCTTTCTTTCTTTTCTTTCCTTCCTTCCTTCCTTCCTTCCTTCCTTCCTTCCTTCCTTCCTTCCTTCATCATGGTTTCCAATTTCTACTCCTATTGCTTTTTAAATATATTTTTACAATTACGGTTAGGTTTACTTTTGTGGATTGTTTTGTTCTTGTATAACTGCTGAGTTGTAAACTTTTAAGTGTTATTTCCTCATGGATTCTTATCACTGAGTTATTTTTTAACTGAAAAGTAGGAATGAAAATTAAGAAGTATTGATATAAAGGGAATGATTTCCAGGCCTTTTTCTAGTCCTAGATATTTCAGGTGAACATTTCAGCATTTCAAAACAATGCTAGAGAGTAGATGTTATTTTCCCTAAGTTAAAAAAGAGGAGCTGGGCACAGTGGCTCATGCCTATAATCCCAGCACTTTGGGAGGGTGGATCACTTGAGGTCAGGAGTTCAAGACCAGCCTGGGCAACCTAGAGAAACCCCATCTCTACTAAAAAAAAAAAAAAAGAATTAGCCGGGCGTGGTGGTGCACGCCTGTAGTCCCAATAGGCACAAGAGGCACAAGATCACTTGAACCTGGCAGACAGAGGTTGCAGTGAGCTCAGATTGCACCATTGCACTCCAAGCCTGGGCAACAGAGGAAGACTCTCAAAAAAAAAAAAAAAAAGGAAACAGGCTCAGAAAGATAGTAACTTGCTAAGATTTAAGAGGTAATAAATGGTGGAAACGAAAGCAAAACTCGGGTCTGTCTGATTCCAAAGAATCTGTTCTTTCCATTACATTCCACTGTCAATCTTGGAGTGTCTGCCATATAATCTTACCCTCAGATTTCTTTTCTTCTACTCATTACTGACCATATGAGTCAAACTTCATTAGACCTAACTTCAAGAAAACCAAATTTTGTTAGCAGGCATTTGAATATCACTAAGCTGTTAAGCTGCTTTGTGAATATCTTTTGCTATAAACAGATGTTGGATGTAACATGGGTTTTTTAAATTATTTTTTGGGGGCATCAAGATCTAACATCTGTATTTCAGGGACTGAAATGTACATTTAATAAGCTACTATAAGTAAGACAGTTCTAGATGACTAAAGAAAAGAAAAAATTTGACCTTGGAATTTTTTGCAGGCATTCTGCAAAAGCTCACTGATCTTGGAACATTTGGATGTCTCTTATTGCTCCCAGCTGTCAGATATGATTATCAAAGCACTGGCCATTTACTGCATTAACCTCACATCTCTCAGCATTGCTGGCTGTCCAAAGGTATGTGCAGGAGTCAGGGCTCAAACACATCCAATTTAAGCACTGCCAAGGGACAAGGCAGGACAGCGATCAGGGCTGGACTCAGAATATGTTCTCTTTGCCATGGTTGAGGTATTCATTGGATTTTTTTCTTCTATCCTCAAATTGGAAATAGCTTATGATTCCACTGGTGTCAAAGTAGAATTTTCCAAAAGTTAAAAACATAATTCTCATACAAATATAAACATGTGTCAAAGATTTCTTTAATTCACTAATGAGAGAACCAACAAAATGACAAAGCCAGTGCGTAGAGCATTTGAATGAACTTAGTATTTGTAGGAACTGATGAAAGAATGTTGCATTAAGAGTGTTAGGTTAGATCTAAAAGTGTTTTACAAGTTATTAAATCCATAACCTTGGGGTTACAGTTTATACCAGATACAAATAATTTGCATCTTTCCTGGACAAAAATATAACAACATATAACTTCATTGAGCTAGGGCCTTAGTGGACAGTAAATGGTATGTCAAACAAAGGCATGATTTCCTATAGAATTCTCCAGGTAGGCCTGTTAAACAGTGTTCCAGTTTGACACTCCAAGGACATACCATCATCTTTTGTGTTATTTTCAAGTGTTTTATAATTTTTCTGGGACCTCTGTATATAAATGAAGTAAGTACTCATTATGAAAAATTTGGACTACATATAAAAGCTTAAGGGAGAAAGTAAATATCCATTGTCCTGTCACCACCTGGACATAACCATCGCTGGTATTTTATTCTTCTAGATTTTTTTCTATGCACAAAAAGATTAGAAATAGTTACAGAAAGTTTGTGTTTTGCCTTGTTTTTTAAAATAATAGAATCATACTTTCCAAAATACATTGTAACCTACTTTTTAATATACTATGGACATATCTCCATGTAAAGAACTAGAGATCTCAGGTTCTGGATTAATAATAGTAGACTGAATATACACATATAATTTTGTTCCTCTTGAAACGCTACCAGAACTAGAGATGAAGAGTGAGGGCCCATATGGATAAGGAAAACAGGAGAGGAGATAAGAGCAACAAAAATTTGGAAGCTTGAAAATAGATGGACTAATTTAGCAGACCAGAGACTGCTTTGAATCCTAAGCCAACAGTAGAGAAAGCTGGAAAAAAAAATCTGATTTACACCACAATCTTCAAGCTTGGGAGCACCGTGTACCTTTGGAACTGGGTTAAGAGTGGGGATGAAAATAAGGGAGACTGAGTTAGAGATTCTTAAGAAGTAGATAGATCTCTAGATTCCAGCCCCTACTCCATAAATCTGGGCAACTGTCTCTCCCCACCCCAAACAGAAGCCTGGAGATTTATTTCCTAAATTCTGGTTCTTCATCCCTGACACTATTCATATTTTGGACAAGATAACTCTCTGTAGTGGGGTGTGTGTGTGTGTGTGTGTGTGTGTGTGTGTGTGTGTCCCGGGCACTGTAGATGTTTAACAGCATGCCTGCCCTCTACTCACTATATGTCAGTAGCACATAAGATCCCATCCCTCCAGACCTTACCACATGTTCTCTGGTGGAGGTGAGGGCCAAAATTGTTCTTGAATTACCCACTACTCTAGAGATACTAAAACAGAGGGTTGCTAGGCTAACTAAGTGACTCAATGCTGAGTGCAGAGATATTCAAGCACTTTTTCCAACTGAGCATCAAGAACTTGGCTGCCAGATCTTCTTCTCCAGGTGGGAGATTGGTAGCCTCTTCTCTGGGAACCCTGACTAGCCCAAGATGAAAGACCTAAAATGACTGACAGGGGTGGTTCCCAACAAATAACACACGTAGATCATCCTTCATTGAAGCTTACAATAGAGATGCGTGTACTCTGACCTTCCGATTAGTTTTTAGTCCTCCACTCTTAATCGTGAACAAAAGGATTACCAGACATAAGAGGAAAGTCTCTAAAGTGGAAGATATTGATCAACACAAATTAACAGGAAAAACTTGGAGTTAGCAAAATATGAAGAAGGAAGAAAACTAAGAAATTTTTTTGAAAATCCTCAGAAATTACAAGGTTATTAACAATCGTGTTCTCTTCTATTGTACACACTGAAGGCTTTTGTTTACTACAGCATCACACCAACTCTCAAGATGCCCTACGCTTTATTTAATCTAGAAGTTCAGCTTCTATGTTGTTTGGTTTGTATGGTTAGCTAATTGTGCTGCAATAAAAAGGAGGAGGCAGCAGGGAAAAAGATGTGGTAAACCGTGACAAAACTAAGCCAAAAAGTTCACAGCAAAATTATTTTTGTTTAATAATATACTTGTTTAGAACTAGGGGAACCAGATGTCTTTCTGGTCAGCATCATCTGGTTCTATTAGTGAGCTGGGTCAAGGGACCCAGAACACTAGAAGCGCTGACCAACTGACTCTCTGCAACTTAAACAGTGATAGTTCACAGAGATTCTTGCGTTCATAGCACACAGACATATGGGCAACACATGGCTTAGTGAGAAGTGAGAACTGCCCTGGCTATAAAGCAGGCACAGATGGAGACTGGGTTTCTTAGTGGCTCTAAAGCAGAAAGTAGGAGAATGAGAAAAGAAAAGGCTCCAGTGCAAACAGAAAATAGGGCAGAGGATTTTGTTTGTTTGTTTGTTTGCTTTGGTTTTTTGTTTTTTGTTATGAAGGCTGAGGGAATTCCTTCTGTAAACTGTGCATGGCTATTGTCTTGCAGCCCAGAAGCTAAGGGGGATGTTAAACAAATATGCAAGAAATGCATCACTCTGTATCAAAGGTTTAGAGGGAGAAAGAGGAAGAAGGAAGAGTCAATTATTTTAGAACGCTGATACAAAGGAGTAGAAAGATTTAGCTTTACCATCTGAATTGTTCTGGTCAGACTGTGGGTCAGATGAGTATCCTGATTGAGAAGATGTGGGGACCATCATCTGGACCAATCTGAATACTCCTCAACTCACCCTGAATTCATAAGGCTGTGGTCCAACCTAACATATTCCACTTATGTTGATTTTGATGAGCCGTAAAACACATTGGTGTCTGGCTCATCATTCTGTGCCAGGTTTCCCAAAAGTCCACAGGTGAATTTTGAATGGTCACCTTATCTATCCCCAGAAAGGCCGGCTTTTCCTTGCAACCACCTCACCTCGAAGGTCAGTTAGTAGTACTGTGACCTCATCCTACTCGACACTAAAATGCCAAGGAAAACAAATATAGCTACAAATCAGAGGAAAAGCTGGTTGCTCTGGGGCCAGTTCAAAGCACTCAGCAGTGCACTAGGCCCTGTGGTTAACACTGTCACTTTTGACCCTCATGACCGACGTGAAGTGGGAGTTAGTAATGATTAGAAAGAAAAGGGGGTGGGAAATGAGAAAAATTAAAGCAAAGCCCTGAACAATGACAAAATGTCTCTGCAATGCACCTCTGAGAGGGATAAGGTAAGCGAAAGCAGGCCAGTGCTTTAGAACTGCATTTCTGTCCTACAAGTGTAGGTGATGTGAAGCAGGTCCACTGTGCACTGATTACCAACTTGTCTGAGTCTGGTGAGACAGGACACATTCATATGCAAAAAGCTTCATGAAGCAGATTACTTACAGATAGGCAGCAAGTGACAACAGAAGCCGAGGATTCCTGGAGGGCCTGTTTCCCAAGGCTCAGGAAAGCTGCTCAAGGTGGATGAAATCTCAACTGTAAATGTTCCACTTGCACCGCAGCTGAGGGTATCTGGAAGGTGGACCATCTTGGGTTTTATAACCTTGGGTTCACTTGACCCACTGGGCTGAAGCACGGAAAGATGTCCTGTTTCTAGGGGGAACTGGAACAGAGCCTGGCTGTTCCAGTCAGTACCCCCTATCCTCAGTCTCAGGATGTTACATCCCCAGCACATTCTATAGTTATTCTTGAGAATGACAATCTACAAAAGGGAGAGAACTGGGTGTGCCCAAGGCTACTTGAACTGTCCTGCAGGTGAAGTACATCTGAGAAGGTGATTGAGCCAGGTCACAAAGCCTGGCTGCTCTCCCCTAAGGCCCCAGGCTCAGCTAAAGCTACACAAACTTGTGAGCTGGGCGAAATCCCCAGGGCATGCACAGAATTTCTCTTATACTAATATGGTAAAACATTTTACCCAAAAAGTTCATTATTTGGAGAAATGTCTCTAGACCACTGAAACACTGGGAGATGAGAGTAAACACTATTTTTTGTCTGTTTTAAATTACCCTCATTTTACAGATGGGGAAATTAGGAGTGGAAAGGCATGAAGTATTGAGCAAATAGGATTTAGTGAGGTAACTTCATCCCAATTCTACAGACTTATAATGTAAAGGGAGAGGAGTAAGAGATTTGCTAATTCTGGGATTCCCCATGACAATCCTACCCTTTTCAACCTTTATTTTCTTAGTGCAGCTGGCTAACATGTTTGGAAATTCTTTCAGCTTAGAGGTTTTAAAATGACCATAAGGAAAATCAATTAGAGGTTTCGAAATGGTCATAAGGAAAAGAAATGATCACAATTGCTTCAAAGAGAATAAAATACCTAGGAATCCAACTTACAAGGGACGTGAAGGACCTCTTCAAGGAGAACTACAAACCACTGCTCAATGAAATAAAAGAGGATACAAACAAATGGAAGAACATTCCATGCTCATGGGTAGGAAGAATCAATATTGTGAAAATGGCCATACTGCCCAAGGTAATTTATAGATTCAATGCCATCCCCATCAAGCTACCAATTACTTTCTTCACAGAATTGGAAATAACTACTTTAAAGTTCATATGGAACCAAAAAAGAGCCCGCATTGCCAAGTCGATCCTAAGCCAAAAGAACAAAGCTGGAGGCATCACGCTACCTGACTTCAAACTATACTACAAGGCTACGGTAACCAAAACAGCATGGTACTGGTACCAAAACAGAGATATAGACCAATGGAACAGAACAGAGCCCTCAGAAATAATGCTGCATATCTACAACCATCTGATCTTTGACAAACCTGACAAAAACAAGAAATGGGGAAAGGATTCCCCATGGATGAAGCTGGAAACCATTGTTCTCAGCAAACTATCGCAAGGACAAAAAACCAAACACTGCATGTTCTCACTCATAGGTGGGAATTGAACAATGAGAACACATGGACACAGGAAGGGGAACATCACACACCATGGCCTGTTGTGGGGTGGCGGGAGGGGGGAGGAATAGCATTACGAGATATACCTAATGTTAAATGATGAGTTAATGGGTGCAGCACACCAACATGGCACATGTATACATATGTAACAAACATGCACATTGTGCACATGTACCCTAAAACTTAAAGTATAAAAAAAAAATGATCAATGGGTCATATTTTACCATATATTACAAAGGATGAGATTCCTGGCACATAGTATTGGCTGATCTTTTGCTGTGTAACCAGTCACTCTCAAACTCAGTGGCTTAAGACAACTACCATTTTATTTTCTCACAAACCTGTGGGCCAGGAATTTGGGCTGGTTTTGGCTGTGTGGTTCTTCTGACAGTGGTTGGCCCCAGGGTTGCCCAAGGAGCTGCAGTCATCTCTTTGCAGTCATCTCTTGACTCCCCTTAGAGCTGGTTGGCCTAGGGGACCCAGCTGGGACAGCTTCCTCCTGCTTCATGCGGTCTCATCCTCCAGCAAGCTAGCTGAGCTGCTTCAAGGGCAGTAACACATTCCAAGAGGCTAAGGGCTAAAGGTAGAAGCTGCAAGGCATCTTGAGGCCTGGCTCAGAAGAATATGACTTCTGCTCCATTCCTTTGGTCAAAGCAAGTCACAAGGTTAGTTTAGATTCAAGAGGTGAGGAAACAGACTCTACTTCTTGCTGACAGTAGCTGCAAAGCATTTGTGGCCATTTTTAATCTACCACAGCTACATTCTCACAAATAAATGAAAATAATACGATAGAGCTCTTAGGAAATAGCCAAATATAGCATAATATAACATAATATGCAAGAAGATAATTTCCTAAGAGCCTCTCCCTCTCTTGGAAATATATATATTATATATTAGATATATTTATTATATATAAGATACATTTATTAGATATATATTAATATATTAGAGATATATATACATATATATATATATATATATATATATATATATATATATATATATATATGAGACAGGGTCTCACTCTGTCTCCCAGGCTGTAGTATAGTGGTGCAGTCACAGCTCACTGCAGCCTCAACCTCCCAGGCTCAAGTGATCCTCCCACCTCAGCCTCCTGAGTAGCTGGACTACTAGCATACCCAGCTAATTTTTGTATTTTTTGTAGATATGGGGTTTCACCATGTTGCCCAGGCTGATTTCAAACTCCTGGGCTCAAGTGATCCACCTGCCTCAGCCTCCCAAAATGCTAGGATTATAGGCATGAGCCACCACGCTCAGCTTATATTCAAAATATGTTTATTATATTTAAAAGCCCTCCCACAGTTCAGGGGTTTAAAAAAAGCTAGGGCAAAAACTTGGACTCTCTTTTTGGCCTGACCTTTAAAGCACATTATTTCTTACTGCATTAGATTTTCATTAGTTAATATCTCATGAAACCACCTGTTATTAACCTAAAAGTTCATTTTGTGGACTATTCAGCCCCTTTCTTGCTGTCCATCTTCAAGGCGGGTTTTTTCTTGGGATCGTCACCAGAAGTGCTAGTAAAATTACCTGACTTCTCACACAATCAAAACAGGAATTGGTGGGGAGGGGGCAAAGGGGAGAAGAAACAAAAGTATAATTCAGCAAACTGAAAGCCAACAGTCAAGTTCTCTTTTGTATAAAGAGGTCCTACTAAAAAAAAATCACATATATTAATGGCAAAGGAGATGAATAATCATAATTATAGCTACCATTTATTGAGTGCTTACTTTATGCTAGTCACTGGTCACATACATGTTCTCCTTTAGTTCTGTGGCAATCTCGGGTAACCATTCTACAAATGGGGAAACTGAGGCTCGGAGAATTTAAGCAACTTGCCTATGGTCACAATTAAATAGTGCCAGAGCTGGGGAATTCAAATCAGAGAAAATACTGCTAGTAAACAATGTGGGAAAAGATCCAACATAAGAAAGAAATCCAAGTTAAAACATTATTATTTGAGGTATCATTTATTACCTACCAAATTGCACATTTTTTTATGGTAATGCCCAGTGGTTGGCAGGGGGTCAGTGAAACTGGTCCTTATATTGTAGATAGCATTATAGATGGGTATAATCCTTTTGTGAAGCAATGTGAAAATTCGTAAACAAGAGCCACAAAAGTGGTCATACCCTGTCTTAGTCCGTTTTCTGTTGTGTATAACAGAATACCTGAAACTGGGTAATTTATAAGAACAAAATTTAGTAATATTACATTTCTGGAGGCTGGGAAGTCCAAGGTCAAGGTGGAGCATTTGGTGGAGAACCTTCTTGCTGGCAAGGACTCTCTGCAGAATTCCAAGGCAACGCAGGGAATCGCATGGCAAGGGAGATGAGCATGTTAACAGGCTAGTTCAGACCTTTCTTCTTCTTATAAAGCCACCAGTCCCACTCTCATGATAACAGGTTAATCCACTGATGAGAGCAGAGCCTTCATGACCCGATTACCTCTTAAGGGCCCCACCTCTCAATACTGCCACATCTTGGGTTAAGTTTCAATATGTGTTTTGGAGGGAACAAACATTCAAACCATAGCATACAAATCCACTTTCTGAAATCTATCCTAAGGGTAACAGTCCAAAACTTGGAAAAGACTGTATTTATGAACAGTCATCAAAATGTTATTTAAATAGTAAAAACTTGAAAACAACGGAAATGACCAGAAATATGTAAATGATAAACTAAACTACATCTACTAAATAAAACATTTTATAATAATTAAAGATTGTAAATATGAAGACTGTGAAGTAGTATAAGAATGCACTAGGAAAAACAAAAAAGCAAGATGAAAGCGAGGTTTGGTGGTGTGCAGCTATGGTCCCAGCCACTTGGGAGGCTACGGCAAGAAGACAGCTTGAGCCCAGGAGTTCCAGGCCAGCCTGGGAAACATGGTGAAACCCAACTCGGAAAAAAAAAAAAAAAAAAAAAGGCCGGGCATGGTGGCTCACGCCTGTAATCCCAGCACTTTAGGAGGCCAAGGTGAGCGGATCACTTGAGGTCATCAGTTTGAGACCAGCCTGACCAACATGGTAAAACCCTGTCTCTACTAAAAATACAAAAATTAGTTGGGCGTGGTGGCGGGCACCTGTAATCCCAGCTACACAGGAGGCTGAGGTGGGAGAATTGTTTGAACCTGGGAGGCAGAGGTTGCAGTGAGCCGAGATTGTGCCACTACACTCCAGCCTGTGCAACAGAGCAAAATAAAAAAAAGAAAGAAAAAAAGAGGATGCAAAATAAATGTAATTACTGTATTTACAAATCTGTTAATGGGGATAGGAATGAGAAACGAGCAAGAAATACTCCAGAACATTAAAAGTAGTTATGTTAAGTGATAAATGTGTAATTGCTTTCCTTTGCTATTATTGCTATTTTTTTGGCAATGTGCTTATATTATTTCTAAAATATAAAATAATTTCATTTAAAAATAAACCAAAACATTTTTTCAAGGAATCAAAAGTAGTTGTGTTGGAAGTAACATAATCTGCCCAATGAGGCTGGGAGCAGGACCTTATATCTGGGAGTTAAAAATGCAGCAAAGTTGTTTCCATCTGTAGTTCCCAGCCCTTAATCCATAAATCCCAACAACATCACATCAGTCATTGAACAACATGAGCTACTGATCTACAGGAACTGTCAGGCTCCTTTTCAGCTCTCCTAGTATCAAACCAAACCTGCTACTCTGAACTCCACCTCCCCTGGACTTTTCCATCACCTTGTTGTCCTTCCTTTCTTCTACAATTCTGTGGGCCTTTTTTTTTCTTTTATCAATGACATCAGATCCTCAGAGATCAACCTAGTATGGCAGGAATGTCTGAGGCATTTTTGTGAGAGTCAGTTATAATGTTTAACCTTGGTCCTGAGCGTGTTCCGGAAACAAAGCGTGTTTAGACAATGGCAACGTCTCTTTTTCCAAACTTAAAAAGTGTATGTTCCAAACTGAAGTGATTTTTCTTTTAACTTTATGTTAAAACAAGAGCCAAGCCTCACGGCCTATGTTTTTCAGAATGTTCAAACATTTAAAATAAGAAATTGAATCCAGTTGGAAAAAAATTCCTTTGGAGAGAGTAATCTAGTTGATTCTGCAGCAAGGCTCAGTTTAGCTATAAATTTGAAAGCTTATCCTGGAGTAAGTGAAATACTCTAAGTAGTATACTTGAATTACCTCTGTAGGACATCTGGGCAAAACTGTGATATGTTGGAACCCTTGGCAGGATATTTCAGAGCGGGATTTGTGTAGTCTCTGTGGCTTCTGCTTCTTTCTCCCCTTGCTTCCAAACATCTGTCTCACCTACTTGTCCCTTTCCAGAACTAGGTTACTCCATCTTTTTTACATCTAAACCATCAGTGATGTCCAGGTCCCTTCTCATAGTAATATGAGGCTGTCTGCAGATTAACTTTGGGGGATATATATTTTGTAGTTTTGTAGCATGTAATGTTATTAAACATATGTTTTTAAATTGGTGATGCCTTAGAGAGGATTTTAAATTTAAAGCCAAATCCCATCTCTATAGCATTTCATAAGTTGCTCATATTGGTGTGACAGGTATTACTAAAAAATTTTGATGAAGTTTTCCATCCAAACCAGAGGACTCTTAAATGAAAATAACAGCAAAATCACAACTTTTTTTGTGTGGGGGGTGGGCAGGGCACAGGGTCTTGCTCTGTCACTGAGGCTACGTCACCCAGTGCAGTGGCGTGATCTCGGCTCACTGAAGCACTGACCTCCCAGGCTCAAGCAATCCTCCCACCAGAGCCTCCCAAGTAGCTGGGACTACAGGCACGTGCCACCATGCCCAGCTAATTTTTGTATTTTTGGGAGTTTCACCATGTGGCCCAGGCTGGTCTCGAACTGGGTTCAAGCAATCTGCCTGCCTCAGCCTACCAAAGTGCTGGGATCATAGGCATGAGCCACTGTGCCTTGCTAAGATCATAATTTCTATTGGTGCTACTTGAGGCAGATATTTTACTGTTCTGACCTTATTTGGAAACAGTTAAACAACTCACTTGAATTGTAGGCCCATTATGTGACAAGCTGGGTGAAAGAGAATATGCAAGTGTCTGATTTTGTTACTCTATTTGTTATGAATTGAATGTTTGTCCTCCAAAAATTATTATGTTGAAACCCTAACTCCCACTGTGACAGTAATAGAAAGTGGGGCCTTTGGGAGTAAACAGATTTAGAAGAGGTCATAAGGGTAGAGCTCCCATGATGGGATTATGACCATATAAGAAGACAAAGACTAGAGCTCTCTCTCTCTCTGCCATGTGAGAAGATAGCAAGAATGGAGGCATCTGCAAATAAGGAGGGACTTCCCAAGACACCAATTGCAGGTACCTCTATCTTTATCTCAGTCTTGGACTTCCCAGCCTCTAGAACTGTGAGAAATAAATGTTTGATGTTTAAGCCACAGTCTGTGGTAGTTTATTATAGTTGCCCAAAGTGACTAAGGCACTGTTCTTCCCTGAGATAGTGTTTGAATAACCAGTACTTACTTTGGCTCTGTGTTCAGATTACTGACTCAGCAATGGAGATGTTATCGGCAAAATGCCATTACCTGCACATTTTGGATATCTCTGGTTGTGTCTTGCTTACTGACCAAATCCTTGAGGACCTTCAGATAGGCTGCAAACAACTCCGGATCCTTAAGATGCAATACTGCACAAATATTTCCAAGTAAGTATGTACCTGACTATGACAAACTTTTGAGAACTACTTTCTGAGAAAACATAGTATATGGCTATAAGGTTCATAATACATAGCAGCTTTCAGTGTTAGGAAGTTTCATTTCATTTTATTTTTTGCCTAATTGAAGCTAACATTGTGAGTTGTTCTAAAACGGCCTTTGTGGTTTCCTATCCCTTTTCCAGTAGGCCTTTTACTTTAAGCATCTTCCCTTCCTTGACTAAGCAGGTGTCCAAAGCTTTAACTCTAGCTCTTCCTCTGCTCATTTCTCAAAATACAGTCCATTCAGTTAATCTCCCCTAGAGCATTAAGAGAATCATCTGATTAAGCCAGCTCACAAGTTTTTGCCTCTTGACTGAGGGCAAAAATGTGCAAGTATTTTAACTGACCTGATAAAGTAACATATGAAATGCTTAAAATGAGAATCCTTGACCATTCCCTGACATAGAAGGTAAGGTTCTATTAGGCAGATGTGAAAAATTAATACTATGAATTAATATTATCAAAGTATAAAGTGTACAATGTGGCTCAAGCATGTAGATTTCACAGAGGAACTTTCTTAATTAAGTAGTTATGGCATGAGCTGAACCATGAGCCCTGGTTTCTTGAGGCCTGAGGAAGAACATGGTTTCTTATCCAAGGAAGTGTGTGTTAAAATGAAATGGAAAAAAGAAAGAAAAATTACTTGTAAAATAGACATTCCCACTGGGCCCAGGCCTGCAGGGGTAGGGCAGCCAGCTGGAGTTGGATCAGAGAGAAGGGGGTAGGTCCTTGAAAATTTTTGAGGAGGGTTGGAGACTCAACCCTTCCTGATAGGTCTGGAGATAACTCTGATATGAATACTGCTAACCTCATTTAAAGGATATACAATGAAATAGGGTCCTAGGAGTCTCTGCCAAACTTGTTAGATTATTAACAGACAACTTTCAGCAAGATGACAGTGAATGAATAACGTGTTACTCAAAGGAGTTTAGCTTCTAATTTTTTGATTATATTTTGCCAATCACTATTTATAAGAGGTAATATTATTGAATTTCTAATAAGTAAGATTCTAGAATGAATGGAGACTTTCTGGCAAGGGGCTCTTTGAACCTAATCATGGTGTGATGCTATGGTTTGAATGTGGTCCCCCAAGTTCATGTGTTGAAAATTAATCTTCAATGCAACATTATTGAGAGGTGTGACCTTTTCAGAGGTGATTAGGTGATGAGGGCTTTGCCCTCATGAACAGACTAATGCCGTTATCATGGAAGTGAGTTAGTTATCATGGGAGTGGGTTCCTGATAAAAGGATGAGCTAGGGCTCCTTCTTTCCTGCCATGGGATGATATTGGACTTCCCAGCCTCTATAACTATGAGCAATAAATTTCTTTTCTTTATAAATTACCCAGTCTGTAGTAGTCTGTTATGGCAACACAAAATGGACCAAGACATATGGGACACTGAAGTATGATTAATATAGTGAGTGGTCAAGAAGACCCAGGATATCCAGTAACATCCGAATCCTGCCTTAACTGCTCGGTCTTCTTGCTAGGTCCCTAGATTTAAAAAATATACGTGCAAAAAAAATAAAACAAGGCATAGTAAGACTTGACTACTAGCTGAGCTTTGTCCCAAAACCCCAATGTAGAACTCTAATTAACCAGCTATAGCTGTGAAAAATTCCATTGTCTAAGCCATGACAGCCGAAGGCCTATTTTGTCTTCTGCAATCAAACTTGGCTGTCCCTATGCACAAGAAGCAGGCAGAGACTTGGCCCTAATGCTTAGAAAGGGGCTGGTTTGGTGTGTGCACTTCGTTGTCTAAAGAGGCCACACCACTACCTTTTAGTCTCCCTGAAAGCTCCACCCTTGCTTAGCTCTAGCAGGAAAGAGGCCTAGAATCCCTCGATTCCATCTTTGTCTAGCAATGGAGAAAGACAGTCCTCACTGTAGAGTGGCTTGGAGAGTCCCAGTGTTTGGACTAGTAAAGCTCCAGAAACATCTGTCTTTATGTTCAACATCTAGGATAGGTTGCTACTTGTCAGTTAGGGGGCTCCTGAAATACCCTGGCCTCAAATTTTTTTATTAGAGAAGCTGTAAGGGGGCCTAGTTGCATGCAGCTTTCTGCGATCAGCTCCGGGTGCTCTATGGAGCAGCTTCGTTTTGCATTTAGATCCTTCAGTGCAGTTGGAAATGCACAGTGTATGTAGACCCTTCAAAACTCAAGCCCTTGATGATCTCTAATCCCTTACCTATGCTCACTATCTAATCAGGGCCAGTGTGGCTCCCTCAACTGCAGAGGCTTTGATTTGTCTGGGTGAAACAGAACCTTTGGCAGGTGGGATAAGAGAGATTTTTCTGGCTTGGGAAGAAGCTCAATGTCTTTGAATCACAAAGCAATGCTCTCCACATGCTTGATTCCATTTTGAACATGAAAACAATGTATGATGCAGCCCTTAAGGTCCAATTACAGCCGTCAGAAGAGGCTGTTTTATACATAAATTCACTCATACTCAATGGAATCTGAAACTACTGCACCAGCTTTGCAAATCAAAGATGTCTGCTCAGCTCACCCTTTCTGAACCAGAGGAGTAGCAAACTTTTGGTCAATGAGCAAATTGGCTGTAGCCCTTTTGCAGGAGAGTTTCCTGCAGAAGATATGGCTGGCATTCTACCAACCCCAGAGTCTGAAGGGTTTCCAGGAAGTGACCCCAGAAGCACCGTGTGGATGCAAGATAAAGGCTCCTTTATTTCAAGGAGGAATAAGTAACAACTATGATCAGAAAACGACAAGCTATTTGTATTTGAAGCAGCTGTGACAGCCAGCCATTCAACTTATGGCCCTCTGTGGGGAAAGGCAACAAGGTAGGAGTGAGAGAGAGGAAGAAAGACCCTCACAATGGCCCCCACAACCCAGGAGGGCCTGAACCACAGAGAACCTGAAGAATCACTAATTGTATAGTTAGCGAAAAGGCTAATCCAAGAACAGAAAACCAAATAACGCATGTTCTCACTTATAAGTGGGAGCTAAATGATGACAACACATGGACAGATGGATGGGAACAACACACACTGGGGCCTGTCAGAGGGTGGAGGGTGGGAGGAGGGAGAGAATCAGGAAGAATAACTAATAGATACTGGGCTTAATACCTGGGTGATGGAATGATCTGTGCAGCAAAACACCATGGCACACGTTTACCTATGTCACAAACCTGTACATCTTGTACATGTACTCCTGAACCTAAAATAAAAGTTGGAAATAAATTTTTTAAAAAAATAAAGGGAACTTTTGATATATTTCTATCTGGAGCCCAAAACCTTCAATTCTAGAGAACTAGTAGAGAAAGTCTTAGTGGCCTTCAGAGCCCCAAATCACAGTATGAAATTCCTGGAAGGCCTTCTTTAGCAGTTGCTAGAAGCTTAAACTCGGACAGTCCCTACTGCTCAGGCATTCTAGGAGATCTGTGTTGATAAAAAATAAAACTCTTATCAGAGTTCTCCTCTCTAGCTCATGGAAAGGTTCAAGCCTTTCTGATGTGGAGCTGTTGACTTTTATTATCAGTATGAACAAATAATGTTATTTAACAATTATTATTTGCCACGTACTGTGCTAAATCCTATTTTACAGATATTGCCTCACAAATACACTTTATCATCAAAATGGATAAGGAAACTGGTTTAAACAGGTTAAATAATGTGCCCACAGCCACACAAATAAGGAGAGCCATACTTTGTACCTAGGTCTTAATCATACTGTGCTGCTCTTCGCCTTTATATTACATTCTCAAGCTTTTAAAAAGCTCTGACATTCAAGGGATGTGGTCAGTAAGGGTAGACACGTGCTCTGTTTTGCCTAATTTATGTCTGATGCACAATAAGAGAGGCTGTGGATTATGAGCAGTCCTTGGTGGTGGCTCCAACATTCCCTTTTTTTGCCTACTCAAGAGATTAGAAGGAAATGTGAGCTAAGGCACACAGTGTTACTACAGGGCTAACCCTGAATCCCTTTTAATTTATAAGAAACAAAAATCACTAACAAACTTCAGTACAGTGTTATTATTAACCATCTAATGTGAAATGTTACAACTATGACATATCATGTTTGAAAATCACTGTTCTATACTGATCCAAAGAAACCTCTCACCAGGATAAATGAGTAACCATTGCAGCAGATTGGTTCAATTCCCAAATCATTTCATACGGGGTCTCACAGTCACTTAGGCCAAAGCAGAATGGAATGCAGTCAAAGAATTCCATATGTGCTCTATGGAATTTAGAACACACAGTGGTTCCTAAGAATACATGTTTTTTTCAATATTTCCTAGCTCCCATGTGCTGATCACACTACAGCATCAAGCTATTAAGAGAGAAAGGGGAGGGGCAGGAGAGAGAGAGAGGTTTCTCCCAGAAATATAGTTTCTACATTTTTAACTTTCCTGATACGATTCAAAATACATGTGTAAGAGCTTCTGCACAGCAAAAGAAACTATCAACAGAGTAAAGATAATGGGAGAAAAATATTATCAAATTATGCATCCGACAAAGGTCTAATATCCAGAATCTAGAACTTAAACAAATCAACAAGCAAAAACCAAATAAGCCCATTAAAAAGTGGGCAAAAACATGAACGGACACCTCTCAAAAGAAGACATACAAGTGGCCAACAAAAATATGAAAAAATGCTCAACATCACTAATCATCAGAGAAATGCAAAATTACCATCACAATGAAGTATCATCTCGCACCAATCAGAATGGCTATTATTAAAAAGTCAAAAAATAAAAGATGCTGGTGAGGATGTGGAAAAAAGGGAATGCTTTTACACTGTGGTGGGAATGTAAATTAGGTCAGCCAAAATAGAAAGCAGTATAAAAACTTCTCAAAGAACTAAAATAGAATTACCATTTCATCCAGTAATCCCACTACTGGGTATCTACCCAAAGGAAAAGAAATAATTCTATCAAAAAGACACCTGCAGTTGTATGTTTATTGCAGCATCATTCACAATAGCAAAGTCATGGGATCAACCTAAGTGCCTGTCAGTGGTGGATTGGATAAAGAAAATGTGGTACATTCAGACCATGGGATGCTACACAGTCATAAAAAATAATGAAATCATGTCCTTTGCAGCAACATGGATGCGGCTGGAGGCCATTATCCTAAGTGAATTAACAGAGAAACAGAAAACCAAATACTGCATGTTCTCACTTAAAAGTAGGAGCTAACCACTTGGACATAAAGATGGAAACAATAAACACTGGGAACTCCAAATGTGGGGAGGCAGGGAGGATGGCGAGGGTTAACAAAGTACCTACTGGGCATTATGTTCACTATTTGGCTGATGGGTTCAATAGCAGCCCAAACCCCAGCATTATGTAATATACCCACATAACAAACCTGCACGTGTACACCCTGAATCTAAATTTTTTTTTAAAGGTGCGTGTGTGCAAACACACAGCTACATAGGATGCTATGATAAAGAACTCAGAAAAACCTTCTGGCAGCCACTTGCCGATCTCTTCTCTTGGCAAGGTCCTGGGTCTTAGGTTAGTCAGTCCGTGTGAGGATGCCAAAGGTGGTGAGGACAGCTAGTCACGGCTAAGGATTTTCTGAAGGGCAGGAAAGAAGTGGAATAGGGAATAGTCTATACTAGTATCCATAGCTCTCTAAAAATAATCCTAGATTTGCTCCAGGACAGATTCATATTTTCTGTTTTTCCCTAGGACCACCCTTGCTGTGAAAGCACTTCAGACTAAAACAGGCCCTAAAGACATACCAGGTGGAGGAAGCCTTAACCTCCCAGAACTTGAGTCTGGAAGGAGAGTGGGTCTGAGATCTGATCCTTTGCTCCCCTCCAGTCAGTAAGCATCACTTCCAATAGTCAGGGACCCACTGATGTTTGGTTTCACTAAAGCTGTCTGTGGGTGGACTGGAGAGCAGAGCTAGGGTAAGGGGGACAGGGACTAAGGAATGAGGACATTAAAGAAATGCATATACCAGTGGGCACTTCACCCATGGCTGGGGTTCAACATGCAGCTCATTTCGATTCTGTCCCATCACACTGCATTAAATGAGTAGTCTCCCTGTTCACTCACTGTTTTCCTTATCTTATATTAAGGAGTCAGCATTCTCACTTTCCTTTTTCTTGTTATTTTCTCAAACCCCCACTACTTGCTAATTGTTTTATGTCACAATTACCATCTAATTTACCCTGGCTTGTAGCTGACTGAGCAACCATAGGACTCAATATTTACACTTTCCCAGACTTATCATTAGTAGTACTTATCCTCTTACCAGTTATCTAGAGCCGTCAAAACTGTTGCTCTTCTGACATTAAGGTAAGATGTAACTTGGTGAATGAGGATTTGCAAATCTTTTACTCCCTAAAACAAGCATTTCCTTTTCCTATAGGTCAAGATCATTGTTGCCTCTAACTGTGCTACTCTTGTACTACAGTCAACATCAGTGGCATTGAATGATTATGAACAACTGTGAACTGCAGTGTGTGTCCAGAACTCTGGTGTTTGGGAGGCAGGGGGCAGGAGGGTGTTGGAAATAGGAACATAAGAATGCCCCTTCTAGACCAGCAATCCAGCAGAAGCCAAGAGGGTTAAAGGACTTCCCTTCTTGGTGTAAGCTGCTGAAATCTCTCGTTTGAGCTATTCATGATGAGTTTCAGGGAGATGCAAAGAAATGTAATAAACTCTTAAGTAACTTACTACCTTCTTAAACAAAAGGAAAATAACAAAGTTTAAAATTATAAATAATTAATGCCCTGAAGCTATGTAATAGAAAGAAATTAATTCTATGATCAACTTCCTGTAGATGTTTAGAGGAGGAGAAGACTGGGTTTGAGCCATTTCCAAGGAGGCTGGATTGGTTTGGAGTTTTGAAAAATGGATAATGTTTAGACTGATAGAGATGGGTGAAGGGTAATGATGGAGCCTTGCTGTTTGTTACATGAAACTGATGGTGCTAATGTTATATGCCTCAACATTTGGTATTATATTTCAGTAAGTCTTAAGGGGAAAAATGTTCAGAAAATGTGTTGAAAGATATGATAATCTCACCTTTATAGAATTGAAAAGGGAGAAATATCATTAGGAGAATAATGTGGGAAAAGCAAAAGATATAAACCCACTACTTTTGCATAGTAATGTTCTACTTTGAGGATATGTAAAGATTATATAAGAGGTTTAAAATGCAGGCTAGCACCTTAAAAAAAGATTTAAAAAATTAACAGAATGCAAAACATTATCTTTGACAATAAACTTACCATTTTCAAAACTGAGAATAAATATTTCTCTGAAGAGAATAAACTTGTTTGCCAAGTTTTAGTCCATAGGGATTGGTGGCTCCAAACTAGGAATTAGTATATGATAATTGCTTTTACTCAATTTGTTCTTTAAGTTTGTAGAAGTTTTGTGTGAGAGCCAATAATAAGCTAAAAAGCAATGTGCTTAGAGGCAGAATTAGGAATGCTTTGGTTACCTCCCTGTTAAGTTTGGTTACAATTATTTTAATACATCTAAAGTTTGATTTAACTGAAATAGCATTTTAAACTGTTATCTCTATGTTGTTGGTTTTTTTTCTTCCTATTTCATTGCCTTACCTGAACTCATATGGCCATTCAGCACAAACTTAACTCGAAGTGTATGGTAATGCCAGCTCCATATCAATGACTCAGTTTCCAGACTTTTGCAATTAATAACTCAAGGTAACATACGGCAAGAGTGGGGAAGGTAGTGCCTTCATGGGTAAACATCATAGTTACTCATTTCTAATCGTACAGAAGTGGTCAATTACTCATCTCCTCTTTAGTACTAATCTCGTGATTCAAACCAACTTTCTAGGAAAGGAAATTCTTCCTTCTGTCCTCAAAATGGCTTTGTTTTCAAGTTAGACCTACTTTTTTTCTGATGCATTCTTTACTTTCTTGTTTCCTGCTAAGAAAGACTATAACAGTATTTTTTAATACTGTGTTATAGTGTTGTGACACCTTTGAGTCACAAACCTTCTCATAAAAATGTGTATTATAGACAAAACTGCATGAACTTTCAGGGAGTTCATGGACCTCCCTGAAGTTCATCCATGTAGTCAAAAGGGATCTGTGAACTCTGGGTTAAGAGCTCCTGGCCTGGTGCATGGTCAGCCTTCACAGGTAGGCTGGTTAGGTTACTCCCTCATCAGAGAAACTAGAAATACCAAGGAAGGGGCTTACTTAAAGCAGTATAAATAAATAGAGGCCTCAGTGTTCCTCTTCCATGGCCATGTGTAGTTTCCTTACCCATTCACTGTATCTGTTAATTTCTGAACTGGCTGAATCAGAGTTACTGAGGCTTTGGGACCCTGTTTATTTGTACACTTACCCATATCCTCACTCTCAGCAAGGCAAGAGAGGTCTCATGTGAATTCAGATTGTGACAGTGAATTCCCTAACTCCAAATTTGGTTGAGTTTGAAAATTTTGCACTAGGGGTTACTTCTGCAACTAGCTAATGCTAAGCACTGTTATTACAGGAAGGCAGCTCAAAGAATGTCATCTAAAGTTCAGCAGCAGGAATACAACACTAATGACCCTCCACGTTGGTTTGGCTATGATAGGGAAGGAAACCCTGTTACAGAGCTTGACAACATAACATCATCTAAAGGAGCCTTAGAATTAACAGTGAAAAAGTCAACATACAGCAGTGAAGACCAAGCAGCGTGACCTTCAGCCTCAAGCAGGAAGAACAAAAAATCAAGAACTTGGCAAGTTTTCTCCATTTGTTGCAAGTATGTTTACTAGCTGAATCTCAATAACAATGTAAACAAGCAACAAACCATCTTCTGATTCTTATTCCAACTACAAATATTTCCAAACACATCAGTAGTTCTTCTGTCTAAATAATCATGATTTAAAAAAGAAGCCAGGCCAGGAGCGGTGGCTCACACCTGTAATCCTAGCACTTTGGTAGGCCAAGGCGGGTGGACCATAAGTCAGGAGTTCAAGACCAGCCTGGCCAACATGGTGAAACCCCATCTTTACTAAAAATACAAAAATTAGCCGGGTGTGGTGGTGGGCGCCTGTAATCCCAGCTACTCAGGAGGCTGAGGCAGGGGACTTGCTTGAACCTGAGAGGCGGAGGTTGCAGTGAGCCTAGATCACGTCACTGCATTCCAGCCTCGGCGACAGAGCAAGACTCCGTCTCAAAAAAAAAAAAAAAAAAAAGAAGCCAAATCAAGTACTGACTACACAAAATTTCTGCCTAAATTTAATCAAACCAATAGTTTTGATGAGATTATAAAATCTACAGTTATATGAAACAACCCTGAGAGATGAGACTTTTTTGACAAGAAATTAAGAAATTTTTCTTTAGAAAGGAAAAAGAAAGCAGAGATGGCCATATGTCAAACTAAGAGTTTGAGCCAGGGGAATAACTTTAAGGATCTGTAACGCTTTTTAAGGCTTTATAAAGAATACAGACATATATTAATATTTTCAAAGGAAATGTGGCTTTTCTGTGGTTTCCAGACATTTAACAACAAAAGAGAACTAAATGCCGCCAATTAACTCTGTACTTATCTCAACATTTGACTTAGTCAGGGGCAAATTAAATAGAAACAAGAACTATCTGAATAGAAAGAATGTCCCTGCAATGTCTCAGAAAGACATCTCTTTAATCAAATTTGCACAACGGAGGAATTCTTAAACTATGCTATGCCAAAAAAGATGCTCCCTCAATTTTATGCTAGGAAGTATGGGTTATTAATTGCATATCTACATATTAGTTTTTAATAAGCTTTAATCCGTAGGTTTTAGTATATGTGCTGCCGAAGTGAGCACATCTGTGGGTTTTTACCATTATTTGATATTATGTAACACTGATGTTGACACAGTCCAAGAGAAAACACAACTCTGTTCTGACTGCCGCAAACAAGCCTTGTCAGCAATATCAGATCAGCCTTTTAACCTTTCTATTTCCTCAATTACTTATCTCTCACGTGGAGTTAATTCTCTTTTTGTATCCCACAAGTTTCAAATAAGGATTAAAAACTTAAGATAAAGCATCGTTATTTTGAAAAGTTTTAAAAAGATTGTACAAAGTATTATTATAGGCTACCTTGTATTAGCTAAATGCTTTTAGTAATTCTCCCCCACTGAGGTTGACTTGCAAAGTTTTTGAAATAAGGTAATATTACTTAGCTGTGGAAAGGTTCCTAGGAGTGGGCACACAGGCAACAGAATCATTTGAGTGGGAAGTTTTAGACCATAGCCAAGAGACATAAGATGACATAAGAGTATGATTTTAACCTAAATTTGGAAATTTCTGGCAGCTGCATTAAAGATGTTTTCAAAAATCTGATCCCTAAGTGCTTCATGCACACAACTGGTGGAACTTATAAAAGAGGCAATTGCTTTCTAAAGGAATGACACCTGCACTGGTTAGACCCCGGTAAGAAACACACCCTGTTATGTTCTCCAGAAACCTAGCAGGTTGCTTTACATTCAGAGCTTGCTCCAAAGCTCTTTGAGTAACATCCTTTCTTAAACAAGAACAGAAGACACATTCATTCATTCTGGGGAGACAAATTTTACAGCTACATAAATGAAGAAAAGGAGTAGAAAAAGTGAGCTATGAAAGGAGACCAAGAATAGGGATACAGGTAGAGAAATCTTTTAAGTTTTCGATGCAAACTACTCAAAATATCAAAGATATTAGTTAGGTCTTTAGCCCTTACGTATTTCATATTCATAGGTCTGTGTCCAAGAGAGTAAATTATGGCAGCTTTTTCTTTTTGTCTGGGACTTAACAATGTGATCCAAATATGTACAATTCCATTAGTAGCTTTAAATATAGTTGACTGCTGTTATGCTTATGACTTTTCTGGCTGTGGTTAGCTAATTTATTTTTAGTCATGAAAATGTTTATGTAATTGCATGAGGGTGAAAAAAGATTATCAAAACTGCCTCACTGCTACACAGTTTCCTCTACTTAATAGTATAACACACCACAACCATACCAAATATACCAATGTGTGAGTATCTTTCAGACTTGTATACATTCTGATTTCATGAAGGGTGAACTAAAAGGAGACTCTGAGATATCCTACAAAGCTGACTTTTGTTTCATAAATAAGAAGTTAAAAACAGAACTCTAAAGAAATGGAAAATTAATGAAAAGGAGGCTGGGCACAGTGGTTCATGCCTATAATCACAGCACTTTGGGAGGCCAAGGCAGAAGGACAACTGGAGGCCAGGAGTTCGAGACCTGATGAACATAGTAAAACCCATCTCTATAAAAAATTTAAAAATTAGAGCATGGTGGCACCTGCCTGTAATCCCAGCAACTCAGGAGGCTGAGGCAGGAGGATGCCTGAGGCCAGGAGTTTAAGGCTTCAATGAGCTATGATCATGCCACTGCACTCCAGCCTGGGCAACAGAGTGAGACCTCGTCTGAAAAAAAGAAAAAGATCATCATAAATAATAATATTTGGAAAGGTTTATTAAAAATTAGTGTTTAAGAATGGACTTCTCCTGGCCCGGTGCAGTGGCTCACACCTGTAATCCCAGCACTTTGGGAGGCTGAGGCAGGCAGATCACATGAGGCCAGGAGTTCAAGACCAGCCTGGCCAACATGGTGAAACCCATCTCTAGTAAAAATACAAAACTTAGCTGGGCATGGTGGCGTGCACCTGTAATGCTAGCTACTGTGGTGGCTGAGGCATGGGAATCGCTTGAACCTCGGAGGCAGAGGTTGCGGTGAGCCAAGATTGTGCCACTGCACTCCAGCCTGAGTGGCAGAGCAAGACCCTGTCTCAAAAAACAAACAAAAAAAGAACTGACTTATCTTAATCATAAAAAATATAATCCAAGCGATTTAGGCCATTCTTGTTTTGCTATAAAGGAATACCTGAAGCTGGGTGATTTCTAAAGAAAAGAGGTTTAATTGACTCACGAGGTTTAATTGGTTCTGCAGGCTGTGAAAGCATCGCACGGGCCTCTCTGCTTGGCTTCTGGGGAGGCCTTAGGGAGCTTTTACTCATGGCAGAAGGCAAAGTGGGAGCAGGCACATCACATGGCAAGAGCAGGAGCAAGAGAGAGACGGGGAAGATACCCACACTTTTAAACAGTCAGATCTTGCAAGAACTCACTATCATGAGGACAGAACCAAGAAGGTGGTGGTAACAATTAATGAGAAATCTGCCCACATGATCCAATCAGGCCCCACCTCCAACACTGGGGATTACATTTCATCATGAGATTTTGGGGGACAGATATCCAAACTACATCACCAAGAGATAGGTCTGGTCTTATAGTATAGTTATAGTATTATATAACTTATTTGTTTATTTTAATTAATTTTTTTGAGACGGAGTTTCACTCTGTTGTCCAGGCTGGAGTAAAGTGGTGTGATCTCGGCTTACTGCAACCTCTGCCTCCCAGGTTCAAGCGATTCTCCTGCCTCAGGCTCCCAAATAGCTGGGATTACAGGGATGAGCCACCATACCCAGCTAATTTTCTTTTTTTTGTATTTCTTGTAGAGATGGGGTTTTACCATGTTAGCCAGGCTGGTCTCAAACTCCTGACCTCAAGTGATCCATCCACCTTGGCCTCCAAACTGCTGGGATTACAGTCATGAGCCACTGTGCCTGGCCAGTATTATATAATTTAAATGTTCCAGGAATAGAGATGTTTGAAAGAAATGGAATTCATAAAATATCTTTATACAGTATACCTTTATAAAAATCTATCTTCATACATCAGGCTATAAAATAGCTGTTTCTTTTTTCCTAATTAGCTATATCTTAAGTTACACAAAAGATATTAAGAATCAGTAGCAACTGCTTCACATATTTGTTTTTTATTTACAGCTTAAATTTACATTGATGCCATAAAAGGTACTAAGTAGAAAACCTGTCATGTGAGAGCTACATTATAAAGAATTCTAAGCTAATTGTCCCCACATGATGGATGCCTTTGTATAATCTCCTTTCCTTGAGTGGGAGTGAAAACTGAATGTGATGGGCCATCACTCCTATGAATGTTACATTATATGGCAAAACAAAGGTTATCCTGGGTGGGCCTGACCTAATCAAGTGAGCCCTTTAAAAGTATATATTCTTCCAGCTGGCTGCAGAAGAAGTCAGATATTCAAAGCATGAGAAGAACTCAGCGCATCACTGCTGGCTTGAAGATGGAGGGGCAACATGAGAAGGCATGTGGGTGGCCTCTAGAAGCTTAGAGTGATTGCTGGCTGACAGCCAGCAAGAAAATGGAGACCTCAGTCATCCAGTCACAAGGAACTGGATTTTCCCAATAATCTGAATGAAGTTGGAAGTAGATTTCTTCCCAGAGACTCCAGATGAGAACTCAGCCTGGCCAAAATCTTGATTTCTAGCCTTGTGATTCCCTGAGCGGAGAACCTAGACATAGCTGTAAATGAGTATTATTTTATGCTGCTAAATTTGTGGTAATTTGTTACAGAGCAGTAGAAAATGAATACAATAGCAAAGCACAAATTTTGAAAAAGCCTCCCAAAACAGTTCACCAGTATTCATTCTCAATTTGTTGTTTTCAACCTTTATATGAATGGTGGGATTTACATTTTTGTAGTCACAGATCTGCGAATCATTGTTAAAAATCATAAATCCAACTCAAATCAGTTTTAGTCCTGCAGTTTCAGGGACTGAAACCAACTTTGCCTTCTAAAACTTACAGTGCCTTTTGGGGCATCAGCCTTAATCCATTTTTCACGTTTGCTTGCTTGATTCATGAGTCCTAAAACACAAAATTGCATAAAATTATATCAAGAGCATTAATTGACCACATAGATCCTAGCAACACATCTCTGAAACTGAAAAACACCTTAGAACATCAAGAATCTTGGTAAAGATAGTCTGAACTGGGCAGGAGTTGCAAAGAGGTTATCTGGGCTTGCTCCCCTCCATTCATTTTCTCAGAACAACCCTGAGAGGGAGGCTACTCTGTGTTTTGTTTTGTTTTGTTTGAGACATAGTGTCACTCTGTTGCCCAGGCTGGAGTACAGTGGCACGATCTCGGCTCACTGCAGCCTCTGCCTCCTGGGTTCAAGCGGTTCTCCGGCCTCAGACTCCGAAGTAGCTGGGACTACAGGCACGCGCCACCATGCCCGGCTAATTTTTTTGTATTTTTGGTAGAGATGGGGTTTCACCATGTTGGCCAGGCTGGTTTTGAATGCCACACCTCAGGTGATCCACCCACCTTGGCCTCCCAAAGTGCTAGGATTACAGGCATGAGCCACCACGCCCAGCCTACTCTGTATTTTTTTTTTTTTTTTTAAGTGGAGACGGGGTTTCACCATGTTGGTCAGGCAGGTCTCGAACTCCTTACCTCGTGATCCACCCGCCTCGGCCTCCCAAAGTACTGGGATTACAGGCATGAGCCACCAAGCCTGACCTCTGTTTTTTATTTGTACAGGATGAGTATCCCTTATCTAAAATGCTTGGGACCAGCATTGTTTCAAATTTCAGATTTTTTTTTTTTGAATATTGGAGAAGACATACTAGTTGAGCATCCCTAATCTGAAGATCTGACATCCAAATTACTCCAATGAGCATTTCCTTGTTTCATATTTTGGAGCATTTCAGATTCTGGATTTGGAATGCTCAACATATATTATTTTTAAATGCAGTCTTTAAAAAGAGCTTTACTGGAGTATAACTGACAAGATAAACTACATGTACTTAAAGTATACAATGTAGTAAGTTTTGACATAGGTAAAAATCTGTGAACCATATTTCCTTAATCAAGATAGTCAACATATTCATCACTCCCAAAAATTTCTTTGTAGTCAAGTACAGTCTTTCCCTCATGCCCCTCCCTTCCTGTCACCCTCCGACCCCCACCCCCTTCAATCACTGATCAGCTTTGCGGCACTATGGATTAGTTGCTCTTTCTAAAATCTTATATAAATGGTATAAATGGGAGTATACAGTTATGCACTCTTTTTAAAAAAATCCGTCTTCTTTCATTCAGCGTAATTATTTTGAGGTTCATCCACAGTGGACCATGTATAGGTAGTTTCCTCAATGCCTGCTCATTAGTACTTTGCTGACTGTTCATGGCACCCTCCGCAATCCCCTCTGTGCAGCTTGCTCCCCTCCGGAACTCTTTCTTATGAACTCTGGGCAGCCCCGTCTCCCCAGAAGCTCAGCTCAGAAGCTCAGTCTCCTCCACTCAGGGAGTCTGCTGGGCTCTGCCTGTGCGACCTCTCCCTGCCCTGCAGCCTGGAAACTCTTTCAAGGTCATAGGCTGTGGCAATCACAAAGCTCCCCTCGTTTGTTTCTCAGATCTATTCTTCTAGTTCTACGTTTTCTTTACAAATCAAGGTTATGAAGGTGTTATATCTCCTCTGGAGTTCCACTGCACTTCTGGATTTAAGAAACCAGTCAAATTGAGACAGAACAGGGACCGCTTGTAAGGGCCTGTGGACTCTTCTCAAGCACAAAAATTTAAAACAAAAAAACACAAACAAACAAACAAAAACTTGGGTTCATTAAAAAATTCCAGGCACCTACCTAAGTAGCCTTAAAAAGCAAATGAGCAGGCAGGCGAGGTGGCTCAGGCCTGTAATCCCAGCACTTTGGGAGACCAAGACGGGCAGGTCACCTGCGGTCAGGAGTTTGGGACCAGACTGGCCAACATGTTGAAACCCCGTCTCTACTAAAAATACAAAAATTAGCCAAGTGTGGTGCCAGGCGCCTGTAATCCCAGCTACTTGGGAGGCTGAGGTAGGAGAATTGCTTGAACCTTGGAGGCGGAGGCTGCAGTAAGCCGAGATCATGCCATTGCACTCCAGCCTAGGCAACAAGGATGAAACTACGTCTCAGGGAAGAAAAATAAAAAAAGCAAATGAGCAACTTAATAAACAACAACAACAACAACAAAATAACAGCTTAAAACAATAACCAAAAAGGTTAAAATAGATGTTTTGTTTTCTATAAGAACCAAAGACAAAATCTGAACATATGTCTCTGAGTTGTTTCTCAAAAACCTGGACCCCCACACCAAACAGATCTGCTGGCACATGGACTTCAGATAAGGGGAAGCTCAGGACTAAACTGACCATTGTACATTTCTCAGGGGCCTGGAGGAGGTCACACCCATGAGCCAGAACTAACATTCTTTTCTGCGGATCCCAAATTTTTAGATAAAGCTTCACTTCCTTAACCAATCAGAAATCAAAAAATCTTTAAATCCACCTATAACCTGCAGCCCCCCTGCTTCTAGATGTCTTGACTTTTTAGGTCAGACCAATATGCAGCCCCCATGTATCAATTTATGACTTTGCCTATAACCTCTGCCTCCCCACCTTTATTTTATTTTAATTTATTTATTTTTAATTTTTTTCCATAGTTTATGGAGGTAAAGGTGGTGTTTGGTTGCATGAGTAAGTTCTTTAGTTGTAATTTGTGAGATTTTGATGCACCCATCACTTGAGGAGTATACACTGCATCCTATTTGTAGTCTTTTATCCCTCACCCCCCTCCCAACCTTTCCCCCACGTCCCCAAAGTCCATTGTATCACTCTTATGCCTTTGCGTCCTCATAGCTTAGCTCCCACATTATCAGTGAGAGCCTATGATGTTTAGTTTTCCATTCCTGAGTTACTTCACTTAGAATAATCATCTCCAGTCTCATTCAGGTCACTGTGAATGCTGTTAATTCATTCCTTTTTATGGCCGAGCAGTATTCCGTCATATATATATATTCCAGTTTCTTTATCCACTTGTTGATTGATGGGTATTTGGGTTGGTTCCTTGATTTTGCAATTGCAAATTGTGCTGCTATAAGCATGCCTGTCCAAGTATCTTTTTCGTACAATGACTTCTTTTCCTCTGGGTAGATACCCAGTAGTGGGACTGCTGGATCAGATGGTAGTTCTACTTTTAGTTCTTTAAGGAATCTCTACACTGTTTTCCATAGTGGTTGTACTAGTTTACATACTCACCAGCAGTGTAGAAGTCTAACCTGATCACCACATCCACACCAACATCTACTGTTTTTTGATTTTTTGATTCTGCCCATTCTTGCAGGAGTAAGGTGGTACCATATTGTGGTTTTGATTTGCATTTCCCTGATCATTAGTGATGTTGAGCATTTTTTCATGTGTTCATTGGCCATTTGTATATCTTCTTATGAGAATTGTCTTTTCATGTCCTTAGGCCACTTTTTGATGGGATTGTTGTTTTCTTACTGATTTGTTTGAGTTCATTGTAGATTCTGGATATTAGTCCTTTGTCAGATGTATAGATTGTGAAGATTTTCTCCCACTCTGTGGGTTGTCTGTTTACTCTGCTGACTGATCCTTTTGCTGTACAAAAGCTCTTCAGTTTAATTAAGTCCCAGCTATTTATCTTTGTTTTTATTGCATTTGCTTTTGGGTTCTTGGTCATGAAATCCTTGCCTAAGCCAATGTCTAGAAGGGTTTTTCTAATGTTATCTTCTAGAATTTTTACAGTTTCAGGTCTTAGATTTAAGTCTTTAATCCATCTTGAGTTGATTTTTGTATAAGGTGAGAGATGAGGATCCAGTTTCATTCTCCTACATGTGGCTAGCCAATTATCCCAGCACTATTTGTTGAAAAGGGTGTCCTTTCCCCACTTTATGTTTTTGTTTGCTTTCTCGAAGATCAGTTGGCTGTAAGTGTTTGGGTTTATTTCTGGGTTCTCTAATCTGTTCCATTGGTCTATGTGCCTATTATTATACCAGTACCATGCTGTTTTGGTGACGATGGCCTTAAAGTATAGTTTGAAGTCAGGTAATATGATGCCTCCAGATTTGTTCTTTTTGCTTAGTCTTGCTTTGGCTATGGGACTCTTTTTTGGTTCCATATGAATTTTAGAATTGTTTTCTCTAACTCTGTGAAGAATGATGGTGGTTTTTTGATGGGGATTGTGTTGAATTTGTAGATTGCTTTTGGCAGTATGGTCATTTTCACAATATTGATTCTACCCATCCATGAGCATGGGATGTGTTTCCATTTGTTTGTGTCATCTATGATTTCTTTCAGCAATGTTTTGTAGTTTTCCTTGTAGAGGTCTTTCACCTCCTTGGCTAGGTATATTCCTAAGTACTTCATTTTTTTTTGCAGCTATTGTAAAAGGGGTTGAGTTATTGATTTGATTCTCTGCTTGGTTGCTGTTGGTGTTTAGAAGAGCTACTGATTTGTGTACATTAATTTTGTATCTGGAAACTTTGTTGAATCCTTTTATCAGTTCTAGGAGCTTTCTAGAGGAGTCTTTAGGGTTTTTGAGGTAAACAATCATATCATCAGCAAACAGTGACAGTATGACTTCCTCTTTACCAATTTGGATACCCTTTATTTCCTTCTCTTGTCTGACTGCTCTGGCTAGGACTTTCAGTACTGTGTTGAAGAGGAGTGGTGAGAGAGGGCATCCTTGTCTTGTTTCATTTCTCAGAGGGAATGCTTTCAACTTTTCCCCATTCAGTATTATGTTAGCTGTGGGTTTGTCATAGATGGCTTTTATTACATTGAGGTATGTCCCTTGTATGCCGATTTTGCTGAGAGTTTTAATCATAAAGAGATGCTGGATTTTGTCTAATGCTTTTTCTGCATCTATTGAGATGATCATGTGATTTTTGTTTTTAATTCTGTTTATGTGGTGTATCACATTTATTGACTTGCATATGTTAAACCATCCCTCCATCCCTGGTATGGAACCCACTTGATCATGGTGGATTGTCTTTTTGATATGTTGTTGGATTCGGTTAGCTAGTATTTTGTTAAGAATTTTAGCGTCTGTGTTCATCAGGGATATCAGCCTGTAGTTTTCTTTTTTGGTTGTATCCTTTCCTGGTTTTGGTATTAGGGTGATGCTAGCTTCATAGGATGAATTAGGGAGTGTTCCTTCTTTCTCTGTCTTGCGGAATAGTGTCAATAGGATTGGTACCAATTCTTCTTTGAATGTCTGGTAGAATTCTGCTATGAATCAGTCTGGTCCTGGACTTTTTTGGTTGGTAATTTTTAATTACCACTTCAATCTCCTGCTTGTTATTGATCTGTTCAGGGTATCTAATTCTTCCTGATTTAAGCTAGGAAGTTTGTATCTTTCCAGGAATTTATCCATCTCTTCTAGGTTTTCTAGTTTATATGCGTAAAGGTGTTCATAGTAGCTTTGAATGATCTTTTGTATTTCTGCTCCCATTTTGTTTCTTATTGAGGCTATTTGAATTTTCTCTCTTTTTTTTCTTGGTTAATCTTACTAATGGTCTATCAAGTTTATTTATCTTTTCAAGGAACCAGCATTTTGTTTTTATCTTCTGTATTTTTTTGTTTGTTTGTTTCAATTTCATTTAGTTTTTCTCTGATCTTGGTTATTTCCTTTTTTCTACTGGGTTTGGGTTTGGTTTGTTCTTGTTTCTCTAGTTCCTTGATGTGTGACCTTAGAATGTCAGTTTGTGCTCTTTCAGTCTTTTTGATGTACGCATTTAGGGCTGTGAACTTTCCTCTTAGGAGGAAAAGTGGCCTTTGCTGTATCCCAGAAGTTTTGATAGGCTGTGTCACTATTGTCCTTCAGTTCAAAGAATTTTTAAATTTCCATCTTGATTTTGTTTTTGACCCAGTGATCATTCAGGTGCAGATTATTTAATTTCCATGTATTTGCATGGTTTTGAAGGTTCCTTTTGGAGTTGATTTCCAGTTTTATTCCACTGTGGTCTGAGAGAGTGCTTGATATAATTTCAACTTTCTTAAATTTATTGAGGCTCATTTTGTGGCCTATCATATGGTCTATCTTGGAGAAAGTTCCATGTGCTGTTGAATAGAATGTGTATCCTGCAGTTGTTGGATGGAATGTTCTGTATATATCTGTTAAGTCCATTTGTTCCAAGGTATAGTTTAAATCCATTTTTTCTTCATTGACTTTCAGTCTTGATGACCTGTCCAGTGCTGTCAGTGGAGTAATGAAGTCCTTCACTATTATTGTGTTGCTGTCTGTCTCATTTCTTAGGTCTATTAGTAACTGTTTTATAAATTTGGGAGCTTCAGTGGTAGGTGCATAAATGTTTAGGATTGTGATATTTTCCTGTTGGACAAGGTCTTTTAGCATTATATAATGTCCTTCTTTGTATTTTTTTTTTTTTTTGAGACGTAGTCTCCCTCTGTGGCCCAGGCTGGAGTGCAATGGCGTGATCTCAGCTCACTGCAACCTCTGCCTCCCGGGTTCAAGCAATTCTGCCTCAGCCTCCCGAGTAGCTGGGATTACAGGTGCCCGCCACCACGCCTGGCTAATTTTTATATTTTTAGTAGAGACAGGGTTTCACCATATTGGCCAGGGTGGCCTTGAACTCTTGACCTCAGGCAGTCTACCCGCCTCAGCCTCCCAAAGTGCTGGGATTATAGGCATGAGCCACTGCACCTGGCCCCTTCTATGTCTTTTTTAACTGCTGTTGCTTTCAAGTTAGTTTTTCTGATATAATAGCTACTCCTGCTCACCTTTGGTGTCCACTTGCATGAAATGCCTTTTTCCACCCCTTTACCTTAAGTTTATGTGAGTCCTTATGTGTTAGGTGAGTCTCTTCAAGCAGTAGATAGTTGGTTGGTGAATTCTTATCCATTCTGCAGTTCTTATCTTTTAAGTGGAGCATTTAGGCCATTTACATTCGATGTTAGTATTGAGATATGAGGTAGCATTCCATTTGTCATTTTATTTGTTGCCTGTGTACTTTGTTTTTTTGTTTTTTTTTTAAATTGTATTTTTGTTTTATAGGTCCTGTGAGATTTATGTCTTAAAGAGGTTCTGTTTTGATGTGTTTCCAGGATTTGTTTTAAGATTTAGAGCTCCTTTTAGCAGTTCTTGTAGTGGTGGCTTGGTAGTGGTGAATTCTCTCAGCATTTGTTTGTCTGAAAAAGACTGTATCTTTCATACACAATGCCTAGTTTCGCTGGATACAAAATTCTTGGCTGATAATTGTTTCGTTTGAGAAGGCTGAAGATGGGCCCCAATCCCTTCTAGCTTCTAGGGTTTCTGCTGAAAATCTGCTGTTAATCTGATAGGTTTTCCTTTATCGGTTACCTGGTGCTTTTGTCTCACAGTTTAGATTCTTTCTTTTGTCTCAACTTTGGATAACCTGATGTCAATGTGCCTACGAGAAGATCTTTTTGCGATGCATTTCCCAGGTGTCCTTTGTGCTTCTTGTATTTGGATGTCTAGGTCTCTAGCAAGGCCAGGGAAGTTTTCCTCAGTTATTCCCCCAAATATGTTTTCCAAGCTTTTAGATTTCTCTTCTTCCTCAGGAACACCAATTATTCTTAGATTTGGTCATTTAACATACTCCCAGATGTCTTGGAGGCTTTGTTCATATTTTCTTCTTTTTTCTTTGTTGGATTGGGTTAATTCAAAGACCTTGTCTTCGAGCTCTTATTTTCTCTCTTCTACTTATTCAATTCTATTGCTGAGACTTTCCAGAGCATTTTGCATTTCTATAAGTGTGTCTGTTTCCTGAAGTTTTTATTGTTTTTATTTATGCTATCTATTTCATTGAATATTTCTCCCTTCACTTATTGTACCATTTTTTGGATTTCGTTATATTGGGCTTCGTCTTTCTCTGGTCCCTCCCTGGTTAGCTTAATAACTAATCTCCTGAATGCTTTTTCAGGTAAATCAGGGATTTCTTCTTGGTTTGGATCCATTGCTGGTGAGCTAGTGTGATTTTCGCGGGGTTGTTAAAGAGCCTTGTTTTGTCAGAAAACCAACACAGTTTTCTGGTTCCTTCTCATTTGGGTAGGCTCTGTCAGAGGGAAGGGCTAGGGCTGAAGGCTGTTGAGATTTTGTCCCATGGGGTGTTCTCTTGATGTAATACCATCCCCCTTTTTCTATGGATGTGGCTTCCTGAGAGCCGAGCTGTGGTGATTGTTATCTCTCTTCTGATCTAGCCACCCAGCAAGTCTACCAGGCTCTGGGCTGGTACGGGAGTTGTCTGCACAGATTCCTGTGATGTGAACCGTCTATGGGTCTCTCAGCCATGGATACCAGCATAGTATTTCGGGTGTCTCTTGGGTCCTGTAGGAGCAATCTGCTTCCTTCAGAGGGTCTGTGGGTCCTCTTAGGTTTCCTGATTTATTCCTATGGTTGTTCTGGAGCTAAAATTCATGACGCGAGCCTCTACACGCTGCTCTGTCCGTCAGAGTCAGAGCCGCAATCTAGTCTTGCCACTCCCGGCCACTGGGCTCTCTCCACCTTTAAAAACCCTTACCTATAAGCCATCTGAGAGTTCAAGTGTTAAGTATAATCTGCCTGATTCTCCTTGCTTGGTCCCTACAAACAAACACTTTCCCTTCTCTTGCTACAAGCCTTCGTTTAGATATGGTATAGATACGTAGTCTTATTACGCTGGGCGAGTGGACCTCCGTTTGGTTCAATAACAAAATCTGAACTGAGGAGAGTTGTGATTACACTATTGCATTTCATCACAAATATTTTCCTTGTTGAATCCAAGCACACAAAATACAGAATGATCCTCTTCCTCAGTACAGTTTTTCCCTCTGTTATAATAGTACCATGATATCCTCAGCTGAAGAAAAGGTGCTAGATGCTTTGTACCATCTGATCTTTTTGTCAGGTGCTTTTCTGATGCAAATTATTCTCTGAATTCTTATCTCTCCCTTTCACTCTGAGCCATAATCTTGTCTATGTCCTGGAGCTCATTGCGTTTTTCCCAGAACACAGTTGAGTATTCAAGGACCTCCCGTAAGCTTTTTCCCTCTTCTTCTCTTGCTATATTTTCAATATCACAACCCCATTTTAATTAGCTTTGATAAGCTGGTTAAAATCTCTGAGTTCAATTGGTAAATCCCTGTGTTAACTCTAACTCTTCATCAATAAGGGGTTCCGCTTATTTAAACTGTTCTTTTTCTGTGCCTATGCTGCATTTGGTAGGTCGTGATTTTGCGGTACCTTGCACCCATTTGCTTTTCTGTAATACAGAGTTTCTTTTTCTAGTAATTAAAATAAATGTTGGGCCAGATGCGGTGGCTCACGCCTGTAATCCCAGCACTTTGGGAGGTCAGGGCGGGCGGATCACCTGACGTCAGGAGTTTGAGACCAGCCTGGCCAACATGGTGAAACCCCATCTCTGCCAAAAATACAAAAATTAGCTGGGCGTGGTGGCAGGTGCCTGTAATCCCAGCTACTTGGGAGGCTGAGGCAGGAGAATTGCTTGAACCTAGGAGGCAGAGGTTGCAGTGAGCCGAGATTGTGCCATTGCACTCCAGTCTGGGCAACAATAGTGAAACTCTGTCTCAAAATAAAATAAATAAATAAAATTTAAAAATAAAATAAAATAAATGTGGAGGAAAGAACAGGAAATCCTGAAATTTTTGTTTTTTCAACTTTTTCTTCTTTTTAAATACCATTTAGCACCAATAATAAAGCATCAATAATAGTAAGGCTTTTCTACATATCTGAGATCTCTTCCTTAATATATTATTTATCACCTCCCCAATAATATATTTCTTACTTATGGAGTGAAAAGCCTTCAACCTATTTCCTTTTGCAGCAATAGAGGCCAAGCACAGTGTTACTGCTCTCAAGAAAAAGAACACACAAGCAATTTCAGCTTAGAGACAATACTCAAAAGGGAGGACAGTTTATAAAATTCCATCTAGGTTGCTTGAAAATAGCTTTCTCTATCTTGCCAATAAGTAATTTACTGAAACTTCTTTGTACTTTGACCTGAATCTGTGGAGACTCTATTCTATTAATAATTTGTAAAGTTTATAAATTCCTTCCTACAAAAGTTTTTCAACATATATTGGAATTTGGGGTTTCAAAAGCCTTCCTCCTTATTTACTTCCCTTTGCCAATTAAAATCACACACTGTTTCTTTGACCAAGAAATGGGAAAATGACTACTCTATCCCTATACACTGTGGCTTCCACTAAGTGGGAGGAAAGGCTTCCTAGGACATGTGTTTAACTCTGTAATTTGCTCTCGAAACTCCTGCCCCAATGTACCCAAATATATGAATCTCTATGTTCTTTTTATTTAACCCAAAATATACCTGATCTATTCTGCACTAAATATCAACAAAGACAGGGCTCCAGGAAGTAACTTGCAGAATTGTCTTGTTTAAAAATAGGATTAACAAGCTTCTTGGTAAGGTGAGCTTTTTCCTGCCTCCCTCCCCACTCCCACTTCTAACCCTGTAACATTCTTTGTTTGTGTACATTTGGTTCAGAGGGATACTTCTGCTGCTGCCTTATTATTAATAATAGCAGATTAAACTTCAGTGCATCAGGGTTGGAGGATTCTCTTTTATACTACAAACACTTTGGGCCACCCACTATAGGAAGTGCCATGCTAAGTATATTAGGGAGGTTCAAAAGATGTGAAAAGACACACCAGTGCTCTCACAAAGCTTACCAACTCACTAGGAAAATAAATCATACACTATGAAACAACATGAAAGTAATTACTCTGAAATTTTATTATTTTTAACACATACATTTCACAAACAATACCTTTAACACCACATACAATTCCATAACAAAATATTTTAATTTTGTCAACGTTCTTTTTTGTTTGTTTTTTGAGACGGAGTCTCGCTGTGTCACTCAGGCTGGAGTGCAGTGGTGCGATCTCGGCTTACTGCAACCTCCGCCTCCCAAGTTCAAATGATTCTCCTCCCTCAGCCTCCTGCCTCAGCCTCCCGAGTAGCTGGGACTACAGCCGCGTGCCACCACACCCAGCTAATTTTTTTGTATTTTTAGTAGAAATGGGGTTTCACCATGTTAGCCAGTATGGTCTCTATCTCCTGACCTCATGATCTGCCCGCCTCGGCCTCCCAAAGTGCTGGGATTACAGGCGTGAGCCACCGTGCCCAGCCTCAACGTTCTTTAACTTTTTACAATCTTCTCTCAACAAAAGTGTAACCCAAGATACCTTGACAAGAAATCTTCCAGATAAAAAAATATTTTTGAGCTAGTTTTAATGATGCCTATCCACTAAATTTCCTCTCAAATACTTGCAATAATAATAAAGTCAACAGTACTCTAGGCAAGAGTATACTGAGGAAGTATACAATTAATCAGTTCTTCCCAAAAAATAATAGTAATAGTTTCTTCCTCAAATCTTTTCTTCTGTAATGTCTAATCTCATCCATTGTATTTTTCATCTCAGACACTGTAGTTTTCATTTATAGAAATTCAATTTTGGTCTTCTTTTTATATCTTCCATGTCTTAAGTGTTCGAACAAGTGCAATACAGTTATAATAACTTTTATTTTCCTTCTCTGCTAATTCGGTCATCTGTATCAGTTTTGGGTTAGTTTCAATTATTCTCTTCATTATAACTCATGGGTTTTTTTGCTCTTTGCATGTCTGATGATCTTTGATTCAATGCTAGACATTGAAACCACCTCTGCAAAAATCATAACTGAGAAAATTATTACAGTGAAAGAGATCTGACATAACCAGCTCCATCTTGCTTCTAATCACCAAGCTGTCCTTGTTCATTTCTAGGTACAGGCTGAACTAACTTTTGGGAGGAACTTAGTTTATAGTTTAGCTTTGAAACCAAGACAATAACAGCCATTTCCCAAACAAACCCCATTCCCGCCTGGGGACTAGACTCCCTTTTCAGGACAACAAATTAGCCAAAAGATTAGAAATTGTGGTTTAGGAGTCATGCAGCTGGAAGCTGCCCAAATTGCTAAACCTCCCCAAATTGCTCCTGCGGATAACATCACTATTGTAAAACCTAAGATCAGTGCTTGAGATATTTTGCAGACCCTAAACTCAGTCGATCAGCTGGCATAACCCAGATTGATAAGCTGGCTCATCTGGTCTTGTGGCCCCCAGTCAGGAACTGACTCAACACAAAAGGACAGCTCTGACTCCCTATGATTTCATCTCAGACTGACTAATCAAAACTCCTAACTCACTGGCCCCCTATCAAATTATCCTTAAAAACTCAGATCGTCAGATTCTCAGGGAGACTGATTTAAGTAATAATAAAACTGGTCTCCTGCATAGCCAGCTCTGCGTGAATTTCTCTTTCTCTACTGCAATTCCCGTCTTGATAAGTTGGCTCTTTCTAGGCAGTGGGCAAGGTGAACCTGTTGGGTGGGTTACAACATTGTGAATTTTACTTTGTTGGGTGCTGGATATTTTTGTATTCCTGTAAATCTTGAGCTTCACTCAAGGATGCAGTTAAGTTACTTGGAAATAGTTTAAGCCTTTCATCTCTTGCTTTTATAATTTGTTAGGCAATTATAGAGTGGTGCTCAGCCTAAGACTGATTGTTTCCCACTACTAAATGCTCTACCCAATGCCCCATGAGTTATGATTTTCTTTCCAGTCTGGTGGGAAGAACAGGCATTATTCCTGGACCTGTGTGAGCACCAGGTTCTATTCCCTCTGGTACTTTGTCCTGTGAACCCTGTCTTGATCTTTATCGACTCTCATCTTGATCTCCCTAACTCAGGGAGTGTTCTAGACTCAAGAGCAGTTCCCTTTTCCCGTACTGGAGCCTGGAGACTCTCTCAAGGCAGTAAGCAAGACTCATCTTGTTTGTTTCCTGTATCTGCTTAATTTTTAAATTTTTTTGTCATTGTTTCAGGTGGGAAGGTAAGTCAGACCCTTTAACTCCATCCTGCCCAGAAGACTTCATTATTTTTCTTTCTCCCTCTCCCTGCCTTCTTTCCACCCTCTTTTTTAACTTATTTTGAAATAATTTCATACTGACAAGAAGTTACAAAAACAGTAGAGAGAGGTTCTGTATACCCATCACTCAGTTCCCCTAATGGTGACAGCTTCTATAACTATACTGCACTATCAAAACCAGGAAATTAGCTGGCAAATTAACTGGACTATAGACCTTACTCAGATTTCACCAGTTTTTACATGCATTCATTTTTCGGGTATGTCTTTGTATATACTCATGACATTTTATCTATCACATATATAGATTCATATATAACCATCATTTTAATCAAGATATGGAACTGTTCTGTCACTACAAAGGAAGTCCCTTGTCATGTCCCTTTAAAGTCATACTGTCCTTCTCCTTCCCTAACCTATGGCAACCACTTGTCTATTCTCTACATCTTTAATTTTGTTGTTTCAAGAATGTTATATAAATGGAATCATAGAGTATGGACCATTTTGAGATTGGCTTTTTTCACTCAGAATAATGCCCTTAAATTCCCTTCAAGTTGTTTACATCAACAGATTGTTCCCTTTGTCGGTGAATTACCTTATGTGGACATACCATGAGTCATATGAACATTCAGTCATGGAAGGATATTTAAGTCATTTCCAGTTTTTTGGCTATTACAAATAAAGCTATGAACATTTGTGTACAGGTTTTTGTGTGAACATAAGTTACATTTCCCCAGGATAAATGCCCAGGAATATAAATGCTAGGTGATTAATGGTAGTTTCTTTTTTTTTCTATTTTTTTAAGAAACTGCCAGACTGAGTTATAGAGTAGCTGTATCATTTTACATTCCCACCAGTAATGTAGAAGAGATCCAGTTTCTCTGCACACTTGCCAGCATTTGAATAATCGGTATTTTTAATTTTTGCCATTCTAGTAAGTATGTAGTATTTTATTCTGGTTTTAATGTGCATTTCCCTAATGGCTAGTGATGGTAAATATCTTTTTGTGTATTTTTTTGCCATCATATATCTTCTATGGTTGCACTGTTTCTTAAAAGTTACAAGATTAAACTTTTGTGTGCACGAATCATGTTTTCTTCACTACTGGGGATAGTTCACTTAGGATAAGGATTTGGCTATGGTTTAATATTTCTTGAATGACCAAAATAAATACAAAGACAATAATAAAACAAAACCCCACAGGCATCACAAACAGAACTCATAATGCTCTGAGATTGGGGCCTGCTCTTTGAACTCTAGTCTAGGGATCAGCAAACTATAGCTCACAGGCCAAATCTGGCCAGGGGCCTGTTTTTGTATGCCCTGAAAGCTAAGAAGGGCTTTTACTTTTTTTTTTTTTTTTTTTTTTTTGAGACAGAGTCTCTGTCACCCAGGCTGGAGTCCAGTGGCACGATCTCGGCTCACTGCAATCTCTGCCTCCTGGGTTCAAGCAATTCTCCCTGCCTTAGCCTCCCGAGTAGCTGGGATTTCAGGCACCCGCCACCACGCCCAGCTAATTTTTGTATGTTTAGTAGAGACAGGGTTTCGCCATGTTGGCCAGGCTGGTCTCTAACTCCTGACCTTAGGTGATCCACCCACCTCGGCTTCCCAAAGTGCTGGGATTACAGGCGTGAGCGACCGTGCCCGGCCGGGCTTTTACATTTTTAAAGGGTTATTTAAAAACAAAAAAATATATGCAACAGAGTCCATATGTAATCTGCTAAGTCTAACATATTTACTATATGGTGTTTACAGATAAAGTTTGCAGATGAATGGAAAGAAAACCTGATCTTCTTTTTTGGGGCAAACATTAACAACATTGACATCTGATTACCCATGATACTCTCAAGATCTTATTCTTTAACAAAAAGGTGGGGAAATAAAAACACCATAAAAGCGGCCGGATGCAGTGGCTCACGCCTGTAATCCCAGCACTTTGGGAGGCCGAGGTGGGCGGATCACGAGGTCAGGAGGTGAGACCAGCCTGGCCAATATGGTGAAACCCTGTCTCTACTAAAAATACAAAAATTAGCCGGGCATGGTGGCGGGCGCCTGTAGTCCCAGCTACTCAGGAGGCTGAGGCAGAAGAACCCCTGGAACCCGGGAGGCAGAGGTTGCAGTGAGCCGAGATGGTGCCACTGCACTCCAGCCTGGGTGATAGAGAGAGACTCCGTCTCAAAAAACAACAACAACAACAAAAAAAAAACACCATAAAAGCACTATGACGTGAAAACAGTTCCTACATTAACTCCCTGTCAAAGTATTTTTAAGCAGATACCTATAAGCCTTAGAGCATTCTTCATTCTGTTATTGAATTTCTTCCATCTGGTCCTGAAATATATATACATTGCTGACAAATTCATGTGCTCTAAGCTTTGAAAAACCAAAAACTTTAGTGGGTTCTAAAATCAGAGCTATTTCCAAGAGTTAGTCATATCAAAAGACTGGATTTTTCCCGATTTGGAGAGAAAACAGTGTCTCTAGATTTTTAAAGTGGCATCTTATGAGCTTAGTCCCATTTCAACCTCTTCCAACCCATGAACGAGTATTCCACTATAAATAACAATTCCATTGTATGTTATTACCCTCTGTCCTTTAGACAAGCTAAGAACTCTTTTCTGACTTGGTGGTTTATTTTTATCCCAAATGAATTTATGTTGTATATGCTTTATATTTCCAGTTTTACTAAAATGAGGTAAACCCAGTAGTGCTAGCTTCCCTACTATCCAGACAATGACAAACACCAATCCGTTCACTGGCAACGCACTTTACCTCTAATATTCTTTGAACATTTAAACATCTAAATTGTGGAGTTGTAAAGACCAAAGGACTTTGTACAACATGCATACCTGGGCTTGGAGACTTGATGTTTACCACAGTCAAGTTTCATATCTAAGTTGATGAACCAAGTCTAAAACCTAATAGAGAAGCCAACTTATTAGAAGCATCTTACCTAAGCCACTCACAACATGTTAAATTTGCCACACATGGGTAGAGGACAAAACTTAGAATCAAGACTCTCATGAAGATTATAGAATGCAGCCCCAATACACACTTGTGCATAGCTTTTTAGTAGGTAAATGTTTCAGCCTGAGAGTCTCAGGTTTCCTTTTGACCTCAGAATAGCACATAATACGTGTAAATCATGGTAGGAATTATACACCTGAGTTATTTATCAGTGACAGCAATAGCAAAGGAAACCATGGAGCAGGAAATCAAATAAAATTATAGAGCTGACACATCAAAACCCTGTGGGAAGCTGGAACCTAAGGGAATAATTTTACTGGCATGGCTTCTTGCAGAGATTATCCAGAAGTCATGCTGCAGATAAAATCCAGGCTTTTAGCAATAAGAGTATTTCTATTTTTATCCCTCATGGGCTCTATGAGGAAGGCCAAGATGAGCTGAGCTCAGCTGCCTATAATAATAGCTCACATATAAAGCTGCTCATTATTTCCAAAATTTGGTTTCAGATTGGAAATCTCCACAGAAAAAAGCAATCTGCCCTGATTTTCTAGGCCTCTTAAATTATTTCATCCAGTTGATACATAAGGCCTGTGGCTGACTGGGTACCAAACAGTTTTAAAACCAAAATGAAATATGGAAGTTTCTCTTAAACCCAATCACCTGTTCATACTCACAGCTCCCTCCAGAGACTGCTGCTCTCTTCACCTGAGGTCCATTATTACTTTAATGGATTTAATTTGCTATCAGAGACAACATACAGATCCATCTGGGGACCAACCTCATAGGGTAGTCTGTGCTACTCTGCAAAACGATGCTTGATCAGTACCTAGATTCTTCCACTGTGAACAGGAAATAAACTCATCATTCTGCGATTTGGCCCTTCCTGGTTCAGGAGGTGGGGCCGGAGTATAAGCCATAATAACAAGTAACACACAAAAAGAACTCAATAGGCTAAGGCGCTTCATAATAACCAATGAGGTAAGCATGCATCTTCCTCATAGCATTCATTCGTCTTTATATTCAAGCAAAAGTTACTGAAGGCCTATTTATTTGCTGAGTTTAAGATAGCTCACTATGGAGTCCAGGCCCCTGTACTCCTTCTGCTGAATTACTGCAGTAACCTCCTAAAAAGCAAAAGTTGTTTTTTTCTCCTTCATCCACCATTGTTCTTTCTCATCTATCCCCACTCAACATTCAGAGTGATCTTTCTAACACAAAAATCTGATTATGTGAACCCCAAGTTAAAACCTTCCAAGGGCTTCCCAATGCTCTTAATATAAAATCCAAACTGTCCCATATGATCTGACCTCTCCCAAACTCTCCAGCCTACTTTTATGCCACTTTCCCCTTTACTCTCTATACTTTGGCCATATTTGACTTCTCTCACTTCCTCACCCCTGTGTTCTCACAGTACAATGTACATACGTTTATAACATTGATCCCACTGTACTGTATTCTCTGGTTTGCCTTTCCTCACTAGAATGTAAGCTCCTCAGAAGGCAGTGAGACCATGCTTTATATTACCCTTGCACTCCTAGTTTCCGGCAGTGTTGACTCAAACATTTGTTGAGTAACTGAGCAAATAAAGAAAAATAGAAAAGACAGGAGAAGGAGGAGGTAGGCTAGGGGAAGATAATTTTGTTTTTAAACATTAAGTTTTAGGTGGCACTGGTTTAGTGGAATAGAAATGCACAAGAACAATAGAGATCAGGTCTGCATGTATTGACTTGGAAGTTATGTACATAGAAATAATGACTGAAGTCGTGAGAATAGTTTTAAAACTAAATCTAAATTTTAGAAAGGCATATGATTCTATGAATAAATGAATAAAAATATGACAAAATAGCTTTAGCTTATAATTCAAACATGCTTACATATGCAAATAATTTTGGTTATGCTATGATTCAGAGCACAGTTAAACAAACTTTATTATTGTTTTAGATTATTGGGACCAAAAATAGGTAACTCTCTTGGCTCCTTATCAAATTCAAGCATTAGATCACAAGTTGATTCTCACTATATTTGATATCCAGTCACACACTGCATAATTATGTTTCAGTCAACGATGAACTACAGAAATGATGGTTGTCCCATAAGATTATAATAGAGGTAAAAAACTCCTATCACCTAGTGACTTCGTAGCCATCCTAATGGTTGTTTAAATGCAACGCACTACCTGCATTTGTGGTGATGCTGGTGTAAACAAACCCACTCCACTGTCATAAAAAAGTATAGCACATATGTTATGTGTAGTTCATAATACTTGATAATGAGAATAAATGACTGTGTTACTGATTTATGTATTTACTATACTTTTTATCGTTAGAGTGTATATCTTCTGCTTATTAAAAAAAAAAATAGTTACGATACAACAGCCTCAGGTAAGTCCTTCAGGAAGTATTCCAGAAGAAGGCATTATCATCACAGGAGATGACAGCTCCACGTGTGTTATTTCCCCTGAAGGCCTTTCAGTGGGACAAGATGTGGAGGTGAAAGTGATACTGACATTCTTTACCCAGTAAAAGCCTAGACTAATGTGTGTGTTTGTGTCTTCGTTTTTAACAAAGTTTAAAAAGTAAAATTAAAAAAAATTAACAATTTTAAAAACAGAAAAAAGCTTACAGAATAAAGATAGACAAGTATATCTCTACAGCTGTAAAGTGTGTTTGTGTTTCAAGCTAAGTATTATTACAAAAGAGTCAAAAAGTTTTTTATTTTATTTTATTTTTTTCTGAGAGGGAGTCTCGCTCTTGCTCAGACTGGAGGGCAGTGGCGCGATCTTGGCTCATTGCACCCTCTGCCTCCTGGGTTCAAGGGATTCTTTTTCCTCAGCCTCCTGAGTAGCTGAGATTACAGGCGCCCGCCACCACGCCCGGCTAATTTTTGTATTTTAGTAGAAATGGGGGTTTCACTATGTTGGTCACGCTGGTCTCGAACTCCTGACCTCAAACGATCTGCCCGCCTTGGCCTCCCAAAGTGCTGGGATTACAGGCGTAAGCCACCATGCCCAGCCTCAAAAAATTTTTTAAAATGTAAGTTTATAAAGTAAAAATGTTCTTTGGGAAGTTGAGGCGGGAGGATCACTTAAGGCCAGGAGCTGAAGACAAGCCTGGGAAACATAGCAAGGCCTTGTGTCTGCTAAAAACTTTTTAAAAATTAGCTGAGAACGGTAGTACACACCTATAACCTAGCTACTAGGGAGGCTGAGGCAGAAGGATCACTTGAGCCCAGAGTTTGAGTTTATAGTGAGCTATAATTGCACTCCGGTCTATGCAACAGAGAAAGCAGCTATCTCTAGAATAAATAAAGTAAAAAAGTTACAGTAAACTAAGGCTAATTTATTATTGAAGAAACTTAAAAATAAATTTAGTGTAGCCTAACTGTACAGTGTTTATAAAGTCTATAGTAGTAATGTCCTAGGCCTTCACATGCACTCACCACTCATCATACTGACTCACTCAGAGCAACTACCAGTCCTACAAGCTCCACTTATGGTAAGTGCCCTATACAGGCGTACCATGTTTTATCTTTTATGCCATATTTTTACTGTACCTTTTCTATATATAGATATACAAATACCATTGTGTTACAATTCCCTGCAGTTTTCAGTACAGTAGCCTGCTGTACAGGGTGTAGCCTAGGAATAATAGGCTACTACACAGCCTCGGTGTATAGTAGGCTGTACCATCTAGGTTTGTATAAGTTCACTCTGTAATGTTCACATGACAACAAAATTGCCTAATAACACATTTCTCAGAATGTATCTCTGTCATTAAGTGATGCATGACTGTACTTAGATTTTCATCAAATTTTCGCCACTTAACTATGAGTCTGCCCATTAGGTGGCATGCAGTTATATCTGGGAGTGTATAGGTATTATTTTTATTCCTGTTATGTTTTTTGGTAATATTCTATGAATTTTAACAGACAACTTTCTTAATTTTCACGACATATAAAATGAATACCTAAAACTGAAATTTGATCTTATGAAGACCACCCTCCCCTACTCCCCAATTCTTCCTTTTTCTAGTTGGCATCTCATGGGTTTAGCTTGTAGCATTCATCCCTATACACGGTCTAATTGCAATGTCCTCCTTGATGCCATTCTGGTAAAATTTAAAGGAAAACTTCACCAGCATTAATTTTTTTATTCATTAAAACAACAAACCTTGGCCAGGCGCAGTGGCTCATTCCTATAATCCCAGCACTTTGGGAGGCTGAGGTGGGCTGATCACCTGAGGTCAGGAATTTGAGAGCAGCCTGGCCAACATGGTAAAACCCTGTCTCTATTACAAATACAAAAAAAAATTAGCCGGGCATGGTGGTGCATGCCTGTAGTCCCAGCTACTCAGGAGGGTGAGGCAACAGAATCGTTTGAACCCGGGAGGCGGAGGTTGCAGTGAGCCAAGATCACGCCACTGCACTCCAGTATGGGCAATAGAGTAAGACTCTGTCTCAAACAACAAAAAAACCAACCAATGACAAACCTTAAAAAAATAGTATCAGCCACCAGTGTAGCCAGATATAATGAAAAATGTACAAAAACGATTCACATTTGTGGGACTGAGAATTTGTTGTTCTGAAAGAGCAAGTTTAAAATGTACATACCAAACAAAATTCCGATTTACTCCAGTCACACGAAGTTAGTTTTAAATTTTGCATTATAATATATGTATTCAGTTTATTTTTAAGTTCGAGAATTAGAAAACAGCTCTTCTAGAAAATTTAAAAATCAATTTTACCCAATGACAGGACTAATGAGTGTTCCTAAATGATTTAATGAGGTCTTTTTAAACAAAATGTCTGCATCATATTAATGATAAGCAACTAGAAGAAAAAAAGATGTCAAACATGAGGACGTAATAATGGAAAAATATAAAAAAGCTAAAACTTCCGTTAAGTGTACCACATTTCTACTTATGTATGGAGAATGGCTATTCATCTGACAGAGCAAAATGCAGCCTCCTTACCAGTCACTGTTACAACATCATCTTTACGAACTTCAGCCATTTCCTGAACATGGACTTCTGAGTTCACATCAACCTCTTTCCCTGATAACTGTAAATGAGCTTGAAGTGAAGATGGGACCTTGACAATAATAGAACCTGTAATAAATATAATGGAGAGCTTAGTAATATAAAGAAATCAAAAGTACCAGAGTCTATTATAAATTTGACTGACAGGGTAGCATTGCTCCTGAGACACTGTTTTTACTCCTCAGCATACAGTATTTATTTAAACCTTTTCCTTATTCCCAGGTGCCCAAAGTTCCCTTACTCTCAAGGCATTCACAGTAACTTCTGTAAAGAATATGGGTTATTAGCACATTATTAACTACTAGTTCTTCTTTTGCCAATAGTCCTACACAGCTCATCCAACACCAGAAAGTGAGTAATTTACTACACCTGTAGCTTATAGATAGGATTTGCCATTGAGCATTTAATATGAGCCAGACCCCTAATTACATTATGTTTTAATCCCCATATTAACTTTATGAGGTATTATTATTGCCCTGATTTTATAGATAAGAACTTGCTCAAGCTCCCACTAGTGCTCGTGCTGGAACCTAGACTCAGCTCAATAATTACAAAGCCCATGTTTTTTTTTTTTTATTATACTTTAAGTTTTAGGGTACATGTGCACAACGTGCAGGTTAGTTACATATGTATACATGTGCCATGTTGGTGTGCTGCACCCATTAACTTGTCATTTAACATTAGGTATATCTCCTAATGCTATCCCTCCCCACTGCCCTGACCCCACAACAGGCCCCGGTGTGTGATGTTCCCCTTCCTGTGTCCATGTGTTCTCATTGTTCAATTCCCACCTATCAGTGAGAACATGTGGTGTTTGGTTTTTTGTCCTTGCGATAGTTTGCTGAGAATGATGGTTTCCAGCTTCATCCATGTCCCTACGAAGGACATGAACTCATCCTTTTTTATGGCTGCATAGTATCCCATGGTGTATATGTGCCACATTTCTTAATCCAGTCTGTCATTGTTGGACATTTGGGTTGGTTCCAAGTCTTTGCTATTGTGAATAGTGCCACGATAAACATACGTGTGCATGTCTTTATAGCAGCATGATTTATAATCCTTTGGGTATATACCCAGTAATGGGATTGCTGGGTCAAATGGTATTTCTAGTTCAAGATCCCTGAGGAATCGCTACACTGACTTCCACAATGGTTGAATTAGCTTACAGTCCACCCAACAGTGTAAAAGTGTTCCTATTTCTCCACATCCTCTCCAGCACCTGTTGTTTCCTGACTTTTTAATGATCGCCATTCTAACTGGTGTGAGATGGTATCTCATTGTGGTTTTGATTTGCATTTCTCTGATGGCCAGTGATGATGAGCATTTTTTCATGTGTCTTTTGGCTGCATAAATGTCTTCTTTTGAGAAGTGTCTGTTCATATCCTTTGTCCACTTTTTGATGGGGCTGTTTGTTTTTTTCTTGTAAATTTGTTTGAGTTCATTGTACCTTCTGGATATGAGCCCTTTGTCAGAAGAGTAGATTGCAAAAAATTTCTCCCATTCTGTAGGTTGCCTGTTCACTCTGATGGTAGTTTCTTTTGCTGTGCAGAAGCTCTTTAGTTTAATTAGATCCCATTTGTCAATTTTGGCTTTTGTTGCCATTGCTTTTGGTGTTTTAGACATGAAGTCCTTGCCCATGCCTATGTCCTGAATGGTATTGCCTAGGTCTTCTTCTAGGGATTTTATGGTTTTAGGTCTAACGTTTAAGTCTTTAATCCATCTTGAATTAATTTTTGTATAAGGTATAAGGAAGGGATCCAGTTTCAGCTTTCTACATATGGCTAGCCAGTTTTCCCAGCACCATTTATTAAATAGGGAATCCTTTCCCCATTGCTTGTTTTTGTCAGGTTTGTCAAAGATCAGATGGTTGTAGATATGCAGCATTATTTCTGAGGGCTCTGTTCTGTTCCATTGATCTGTATCTCTGTTTTGGTACCAGTACCATGCTGTTTTGGTTACTGTAGCCTTGTAGTATAGTTTGAAGTCAGGTAGCGTGATGCCTCCAGCTTTGTTCTTTTGGCTTAGGATTGACTTGGCGATGCGGGCTCTTTTTTGGTTCCATATGAACTTTAAAGTAGTTTTTTCCAATTCTGTGAAGAAAGTCATTGGTAGCTTGATGGGGATGGCATTGAATCTATAAATTACCTTGGGCAGTATGGCCATTTTCATGATATTGATTCTTCCTACCCATGAGCATGGAATGTTCTTCCATTTGTTTGTATCCTCTTTTATTTCATTGAGCAGTGGTTTGTAGTTCTCCTTGAAAAGGTCCTTCACGTCCCTTGTAAGTTGAATTCCTAGGTATTTTATTCTCTTTGAAGCAATTGTAAATGGGAGTTCACTCATGATTTAGCTCTCTGTCTGTTATCGGTATATAAGAATGCTTGTGATTTTTGCACATTGATTTTGTATCCTGAGACTTTGCTGAAGTTGCCTATCAGCTTAAGGAGATTTTGGGCTGAGACGATGGGGTTTTCTAGATATACAATCATGTCATCTGCAAACAGGGACAATTTGACTTCCTCTATTCCTAATTGAATACCCTTTATTTCTTTCTCCTGCCTGATTGCCCTGGCCAGAACTTCCAACACTATGTTGAAGAGGAGTGGTGAGAGAGGGCATCCCTGTCTTGTGCCAGTTTTCAAGGGGAATGCTTCCAGTTTTTGCCCATTCAGTATGATATTGGCTGTGGGTTTGTCATAGATAGCTCTTATTATTTTGAGATACATCCCAGCAATACCTAATTTATTGAGAGTTTTTAGCATGAAGCGTTGTTGAATTTTGTCAAGGCCTTTTCTGCATCTATTGAGATAATCATATGGTTTTTGTCGTTGGTTCTGTTTATATGCTGGATTATGTTTATTGATTTGCATATGTTGAACCAGCCTTGCATCCCAGGGATGAAGCCCACTTGATCATGGTAGATAAACTTCTTGATGTGCTGCTGGATTCAGTTTGCCAATATTTTATTGAGGATTTTTGCATCGATGTTCATCAGGAATATTGGTCTAAAATTCTCTTTTTTTGTGTGTCTCTGCCAGGCTTTGGTATCAGGATGATGCTGGCCTCATAAAATGAGTTAGGAAGGATTCCCTCTTTTTCTATTGATTGGAATAGTTTCAGAAGGAATGGTACCAGCTCCTCCTTGTACCTCTGGTAGAATTCGGCTGTGAATCCATCTGGTCCTGGACTTTTTTTGGTTGGTAAGCTATTAATTATTGCCTCAATTTCAGAGCCTGTTATTGGTCTATTCAGAGATTCAACTTCTTCCTGGTTTAGTCTTGGGAGGGTGTATGTGTCCAGGAATTTATCCATTTCTTCTAGATTTTCTAGTTTATTTCCGTAGAGGTGTTTATAGTATTCTCTGATGGTAGTTTGTATTTCTGTGGGATCGGTGATGATATCCCCTTTGTCATTTTTTATTGCATCTATTTGATTCTTCTCTCTTTTCTTCTTAATTAGTCTTGCTAGCGGTCTATCAATTTTGTTGATCTTTTCAAAAAACCAGCTCCTGCATTCATTGATTTTTTGAAGGGTTTTTTGTGTCTCTATTTCCTTCAGTTCTGCTCTGATCTTAGTTATTTCTTGCCTTCTGCTAGTTTTTGAATGTGTTTGCTCTTGCTTCTCTAGTTCTTTTAATTGTGATGTTAGGGTGTCAATTTTAGATCTTTCCTGCTTTCTCTTGTGGGCATTTAGTGCTATAAATTTCCCTCTACACACTGCTTTCACATACCAGAGCATACCAGAGATTCTGGTATCTTTGACATACCAGAGATTCTGGTATGTTGTGTCTTTGTTTTCATTGGTTTCAAAGAACATCTTTATTTCTGCCTTCATTTCGTTATGTACCCAGTAGTCATTCAAGAGCAGGTTGTTCAGTTGCCATGTAGTTGAGTGGTTTTGAGTGAGTTTCTTAATCCTGAGTTCTAGTTTGATTGCACTGTGGTCTGAGAGACAGTTTGTTATAATTTCTGTTCTTTTACATTTCCTGAGGAGTGCTTTACTTCCAACTAAGTGGTCAATTTTGGAATAAGTGCGGTGTGGTGCTGAGAAGAATGTATATTCTGTTGATTTGGGGTGGAGAGTTCTGTAGATGTCTATTAGGTCTGCTTGGTGCAGAGCTGAGTTCAATTCCTGAATATCCTTGTTAACTTTCTGTCTCGTTGATCTGTCTAATGCTGACAGTAGGGTGTTAAAGTCTCCCATTATTATTGTGTGGGAGTCTAAGTCTCCTTGTAGGTCTCTAAGGACTTGCTTTATGAATCTGGGTGCTCCTGTATTGGGTGCATATATATTTACGATAGTTATCTCTTCTTGTTGAATTGATCCCTTTACCATTATGTAATGGCCTTCTTTGTCTCTTTTGATCTTTGCTGGTTTAAAGTCTGTTTTATCAGAGACTAGGATTGCAACCCCTGCCTTTTTTTGTTTTCTATTTGCTTGGTAGATCTTCCTCCATCCTTTATTTTGAGCCTATGTGTGTCTCTGCACGTGAGATGGGTTTCCTGAATACAGCACACTGATGGGTCTTGAGTCTTTATCCAATTTGCCAGTCTGTGTCTTTTAATTGGAGCATTTAGCCCATTTACATTTAAGGTTAATATTGTTATGTGTGAATTTGATCCTGTCATTATGATGTTAGCTGGTTATTTTGCTCATTAGTTGATGCAGTTTCTTCCTAGCCTCGATGGTCTTCACAATTTGGCATGTTTTTGCAGTGGCTGGTACTGGTTGTTCCTTTCCATGTTTAGTGCTTCCTTCAGGAGCTGTTTTAGGGGCGGCCTGTTGGTGACAAAATCTCTCAGCAGTTGCTTGTCTGTAAAGTATTTTATTTCTTCTTCACTTATGAAGCTTAGTTTGGCTGGATATGAAATTCTGGGTTGAAAATTCTTTTCTTTAAGAACGTTGAATATTGGCCCCCACTCACTTCTGGCTTGTAGAGTTTCTGCTGAGAGATCAGCTGTTAGTCTGATGGGCTTCCCTTTGTGGGTAACCCGACCTTTCTCTCTGGCTGCCCTTAACATTTTTTCCTTCATTTCAACTTTGGTGAATCTGACAATTATGTGTCTTGGAGTTGCTCTTCTCGAGGAGTATCTTTGTGGCATTCTCTGTATTTCCTCAATCTGAATGTTGGCCTGCCTTGCTAGACTGGGGAAGTTCTCCTGGATAATATCCTGCAGAGTGTTTTCCAACTTGGTTCCATTCTCCCCATCACTTTCAGGTACACCAATCAGATGTAGATTTGGTCTTTTCACATAGTCCCATATTTCTTGGAGGTTTTGTTCATTTCTTTTTATTCTTTTTTCTCTAAACTTCTCGCTTCATTTCATTCATTTCATCTTCCATCACTGATACCCTTTCTTCCAGTTGATCGAATCAGCTACTGAGGCTTGTGCATTCGTCACATAGTTCTCATGCCTTGGTTTTCAGCTCCATCAGGTCCTTTAGGGACTTCTCTGCATTGATTATTCTAGTTAGCCATTCATCTAATTTTTTTTCAAGGTTTTTAACTTCTTTGCCATGGGTTCAAACTTCCTCCTTTAGCTCAGAGTAGTTTGATTGTCTGAAGCCTTCTCTCAACTCGTCAAAGTCATTCTCCATCCAGCTTTGTTCCGTTACTGGTGAGGAGCCGCGTTCCTCTAGAGGAGGAGAGGTGCTCTGATTTTGAGAGTTTCCAGTTTTTCTGCTCTGTTTTTTTCCCCATCTTGTGGTTTTATCTACCTTTGGTCTTTGATGATGGTGACGTACAGATGGGGTTTTTGTGTGGATGTCCTTTCTGTTTGTTAGTTTTCCTTCTAACAGTCAGGACCCTCAGCTGCAGGTCTGTTGGAGTTTGCTGGAGGTCTACTCCAGACCGTTTGCCTGGGTATCAGCAGCAGAGGCTGCAGAACAGCGGATATTGGTGAAGAGCAGATGTTGCTGCCTGATCATTACTCTGGAAGTTTTGTCTCAGAGGAGTACCTGGCCGTGTGAGGTGTCAGTCTGCCCGTACTGGGGGATACCTCCCAGTTAGGCTACTCGGGGGTCAGGGACCCACTTGAGGCAGTCTGTCCATTCTCAGATGTCCAGCTGCATGCTGGGAGAACCTTTACTCTCTTCAAGCCTGTCAGACAGGCATATTTAAGTTTGCAGAGCTTTCTGCTGCCTTTTGTTTGGCTGTGCCCTGCCCCCAGATGTGGAGTCTACAGAGGCAGGCAGGCCTCCTTGAGCTGCGGTGGTGGGCTCCACCCAGTTCGAGCTTCATGGCCACTTGTTTACCTACTCAAGCCTCGGCAATGGTGGACGCCCCTCCCCTAGCCTCGCTGCTGCCTTGCTGTTTGATCTCAGACTGCTGTGCTAGCAATGAGCGAGGCTCCGTGGGCATAGGACCCTCAGAGCCATGCGTGGGATATAATCTCCTGGTGTGCCGTTTGCTAAGACCATTGGAAATAAGCAGTATTAGGGTGGGAGTGACCCGATTTTCCAGGTGCTGTCTGTCACCCCCTTTCTTTGACTAGGAAAGGGTATTCCCTGACCCCTTGCGCTTCCCGGGTGAGGTGATGCCTCGCCCTGCTTTGGCTCACGCTCGGTGCGCTGCGCCCACTGTCCTGCACCCACTTTCTGACACTCCCCAGTGAGATGAACCTGGTACCTCAGTGGGAAATGTAAAAATCACCTGTCTTCTGCGTCGCTCACGCTGGCAGCTGTAGACTGGAGCTGTTCGTATTCAGCATCTTGGCTCCACCCTAAAGCCCATGCTTTTAACCACCATGGTATTTCACACACTCCTACCTCATCGTAGTACAGGACTTGTGACCTCATTATTATAACACAACTAGAACACTGAGCTCTTGTGCTTTCAGATGTGCCTTGTGTGTAACAAAAAATAACAATAGAAAAGGATTATTTGAATTCCAACTCACTAATGTTTCTTTTGAGTAGATTACAGGCTTTTGGATACCTAAGGTAAGACACTCAGCCTGTATTTCCATACAACCTGGCTGTAATTCAACCTTCTAAAGGAGTAAATCAGGAAAAGTACTCTGTTAGGTATGGAATCATTTTTAGAATTATGTGGGTTGCAGTGTAAATTCACCAACACACTCCTATTTCAGAAGTTTTTCTTCCTGTTTTTCATTAAATAAAGTAGGTAAAAGGCCCCTGCCATAATGCATTAACCCCACCTCTGTGGACAAAGATGGTCAGGATGGGGTTTAGAATGCATTTACTTATGGGTCGTGGTTTTCCTTCCAATCTGGCTAACATCAGCTTAAGCTTCCTTAAGTAATTTCTTGGTCTTCCTAACTGGAGCTAGAAGTTTGAGATAAGCATGACAAACTGTTCTATTCTAAAAAAAAATTAGGGAACAATGCATATTACTACAACTAGTTTATTTTATTAAGAAATAAATTGCAGCCAGGCACAGTGGCTTGTGGCTGTAATCTCAGTACTTTGGGAAGCCAAGGTAGGTGGATTGCTTGAGCTCAAGAGTTCGAGACCAGCCTGGACAACATGGTGAAACCCTGTTTCTACCTCCCCCAGCTCAAAAAAAAAAAAAAAAAAAAAAAAAAAAAGCTGGGTGTGGTGGTGCACAACTGTAGTCTCATCTACCTGGAAGGCTGACCTCCCAAGCTTAGGCGATCCTGATGAGGCTGCACTGAGCCATGATCTTGCTGCTGCACTCCAGCCTGGGTGACAGAGTGATACCCTGTCTCAAAAACAAAAACAAAAAACTTAATTGCTTTCCAGGGTTCAAATGTAAACTACAGACAGGAGATTCCCATAACAACATATGAGGGCTTTAGGAAAAAACAAAACAAAAACAACCCTGGAAGATTTCAGGATAAATAGAAGACACGTTTTTCTACCAAACATACTTTCAAAAGTAGAAAATCATGGATTTAAAAACTTTTTTGTAGGGCTTGATATGTCTAAATGTATCAAGTTTCAAGTGTGCTAACTTTATGAACACTTGTCTCTGTCCTTAAATGCATAACATGATCTTAAATTTTTCAGATCTTTAGAAATGTTAAGCAATGCAAAGATTTCTACCCCATCTCCCTCCATATCTTTAAAAGCCAAAAACCACCTACCAAAACTCCATTACTGTTTGTGAATGAAGAATTTTCATGACTTGAAAACCTTCCTAATGTCCCATCGTTAACACTAACTTTTTTAGAAAGGAGGGCTCTTGTTGTGTTCTTTAACCTCTTTTCACATCATAAACTTCTTCATGGTTGACATCAGTACTATCCTCTTAAAAATTCAAATGTGAACTAACAGCATCATTTATTGAAGGCATATTATGTTAAAATTAGTGATTTTCCCAAGGACAAAATGTTAAGTAGAAAAGTCAGTACTCAGATTCAGGTGTGACTCCCAGGCCCAAGCATAGCCTGGAATGAATTAAGAAGGTCACCATATTAATTTTCATAAGGTGAAAGAAAACAAGCATTATATATTTTTCCACATCAGAAAATGTTGAAGACCTAAGAGACTCCAGTGGCTGGCTCTGAACCCTACAGCAAGACAGTGGCAGAGTTGGAATGGATTCCAGATGTCTTTGCGAACGATTAAGAAAGAGTTACTGAATAACTTTCCATTACTCTTAAAAAGTTACTCTTACCAAGTGTATTGAGAATTCGGAGATCTGAAGTAAGACAGAAATCTTTGTTTTCAGTTGTCTTTAAGCTTTTGCCAGTAACATGGTCCCAGTAGAAGAAAACATAAAACTGTAATCCTAATCAAATTTTGCAACATCAAATACTATTTCAATAGTTTCAAATACTATTCCAATATTGTTCCAGCAATATTCCAAATAATACTAAGAAATATTTTAAATGAATAAAGACTAACAATCTTCAAAAGTTTTACAGTTTTCTGTTTGTTTTATTTTGCCTACTGTGCAAAACATTAAATTATTTGTATGTAACAGCTGCTTATTCAAAACTTTGTTCTTACTCTGTTACTAGTTATATTAACAATATATCCCTCTTCTCTTTGGATCTTTGTAATAATGGAGTACAGTTATATGACTTACATGCCATTTATAATTTTCCCTGAAGAGTATTACCTGAAGCTCTTAGATTTAGTGAGGACATAAGTTTATCCTATTTTAAAGGGAGAAAATATGATATTGAGAAGTCACACCGGTGTATCAGCAATAACTGAGGTTTCAGACCTCTGTGTTTTGCAGTTTTGACACTGACAAATTCTAGAGATGGATTAAAAAAAACTATTACATCAATATGGTAAAGCAACTACTAATAGCAGGAACAATCAGTCTCTGTGAGGAAATATTTTCCTTGTTAAACATCTGGCCAACATGCAAGAGCTGCTAGACTATTTAAAAAAATTTTTTTATACAGAGCTACAGTTCTTAACTTTCTGCAGCCAAGCCACTTCAGCCCCTATGGCCAACCTACTTCACCCAAGCCACTTGTCAACACATATGTGTACATCCATGTGTGCAGAAGAACAGACAAATTCATATTTAGCTTTCAGATGAAAAGTATACCATTTTAAATGAAAGAGTTGGACTCAGAATAAGTTGTGTCAGAAGTTAAATGATAGAGACATATCATAAGTCTTGATACTTCAAGAGACTAAGTAATCACTTTAGAGGACCTTTCTGTGTGATACCTTTATTTAAGGATCACACTTTGAAAACTGTTACTCTACACTGATTGCCTGAGAAGTTCCTTTTACAGGCTGGCAGAGAAGCTTCCAAAAGAGTGTATGGCAGCGTTTTTCCTTCAAAGATTATTCTATTTCAGAATAGAATAAACTGAAAAATCCACAGAGTAACATTTAAAAATTCCATAATAACAGTCAAAATATTACATTTTTGTTTGTACTACAAAGGGAAAGATAGTCTGCATGGCCATCTATCCCAAAAGTTGTAAAGATCACTGGTCTAGAAAGCTAGCAGACCAGTGCCTTTAAATTAGGTTCTATCAGAAGATATTTTCTTGAAATCACTATGTCAGTATAGATAATTTGACCATCTGTTTCCTGAGTGTTACATAAACCTTCCTTACATCATATGTCAAAATAAAACATTCCAGTTCACTAACCTTTATGGGATTTCAATTCCACTTTCCCCAGTTGGCTGACATAAACATCTATGGCACCCTGATTAGTTGAGGCTTTTAGACATCCAGAAGACGAATCTAGGAAGAAGAAAAAACCATAAGTAAAATAATTCTTACTTGATAAATGGAATTACAAACTTAAAATAAAAGGCTCTGCTTTAGCATTAGGATAAGGGGCTAAGAATCTTGCAAGGTTTAGTATTTTCCTCATAACAATGCCATTGTTTGCACTTGAACGTAAACAGTATCAGAAACCTAGAAATCTATTAAACAACTAATTTAAAAATCTTTATCTATATTAACCTGAATAACTTATCTCTAAACATTTACTCTAAAACTTAATGAGTCGGAAGGAGAGTCTGCAAGTAATGGTTCCTTTGACCACTAAGCATCATTGATATATTTAGTTTTTTATCATGTTGATACATTTAGTAAACTTTCAATAATTACCAAAGAATTCTACCTCATGTATAGTCACATACAAGCAGTAGCAAGGCTGACAAAAATCAAAACCTCTCATAATTTCTCCTTGTAGCAAATTTGCTGATACTAAGAAGTGCTCCTAATAGTAAAAGATTACTCTACATAAAGTTGTCGCATTTCTTTTTTTCTTTTTTTTTTTTTTTTTAGAGACAGGGTCTTGCTATGCTGTCCAGGCTGGTCTCTGACTCCTGGGACCAAGCCATACTCCTGGGATTACAGGCACAAACCACTGTTCCTGGCTTGCTGCATTTCTTTAAGGGGCAGAAGGGCAGGGTGGAATAATTTGAAGAATAGCTTGTTTATATCTAATAGTTCTTTTCAAGTTTCTGGAATTGAACAGGTATCTTTAAGTGAGGATAAGAAAATAATAATTAAGGTAACCCTGATTTGTCATTCAAATTTCCCTATGTGGTCAATGACCCCACTTTTGAATCAACCAGTATCTCAAGTTCAAGGGAAAACAGTCAAAATAAGGAAGTAAGAAAATGAACTTGAAGAGTTAGTGCTAAGTGGTTTTTCCTTCTTCTCTTTCTCCCATGGCAATTGAATCTTTAATTTAATATTCTATCTGACTGCCTGGAGAAAGCCAAAGCATATTCTTTTTAGAGAGGCCTCTTAAAAAGCATATTTTATCAGGAGGTTTTATTACTTCAAAGTGGAAACAAAGTAGGGAGTGTGGTGAAAACTATGCCAAAAATTATACTGTTTACAAAACAGAGAGAGAAAACATTTGTGTGTGTGTGTGTGTATAGGAGCCAACATTTTTCTTTTAAAAAAATGTTAACTGACTTCAAACAAAGAGAGTAAATTTGGAATAAACTGTTTAAAATGCGGCTCCAAGATCATTTATAATAATTTATTTCCAATCTATACTGGAAAATGCCCTTTATCAGACTCAATTTATTTAGTTTTCAAGTGTCAAAAGTTAACACTGACGTTGGGAAATGAAACCACTAGAGATAAATGACACAGAATAGCTGGACAAAATGAACATTTCACTGCTTACGAACCAACAGAAACTCCTTTTTAAACCTCTTACCGCATCCTAAAAGAAGCCAAGTAAAAATTACATTATGCTAAAAAAAAGAAAAGTGTAATACACAAGGTGTGTATTATTCCAGTTTGAACAAAGTAAAATAGCTGAAACATTAGTGTGATTTCTCGCTTTCTCAAGGAGGGAAAAAAAACACACACAATTTTTATGTGGCTCATAAATAATACTTTCATTTATTTTTCCCTCCAAATGAGAAATAAATGACAGCTAAATAATTATATCCTAGGCCACAAAGTAATTATATCCTCATGTTATCTGTATTGATCTCTAATGATGGCTCATCCCTTGGAGGATGTTAAAAAATAAAAAAATGAAAACGCAAGATGTTTTCAAGAAAGAAGGCAAAGGTGATATTTTAAAACTATGCAGCAAAACAAGCCCTCCTATTTTTTTTGTTTAACACAAATTATCAGAACTAAAATTAATTATCAAGAGTAAAATTAAGGCTTCATCCACAGAATTTCATTCTTTTGGAGTTTACATAATGGAGAAATTCTATGGATCTGGGAGAAAGTCCTGTAGATCTAATGTATAGCACAGTGACTGTAATTAACAATACTGTACTGTAAACTTGATATTTGCTAAGAGAGTAAATCTTAAACATTTTCATCATACACATAAAATGGTAATGAGGTGAAGTGACAGATATGTTAACTAAACGGACTGTGGAAATTATTTCACAGTATATATGTATATCAAATCATTATATTGCATGTATACCTTAAATATATACGGTTTTGTCAATTATGTCTCAATAAAGTCAGCAAAAGCAAAAAAAAAAAACAAAAACAAAACACACCACAAAAGATACCAAAATAAATCTACATTGTAATGTGATTAGCTCAGTGCTTGGCACATGGGCACTGAGTAAATGATAGATATTTTAAAGAAAGGGCCAGGTGTGGTGGCTTATGCCTGTAATTCCAGCACTTTAGGAGGCTGAGGCAGGAGAACTGCTTGAAGCCAGGCATTTGAGACCAGTATGGGTAACAAAGTGAGACCTTGTCTCTATTTTTTAAAATAATAAACAAGTAAATAATGTTAAAAGAAAAATCAGTCAGTATAGTTGGTCATATTAATAAAAGAAAAATGATCATTTCAATAAATTCAGGAAATGTGTTTGACAAAATTCAACACTCATTCACGAACAAAGAAAGTAAAAAAAGAGAAACTTTTAAGCAAACAAGGAATAAAAGATTACTCTCCCAATCTGATAAAAGGCATCTGTTAAAAATCTATAGCTAACATCACACTTAATGCATTCCCCCTAATATTGGGGACAAGGATAGGGATCAAGTGCAAGGAATCACACTCTCATCACTACATTCAACATTATACTGAAGTTCATAGCTAGTCTGATAAGGCAAGAAAAAGAAAAGTAATAAAGATAGGAGGGAAAGAGGTAAAACTCTATTTGCAGTTGAAAATGTCTGCTCAGCTAGAAAAGGATTCTAGATTTGAGAAAACCACTATTAGAATAAATTTAGCAAGGTCACAAGATACAAGGTCCATTTATAAAAATCATTTGTATTTACATATATCAGCAGTAGACAATTAGAAGCAAAGTCTTAAAAACTGTCTCATTTGTAACAGTGTTAAAAACACAAATGAATTTAACAAAAAAATGTGCCAGATCTCTACACTGAAACTTACAAAGCAATGCTGAGAAAAATTAAAGAAGACCTAAATAAATGGAGAGAGCTACCTACCATGTTCATTAATTGGAAGATACAATGTGATTCAGTGCAATCCCAAACATAATCAAAACTGTATTTTTTGGTAGAAACTGACTGGAAAATCAAAGGACCTATTATATCCAAAGTAATCCTTAAAAGGAACAAATTTGGAAGACTTCAACTACCTGATTTACAGACTTACCAAAGATACAGTAATCATGATATTGTGGCACCGGCATAAGGCTCACCAAATAAATCAATGAATTAGGAACAAGAGATCAGACATTGAGCCACACTTATATAGTGATTTGATTTTAGACAAGGATGCTAAAGTAATCCATCAGAGAAAGGAAGTTTTTTCAACAAATGATGATATAAAAAAATTTTAAAACTGACAATAATAAATGTTGATGAGGATGTGGAGCAACTCAAATTCTCATACATTGTTGATGAGAGTATAAAGTGGAACTTTGGGAAAAGGTCTGGTAGTTTATCATAAAGTTAAACATAGAACCTACCTAGTCAACTCAGCAATGCCATACCTACGTATTTACCCAAGAGGAAAAATATATATACATCCATAAAATGACTTACATTAATATATTCATAGCAGCTTTATTTACAGTTGCCAAAAAATTAGAAATGGCCCAGGTGTCCATCAACAGTAGAATGAACAAATTAAGCCTTCTAATAGCCTGCTTTCACTTCTGAACCCTTCTGGTACATTATGAAATAACAGCTAGGTTGTTCTTTTAAAATATAAATTATATATCACTTCCCTAACATCCTGTTGTAGTTGGAATAAAGTCTGAACTCTTACCCTGTCTACAAGGTCCTAAGATCTAGCCTTACTTACCTCATATCCTACCACTTTCCTCATAAGCCAGCCTTCTTTCCCTTGAAAATAGTAAACTTCCATTTTCAAGGCCTGCACTTGCTGTTCCTCTATCTAGGGAGCCTGTATCCAGAATTTTATATAACTCTTTCTCATTTTTCTGGCTTTGGTTTAAATGTACCCTCTCCAGACCACCCCCAATTGCCTAACTGAAGTAGCTTTCTTTTTCCCCAATCTCTATTCAGTTACCCTTTCTTATTTCTTCATTGTACTTACCACAAACTAAAATTACCTTTTGTTATTTATGTGCTTGTTGTCTTTCTTCCCAGGGCTCAGAGAAGGTGAGGTCTCTGAGCACAGAAACTATGTCCTGTTGACCAATATGTTCCCTAGTACCTAAAAGAATTCTTAATACATGGCAGGTACTCAATAAATACATGTTGACTAACTAGTTATTGGTATTCACAAGGTTGTCTTCAAATGTTAACACATTTGGAGCCCAATAAACAGTGACATTATTTATATCTTTCTTTCAAGGACTTAATTTAGATATTTGAAGAATTCAAGAAATTTGTAAGATCTTTTTTTCTTTCTTTTCTTTTTTTTTTCTTCAGAGAAGTTTAGCAAGAAATATAAGACATTTCTTAATACCAGCTCAGGCGATTTTCTTCGAGTGGACATAATTAGTACATTGGTTCTGCCTATATTTGACTTGTGATCCTGTCAAGTTCATCAGTTAAACTGTAGAATTCATTTATTCTAATAAAGTCATCACAAATATACCCATTTTTAAAAGTGGACAAAATACACGAACTAGTAGCTTAGCACATACCTACTGTGATGTTACCCATCTTGCTTTGTAATGTTATATTACCTGCCAAAAAGAAAAAGATACTTTTATGTACTAGAGACAATCTAGAAAGGAACTGTGATACATAGCAATGCTAAAACATGGATGAATATCTACAATGTTATTTTTGTTGGCAATTTTTCCCAATATCACAAGTCCAGTCAAAGATTGAGCTGTAGTTCTGAAATAACTGGCTTAGGTATCTCTGCAAACCTTCTTTCTCTACTACCAAACCTTAAGCTTTTATAGCATAACTACAAATCACCATAACTGCTGGCACAGAGGAAAAACAATACTTCTAAAACCTGTAAGTGAAAAAAATTACTGAAATGTAGTCACTGTACATTTTCAACCTAAATATCAATGTATTTATCAGACCACACAAAGCGAAGTTTTCAACCAAGTAACACTAAAATATGGTATGGAAAAAAAGAATTACTTTTATTTTTCAGGCCACTTGCCATGTCTATTAAATTAAAAGTAGTTTCTGGGCCAAGAATTAAAGTGGTTTGAGATAGGAATAATGAATACATGGAGGTATGACTAACAAAACAGAACAAAGAAGCTTCAAAGATTTCCGTCTTAGTGAAAATATGTTTTCCATGATAAGGATGGAATATTGCAACCATTCTTCCCAGCCCCTTTCCCCTAACACCAAAAGTAGTAGGATTATTCTTCATATGTGTGTTTGTATGTGTAAGTATTCCTAGAATCAGGAACTCATATTTATTCTACTGAAAATATAAGCAATAATGTTATCTCTTCTAAAATAATTCCAAAACTACACTAAAAAGTAAAGGAATAACTTTGGCCTCAGAATTAATCTTCAGTAAACTCATTTTATCTCATTTCATATACCTTATGAATACTGACTTGTATCAGTATCTGGGAAAAACCAAAAAAAGGCACTGGATTCATTTACTCAATAGCCAGATGCGCCTAATTGCAAAAATCCATCTGAAGGTCTAATATACCATCATATTTCTTGTGAGTATATGAACAAGGAGTATATTTGTGTATGAATAAAAACTTGGTTTGTGTACTGAAGCTTATAAGATTACTAATTTTTTTTCATATTTTAGATTCAGGGGATACATGTGCAGGTTTGTTACCTGGGTATATTGTGTGATGTTGAAGTCTGGGGTACAAATGATCCCATCACCCAGGTACTAGGCATAGTACCCAATAGTTTTTCAACCCTTGCCCCGTCCCTCCATCCCCCATCTAGTAGACTCCAGTTTCTACTGTTGCCATCTTTATGTCCATAATTATCCAATGTTTACCCCCCACTTATAGGTAAGACCATGTGGTATTTGGTTTTCTATTCCTGTGTTAATTCGCTTAGGATAGTGGCTTCCAACTGCATCCATGCTGCTGCAAAGGATATAATTTCATTCTTCTTTATGGCCGCATAGTATTCCATGGTGTATATGTACCACATTCTCTTTATCCAGTCCACCACTGATGGGCACATAGGTTGATTCCATGTCTTTGCTATTGTGAATAGAGCTGCAGTGAATATGTTGAGTGCATGTGTCTTTTTGGAAGAATGATTTATTTTCTTTTGTGTATATATCCAGTAATGGAATTGCTGGGTTGAATGGTGGTTCTGTTTTAAGTTCTTTGAGAAATCTTCAAACTGCTTTCCACAGTGGCTGAACTAATTTACATTCCCACCAACAGTGTATGAGTGTTCCCCTTTCTCCACAGCCTCGCCAGCGTCTGTTGTTTTTTTACTTATTTTTAATAATAGCCATTCTGACTGGTGTGAGATGATATCTCATTGTGGTTTTGATTTGCATTTCTCTGATGACTAGTGATTTGGAACAGTTTTTCATGTTTGTTGGTTTCTTGTACGTCTTCTCTTGAGAAATGAGCAAAATGTCCTGTCTTTTGCTCATTTTTAATAGGGTTATTAGTTTTTTGCTTATTGATTTGTTTAACTTCCTTGAAGATTCAAAGGAACAAAGGATATTAAACCTTTGTCAGATACAGAGTTTGCAAATATTTTCTCCCATTCTGTAGGTTGTCTATTTACTCTGTTCATAATTTCTTTTGCAGTGCAGAAGCTCTTTCATTTAATTAGATCCCAATGAGGCAAGTCTAGGAGGACAGGAATCACATCTTTCTTATTTAGCTTCATACCTGGGAACTTTGCACAGTGCATAGTACATAGTAAACACAATTATTTTGTGAACAAATAAAAAGTTTGGAAAAGTAGGTAAAGAGCAACCTGTGGTAGAACCACAGAGTGCTAAGTCTACTGACTATCCTACACCAAAAAAGTTAGTGAAGAATTTCAAGATGAATAAAAATACAAGAAAACCATGCTTTAAGGAGATTCACCTAGTGTGAGACAGTGGGTGTTTCCATACTCAGCATTCTCTTTACTGCTTGTTGTGGTTTGAACGTTCCCACAAAAGTTCATGTGTTGGAAACTTAGTCCCCAGTGCAGCAATACTATGAGGTGGGACCTTTGGGAGGTAATTGGGTCATGAGGGCTCTACCCTCATGAATGGATTAACCCATTCATGAATCAATGGATTAATGGGTCATAGAGGGAGTGGGTTAGCTATTACAAGAGTGAGTCTGTTATAAGAGCCAGTGTGGGTGTCTCTCATGCAGCCTCTCTCCATGTGAGGCCTGTGCCACTTCATGACTCTGCAGAGCCCCTATCCGCAAGAAGGCTCTCACCAGATGCGGCTCCTAGACCTCAGACTTCTCAGCCTCCAGAACTGTAATATATAAGCTTTATAAATCACTCAGTCTCAGGTATTCTGTTATAGCAACAGAAAACAGACTAAGACACTGCTCTACCTCCTGAACAATAAAAGATAGACAGGTCCCTGATATTCGTAACTTTATTAATAAAGAACTATGATAAAGTTTTACAGTCATTTAGCTAGTGAATCCAGTCACCCACTCATCAAGGCAATGGAGCTTTATAGTTTTACACTAGTCTTTAATAATGCAGTAAAAATTTACAATTTTTTTTAAAATAAAAATATGGTCTTTCTCAAAAAGCCAATCATTAGTGCTTGTCATGAAAGTGAGGAGGTCTTGAGAAAACAATGATTCTTTGAACCAGAAAAATAGAAGTTTTAGATCTATACAAAATGAGGATTAGTTAATTATAGTGGGACCTATAGAGTCTCAGATAACATTCTTCTTGAATGTTTGAGTTCTACTGTATACTAAAAGCATAATGGAGCAACAACAACAAAAACCCATGGAATTAAGGAATCATTTCAAATACTGTCTAGTTGTAAGTAACACTTCAAAATATTTTTGTCAACTCTAAATAAAACAGTAAACAAAAACTTATTTTCAACTCATATCAAAATATTTAGAAAATCTCTACCTTAAACAGAAATATTCTAAAGTCATTAGAAAACACAAAATGGATTTCTTCCTTCAAATGCATAGTGGAATAAAGTAGTATATTTAAAAGTATACCAAGCAACAAAATGGGCATTATTAGCAAAATTTTCTATATTTTGATTCCACCTACTTCATCTCCAAACACTGAAAATAATAAATTAATTATTTGAGAGGAGTAAATCTTAGTAAAAGCTTCTTTCCAATAAAGCAGACACCAGATGGTCTGTAATAACTATGTGTGCTTACCCTACTCTCAAGTTATATAAGTTTTCCACAAATCCCAGTATTTGAGAAAATAGATAGTTTTTCTTAGCTTGTAACCTTTCATTCTAGCATGGTCAGAGGAAAAAAAAATGTAATCAATTTAAAGATAAACATTGGTTTATTTTTCTTCACCAAAAGAAATGTGATTATGGTTCAAGCACATAGAACTCTTAAAATCCAAACAGAGTAATCAAGTATCCTTAAAGATTAAGTCATTTTGTGGTTTTTGGTGGGTAGGGGTGGGGAGGTGGAAAGGGAGACACTTGTATTTGCAAGCCACAGTGCTAAATGCTAAGAATATAGAGATGAATAAAACATAATCTTTGTTCTTGAGGAATTTATAATTAGGCAAGGATTTATAGAAAACCAGAGATGAGGCAAGATGCTTTAGCTGAGTACTGAAAGATTAAAAAAGTCAACAAGATTTTTAAAAAGCTAGGAAAAGCATTTCAGGCAGAATATAAACAGTATGATCAGTATGATCAAAGGCTCTGATCAAGAACTCAGAGGTATAAAACAGGTAAAAATGTATATAGGAAAAAAGACTAATTCTGGAAGACAAAGCATACAGTCAGAAGAGGGAAGAGGGAAGTTGGGCACGTCACTAAGGCAGTAGAAAACGGTCCGAATAAGAGAATGACATGTTCAATGTGCATTACTAATAAACTACTTTAGCTGCAGTGAGGAGAAATGGATCTGAAGAAGGCAAGGCTGGAGGCAAAGTTATTGCTAGTATCAAGGCAAGAGGTCAAGAGGGTCTAAAACAGAAGTGTAGAAATTAGCAGGAAAAAGGTGAGATAGATTGAAAAAATATTTAGGAGATAAAACCTGCCTAAACTTGGTAGTTGATTAGATGCAGGAGATGAGAGAGAAACAGGAAGTTAAGACCACTGCCAGATTTATAGCATGGGAATTGGGAACATGGCAATATCAGAAACAGCAAATAAAAACAAGGAAAGAGGACACATTACAGATGACGTTCAGGGACTGGGGAAGAAGGGAAAAAAGCAAGAAATGTTGAGTTCAAGATGTCTGTGAAGATCCAAATGGCTATGTCTACCTGCCAGATGGATGTATAAATTAGTCAGGGCTAGAGACATAGATTTGAATAATCAGATTTGAAACACCCTTGTAAGGGTAGTTCAGACTCAAAAGTATATAAGATGCCCTAGGAAAATATGTAGAGAAAGAACAATAGGACAAGGATGAAATCCTGGAGAATACCAATTATCACAGAGGTGGAAAGAGAAGGAATATAGAGACATTTGTGAAAGAGCAATTATAAATATATGATAGAGACTGCCAGTGTCCATTAATATTTGTGTGCCTCTCTTCTTCCATAAAAGTACTGCTAAACTACATATCTCAGCCTTTGCAGTTAGGTAAAGCCATTTGAAAATATTTTGTCCAAAGATCTATGGGCAGAAGTAATATATGCACTTCTAGGCCTGGTTTCTGAAACTTCTTCCATGATCCTCTGTGCTGTCTCATTTTTCATGGAAGACTTGGAAGCCACAAACTGAGGAAGCCAAGTCTCTGAATGTCTCTAAGGAGCTGCACTTAGGACAGACACTGTAGTAAATATCAATATTTTGTGTCAGAGGTCTAAACCCTGAAAAACCTACATGGTTTGCACCACAAAAAAAAAAAAAAGCTGTAATTCTTTTCTAATATTTCATATAAAAAAGTTGTGGCCAGGTGCGGTGGCTCATGCCTGTAATTCCAGCACTTTGGGAGGCCGAGGCGTGCGGATCACCTGAGGTCAGGAGTTTGAGACCAACCTGGCCAACATGGTGAAACCCTGTCTGTACTAAAAAATATAAAAATTAGCCAGGCGTGGTAGCAGGCGCCTTAATCCCAGCTACTTGGGAGGCAGAGGCAGGAGAATTGTTTGAACCTGGGTAGTGGAGGTTGCAGTGAGCCGAGATCAAGCCATCACACTCAAGCCTGGGGGACAAGAGTGAGACTTCTCTCAAAAACAAAACAAAACAAAACAAAAAAAACAAAAAAAACAAAGTTGTATGTGTCCAGATTCGAAATTAAGCATCAAAATGATAATCAAATTAAAACTTCATAATGACCTAGGCTAGGAATAAATACTAGAATTTCAATAAAACATTTTCATGAATGTCATGAAAAGATCTATTTAATCCAATAAAAGATTCTGTTTTAAAATTGTATATTATTTCTGACTTTCTAAGTTTACAAACCAGATTTATAAATTTATCAGTGACTACAAGTCCTTCTTAAAGCAGATTGGGACATTTCTTCTGAAATTTTGAGTGCTATCAAAGTTATCACCTGTGTTTTGTACAGTTCATGTAAATTGTACTTCTTGAAAATTTCAAAAATAAAAAAGTAGTTACTAAAGGAAAAGTTTATGCATGTATGCCAAATAGTTGAAGAACAAAGGACTTTTGAAGTGCAGAGAAAATGAGAGAACTAATACTCAGCAATTTATCTATCAAGATATGTTTCCATAGAACTTAAAATAGAGCCTAATTTACATAGGAAATCTAAATATTTAAAATAGAGTTTTATTCATTAGTCACTGTTCCGGATCATAACATAAATTTTTAAAATACACAAAAACAAGTAACATGAACACTCTTACATCTTAATCGAATCAGTTTGTTTAAATCATGGGTTATAAATAAAACCAATCCTAGCAAACCATTTCAAGGAAGTTTTTCATTGTCTCCAATAGAGTCAGAAAAACCATATTTATATTTAAAACTGTATTTTGTAGAATACATATAAATATATGCATGTATTATACATGCACAGCATTCTTTGAAAAGTATCAATATTCAAATATCAGAATTTAATAAAATATTATTCATATAAAACCAAATTTAATTTTTGATTATTTAGAAGGAAATCAAGATAGTAAACTCATAAAATTTTACATCTAAACACAACCTATTCAAGTACCTATTCTCCCACTAGATTCCCATCGTCAGAAAGTGAATATTTAATAAGTCAATGAATAAACTGGTTTCTTTTGTAGTAGAAGGCATACACACTTAACAGATGTGATTCAACCAACTATACAAATAGGAAATATGACTAGTCAATTAGCTTACTCAGTTTCTTACATATAAAATATAGTTAGCTATACTTAAAAATTTCACTTGAAAAAACACTTAGGATAAATTATTTTCTTCTCTATACATAGGAATCAACTTGCAAGGCCAGGAAAGATATATTGCTCCTTTCATTACTCTTTTCCTCATTAATGGGCATGCTCTAAGTACTCGGCACTAGTATGTTAGATGTTGCTTTGCCATCAGGGTATATAAAAATATTGAAAATGCAGACAAAAAATAAATTTCATGCTCTTGTTTCCTTTCATGGAAGACTTAGAAGCCACACACTTAAGACAGCACCATCACTTTTATGGAAGGAGTCCAGTTCCTGAATGCTACCATGGAGCTAAGCCCAAACACTGTATGGAACATCTACATTTTCAGTCATAAAGCACGATAAATGTCCTGAAACTCAAGGAACTTATAATGTAGAACATAGCTGAAGCAGTGCATCTGTGTTATAGTACTGTCTTCTTGGAGGAAACATCTTTACAGTGAGCCAGGAAGCCCTCAAAGTGATGATGGAATTTGCGGTTGCAATCAAGTTCACTGTTTAAAAACCTCTCCTAGAAAGCCAAGAAACTAGGATCAAATCCTTGCTATTCCACTAATTAACTTGTGGAGTTGAGAGTAAACAATTAGACATTTCTAAGTCTAGTTTTCCTCATCTGTGAACAGCCAATTGTTCATTAAGTAAAAGGGGCTGGCCAATTTAGGTACTCAATACATGTTTGCTTTCAACCACCCACCCACCCACCTACTGGCACAAAGGCTCCAAACTCTACTTGTAAAATCCACCAAAAAGAAAGTTACTGCATTATATTTGTGTATAAATGGTTTTTACAACATCTATATGTTGGATTTTTTTTTTCTGCTCTCTCTGGAAAAAAATTAGTTTAAGCCTTGCTTAAGAAAAAAGAAGCTAAAGTAAATAAATCCTGACCAAGAACGCATATATTCTCAGTTTGTTTTCTGTAAGTCAAATGTTTAGAAATAGCAATGTATTTTCCCATAAAAACAAGTTTTAAGATTCTCAAGCCAGTTTATTTAAATATAGCCAAAATATATACCTAATTTGTGTTATATAACCATCAGCATTTAGCACAAAGAATTCATTGAAATATATATCCAGAGTTCTAGGTTGGGAAGATCTTGGGAGAAATAATTCCCACCAAAATTCCAGGAACTAGAAAACTGGGACTTACTTTCACCAGCCATGACTCTAATCTTCTCACCCACCAGGATGTGAGACTAAACACTGCCCGCTCTCCTGTACCCCTCCCATCCCAAACCCCAGACTACAAACTCCAAAAGCATGTTCATACAATCCCTTAGGACAAGGATGGAAATAGAGGTGATAGGGGAGAGGAAGGCAAGAAACTTAGAAGTGTCTGAAGGGTGATTTTTTAAAAGTCGAGGCACTGGGGTGTGTCCATGGAATTAAGAGGGGTTTCCTGTCTTAGTTCTCTCTTGTATATGCTGAAAAACCAAAGCAGAGTGAGGAACAAGGACTAGGTGGAGAAAGCAAGGCTGAACATGGAAGCTTTTCTACAGTTACTTCTGTGAAAGTAACTATAATTTGAAACTGGATTAAATTTTCCCTTCCCCTTCTCCTTCTCATTGCTGTACTAGTATTACACAAAGAAGCTGTGAGAAACATCTAAAAGAGTTCTTTGCATTGAGGCAGGGTGATAATGGACCACTGGAAATGAGGTGGGAAGTAACATCCCAAAGGGGATGGTAGTAACTGAGAAAATAAGAAAGTATATTTAATCCTTCTACTCTACTCTGAATTCTTTAACGACAGGTTTCACCTCCTGCCCAACTTTGCACCCTTGGTGCCTGGAAATCTGGCACACAGTAGGTGGTCAATAAATGTGTCAAATGAATGAATAAATATAACTGTAGTAGATGCTATATTCCTCATCCAGATCCCACATCATAACTGAAGGGCTTATTTTCCTAGCTATTGGAGTACTGCTGGCAGACAGCCCTCAGCTGTCAGCCGTCTTTGGGAATTACCTAGCAAAAAGGAGTCACTTCGGCCCAAGATCATACTCCTTCCTGGGGCAGCTTGCATCTAATGATTGGGGATATAAACGTCCAGCTCCTCTCACCCCAGCTTGAGACAACTCTGAGGGACCATCCCAGCTTCAGAGCTCTCCGTGTGGGTTACTGAAACTGTATCACAGTCCAACTTCTCCCATGGAAATCTGGCTTTCTTCCTTTACATGGCATTGGTCCCAAGAGGCCTCCCTAGTAAATTCGCTGTGCTCAAATTTCCATTTCAGAGTGTCTGCTTTCAGGGAAATTCAACCTGAAACAATAGTCCAAAAGAGGACCTAGATTTAAACCAGCTAAGGAAAGGTATCTGATTTCATATTAAAGGTCAGTAAATATAAAAAGGTTTTATTAAGGCTAAGGAATTAACTTTCTTTTCCAGCAATGTATTTCCATTTTAGCTACTTTAAGTAATCAACAGACCTAAGTACTTTGAGGACTGCTTCAAAAAAGACCACCTGTTTTACTACCATCTAGGCAATTAATGATAAACTGTACCAAATTCAATTTATCTAACTTAAAAGAATGCAAAAAAGAAACATTATGAATTTAGTGTAAACATGGTATAAAGCATTGCAGAGAACAGACTGCTTTTCCTGTGGATGTTAATCCACATCTGACTTGATAAGGAATTGTTTCTCCACTAAAAGCTACTAAATACATTAAGCACAGTATTTTTCATTATGATTAAGATAGTTAGAAATGCAATGCTTATATAAAAGTCACTTTTAAATTATGAAGAGTTACAAACTACCAGATCTACTTAAGGTACAACTGAATAAAAAATAAATAAATGAATAAGTAACAAAACCATTTGCTTCATCTGGGTACAGCTCCATATGTACTTAAGCTATTTTGGGCTCAAATAATACTTTAACCTTGCAAGAATGCTTGAGGTTTAACCATTAAATTGAGGCTCCAGAACTATTTCAAGCATATAAGTATGCTTTTTAAAATTTTTTTTTAGAAGACTACTTGCCAAATTACTACATAGCATGATTAGCACTAACCATGCTTTCTAATGCCACTCTATAACTCTTGCTCACAACTAAAATCTGAGAGTTTTGCCAGAGTGTACAGATACCAATATCCAGCTTTACTATAGAGGTGAAATGAGTGGACTATATATGGAAAAAGTCCGAATCTGTACTTCCTGGAATATGGCTCAAAAGGCATTTAGCAGATGTTTTATACTGGATTAGTGATTATTAATTCTATCTGTATATATTTCAGAAAACATACCTGGATTTGAATCATCTGCTCTGTGGAAATTCAAGAAGCAGCTGAGTGACACTGAACACCAGCATGCCCTTTGCCATATTACCTCATCATTATACTCTTATTTTCTTTCAATAATGCAAACATTAACTATGTAATATTTCTTGCAGAGACAGGATTTAGAAACCACAAGAGGATATTTATCAAAGAAAATGGAAACAACAGGGTGCTGAGAAAACCTGGTGCCAGTACAAATACACGCAAAACATTTAAAATAAAGTTAGTATCAGAGTTGCTATAATTACCTTCCACCAAATGTTTCATTAATTTAACCCTCAGCTTTCTTATGTTAACATAAAAGCAATCATTCAGTACCCATCTTTACCTAACACTGCTTTTACTTCATCTCCTGCATGTATTTCCTTGCTATTTGTTTCCTATTATAAGAAAACACAGGCTGGATGCAGTGTGGCTCACACCTGTAATCCTAGCACTTTGGGAGGCCAAGGGGGTGGGTCGCTTGGGCCCAGGAGTTTGAGATCAGCCTGGGCAACATGGCGAAACCCCATCTCCACTAAAAATACAAAAATTAGCCTAGCGTGATAGCGCACACCTGTAGTCCCAGCTTCTCGGGAGGTTGGGGTGGGAGAATCACCTGAACGTGAAAGGTGGAGGGTGCAGTGAGCCAGTGTCACGCCACTGCACTCCAGCCTAGGCAACAGAGCAAGACTCTGTCTCAAAAAAAAAAGAAAAAAGAAATGCATTAAAAATTAGACTTACTATTAGTTCCATATATAACAGCATAATCTTTAATCTCTTGCACAAATAAAATTAAATTAGCTTTATGAGTCATTTTATTTTTATGGTTTTTTTTTTTAAAAAGATGGTTAGTCTGCATTTCATTATTTAAAAGGCCAGTTTCCTGATCCTTTTTTCAACTACAGAGTCATCTCTTAAAATTTATGCTATGTGGAAAGTCTCAGATGTATTATGCCTTTGTCAGCTTACCATGAACACTTCCTAATGTAATATCCCCAGCAGCAGAAGACAGAAATGATGATTCTGTATAAAGATACTTGGCTTTCAGCAAACCATCTTCGGTAGATACAGTAACAGAACTTCCCTGCAGTTTATCTATGGTCACAGCCTAGTAAGAGAAAGACTAATCAGTTCATTATAAAACAAAGACTGGTAAAAAGCCAAAATGCTACCTGTGGAATCAGTGGATAACTACATAAAATGTTACTACCTAGTACACAATCACTTTATTGACTCTGATTCCCTACCTCTAATTACGAGATTCTGAGCAATAGTGCATTCTCTGCAGAATATGGAACAGATCCAATACATTCCCCCATTGACTTAGGTCTCCTTTAATTTCTCTTAATGTTTTATATGTCCTATATAAAATTCTTAATCTTTTATTAGATTTATTCCTTTTAGATATTTTTAAGTGCTATTGTACAAGGTATCTTTTAAAATTTCATTTTATCCTAATTGACTTTGTATTTGATCTTAATCCAACAACTTCACTAAAGTCACTAATCCTAATAATTTATCTGTACTTTTAAAAATTATATATGTGTTATTATACTGTCTACAAGTGATGGCTTCATTTCCTCCCTTCCAATCCTTATATTAATACTTTTTTTCCTGCTTTTTCTTTCTTTTTCTTGCCTTAACCATCTGTCTCAGGCCCGCAATTCAACAGTGAATAGCAGCTAGCAGAAGCAATGGGACAGCAGGCATCCTTGTCTTATTCCTGTTCTCAAAAGAAAAGTTTACAACATTTCACCATTAAGCATGATGTTTGCTATAGATATTTTTAAAATAATTTTTATCAGATTAAGGACATTCCCTTCTATTTCAACTTTGTTTGATTGCTTTTGCTATTTAAATCATGAATAGGTTTTGAATTTTAGCACATACTTTATCTGATTCTATTGATTTATCATGATTTTTCTCTTTTAGTACATTAATTAGTGAATACACTATTATTTCTAGAACTTTTCCACTTGACATCTAATAAGGCAGTAGCTTTCCACCAAACTAAATGGAAGGAATTTAAATTTACTATTTAATGACAGAACAAAAAGTAGATTTAAAAATCAGTATCTTCCTGACAGAGGTATTGCTATAAATTTTCTTTTCTACATGAAAAGAAAAATTTTTCACTTAGTTATTATGAATATATATGTAAATACATATATATAGTTCTTACAAATAATGAAAGCCAAGTTTTAAGGAAGTACTGTGGCTTCATAGCCCAGACTGAGAGGAAAACTGACAACTATGTCATCAATTCACCAAATAGACGAAATGGGTTTCTGTGTTCTCTGCTAAGTTATAAAACTAAACTTAGATACTGAAATTAACACAATTTAAAAACAGTCATGTAGAATAATGATGCTATTATTTATAGTGCTCATTTGATTCTCACAACCTTGTTAAGTGGACAAAGCAAATATCACCATCCTGTTTGCTGAATAATGAAACTGAGTCTCTGGGAAGCTAACTGGTAGGTCTAGAACCCGTCCAAGTTATCTTTCCTGTGATTCCTTTACCTTTATCATCATCATCGTGGTAAGCATTACATTAGACTTAGCTATGTGCCAGACGTTGTTTTAAGTATTTTACCTGTATTAACTCATTTAATCCTCTTAATAGAGGATTTTTTTAGTTTGTTCTATTACTATTACCCAATTTTCCAAAAAATTGAGACACACAGAGGTTAAGTAATTTGTCCAGTTATAGAGCTTAGTGAATGGTGGAGCCAGAATTCAAACACAGGTAGTTTGGCTCTGAATATATTCTGTGCTCTTAACTAATTCACTATATTTGTCTCTCAAATATCCAAATCACATTTCTATGAAAGTTGTGTATTAAAAGTTAATAGATTTCACAAGTATTTATTTTATGTTTTATAAAAACTACAAACTTAGAAATATACATTAAAAATCAATACTATATGTAATAAAAATAGGAAAAAAACCCTAGACTGATTCTTTAGTACATAACAAAACTCAATCAAGAAATAAAATTGTATAATAGCAAGTAAAACACATGAATATTCAATAAACCATAAACATTGGAACAAATAAATAACTGAGAGGAAACAGTGGCCAAGATATTCAAGGTAGCAAATGATTAAGATATTAAATTCTTTGATACTTATATTTGAATGCAAATGTTACAATATTCTAGTAACTTATTTCAATAACATTAGCCATCATTTACTGAGTTTGAAGGGGCTGTAAATTTGTCTAATTTCCCTCTTGCACCTCCAAGACCACAGCAATCTAAAAAGTAAAACTAAATGCCATCTCAAAAAAGCTGCAGCATAAGGCCACACAGTGTCTTTCAACACTTTCCTAGTATAATTTACAGAGTATTTTTAAATGTTTAGGTTTAAACAACCTCCCACGGGGTCTAAGAGAAAGGTGATGGAAGATAAAACAACAGAAACAATTACTGTTATAACCTACCTTGTTTAATTATGCCAACAATAATCTACATATAAAATGTGCTCACAACTCCTCCCCACCAACTCTGAAAATAAAGTGACCATGGAATATAGCAAATTTGTAGGAAGGTGATGGAAGATAAAACAACAGAAACAATTACTGTTATAGTCTATCTTGTTTAATTATGCCAACAATAATCTACATACAAAATATGCTTGCAACTCCTCCCCACCAATTATCTGAAAATAAAGCTGACTATGGAATTTAGCAAATTTATAAGAAACAAAAAAGCTCTTGCAAATTGTATAAGTGTAAAATAAAAGGAAACTTTTTCTCAAAGATACATTATCAATCACATTTTTTAAATGACAATTTATAATTCCAAAATTATACCTTTACTCTTAATACTATGCTAAATAACCAAAAGCTACAAAAGGAGTTGATTAAAAAATACCAACTATCTTCCTATAACAACAAAAATCCCAATAGCTACTATAAAAAAAAAAAAAAAAAAAAAAAAAAAAAAAAGCTGTGAGAGCAGTAAAGCTATCTAATGGTGCCACCTTGTGGAAAATACTGAAGAAAGCTGAGTTTTGAAACATCCTTCAATTTGCCTAAGGGCGAAGTAAAAAGGTCTTAGAAAATACTCAAATAAACCTAACACAAGAAAAATCCAATCCAGTTACTGGTGATATTACTTAATCATCTATTTTAATCTATGATGATAAAAATAAAAATCTTTTCAGAACTAGAGTTAAATAGTAAGCATTTAAGTTTTTATTGATTCCAGACTAGGAACTAAGTAACTGTCAAAAGTATTAAACCACAAACTAAAACTTAAGTTGTATATTATTTCATCACTTCAATTTCAAATTTGAATTTACTTATGAACTAAAATGCATTAAAAAGGGAATGTTATGCTACGAACTTTGTAGAACCTACCAACTTGGTGAGCCAAATGGAAGCAAAGTTGCAATTACTAAAAAAAAAAAGAAAGTTTCAATCTTACACTTTTATCTGATGCATGAATATCTATATTTCCATAAACTGTTCCCAGACAGATCACTTTGCCTCCTTTTGTTTGAACATGCAATTTTTGACCCTGAAAGACAAATTTAAAAATACATATAGTGAAAAAGAGAGTAAGTGTGACTTATACTAGTGAAACATTTTCAATATTTCTGTATTAATACTGACAAAGCAACAAAAGAACAATAAGGAATGAAATAGAAACTCACTGCTTCGAATAATGACATCAACTGGAAAAAAATGTCAACTGCTGTTAAAGGGATTAAATAAGCCACTTGGACTCTAAGGGAAAAACAAGAGATACTTGGGTATTCTGGTAGCTTCACTGATGAAGGACTTGGGAATCAAAAATCACTGTGACCAGCTAACTAAATATCCACAGTGATGAAGATGACAATAATAATCAGTTACTATTCATCATTAATAACAATAATAGTTATCACTTATTTGGCATTTTCTCTGCACCAGATACCATGTTAGCTACTTCACATGAACTATCATTTAATCCTCACGACAAACCAGAGAGATAAGTATTACATTTTTCCCATTTTACAGAGGAAGAATGCCAAGATTCAGAAAGGTAAATCACTTTATCAGGGTGACACAGAAAAAAACCCAAAATCTAAAGTAACAATTAGAATCAAGTTCTGTATGATTCCAAAGCCCACACTCTTAACGCTGGACCGGTCTGAAGGACAGAATACACATTAGGTTAACAGCCCACTTAAACCTTCTAGCACAACACATCCCAGAAACTAAGTAAAAATGCCTCCGAGCACAAAACAGCAGTCACAAGCCAGTTAGCCTATTCTGCAAGACAGAAAACAAAAGTATGTGTATGTGTGTGTGTGTGAGTGACTTGATTTTGGACTTGAGAACTATGGCAAACACTACTATTGGCTCATCAAAATCCATTTTTTTCCAAAGTAAAAGCAGTATAGCTTGACCCATGGCAAGACCACATTTTCCAGCTTCCTTTACCTCTTAGGTGTTGTTAAGTTGTTACCAACATAACGTAAGTGGAAATGCTATATGCCATTTCCAGGTTGGTGCTTTTAGAACAAGTGTGCCTTCTCTGTGCTCTTCTCATTCCACCAAGTGGGTCCAGAATATAACAAGGCTCTAAAAGATGGCAGAGCCGGAAGACGGAAGGAACCTAGAATCACTGAATGAAAAAGACCCACCCATACACCTGGACACAAGTAAGAAATAAACTCATATTATATATGAGCCATTAGATGTTTGGTCTATTGTTTTTTGTTTTTGTTTTTAGACAGAGTCTCGCTCTGTCGCCCAGGCTGAAGTGCAGTGGTGAGATCTCGGCTCACTGCAAGCTCCACCTCCTGGGTTCAAGCGATTCTCCTGCCTCAGCCTCCCACGTAGCTGGGACTACAAGCGTATGCCATCACGCCAGGCTAATTTTTTGTATTTTTAGTAGAGATGGGGTTTCACCGTGTTGGCCAGGATAGTCTCGATCTCTTGACCTCGTGATCCACCCGCCTCAGCCTTCCAAAGTGCTGGGATTACAGGCATGAGCCACTGCACCCGGCCTAGTCTGATTTTTTTTTAGAGTAGTTTATTTTCCCTTAATCATTATATATGTCTTTAGTTTTATTACATAAAGAGATATGGATCACTTGAGCCCAGATGTTTTCCCTTAATCATTATATACGTCTTTAGTTTTGTTACATAAAGAGATATGGATCACTTGAGCCCAGATGTTTGAGGATTCAGTGAGCTAGGATCGTGCTACTGCACTCCGGCGTGGGCAACACATCAAGACCCTGTCTCTTAGAGAAAAAAAATCTGTACTATAGCATGGTTAACTACGTTATGCCCAGAGACATGAGTCTGAAGTCAAATTATATTTAATATACTCCTTATCAAATATGTGATAAACCTTTGAAAAGACTATCCACAAAGCACTTTTTTTTATTTTTTAATTATTTTAATTATTTTTATGTACAGAAAACACAACAGTGTACATTTAACCCAGTTTAGTGGCAAGTTCTTTAGCCTTTGCCTTTTCGAGCTTGGCAATGTGAGCCACAGACTTGGGACCCAGGACATTGCCGTCCCAGTGACAGTGGGTCTCATCGTATCTGGCATTGTAATTGGTCCCGATAGCTTCCATCAGCTTAGCCAAAGCTCCTTTGTCTTCTGAGTTAACCTGTGTGAAGTCGACAGTGGTGTAGGTCTTCCTGTGAACTAGACATCCCAGTCTTGCCTTCCCCTTGATAATGCAGCAAGTGGCTCCCATTTTATGACACAGGACAGGCAGGAAAACAGTCAGCTCAATGGGATCCATGTCGTGTGCAGTCACCACCAGCGGAGCTTTCTTGTTATCCACAAAGGTGGTGATGGTGTTAACTCCTGCTCGAAAGACAGGTGGTCTCTTAATGGGGAGGTCCCCTTTGCCCACAACTCTGCCTGGGCCAACAGCCTCCGCTTCTTCTCTTGCTTTGTCTCTGGTCTGTATTTGTGGGCCAGCTTAAGCAGCTGAGTAGCTGTTTGGCCTTCCAGGGCCTGGGTGAACTGGTTAATCGCAGGAGGCACTTTCAGCTGCTTATAGAGTATGGATCTCTGCCATTGCAACCTGATATAGCGGGGCCATTTCACAAAGCAGGTGAGGTCTCTTTTGGGCTGGATGTCCTGTCCAATGCCAAAATTCTTAGGCCTTTTCTCAAACAGGGGATTCACCACTTTCTTGGCCTCCTGCTTCTTCACAAAAGCAGGGGCCAGAGCCAACTTCTTCCCCTTGGCCTCCTTTCCTTTCGGCATCTTGGGCGACGGGAGGCGCACACTTGTTGTTTTAAGTCAAGAACTCTTAACCAAGCTCACATGAACTTACAAAATTATAAGTAAAATTTCATAGACATGCATTTTTTTCTTCTTAAGGAGACAATTAGATTTTCTAAGAGGTCTAAGGTTCAAAAATAGTAAGAGCTACTGTTATAATTTAAAGCTCATCTAATTCCCCAAAAAATGTGAAGTTGATTATAGAATTTTTAAAAACATAAAACCAAATAGTTAAATGTTTAAATAAATCAGAAATTATTTAGAAAATAAATTATACTGCATTTAAAAAATGCAAATGTGTGACATTCAATTAGTTAAGGGTCTGTTGCCTAAAAAATGCACTTATCTTATTCCCTAAGGATGCTGTACAAATGTGGTCTTACCATATGTTTTGTCAGGACAATAAATAAAGGTGGAAAAAGCATGAGCTTGGAAATCAGAAAGACCCAAGGTCAAATCCCAGCTCAATTTTTTTTAGCTATGTGAACGCAAGTGAGTTCCTCAATCTCTTGGTGCCTTCTAGTTTCTTCCTTGATAAAATGGAGAAAATTCAAGGATTAAATGAAGGTTTAGCTAAGATTCCTGGTACATAATAAGGACTTATTAACAGTAGTTATTATTATTGCTATAAAAATTTTATTATGTAGGGCTGAGCACGGTGGCTCATGCCTGTAATCCCAGAACTTTGGGAGGCCAAGGTGGGGCAGATCATGTGAGGAAAGGAGTTCAAGACAAGCCTGGCCAACATGCCTGGCCAAAATTAGCCGAGCATGATAGCGGGTGCCTGTAATCCCAGCTACTCGGGAGGCTGAGGTGGGAGAATCACTTGAACCCAGGAGGCGGAGGTTGCAGTGAGCCAAGATCGTGTCATTGCACTCCAGCCTGGGCAACAGAGTGAGACTCCGCCTCAAAAAAAAAAAAAATTTTTTTTATTATGTAGGTCAACTATATTTCAAGTCCTTAAGTTAATGAAAGAGACACATATCAACAGGTGACCACTAATTCAAGGTAATGATATTATTGTACGATACTTAAAACTTAAACCAGATATTTTACCAAAGTGTTCTCATTTGTGAATTGAAGTTAGTTAAATCCTATGATCTCAAGGATAATTCTCTTAACCCTTGGTATACCATTAGTATCCACAGGCGTAATTTTTCATGAATTTCTTGTTTTGAGCTATTTTATTTGTAAGAACTGATATTTCATGATTTCTGTTATTTCTTGGGAGGTCTTTCAAGGAATAAATAGAAAATGTACTTACTTTTAAAAAAATAGAACAAAACTCTTTCTATCCTGTAATTACCATTAATTGGTCCATTGGACTTTTATAAACCTGAAATACATTATGGGATAATAGTGTTCTTATTTTTAATTTTTTTTTTTGCTAATTCATCATCCTAGGAGTTATTTCATCATTATTCATAAATTATTCCCAACTATGTTTTTTAAAAAAACTAAATAAGAAAACAGAAGAATGATGGACTTGCATAAAGCAGTCGTTCTCAACTGGAGATGATTTTGTCTCTAGAAGATATTTGGCAATGTCTGGAGACATTTTCCCTTGTCACAACTGAGGAGCATGCTACTGGCATCTAAAAGGTAGAGGCCAAAGATGGTGCTAAATATCCTATACTGCACAAGACAGGCCCCCACAACAAATCACCTGACTGAAAAGGTTTGTATTGCCAAGGCTAAGAAACCACTTTTAATTTTATGCCTACAATGGCATAAAAGAAGAAAATCAACAGAGAAAGATCTTTCAGAACTATCAGATTAATCAAAACATAAATGCAGAGACAGCAGTATACTAGATTCTAATTTTGATTGTGAAATTGGAAATCTCAAACTCTTGAGTCTTCAGAGGACAAGTCTAGATTAGTTTTCTGAAACTTAAGTATCAATGACTGAACAAAATATTTCTAAGGACAAAAAAGAATTATGATATCCTCACCTAGTCATTCAACATGAAGACCTTATTACACAATCTTTTACAACAAGAATCTGAACCAACTTATTTTGCTAAAAGGACTTGTGATGGTAATGTTAATCTTTTATGATATTTGTGCCAAAAATTTATTTGAACTGATTCATATGTGGACACATGCTGATGGCAGATACGCAAATAAAGGTGGATGAAAGAAAAAATATGTAAAAATTAAAAATGCATCAAATTATTCTAACTAGTGTTTAGAAATCTAAAAATGAAAATATTTTGCAATTATGAAGCAAAGATGACTGACTTCAACAAAATTGCATGCTTTCAAAGTTCACAAAAGTATCAAGTTTTGACTATGCAAATGCAAGAAGCACTAAGAGTAACAATAAGCTAGCACCTATCAGAGAGGTATTTCAAACTATTTACAGCTAACACCAGTCTAATCTTTAAAAAATTAAATATAGGTCAGTCATGGTGACTCACACCTGTAATCCCAGCACTTCATGAGCCCAAGGCAGGAGGATCACTTGAGCCCATGAGTGCAAGACCAGCCTGGGCAATACAGTGAGACACTGTCTCTACAAAGAAAACACTAAAAAAAAAAAAAAAAATTAATTACAGCCGGACGCAGTGGCTCATGCCTGTAATCCTAGCACTTTGGGAGGCCAAGGCAGGCGGATCACGAGGTCAGGAGATCGAGACCAGCCTGGCCAACATGGTGAAACCCTGTCTCTACTAAATATACAAAAATTAACTGAGTGTGGTGGTGCATGCCTGTAATCCCAGCTACTTGGGAGGCTGAGGCAGGAGAATTGCTTGTACCAGGGAGTCAGAGGTTGCAGTGAGCTGAGATTGCACCACTGCACTCCAGCCTGGTGACAGAGTAAGACTCCATCTCAAAAAAAAAAAAAAAAATTTTAATTACAAAACAAGATGAATCATATGTTACTTTGCACAAATAACTACTTAATCCTTAAGTAATGAGCTACCTGGTACATTAAAAATGTGATTAAAGTCATCTAATATTTAAGCACATTTATAGTGCATAAAGATTCTTCCTTACTCTTTAATAAAATGGAAGAAAATCATTTGTGGAAACTAAAATTTCTTTAGTAAGATTTCAGAATACTAGGAAAATACTATTAGTTTCACTGTACACTTTGAAATTAAATCCAAAAGAAATTTGAGGCAAAACCTCAAAACTGCTATAACCTCTGTACTTTACTAGAACTGATTTCAAGGCAAAATGTTTGCCAAGGACTTTCTGAGAGATGAATGAATGACAATGTTCTGAAAAACAGAAGAATCTCTTGAGTTTGATAGTACGATTCATAGCTTAAGGCTTTTAAAAAAATAATAGTGAAATAAAATTAGAAAAATGCTATACCTTAACAGACTGCAAGATACTAGTCCCATGCTCTGTTTCAATTTTGCAATTATCACCCTCAATACTTTGAACTTTTACACAGCCAGACCCTGATGACTTGATATCTAAACCTAGAAGTAAAAAAAGAAAAAAGCAAGTTAGTACTGCAGTTTATAAGCTCCAAAGCATTTTAACCTAGAAACCCAACTCCTCAGTTATGTCCGTAATATTGCTGAATCCTGGAAAGTGCATACTGTAAAGGTAAGGGGTCTTCTACCACAGCAACGGGACCAAAAACAATAGCCTTTCTGCCCGTTTTTAGAAACAGAGCAGTTATTTCTACTGGCCTAAATCACCTAAAGAGAACTAACATAGATGGGAAGTAAAGGAGACTACGATTCTGTTAAGTACTCCTGTGAAAGACTGTAGAAGCCTCTTCCCCAGTATATATGATCATGACTTAGGTTTTCAAATCCTATGTCTAACCTTTCATACTTAAAAAATGAAAATATTACCATGCAACTATATCACAGGTATTTGAAGTAATTTTTTAAAAATGGGAACAACTTTGAAAAAGCTAATATATACTATTAAAACTACAAGATTAGGCCATGAGCAGTGGCTCATGCCTGTAATACCAGCACTTTGGGAGGCCGAGGAAGGAGGATTGCTTGAAGCCCAGGAGTTCAAGACCAGCCTGGACAATGTAGCAAAACTCCATTTCTACAAAAAAACAAAAACATTAGCCGGGCATGGTAGCATGCACCTGTAGTCCCAGCTACTCAGGAGGTGGAGGCGAGAAGATTGCTTAAAACCGTGAAGTCAAGACTGCAGTGGGCCATGATTGTGCACCTGTACTCCAGCCTGCGTGGCAGAGTGAGTGAGATGCAGTCTCAAAAAAAACCAAAACAAACAAACAAAAAACCCCACAAGATTGTGGACAAATGGCAGTGGTATATGAAGCAAGTTTGGAAAATAAGGAATTACAAATGCCATCCTTGGCTGTCTATTTAAGATGTAACTGCAGGCATCTCTGTATACAAATTTTAAAAATTAAAAACGCTGATATTTAATTTGGAATTAACATAAATATTGATGATTTCTCTTAAAGTAGGCAAGACCCGCCCCCCCACTTGATTCCTGAAACCACAAATAGTACCAAATCCTATATATTCTATGTTTTTTCCTGTATACATATCAATGATCAAGTTTAATTTATAAACTAGGCATAGTAAGAGATGAACAATAATAACAAATACAGCAATTATAACAATATACTGTAATAAAAGTTATATTACTGTGATCTGTCAAAATATCTTAATATTTTCCTACAACAGCTGAGGCAGGTAACAAACTGAGACAGCCAAACGGTGGATAAGGGAGGACTACGGCATCTACTATTTGGGCAACTCTAAGCATTATAAAAGATGATCTTAAAAATGCTAAATGCTATTATTATTACTATCATCATCATCATCAATATCTTCCATCAGTCCCAGGAAGAATGACAGTCTGGGGAGCCCTTCCTAGAAAAGTGTGTGTACACAGTGGCTTGCCATTTAGGAAAAGCTAAGAAAGGTATCTTGCAGGCATTATTATTGAAGCTTCCTAGGCAGGCTTACCATGTGTTTTTCTTCAAAGCTTGCTACTCATGGAAAACTTAGGCCAAAAAGAATGGAAATATAACAGTAAGAAGCTGGGCGCCCGTCTAAAACCAAATACTCAAACCAGGTGATACCCGGAACATCCTATTGACAGGGCTGTTTTGGGACAGACCCCCAGGCTGTGAGCAAGATGAAATGTAGATGGACTGCCATACCATTGAATGAATTGTCAAGAAACTTCAACCTTGAAAAATAAGCCAGTTTGCTAATGACAACGGGATAAAGGAGAACACAAGCGGCTCCAGAAATAGAATTTGACCTGGATTATACCAAATCATGTTTCCATTCGATGTATAAAATTTCTATAATTGGGAACCTAATTTTTAAATACTACTCGGACACTCAAGAACAGAACAGAGGAAAAGGTGCATTTCCGAAGGGGCCAACTGTAAATTAGGTTTAGAGAGCCAGGACCAATTAAAAGTGCACGTCGACCACATTTATTAAGTTCACTGTGCGTTCCCTGGGACCCAAACCCGTTTTCACTTCACTTCACTTGCCAAACTTCAGGGGCGCGTTCACCTCCACGGACGCCTGGGGGTGGATAGTATCAGACACAATGGCCATCTCCTCCAGATCCTCGTCGTACTTCACCTGCAGGCCGTCCAGGCCCCGCACGCCGCCCTCCACGCCGCACACCGCGACCAGCACGCGGTCGCCATCCGGGTAGGTGAGGGGGTCCAGGGGCCTCACGGCCAGGTGGCACGGGAGCCGCGCCCGCAGCCGACCAAACGGGCTCACCTGCAGTGTCCACTCCTTCAGAGTTCGGCGCCCCGGGCCAGGCGGAGGGACCTCAGTCTCCGATCCGGGCCAGCGCTCGCTCCCACCTGAGCTGTACGGCCTGGCTTGGCAAGCCCAGCAAGCCCAGCGCCCAGCGCCAGCCCACAGTCGGACCTGACGGAGACAGAGACGGAAGCAGCCAAGCTCCCAACCTGAGCAGGGGGCAAGCATGGCGCGCCTCTCTCGCCAGTCCTCAGAACACTTCAGCCACAGGGAGGGTCACTTGCCACGGCCAATCGACTTGGCCACTGTGCCGCCTCAAGTCAAATAGGAGACGTAAGTCAGGGTTTGCTGAAACAAGAGCGAGCCGGTTGGCTTGACTAGGCGTTCTAAACATCAGCCGCGCAATCCCCAGGGGCAAGTTGGGATTTGAAAGCTCTAAACTCTGACCTGGACCCCTTGCCTAAGTCCACCCCCTTTCGCTAAGGCCGACGGGATAGGTAGTTCTAAGTCGCAGAGCTCTGCCTCTTAGAAACCACATTTCCCAGGAGGCAATGCGCAGGGGAGCACGGGTAAGAGGGTAGGTGTTAGAATCGCTGGAAAGGCGGGCGCCCTTTGTCTCAAGACCATTGGCTATTGGAGGGGCGGTACATGGGAGTCCACTGGCCAATGGGAAGCACGGAAGGGGCAACGCGGGTAAAGCTGCGTGGTCACCTTGGATACCAAGCACGCGACTTCTTGGTTGGAGAGGGTGGAGCTTTGGAGTGAGACCCAGGACGCCAAATCCCAAAGAGAAAAATAGGAGCCTAAATAAGGATCAGGACCAAGGGAAGGGGTAAGAAACTGCGCTTTTTAAGATGACAACTAGGTGCAAACTAGGAGTAACCTCTGTGGATGTCAACATCCAAGCTTCACTAACTTAGTGAGGGCATCTCCAGGGCATGGAGAATGCCTTGGTAAGAAAGTAAAGAGCAAGATTGGTGCTTTTTGAGGGAATTGCCTCTTTGGAAGTGTATTCCCTCCTATATTCCAAATATAGGAATAGAGTACTTGCTCCGTCCTGACCCTAAGTGACCTTACTTTGGGTTTTAATTTGCTCACTTTAAAAATGTAGATAATAATACCTTCCTTGCCTTGCCTCAAAGGGTTTTTGTAAGGATCAAGTAAGAAAATGGATGGGACCGTGGTGCACAGTCTACAAAATTACCGTGTAAAGAACTGTATTTTTATTTCAACGTACTTAACATTGATTCTGAGTTACCAAGAAAATTATGAGAGATCAGAACTTGTTTTGAGAATAGCATTGATCTCTTTGACTACAAATGATCCTCAGTTTTAGAGTGAAAAAAAAAAAAAAGACACAAAAAAGAGAGTCACCATGGTGCGGTGGAAAGAGCAGGGACAAGGGTCAGGTTATTTTCCTGGCTCTGCCACTGCTTCATCTGTGTCACCTAGACCTGTTTCTTTAGTTTTAAAATGAAGAAAGATGGTTCTAAATGACCCTATAAGGGGTGTGTGTGTGTGTGTGTGTGTGTGTGTGTGTGTGTTTACCTTTTATAATTCTATAGGCAGTAAAATAATGGGAACAGAAAGATTTATTTTCTTCTTTTTTCTTTTTTTCTTCTTTCCTGCCTGGTTTCTCTCTCCCCCTCTGTGCCCCTACTTCCTCCTAAAATGTATTCCCTAAATTATTTAGCCAAGACACCTGCAAACACTAACATTTCATAAAATGCAAGTGCCTTAAAAAATAGAAGCCCTTACCCAAGTACAATGACCAGAATTCTTGGGGCTATCGTGATAGATAGACTGGGCTAAAGTTCTCATGGGTACAAGTCTCAGGTTCTCTGCTAGCCACTACCTTTTTAAAATTTTTAAAAATTCAGTGTTCTCTTAAGTTATCATTGCCTCTTTTCTGTCCTTCTAGTCCTTCCTCCCTCCTTATTCTTTTGGTGAAGACTCACTCATTATAGGTGCTAGCTCAGGTTCAGCAAGGGCCCACTGCAATAGTTCTTTTCTTGTCTTTGTGTTTCATTGGTTATAATTATTCAGAATAATCTTCAAACTATTTTTTATGAAAATTGAGAGGTGTAACTTTGAAAAGAAATTTGAAAAAGGCACTGGTTTAAGGAAGTTGAGAAGGTACTCAAATTTTCTGTAGAAACACTAGACATTTTTAGATTAAATATTAATTCTAATAGTTAATTCTGTGTCTATGGTAATTTTTCCTTTTCTGAGACAAACTAAGTTAATGGAATTGGCAACTGAACTATAATTTTCTATGTTGCATGATCATTATTTTACTTTTTCAAATAAAAACCAAATAGAATTGACTGAAAATTTACTTTGCTGATCATACAATGTTGAAAATGGAGAAAATTATTAATATTAAGATTGGCATAAAATATTTAAAGTTATAGACACTTAAAAACAGTATAATGAGTATCAAATCTGTCCACATATCAACAGTGATTAATAAAAGTTGTATCTTCCATCCATATGACATTATAATTGTCAAACCATGTTCACATGCGTCATCTCAATGTATCCTCACTAATTAGGAGGGAAATTATTCTCCTCACACTATAGATGAGGATTCAGATTCAGAAACATTAAGATTAAGCAATTAGAAGGTCTGGCCCTTTTATCACTCTACCAAAACGTCCATTTTCCTGACACCTTTGAAGAAAAAATGAAATTATTCACCTCATAAGTAGAAAATTATATACAACTTTTTTCTCCTTATTTAGAGTTTGTTTCTAAGATATTTTCACATCTTAGTTTTAAAAAGCTATTTCCGTGGTCATGAACATATACTTCTGGTAGGAGTGTTAAGTTAGCACAAAATTTTTAGAGTTCAATTCAGCAATAAGAATGAAAAGCTTTTTCTATGACTCAGAAATTGTGCTCTTGGGGATGTAAGCATAAAATTAGGTATGCTCAAGGAATTACGTTTTATAGGGTTACTTGTAAGAGAAAATAATTGCATCAATTTAAATGCTCCCTGGCCAGGTGCAGTGGCTCATGCCTGTAATTTCAGCACTTTGGGAGGCTGAGACGGGTGGATCACCTGAGGTCAGGAGTTCAGGACCAGCCTGGCCAACACGGTGAAACTCCATCTCTGCTAAAAATTAGCTTGGCGTGGTGATGGATGCCTGTAATCCCAGCTACTCAGGAGGCTGAGACAGGAGAATCATTTAAACACAGGAGGTAGAGGTTGCAGTGAGCCGAGATCACACCACTGCACTCCAGCCTGGATGGCAAGACTGAAACTCTGTCTCAAAAAAAAAATGTTAAATGCTCGCAAATAAGACAGTATTACATAAATTAGTATATAGCTGATATATTATGCAACAATTTAAACATTATATCTTGATATGGGAAATAGTCCATATATAAAGTGAAAAGAATATATACAAAATTGCACGTATAGTATGATCTCAATTGTGTAATAATAATAATAAATTTAACATAAAATTATACTTTACAGAAACAATTCCAGAGGGATATGTACCACTTGATAACAGTTGTTATCTTTAAGCAGTGATATGATGAGTGGTTACTGCAATTTTTTGTGTGTTATCAATAGTGAAAATATATTACATTTATAAGAAAACAATTTTAAAGCATTTCTTAGCATATATTGTTTCCTAAAACTGACTCAAATAATCAGATGGGCAGAAGATTTCTTACCATCTAGACATAAATGTCAACGAATATTTTATTTAATGATTTATGTTCAATAAATGGACAGCAGAGGTCATAAGAGAGTTTTCAGAAGAAAAGGTAACCAAAACAAAGACTTCAGCAATTTAGCTTAAGAGAAAAGCCATAAGAACTTAACTTTCTGAATTATAAACTATTTAAAAAGAGATATATCTTATGACTTCTATTATTCTTATGAAATATTAATAAACTCAACAATCTTAACTAATAACTATCAACATTGAGAAGTATTTAATGACTATATATAGGTACTAATTCTATTTGAAATCTCTATGTGAAACTGCAAATAGACAGTTTTATTTCTTCCTTTCTCTGTATGGCTTTTCTTTCCTGGTGTTATTGCACTGGCTAAGACCACCACTACAATATTGAGTTGGAGTGGCAAAAGCAAAAATCCTTGATTTATTTCCTATTTATGAGGGAAATTTCAACAACAATTAGGAAGTTAGCGGTAGATTTTTAAAGATGCCCTTTAGCAAGTTAAGGAAGTTTACTTTCTAATTTGCTTAGACTTTTTATCATAAGTGAATGTTGCATTTTGTCAAATGCTTTTTCTGTGTCTATGAAGATGATCATATTGTTTTTCTTCTAATTTATTGATATGGTGTATTACAGTGATTGTTTTTCAAGTGTTTCATTCCCTCAATAAGCTACATTTCATCATGTTATTGTCAGGGAGTTTTGCGTTGCCAATTTCCTGGCCAGAAACCTCTGTGGCCACAGCACCTTTGCCCGAATTCTTGTCCTGCATCCAGGAAGAATGAGGTACGCAGACAAGTGAAGGGTGAACGAGACGAAGATGAGCTTTATTAAGTGTTACAAGAGCTCAGAGGAGACCCACAGTGGGTAGCTCCTCTCTGTAGGAAGATCATCTGTCCAGCATTCAGTTCTCATTAGAGAGGTGGCCCTGGAGAGGGTAGCTCCTCTCTACTACTGGTTGTCCTGATGTCTGCAGCTCTCAGTGGAGAGGAGGCCCTGGAGAGGGTGCCTCCTGTCTGCTGGCAGGTTGTCTCTGAAGCTCTCGGCAGAGACGGTAGCTCCTTTCTGCAGCTGGTCCTTGTGTAGTCTGTCTACCCTCTTCGTCCTTTGGCCATCCTCTGCCCTGCTCTGGCTGAGTCCAGGGCTTTTATGGACCTCAGAGGGGAGGAAGTTCATGCTGATTGGTCCATGGGCAGCCATGGGCTGCTGGAAGAGGCCCCATGAGTCCCCAAACTGGTATGCAGTACTGGCAGTTGGCCCCCAGCCTTCAGGCCCTTCCTGGACTGAAGGTAGAGCCTTACTGGGGACCTGCCCCCTTCCACCCAAGAATCTGTCTGCCTCCCGCTGCCATTCATGGCCCCAGGGCTCAACCCCAACCCCACTCCAAGATCTGAGCCAGCTCCAGGAGAGGAGAGAGGTCAGGAGAGGAGAGAGGTCAGGCAGCGGGAGCAGACACCCCAAGCCTGCAGGGATAGGGGGGCCTTCCGGGGCACCAGAGGGTACAGGCTGCAGAGATGCCTGGGTCCCGTGGGTGAGAGGGCAGTGGCAGCTGCACCCAGGGAGCTCCCGCAGGCCAACTCAGCAGGGGCAGGATTCCCCAGCTCCTGCCTGCTCCATGTTGTGGGAGGCCCAGGTCTGCAGCTGCTGGTCAGGCGGCTGCAGCTGCACCCAAGAGGGCAGATCCTGCCTGTTCCCAGCCCCACTTCAAGAGCGCAGGGAGGCTCGGATCTACAGCTGCAGTTTGGGCGGCTGTAGCACCGTCCAGGAGGGTGGGGCTCCTGACTGCCCCATGGAGTGGGAGGCCTGGGTCTGCAGTCCCAGCCTTTCCTCCCTGCTGCAGCCAGCGTGATGGCACCAGCCACTGCCATCATTATCTTTTCTATAAATTGCTAGATTCAACTTGCTAAATTTGTGAGGATTTTTACATTTTATTTTCATGAAGGATATTGGTCCAAAGTATTCTTTCATGTCTTTTTCTGGTTTTGATATTAGGGTAAAATTAGAAGGGCAAATGTTGCCTCTTTTATTTTATGGAAGATTGTTAGAAAATTGTTAATATGGTTTAGTTTTATTTGTCCTGCTCAGAAGTCAATATGCTTTCTTTGTCTAAAGTCTCCAATTTATAAACCTTCAGCATGTCCTTGCTCTTTCTATTCTTTACTTTTGGAGCTCTCATTTAGACATGTATTTTAATTTCTCATTCTGTCATCCATATCTCTTAACTGTGTTTATATGATTTATGCCTCTTCATCTTTTTGTATTTCATTCTGGATGATTTCCTCAAATCTATGTTCTAATTCATTAGAACATCTTTGCTAATGAATCTTTGCTAATCCAATCTTTGCTAATCCATTGTTTAATATCTGCATTGAATTTTTCATCCCAATGACTATATTATCATTGCTAGAATATTTATTTGGTTCTTTAAAAAATCTGTTTTCTCTTATTTTAAACTGCCCCGTTTATTTTACTGTGGTTTCTTTACCTTCTCTTGCCTTTTTAATTATTTTAAACATACTGATGCAAAATTATTCTAGTCTGTTCTGTTATGAGGTTGCTGTTTCTCTTTTGCTACATAAACAAACTCTGTCTCATGGTGGTTTATTTCTTGTCATGGCGTATAAATTTTTATTTATAGCTCATCTTCAGCGGGAGTTCTCTTTTCTGAAAATCCTTTACATTCTAGATTACAATAAAATTTTTCTTGTTCCCTGTAGAACAATTTTGGATTTGCTTCAGTCAGAACTCGACCAATTTCCATGGTCATGGGCCAGGTTTTCGATTTTTATTTTCTTTTATTTTTGCTTCATTTCCTTCTGTGCAAAGTAATTCATTCATACAAAAGAATAAAGTATGAATAAAGTCTAAAGAATAATAGTAAAAAGAACATCTTTATGCCTAACACCCAGTTTAAGAAATAAGACATACCAATAAGTTTCAGTTTCCTTGTTTCTTTTTTCCTCCTTTATCTTCTGGCTTTCACTTAAAAGCAGGCTGAATTGAGAACTGTGTAGAAGAAAAGGGGCTCCTGCCACACAGAAATTGTAGGGAAATCCCGATTTTTTTCTTTCCGTTTTGGTCTGCTGGCCCTGCCACAAAGCCAGCTCCAAACATAGATTTGCACTGCCACTGCCAGGCTGTGAGGTTTCCTAAGAATAAAAGAGAGCACTGTCTCTCTGAATAGAGGAACTGGAAAGAGAGTGTGTGAGGGAATCCCGATACTCTTTCTCTTTTTTTCTTGATATTTTACCTCGAGGGCAGCCCCAACTACTTAGAAGTGAATGGCAGCATAAGGCAAAATCTTTAAGACAGCCTGATCCTTTTGGCCATAACAAAGGGGGCCCACAAAAACTGTAAAGTGTAGCAGAAATCCCATGTAGGAGAGAACTAGAGAAGGTGATCCTAATTCTATGCTTGAAACTATGTAAGTAACAGGGTCAGCCCTACTCCTGCACAAACATGGAGTACAGTAGGCCCCTCTTATCTTTGGCTTTGCTTTCTGAGGTTTCAGTTTCCCATGATGAACTGCAGTCTGAAAATATTAAATGGAAAATTCTGGAAATAACTTGTAAATTTTAAATTGCACACAGTTCTGAGAAACATGATGAAATCTTGCACTGTCTCACTCCAGTGTGCAGCATATCCACACTGTCTACCCTACCCACCCAATTGTCACTCAGTAGCTTAGCTGTTTTGGTTATCAGATTTGCTGTTGTGATATCTCAGTGCTCATATTCAAGTAACCCTTATTTTACTTAATAATGGCTCCAAAGCACAAGAGTAGTAATGCCAGCAATTAGGACATACCAAAGAGAAGCCATAAAGTATTTCCTGTGAGTGAAAAAGTGAAACATTCTCAATTTAATAAGGAAAGAAAAAAACTATATGCTGAGATTGCTAAGATCTAAGGTTAGAATGAATCTTCTGCCTGTGAAATTGTGAAGAATGAAAAATAAATTAGTTCATAGTGTATACAGAGTTTGGTACTAATCCTGGTTTCAGTCATCCACTGGGGATCTTGGAACATATCCCCCATGGATAAGGAGATACTACTGTAATCTCTACTGATCTGTCTTCAAGTTCACTGATCTCCTTGTTCAAATCTACCATTGAACCCCCCCAGCGAATTTTTCAATTATTATAATTTTCCACTTAGGAATTTCAATTTGGTTTCCTAAAAATTTCTACTTATTGATATTCTCTGATGAATTACATCGTACTCTTCTTTAATTCTTTAAATATGGTTTCCTTTCATTCTTCAGACATATTTATAATATCTGCTTTGAAGTCACTGTTAAATCAGACACCTGCCCACTAGTCATTTCGTAGCCATCTCAGTTATCAGATCAACTGTTGATGTATCTCAGTGCTTGCACTCAACTAACCCTATTTTACTTCATAAGGGCCCCAAAGTACAAGAGTAGTGATGCTGACTACTTGGATATACCAAAGAGGAGCCATAAAGTGCTTCCTTTAAGTGAAAAAGTGAAAGTTTTTGACTTAATAAGGAAATAAAAAAATCATATGCTGAGGTTGCTAAAATCTATGATAAGAACAAATCTTCTATTTGTGAAATTGTGGAGAAGACAATTTTGTACTAGTTTTGCTATCACATCTCAAACTGCAAAAGTTATAGCCACAGTGCCTGTATAGGATATATAGGGTACTATCCACAGTTTGAGGCATCCACTGGAAGTCGTATAAACGCATCCCATGCAGATAAGGGGAGGACTACTCAAGAAAACATAGTTAAGGCTTTGAGAAATGAACTATGATAAAAATACCACAAAGGTCTCAGAACAACTCGCGAGTGTTGCATGTAATGTACAGACCCAAAGAACATAGCAAAGGCTTTGAAAACTAAATATTGAAATTACTGTCCCTGAAGGCATGACAGAACTTGTGATCTGAGCCTAACCAGATTGATTACTTACTAAAACAAACAAACAAAAATCAGTATCTTTAGAAGATTTTAACAGGACCCAGAGCTTCATAGCCAGCATAATATCCTTTTTTTTTTTTTTTTTAAACGGAGTCTCACTGTGTCATCCAGGCTGGAGTGCAATGGCGCAATCTCGGCTCACTGCAACCTCTGCCTCCCAGGTTCAAGCGATTCTCCTGCCTCAGGTTCCCAAGTAGCTGGGAGTACTGGTGCATGCCACCACACCTGGCCAATTTTTATAGAGACGGGGTTTCACCATGTTGGCCAGGCTGGTCTCAAACTCCTGACCTCAAGTGATTCTCCCACCTTGGCTTCCCAAGGCTGGGATTACAGGCATGAACAGCATAATAGTCAAATTGTCCATCTTAAAATCCCAAATTACTCAACATATCAGAAACAGGAAAATCTGGCCAAAATTTTCAAAGGAAAAGTTACCACCCCCAAATTATCAAAGACTATTTACAATCGCCAAAAACCTTGAAACAACCCAAAGGTCTCTCAAATGTGAGTGGAAAAGCAAACTGTAGTACATCCACATAATGGAATGCTGCTCAGTAATAAAAAGCGACAATTGGTACACACAACAAAATAGATAAAAATCTCAAGAACAGGCCGGGTGCAGTGGCTCACACCTGTAATCTCAGCACTTTGGGAGGCCGAGGTGGGCTGATTACTTGAGGTCAGAATTTCGAGACCAGCTTGGCCAACGTGGCGAAACCACGTCTCTACTAAAAATACAAAGATTACCCAGGTATGGTGGTGGGTGCCTGTAGTCCCAGCTATTTGAATGGCTGAGGCAGGAGGATCCCTTGAACCTGGGAGGTAGAGGTTGCAGTGAACCAAGATCGTGCCACTGCACTTAAGCGTGGGCAACAGAGTGAGACTCCGTCTAAAAGAAAACAAAAACATAAACAAAAAACAAAAAACTCAAGAACATTTTACAAAGTGAAAGAAGCTATACTCGAAAGATTACATACTCTGTGATTCCACTTATATGATATTCTGGAAAAGGCTAAATAAAAACGATAGGGAGCAGATCACTTGTTGCCAGGAGTTACATGTGGAGATAAAGTTTGACTACAAAGGGGTACTGCATGAAAGAATTTACTTTGGGCCAAGGGAAGGGAAAGAACTGTTCTGTATCTTGATTGTAGTCATGATAACTTGCGTACAAGCATTTGATAGAATGCACAGAACTGTAAACAAAAAGAGTAATTTTTACTCTATGTAAATTTAAAAGTGAATTTCAAAAAATCATGCATAAAAAGAAAACACCATCTGTGAAGCAGATGACCTTACAGGTGAATTCTACCAGACATTTTAAGAGAAATAATAATACCAGTTTTACATAAACTGTCTCAAAAATTAGAAAGGAGAGAACTCTTCCCAACTCACTTTATGAGGACAGTATTGTCTTGATAAAAAAATTAGACAAAAATATTGCCAAAAAAGAACTAGAAAACAATCCCCCATGAACACAAAAGCAAAATCCTTAACATTATATGAGCAAATCAAAATCAATCATATGGGAAAAGGATAATACATCATGACCAAGTGGGGTTTATCTCACGAATGCAAGATTAATTTTATGACCAAAAATCAAGCAGTGGACCAGGTGTGGTGGCTTATGCCTATAATCCCAGCAATTTGGGAAGCCGAGGTGGGAGGATCGCTTGAATCCAGGAGTTCAAGATCAGCCTGGGCAACATAGTGAGTCTCGGTCTCTACAAAAAAAAAAAAAAAAAAAGAAAGAAAAAAATTAGCCAGTCGTGGTGGCACACACCTGTAGTCCCAACTACCCAGGACACTGAGGCAGGAGAATCAGTTGAGTCCAGGATGTCAACGCTGCAGTGAGCTATGATTGTACCATCACACTCCAACCTGGGTGACAAAGTGAGACTCTGTCTTAAAAAATAAGTAAGTAAATAAATAAATAAATAAATAAATAAATAAATAAAATTAAGCAGTGTAATTCACCACTCACAAACTAAAAAAAGGGAAAATGTGATTGTCTCTATAGATTTTTTTTATTATCTCAATAGATTTTTTAAAAAAGTGTTTGGTAGGCCAGGCACGGTGGCTCATGCCTGTAATCCCAGCACTTTGGGAGCCCAAGGTGGGTGGATCACCTGAGGTCAGGAGTTCGAGACCAGTCTGGCCAACGTGGTGAAACCCCATCTCTACTAAAAATATAAAATTAGCCAGGCATGGTGGTACACGCCTGCAATCCCTGCTACTCGGGAGGCTGAGGCAGGAGAATTGCTTCACCCCGGGAGGCAGAGGTTGCGGTGAACCGAGATCACGCCACTGCACTCCAGCCTGAGTGACAGAGCAAGACTCCATCTCAAAAAAAAAAAAATTTTTTTTTGGCAAAACTCAGTGCGATTCCTGATAAAAACTCTCCACTAACTTGAAAGAGAAGAGAACCTCCTCCAACAACAGGCATCTGTGAAAAATTTACACTTAGTGCTACACTTTAATAATGAAAGACTGAATGCTTTCCCTTTGAGATTTGGAACAACTTTTGTTGTTGTTGTTGTTGTTTTGAGATGGAGTCTCACTTTGTTGCCCAGGCTGGAGTGCAGTGGTGTGATCTTGGCTCACTGCAACCTCTGCCTCCCGGGTTCAAGCAATTCTCATCCCCACTTAGTAGCTGGGACTACAGGTGCGCACCACCACACCTGGCTAATATTTGTATTTTTAGTAGAGACGTGGTTTCACCATGTTGGCCAGGCTGGTCTCGAACTCAGGTGATCCACTTGCCTCGGCCTCCCAAAGTTCTGGGATTACAGGTGTGAGCCACCGCGCCCAGCCTGGAACACCTTTTTTTTTTTTTTTTTTTTAACCACTTTTATTCAGCATTGTACTGGAGGTCCCATACAATGCAATTGGACAATAAAATAGCTTCTGGTTTGGGGTTCTTCATGTAAGGAACTTGGTGCTACTGCATCCTAACAAATAAAAAGCTGAACAGACTGAAAAATCAATTACATATGCTTAGGTACACACACACACACACATTCACACACACACTCACACACATATATGCTTCTATATGAGTAAAATAAAATTAATGACAGCAATGATATAATTGGCAGGACGGAGTAATTATGATTATTTTGTTATTATAAGGTGAAGCAGTACACAATCATCCCTTGGTATCTGTGGAGCATTCATTCTAAGACCCCTGTGGATACCAAAATCCACACATACTCGAGTCCCTCTGCATACCCTGCATGAGAGAAAAGTTGGCCCTCTTTACTGGGGGATTTTGCATCCTGCAATCTGCATTTGGTTGTGGATGCCAAACTCTACAAGAGGGAGGGTTGACTGGATTTATTGAAAAAAAATCCTTGTAAAAGTGGACCCATGCTGTTCAAACACATATATTGCTAGAGCCAAATGTAGTGTCATTTGAAAGTGGACTAGGATTAGTTGGAAATCAATACTGCAAATTTAGGGCTACCACTAAAAGAAATAATTAAAAATCAAATGCTAAAAAGGAGAGAAAATTGAATCATATAAAATGCTCAGTTAGAACCACAAAACAGAAAAAGAGTGGAAGACAAAAATAAGAACAACAAGGGCAATCAATAAAAAATAGTAACAAATATGATGGATATTAATCCAACTACAGCAGATCCTCAAATAATGTTGTTTTGTTCAACATTGTTTTATAGTAATATTGATAAAAAAATAAATTTCTGGCTAAGGCCACTCTGTGTGTGTGTGTGTGTGTGTGTGTGTGTGTGTGTGTGTGTGTCTATGGGGTATGCATGTTCTCCCTATGTCTGCCTGGGTTTTCTCTGGGTACTCTGGTTTCCTACCACATCCCAAAGACGTGCATGTTAGGTTAATTGGAGAGTCCAAATTGTCCCTGTCTGAGTGAGTGTGGGTTGGAGGTGTGTATGTGTGTCCTGCAATGGAATGGCATCCTGTCCAGGGTTGGTACCTGAGCTGCTGGGATAGGTTCCAGCTAGCTGAGACCCTGAACTACACAGTAAGTGGATTGGAAAATGAAGACATAAACAGATAAAAATTATTGCAAAATAAAAATTCATAAAGTATGTGATAATTATACAAATGCACAACAATAAATTCAGTATGAAAGCACTCAGCAAGCCCACCATATTTGTTATTGTTTGTTTTTGAACTGCATAGTGGTAGAAGGTGCTTCTCGCAATGTTCCCTTTGCAAATATTTATTCCTTGATTTAATCCATCACAACTACAACCACCATTGCTCACTGGTTCACCAAAAATTGAGTAAATAATTATCTTGTTTTTCTTAATCTTTCTTAAATATATGTATAGCCCGCATTTATTTCAGTTTGTAATGTTAGAAGTGTTTTGAGTCTTTATTTAGAAGTTTGGGCCAGGTGCAGTGGCTCACACCTTTAATCCCAGCACTTTGGGAGGCCATCGTGGGTGGATCGTTTAAGCCCAGGAGTTTGAGACCAGCCTGGGCAACATGGCGAAACCCCATCTCTACAAAAAATACAAAAATTAGCCAGATGTGGTGGTGTGCATCTGTAGTTCCAGCTATTCAGGAGGCTAAGAGGGGAAGACTGTTTGAGGCCAGAAGATTGAGGCTGCAGCAACAGAGTGAGACCCTGAAAAAAAAAAGAGAGAAAGAAAGAGAGAGAGAGAGAGCGAAAGAAAGAGAGAGGAAGAGAAAAGAGAAAAAAGCAAGTTGGTAGTGTTTTTCCATACGAACTTGTTTATATCAGTTAGCCTATAGTAATACTGGTTTTGTTATGCATTGTCTTGCTTAAAGTCTCAGTTTCTAAGAGCCTGTCAACAACATTAAGTGAGAACTTACTATATATCAGTAATCACTTTGAACAGCAATGATAAATGCACCAATTAAAAGACAGAGATTGTCAGAGTGGATGAAAAAAACAAGACCCAACCATAGGATGTCTACAAGAAATCTACTTTAAATATAAGACATATAAATTAAAAGTAAATGGATGGAGAAAAATATACCCTGTTAACACTAATCAAAAGAAAGCAGAAGTAGCTATATTAATTTCAAACACAGTTGACTTCAAAAAAGGAAAGTTATCAGTGATAAAGGCATTACATAATGATAAAGGAGTTAATTGTCCAAGAAGGTGTAATAATCCTTAACACATGTGCACCTAACAAGAGCATCGAACTAGGTGAGACAAAACTGATAGAGCTGCAAGAAGACATATTTAAATCCACTCTTACAATTAGAGACTTCAACATCCGTCTATCAGAAATGGACAGATTCAGCAGGTAGAAAGCCAGTAAAGACATAGATGAATTCAACAGCATCGTCAATCAGCTGGATGTAATGGACATCTGTAGACTACTTTATCCAACAACCACAGAAAACACACTCTTTTTCAAGCTCACATGGAACATTCTCTAAGATAGACATATTCTGGGCCATAAAACAGCCCTTAACAAATTTAGAAGACTAGAAATCATTTAATGTCTGCTCTCTGTCTACAAAGGAATTGAAAGCAACAGAAATATAACCAGAAAATCCCAAAATATACAGAGATTAAACAACACATTTCTAAAAATACATGGGTCAAAGAAGGAATTTCAAGACAAATTAAAAAGTATTTTGAGGCTGGGCATGGTGGCTCATGCGTATAATCCCAGCACTTTGGGAGACCAAGGCAAGAGGATTGCTTAAGCCCAGGAGATTGAAGTCACAGTGAGCTATGATTGTGCCACCGCCTGTCTCAAAAACAACAACAACAACTAAAACCCTTTCGATTCAATGAAAGTGAAAACAACATATCAACATTTGTGGAATGCAGTGAAAGCAGTGTTTAGAAAGAAATTATGTAGTATTGAATGCATATTTTAGAAAAGAAGAAAGATCTAGAATTGTTTCCACCTTAGAATACTAGAAAAAGAAGAGCAAGTTAAATCCAAAGTAAGCTGAAGAAAATAAATAATAAGAATTAGAGCAGATATCAGTGAAATTGAAAACAGGGAATCAGTAAAGAAAATAAATGAAATGAAAAGCTGGCTCTTTGAAAAGATTAATAAAATTGATAAGCCTCTAGTGAGGCTGATTAAGAAAAAAGACAGAAGACACAAATTACTGACATCAGAATGAAACTGATCACTACAGATCCCATGGACATTAAAAAGATTTTAAAAAGGAATACTATGAACAACTCTGTATCTACAAATTTGATAACTTAGAAAAAATGGACCAATTATTTGAAAGATATAACATGCCAAAATCCATATAAGAAGAAATAGACTGTCTGAATAGGCCTATATCTATTAAATAAATTGAATAAATAATAACCTTCCAAAATAGAAAGCACAAAGTTCAGATGGGTTTACTGGTGAATTCTATCAAAGCCTTTAAGGAAAAAATTATACTAATTCACTACAATTTCTTTTGGTAGGCAGAAGAATACTTCTGAATCACTCTGAGGCCAGCATTATTCTAATGCCAAATCTAGACAAAGACCTTAAAGAAAACAAAATTATGGACCAATGTCTCCCATAAACACTAAGTGCAAAAATCCTCAACAAAATTGAATCAACAATGTATAAAAATAATTATATACCACCACCAAATGGGATTTATTTCAAATATGCAAGGCTGGTTCAACACTCAAAAATCAATAGATGTAATCCATCACATCAACAGGCTAAAAAAGAAAAATCATGTGACCATATCAATAGATGCAGAAAAATTATTTGACAAAATGCAAAGCCCATTCATGATAAAAAAACAAAAACTCTGAGTAGACTAGGACTAGAAGGGAGCTTCCTCAACTTGCTAAAGAATATCTATATAAAACCTGTAGCTAACATCATACTTAAAGGTGAGAAACTAGAAGCTTTTCCACTAAGATCAAGAACAAGGCAAAGATGTCCCCTCTCACCACTCCTTTTCAACCCTGTGCTGGAAGTTATAGCTGATGCAGTAAGACAAGAAAAGTAAGTAAAAGACATAGATTGGGAAGAAAAAAAATAAAACTGGCTTTATTCTCATATAACATGATTGTCATGTAGAAAAAGAATCAACAACAACAAAAAACTCCTGAGACTAATAAGTGTTTATAGCAGAGTTGTAGGATGTAAGTTTATTTTGCAAACGTCAGTCACTTTCCTACACAGCAGCAATGGACAAGTGGAATGTGAAATCAAAAACAAAACATCATTTCCATTAGAACCCCTTAAAGTGAAATACTTAGGTATAAATCTAACAAAATAAAGATATATAAGGAAAACTACAAAATTCTGATGAAAGAAATCAAAGAACCTAAGAAATGGAGAGATATTTCATGTTCATGGAGAGAAAGACAATATTTTCAAGATGTTAGCAGTTCTTCCCAAATTGATCTGTAGATTCAATGCAATCCCAATCAAAATCTCAGCAACTAATTTGTGGATATCAACAAACTTATCCTAAAGTTTATTTGAAGAGGCAAAACACCCAGGATAGCCAACCCAATATTGAAGGAGAAGAACAAAATTGGAGGACTGACACTACCCGACTTCAATACTTACATATAACTCAAATATATGCAGGTTCTGTTGTCTTAGTTCAGGCAGCTGTAACAAAAGTGCAATAGACTAGGGGGCTTAAATAACAGAAATTTATTTCTCACAGTTCTGAGGCTGGGCATTCTCAGATCACAGTATTGCTGGTGATACTGACCATGCTGGCATGGTCAGTTCTGATGAGGCCTTCTTCCTGGTTTGCAGACAACAGTCTTCCTGTTATTCCTCATATGGTGGAGATAGAGAGGAAGGAAGCTATAAAGCTATAGTAATCAAGACAGTATGGTACTGGCAAAAGAGTGGACAAATAGGTTAATAGAACAGAATAAAGGGTCCAGAAATAGACCCACATAAATATAGTCTGCTGAATTTTGACAAAGGGATAAAGGCAATACAATGGAGTAAAAGTATTTTCAACAAATGGTGCTGGAGGGGGCAGTTAAAAAAAAAAGAGGTATTGGAAGAACTGGACATGTACATGCAAAAAAAATGAATCTAAACACAGTTCTTACACTCTTAACAAAAATGAACTCAAATGGATTTTGACCTAAATGTAAAATGCAAAACTATGAAACTTCTAGAAGATAACATAGGAGAAAACCTAGATGACCTTGGGTTTGGTGAATACTTTTTAGATACAACTCCAAAAGCATGATCCATTAAATAAATCATTGATAAGCTGAACTTCACTGAAATTTAAAAGTTCTGCACTGCGAAAGACAATGTCAAAAAATGAGAAAACCCACAGGCTGGGAGAAAATATTTGCAAAAGGCACATCGATAAAGGACTATTATCTAAAAATACAAAGAACTCTTAAAATTCAAAAACAACAACAAAAAGATTTAAAAATGGGCCAAAGACCTTAACAAAAATCTCACCAAAGAAGATATACAAATGGCAAATAAGCACATGAATACATGCTTCACGTTGCAGGCAAATGCAAGTTAAAACAATAGTAAGATACTATCACACACCTATTAGAATGGACAAACTCCAGAATACTGACAACACTAAAAGCTGACAAGAATGTGGAGCAACAGGAATTCTCATGTATTGCTGTGAAAGTACAAAATGCTATAGTCACTTTGGAAGATAGGCAGCTTCTTACAAAACTAAATATACTCTTAACATATATCCAGCAATCATGCTCCTTAATATTTACCCAAAGGAGGTGAAAACTTATGTCCATATAAAAATCTGCACATAGATGTTTAAGCAGTTTTATTTATGATTGCCAAAACTAGGAAGCAACCCAGATGTCCTTCAGTAAGTGAATGAATAAATAAACTTTGACACATCCAGATGGTGGAATATTATTCAGCAATAAAAAGAAATGAGCTGTCAAGCCATAAAAAGACATGGAGGAAACTTAAGTGCATATTACTAAGTGAAAGAAACCCATCTGAAAAGTCTACATACTGCATAACTTCAGCTATATGACATTCTGGAAAAGGCAAAACTGTGGAGACAGTTAAAAAAAGATAGTGATCACCAGGGAGTTTGGGGTGGGTGGAGAGAGATGCATAGGCAGAGCACAAAGGATTTTTAGGGCAGTGAAAATGTTCTGTATGGTACTATAACGATGGATACCTGTCATTACACATTTGTTCAGATACCTAGAATGTACAACACTAAGAGTGAACTCTAACGTAAACGATGGACTCTAGGTGATTATGATGTGTCAATGTAGTTTCATCAGTTGTAACAAATGTGCCACTGTGGTGGAGGATGTTGATGATAGGGGAAGTTATGCACATATGGGAACAAGGAGTATGCTGGAAATCTCTGTACATTTCTCTCAATGTTGCTATGAATCTAAAACTACCCCCACCTCCCAAAAAATAAGTCTTAAAAAATTCACTTTAGAAAAGAAGTAAAATTGTCTTTATTCACAGACAACATGATTAAGTAGAAAATTGTAAGAAATCTATTAAAAAGCTACTAGAACTAAAATGAAATTTTACAAAGTTATAGGATACAAGGTCAAAAACAAAAATCAATTCTCTCCCCTTCCTTCCTTCCTTTCTTTCGTTCTTTCTTTTTTTTTTTTTTTTTTTTTTTTGAGACAGAGTCTTGCTTGTCACCCAGGCTAGAAGTGGCACAATCTCAGCTCACTGCAACCTCCGCCTCCTGGGTTCAAGCCATTCTCCTGCCTCAGCCTCCCCAGTAGCTGGGATTACAGGCGTGCACCACCACACCCAGCTAATTTTTGTATTTTTAGCAGAGACGAGGTTTCACCATGTTGGCCAGGCTGGTCTGGAACTCCTGACCTCAGATGATCCGCCTGCCTCGGCCTCCCAAAGTGCTGGGATTAAAGGCATGAGCCACCGTTCCCGGCCAATCAGTTGTATTTCTAAGAACTAATAATAGCATTTGGAAACTGAAATCTTAAAGTCACTTACAATAATGTACAGAATATGTAATAATTAGAGATAAACAACAAATATATTCAGGTTCTGTTGTCTTAGTTCAAGTAGCTATAACGAAAGTACTATAGACCAGGTGACTTAAATAACAGAAATTTATTTCTTACAGTTCTGGAAGCTGGGCATTCTGAGATCACAGTATTGCTGGTGATACTGATCATGCTGGCATGCTCAGTTCTGATGAGGCTTTCTTGCTGGTTTGCAGACAACAGTCTTCTTGTTGTTCCTCACATGGTGGAGTTAGAGAGGAAGGAAACTGTCTTCTGTAACTTCTTTTAAGGCCACTAATCCCATTGTGAGGCTCCATACTCATGACCTAATTACCTCCCACAGGCCCCATCTGGAAATATCATCACATTGGGGATTATGAACTTTTGAAGGACGCATTCAGTCAATAGCACCCGTCCTCTGAAAAGTATAAAACATTACTGAGAGAAATTAAAGCAGAGTTAAATAAGTAGGGGAAAATACCATATTTAAGGAAAATCTAATTCAATACAAGATGTCAAATCTCCTCACATTATTTTTAGTAGACACGTTGATATATTGATATAAATATTGATATATCGATATCACATTGATATATTGATTGATATATATTGATATATTGATTCATCACCATCCCAGTCAAAATTCCATTAGCCTTTATTTTTTTTTATACTTTCAGTTCTGGGATACATGTGCAGAATGTGCAGGTTTGTTACATAAGTATACACATGCCATGGTGGTTTGCTGAACCCATCAACCTGTCATCTACATTAGGTATTTCTCCTAATGCTATCCCTCCCCTAGCCCCACACCCCTTGACAGGCCCCGGTGTGTGATGTTCCCCTCCCTGTGTCCATGTGTTCTCATTGTTCAACTCCCACTTATGAGTGAGGACATGTGATGTTTAGTTTTCTGTTACTGTGTTAGTTTCCTGAGAATGATGGTTGCCAGCTTCATCCATGTCCCTGCAAAGGACAAGAACTCATCCTTTTTTATGGCTGCATAGTATTCCATGTTGTATATGTGCACATTTTCTTGATCCAGTCTATCACTGATGGGCGTTTGGGTTGGTTCCAAATCTTTGCTATTATTAACAGTGCTGCAATAAACATACATGTGCATGTGTCTTCATAGTAGAATGACTTATAATCCTTTGGGTATATACCCAGTAATGGGATTGCTGGGTCAAATGGTATTTCTGGTTCTTGATCCTTGAGGAATCGCCACACTGTCTTCCACAATGGTTGAACTAATTTACACTCCCACCAACACAGTAAAAGCGTTCCTATTTCTCCATATTGTCTCCAGCATCTGTTGTTTCCTGACTTTTTAATGATTGCTATTCTAACTGACGTGAGATGGCATCTCGTTGTGGTTTTGATTTGGATTTCTCTAATGACCAGTGATGATGAGCTTTTTTTCATGTTTGTTGGCTGCATAAATGTCTTCTTTTGAGAAGTCTATGTTTGTACCCTTTGCCCTCTTTTTGATGGGGTTGTTTTTTTCTTGTAAATTTGTTTAAGTTCCTTGTAGATTCTGGATATTAGCCCTTTGTCAGATAGATAGACTGCAGAAATTTTCTCCCATTCTGTATGGATATTAGCCCTTTGTCAGATAGATAGACTGCAGAAATTTTCTCCCATTCTGTAGGTTGCCTGTTCACGTGATGATAGTTTCTTTTGCTGTGCAGAAGCTCCTTACTTTAATTAGATCCCATTTGTCAATTTTGGCTTTTGTTGCCATTGCTTTTGGTGTCTTAGTCATGAAGTCTTTGCCCATGCCTATGTCCTGAATGGTATTGCCTAGGTTTTCTTCTAGGGTTTTTATGGTTTTAGGTATTGATGGAATGTATCTCAAAATAATAAGAGCTATTTATGACAAACCCACAGCCAATATCATACTGAATGGGCAAAAGCTGGAAGCATTCCCTTTGAAAACTGGCACAAGACAAGGATGCCCTCTCTCACCACTCTTATTCAACATAGTATTGGAAGTTCTGGCCAGGGCAATCAGGCAAGAGAAAGAAAGAAAGGGTATTCAAATAGGGAGACAGGGAGTCAAATTGTCTCTGTTTGCAGATGACATGATTGTACATTTATTTATTTATTTATTTATTTATTTATTTATATTATACTTTAAGTTCTAGGGTACATGTGCACAACGTGCAGGTTTGTTACATATGTAAACATGTGCCATGTGTACATGTATACATGTGGACAATGTGCAGGTTTGTTACATATGTATACATGTGCTGCACCCATTAACTCATCATTTACATTAGGTATATCTCCTAATGCTTTCCCTCCCCGCTTCCCCCACCTCACAACAGGCCCCGGTGTGTGATGTTCCCCTTCCTGTGTCAAAGTATTCTCATTGTTCAGTTCCCATCTATGAGTGAGAACTTGCGGTGTTTGGTTTTTTGTTCTTGCGATAGTTTGCTGAGAATGATGGTTTCCAGCTTCATCCATGTCCCTACAAAGGACATGAACTCATCCTTTTTTATGGCTGCATAGTATTCCATGGTGTATATGTGCCACATTTTCTTAATCCAGTCTATCATTCGTGGACATTTGGGTTGGTTCCAAGTCTTTGCTGTTGTGAATAGTGCTGTAATAAACATATGTGTGCATGTGTCTTTATAGCAGCATGATTTATAATCCTTTGGGTATATACCCAGTAATGGGATGGCTGGGTCAAATGGTATTTCTAGTTCTAGATCCTTGAGGAATCACCACACTGTTTTCCACCATGGTTGAACTAGTTTACAGTCCCACCAACAATGTAAAAGTGTTCCTATTTCTCCACATCCTCTCCAGCACCTGTTGTTTCCTGACTTTTTAATGATCGCCATTCTAACTGGTGTGAGATGGTATCTCATTGTGGTTTTAATTTGCATTTCTCTGATGGCCAGTGATGAAGAGCATTTTTTCATGTGTCTGTTGGCTGCATAAATGTCTTCTTTTGAGAAGTGTCTGTTCATATCCTTCGCCCACTTGTTGATGGGGTTGTTTGATTTTTTTCTTATAAATTTGTTTGAGTTCTTTGTAGATTCTGGATATTAGCCCTTTGTCAGCTGAGTAGATTGCAAAAATTTTCTCCCATTCTGTAGGTTGCCTGTTCACTCTGATGGTAGTTTCTTTTGCTGTGCAGAAGCTCCTTAGTTTAATTAAATCCCATTTATCAATTTTGGCTTTTGTTGCCATTGCTTTTGGTGTTTTAGACATGAAGTCCTTGCCCATGCCTATGTCCTGAATGGTATTGCCTAGGTTTTCTTCTAGAGTTTTTATGGTTTTAGGTCTAACATGTAAGTCTTTAATCCATCTTGAATTAATTTTTGTATAAGATGTAAGGAAGGGATCCAGTTTCAGCTTTCTACATATGGCTAGCCAGTTTTCCCAGCACCATTTTTTAAATAGGGAATCCTTTCTCCATTGCTTTTTTTGTCAGGTTTGTCAAAGACTGGATAGTTGTAGATGTGTGGAATTATTTCTGAGGGCTCTGTTCTGTTCCATTGGTCTATGTCTCTGTTTTGGTACCAGTACCATGCTGTTTTGGTTACTGTGGCCTTGTAGCATAGTTTGAAGTCAGGTAGCGTGATGCCTCCATCTTTGTTCTTTTGGCTTAGGATTGACTTGGCAATGCGGGCTCTTTTTTGGTTCCACATGAACTTTAAAGTAGTTTTTTCCAATTCTGTGAAGAAAGTCATTGGTAGCTTGATGGGGATGGCATTGCATCTATAAATTACCTTGGGCAGTATGGCCATTTTCACGATATTGATTCTTCCTACCCATGAGCATGGAATGTTCTTCCATTTGTTTGTATCTTCTTTTATTTCATTGAGCAGTGGTTTGTAGTTCTCCTTGAAGAGGTCCTTCACATCCCTTGTAAGTTGGATTCCTAGGTATTTTATTCTCTTTGAAGCAATTGTGAATGGGAGTTCACTCATGATTTGGCTCTCTGTTTGTCTGTTATTGGTGTATAAGAATGCTTGTGATTTTTGCACATTGATTTTGTATCCTGAGATTTTGCTGAATTTGCTTATCAGCTTAAGGAGATTTTGGGCTGAGATGATGGGGTTTTCTAAATATACAATCATGTCATCTGCAAACAGAGACAATTTGACTTCCTCCTTTCCTAATTGAATACTCTTTATTTCTTTCTCCTGCCTGATTGCCCTGGCCAGAACTTCCAACACTATGTTGAAGAGGAGTGGTGAGAGAGGGCATCCCTGTCTTGTACCAGTTTTCAAAGGGAATGCTTCCAGTTTTTGCCCGTTCAGTATGATATTGGTTGTGGGTTTGTCATAAATAGCTCTTATTATTTTGAGATATGTCCCATCAATACCTAATTTATTGAGAGTTTTTAGCATGAAGAGCTGTTGAATTTTGTCAAAGGCCTTTTCTGCATCTATTGAGATAATCATGTGGTTTTTGTTGTTGGTTCTGTTTATATGTTGGATTACGTTTATTGATTTGCATATGTTGAACCAGCCTTGCATTCCAGGGATGAAGCCCACTTGATCATGGCGCATAAGCTTTTTGATGGGCTGCTGGATTCCGTTTGCCCGTATTTTATTGAGGATTTTTTCATCGATGTTCATCAGGGATATTGGTCTAAAATTCTCTTTTTTTTCCTGTGTCTCTGCCAGGCTTTGGTATCAGGATGATGCTAGCCTCATAAAGTGAATTAGGGAAGATTCCCTCTTTTTCTATTGACTGGAATAGTTTCAGAAGGAATGGTACCAGCTCCTCCTAGTACCTCTGGTAGAATTTGGCTGTCAATCCGTCTGGTCCTGGACTTTTTTTGGTTAGTAGGCTATTAATTATGGACTCAATTTGAGAGCCTATTATTGATCTATTCAGGGATTCAACTTCTTCCTGGTTTAGTCTTGGGAGGGTGTATGTGTCCAGGAATTTATCCATTTCTTCTAGATTTTCTAGTTTATTTGCATAGAGGTGTTTATAGTATTCTCTGATGGCAGTTTGTATTTCTGTGGGATCGGTGGTGATATCCCCTTTATCATTTTTTATTGCATCTATTTGATTCTTCTCTCTTTTCTTCTTTATTAGTCTTGCTAGTGGTCTATCAATTTTGTTGATCTTTTCAAAAAACCATCTCCTGGATTCATTGATTTTTTGAAGGGTTTTTTATGTCTCTATCTCCTTCAGTTCTGCTCTGATCTTAGTTATTTCTTGCCTTCTGCTAGCTTTTGAATGTGTTTGCTCTTGCTTCTCTAGTTCTTTTAATTGTGATGTTAGGGTGTCAATTTTAGATGTTTCCTGCTTTCTCTTGTGGGCATTTAGTGCTATAAATTTCCCTCTACACGCTGCTTTAAATGTGTCCCAGAGATTCTGATATGTTGTGTCTTTGTTCTCGTTGGTTTGAAAGAACATCTTTATTTCTGCCTTCACTTCGTTATGTACCCAGTAGTCATTCAGGAGCAGGTTGTTCAGTTTCCATGTAGTTGAGCGGTTTTGAGTGAGTTTCTTAATCCTGAGTTCTAGTTTGATTGCACTGTGGTCTGAGAGACAGTTTGTTATAATTCCTGTTCTTTTACATTTGCTGAGGAGTGCTTTACTTCCAGCTATGTGGTCAATTTTGGAATAAGTGTGATGTGGTGCTGAGAAGAATGTATATTCTGTTGATTCTGGGTGGAGAGTTCTGTAGATGTCTATTAGGTCCACTTGGTGCAGAGCTGAGTTCAATTCCTGGATATCCTTGTTAACTTTCTGTCTCATTGATCTGTCTAATATTGACAGTGGGGTGTTAAAGTCTCCCATTATCATTGTGGGGGAGTCTAGGTCTCTTTATAAGTCTCTAAGGACTTGCTTTATGAATCTGGGTGCTCCTGTATTGGGTGCATACATATTTAAGTTAGCTCTTCTTGTTGAATTGATCCCTTTACCATTATGTAATGGCCTTCTTTGTCTCTTTTGATCTTTGTTGGTTTAAAGTCTGTTTTATCAGAGACTAGGATTGCAACCCCTGCCTTTTTTTGTTTTCCATTTGCTTGGTAGATCTTCCTCCATCTCTTTATTTTGAGCCTATGTGTGTCTCTGCACATGAGATGGGTCTCCTGAATACAGCACACTGATGAGTCTTGACTCTTCATCCAATTTGCCAGTCTATGTCTTTTAATTGGAGCATTTAGCCCATTTACATTTAAGCTTAATATTGTTATGTGTGAATTTGATCCTGTCATTATGATGTTGGCTGGTTACTTTGCTCGTTAGTTGATGCAGTTTCTTCCTAGCCTCGATGGTCTTTACAATTTGGCATGTTTTTGCAGTGGCTCATACCAGTTGTTCCTTTCCATGTTTAGTGCTTCCTTCAGGAGCTCTTTTAGGGCAGGCCTGGTGGTGACAAAATCTCTCAGCATTTGCTTGTCTGTAAAGGATTTTATTTCTCCTTCACTTATGAAGCTTAGTTTGGCTGGATATGAAATTCTGGGTTGAAAATTCTTTTCTTTAAGAATGTTGAATGTTGGCCCCCACTCACTTCTGGCTTGTAGAGTTTCTGCCAAGAGATCCACTGTTAGTCTGATGGGTTTCCCTTTGTGGGTAACCCGACCTTTCTCTCTGGCTGCCCTTGACATTTTTTCCCTCATTTCAACTTTGGTGAATCTGACAATTATGTATCTTGGAGTTGCTCCTCTCGAGGAGTATCTTTGTGGCATTCTCTGTATTTCCTGAATTTGAATGTTGGCCTGCCTTGCTAGGTTGGGGAAGTTCTCCTGGAAAATATCCTGCAGAGTGTTTTCCAACTTGGTTCCATTCTCCCCGTCACTTAAAGCTACACCAATCAGACGTAGATTTGGTCTTGTCACATAGTCCCATATTTCTTGGGTACTTTGTTCGTTTCTTTTTACTCTTTTTTCTCTAAACTTCTGTTCTCACTTCATTTCATTCATTTGATCTTCAATCACTGATACCCTTTCTTCCAGTTGATCAAATCAGCTACTGAAGCTTGTGCATTCATCACGTAGTTCTCATGCCATGGTTTTCAGCTCCATCATGTCCTTTAAGGACTTCTCTGCGTTGGTTATTCTACTTAGCCATTCGTCTAATCTTTTTTCAAGGTTTTTAACTTCTTTGCATTGGGTTCGAACTTCCTCCTTTAGCTCGGAGAAGTTTGATCGTCTGAAGCCTTCTTCTCTCAACTCGTCAAAGTCATTCTCCGTCCAGCTTTGTTCCATTCCTGGCAAGGAGCTGTGTTCCTTTGGAGGGGGAGAGGTGCTCTGATTTTTAGAATTTTCAGCTTTTCTGCTCTGTTTTTTCCCCGTCTTTGTGGTTTTATCTGCCTTTGGTCTTTGATGATGGTGACGTACAGATGGGGTTTTGGTATGGATGTCCTTCCTGTTTGTTAGTTTTCCTTCTGACAGTCAGGACCCTCAGCTGCAGGTCTGTTGGAGTTTGCTGGAGGTCCACTCCAGACACTGTTTGCCTGGGTATCACCAGCAGAGGCTGCAGAACAGCAAATATTGCTGAACAGCAAATGTTTCTGCCTGATCATTCCTCTGGAAGCTTCGTCTCAGAGGGGTACCCAGCCGTGTGAAGTGTCAGTCTGCCTCTACTGGGAGATGCCTCCCAGTTAGGCTACTCGGAGGTCAGGGACCCACTTGACAAGGCAGTCTGTCTGTTCTCAGATCTCAAACTCCATGCTGGGAGAACCACTACTCTCTTCAAAGCTGTCAGACAGGGACGTTTAAGTCTGCAGAGGTTTCTGCTGCCTTTTGTTCGGCTATGCCCTGTCCCTAGAGGTGGAGTCTACAGAGGCAGGCAGGCCTCCTTGAGCTGTGATGGGCTGTACCCAGTTCGAGCTTCCAGGACACTTTGTTTATCTACTCGAGCCTCAGCAATGGCAGGCGCCCCTCACCCAGCCTCACTGCTGCCTTGCAGTTTGATCTCAGACTGCTGTGCTAGCAATGAGCGAGGCTCCTTGGGCATGGGACCCTCCGAGCCATGCGCGGGATATAATCTCCTGGTGTGCCATTTGCTAAGACCATTGGAAAAGCGCAGTATTAGGGTGGGAGTGACCTGATTTTCCAGGTGCCGTCTGTCACCCCTTCCCTTGGCTAGGAAAGGGAATACCCTGACCCCTTGTGCTTCCTGGGTGAGGCAATGCCTCGCCCTGCTTCAGCTCACACTTGGTGGGCTGCACCCACTCTCCTGCCCCCACTGTTCAACGAGCCCCAGTGAGATGAACCCGGTACCTCAGTTGGAAATGCAGAAATCACCCATCTTCTGCGTCGCTCATGGTAGGAGCTGTAGACTGCAGCTGTTCCTATTCAGCCATCTTGAAACCGCCCCCTGATTGTACATTTAGAAAACCCCATCATCTCAGCCCCAAATCTCCTTAAGCTGATGAGCAACTTCGGCAATGCCTCAGGATACAAAATCAATGTGCAAAAATTACAAGCATTTCTGTACACCAATAATAGACAAACAGAGCACCAAATCATGAGTAAACTCCCATTCACAATTGCTTCAAAGAGAATAAAATACCTAGGAATCCAACTTACAAGGGATGTGAAGGACCTCTTCATGGAGAACTACAAACCACTGCTCAAGTAAATAAGAAAGGACACAAACAAATGGAAAAACATCCCATGCTCATGGACAAGAAGAATCAATACTGTGAAAATGGCCACACTGCTCAAAGTAATTTATAGATTCAATGCTATCCCCATCAAGCTACCATTGACTTTCTTCACAGAATTAGAAAAAACTACTTTAATTTATGTGGAACCAAAAAAGAGCCCATATAGCAAAGACAACCCTAAACAAAAAGAACAAAGCTGGAGGCATCATGCTACCTGACTTCAAACTATACTACAAAGCTACAGGAACCAAAACAGCATGGTACTGGCACCAAAACAGATATATAGACCAATGGAAGAGAACAGAGACCTCAGAAATAACACCACACATCTACAACCATCTGATCTTTGGGCAACCTGACAAAAATAAGCAACGGGGAAAGGATTCCCTATTCAAGACGTGGTATTGGGAAAACTGGCTAGCCATATGCAGAAAACTGAAACTGGATCCCTTCCTTACACCTTATACAAAAATTAACTTAAGATGGATTAAAGACCGTCAGGCTTTTTAAAAATAGAAATTGACAAGCTGCTAGCTTCTCAATTTGGAAATGCAAAGTATCTAGTACAGAAAAAACAATTTTGAAAAAGAATTAAGTTTGAGGACTTATAATACCTAATTTTAAGGCTTATTATAGGCTGGGTGCAGTGGCTTATGCCTGTAATCCCAGCACTTTGGGAAGCTGAGGTGGGCGGATAACTTGAGGTCAGAAGTTCCAGATCAGCCTATTCAACATGATGAAACCCCATCTCTACTAAAAATACAAAAATTAGCTGGGCATGATGGTGGGCACCTGTAATCCCAGCTACTCTGGATGCTGAGGACAAGGATCACTTGCACCTGGGAGGCAGAGGTTGCAGTGAGCCCCGAGATTGTGTCACTGCACTCCAGCCTGTGACAGAGCAAGACTCTGTCTCAAAGAAAAAGAAAAAAAAAAAAAGAGAGAGAGAGAGAGACTTAGTATAAAGCTACAATAATAAATACTATATTTTACTAGTATAAGAATAGATACATATGGAACAGAATAGAGTACCGAAATAGACCTACATATATTTGGTCAATTGGTAATTTTTAAAGGTGTCTTGAGAATTCAATGGGAAGAAGATTTTTTTTTTCAACAAATGGCAGGAATAATTGTATATATATGCAAAAAAATGAACATCAACCCTTACCATACACAAAAAATTAATTTGGAATAGATTAAAGATCTAACTATAAGAGTTAAAACTATAAAATTTCTAAAAGGAAATATAGGAGAAAATCTTGTGACCTTGGGTTTGACAAAGATTTTTTTTCTAATTCAGGATAATCTGTAAGATTTCTTTTATAAAATATAAAAAGTGTGAACCACAAAAGAAAAAAACAATAAATTGGATTTCACCAAAATTCAAAAGACACTGCTAAGAAAATGAAAAGGCTAGGAGACATTGAGAGAAAATATTTGCCAAACATATCTGGTAAAGGATTTATATCCAGCATATACAAGGAACTCTCACAACTTAATAATGGGAAGGCAACCTAATTATGTTTAATGGATAAAAATATCTGAACAGATACTCTACCTAAGAATATATATAAATGGCAAAAAAAAAGTGTATGAAAAGATATTCAACATAGTAATGCCATTTTGGAAATGCAAATTAAAACCTTGAGATACTAGTACAATTTCACTAGGATGTCAAAAATTTGAGATACTGACAATGCCATGTGTTAACAAGGATGTGGAGCAGTGGGAACCCTGGTACGTTGTTGGTAGGAATATAAAAAGGTACAGCCACTTTGGGAACCAAGTTGGCTGTTTCCTATAAAATTAAATGTATGTTTAGATTATGACCCAGAAATTCCACTCTTGGTATTACCCAAGAGAAATGAAAACTTGTAGTCACATGAAGACTTGTACTCAAATGTTCATAGCAACTTGATTCATAGTAGCTAACAAACTGGTAACAAGTGAAATGTCTATCAATTGGTGAATGACAAATAAAATGTGGTTTATTTATGCAATGGAATTGAACTCAGCAATAAAAGGAGTGAAATACTGATACCCACAACAATGTAGATGAATCTCAAAAACGTTACACTAGGTGATACAAGCCAGACACATCTATAATTGTTTTAGTTTGATTTTCTATGAAAAAGTACTGTAGACTGTGTAGCTTATAAACAACATAAATGTTATTTCTCACAGTTCTGGAGACTGGAAGTCAGAGATCAGGGTGCCAACATAGTCACCTTAGGTGCAGGCCCTCTTCCAGGTCGCAGACTGCCAACTTCTCATTGTAGCCTCACATGGCAGAAAGCAAGCTAGCTCTGTGGCCTCTTGTTACAAAGGCATTAACCCCATTCAAGAGGGTCCCACCCACATGGCCTTCCACAGGTCCCATCTCCAACTACCTTCACATTGGGATTAAATTTTAGCATATGAATATTGGGGCGGGGGACATAAACATTCTGTTCACAACAGATTCTCTTTACATGAAATTCTAGAAAAGGCAAAACTACTGGTGGTTATCATGTGCCAGTGAGCGAGGGGATGGGAATGGGAGGGGATAGGGTGAGGGACTGATTGTAAAGGGGCACGAAGAAATTTTTAACTTTATTTATTTATTTATGTGTTTAGAAAGTGCCTCAGGTAGAAAGAACTTTTTAAGAGTGAGGGAAACGTTTATGGTAGTGATCACACAACTGTCAACCTTTGTAAAATCTCATCGAATTGTACACTTAAACTTGTGAGTTTTATTGCATATGAATTATACCTCAAAAAAGCTGATTTAAATTAAAAAAAAACTCTTAATTCATGATTCTCTTTCCTCTCCTCCTCCTGGACATAAGACCTGCATTCAGGGTCATTTGATAGCACCGTGGTTTCAGGCTGGTTGTCTGGCCGACAGTTGGTGTCTGACCATGCAGGCTCCTCCTGAGATGTGCATCCACCTGGGTCTCAGACATAGGTCTCAATGGTGGCATCTTCTGAGAGTTCTGCATTCCCCCCTGGCTCTCAGTTGTCTGGTCCACAAAGCTTTCTGGAGCAGTGTCCTTTCATCCCAGTTTCAAGGACTTTAGTGTAGTGCTCCCAGCCAGCCTCTGCACCTCTCCCGTGCCACTCTGTGACCTCTCTTGGGCCCTCTCTGCCTAGTCATCTGTGCTTCATCACATAAAGTAATGAAGGTGGTGATGGTTCTGGAACCTTGCCTCTTTTTCCAAGTACCACCTAGGAAAGGAGGCACATTACCCCCTTGATACTCTTGAATGTTCAGGTTCCATTTCCTTTCCTAAGACTTGTCCTAGGTAGATGAGGTACCTCAGAGGCTTACACTGATTTGTTTTTTTCACCAACTCTCTTTGTTCTCCAAATCAGAGATATTTATTTATTTATTTTTACTTTTAATTTCTTCTTCCAATGAAAAGGTAGGAAAATTGGCTTGGTAAATATTATTCTAACTCTATAATTAATGTCAGAGCCATTACCTTCAAAGGAAGAAAATAAGTTGAGTAAGGGATGCTGCCCCAGGAGAGAGAAAGACTGAAGTGGAGATCTGCCAAGGGCAGTGAAAGCCTGAGAACAGGAAATACTTATGCAACAAAAAAAGGAGGCTATGAAATTTGTAGACATGGGAGAGGGAACTTTGCCTACTTCACTTATTATCTAAAGTGGTTCCTCCCCTGACTTAGAGTTGACTTGTATTCTTTTAAAGTCTTTTCTTTAATGGTGTTGCTCCCTTTCCCCTGATCCAATAGCCAATGTCCTATACAGCATTTCTTATCCCAGATTTAAATGTCTCACAGTGAGAACTAAAGATAAGGTCTTTTAAGGCTCTCACACCAAAAGCCTAAAGGAGTGCTCTGGGACAAATTCATGCCGAAAAGGACCCAGATCATCTTTTCCAGCCTATAGATAACTGAAATATTTGGTCCGGCTCCAGGATGACCTCTCTTTATTTGTTCCTTGTGAAAATAATGTAAGGTATGTTATGTATGAAATAAAAAGAACAAGGCACTGGTGGGAGGAAGCTGACATTTATTGAGGCCAATATACTGAGATCTGGGGAGACATGCATTGTCCAATTTAATCCTCACAATAACACTGAAATCATCTTGGAGTTTAGGAAACAGCTACTAAGAGGTTGCATACTTTGCCCAACGTCACCCGGGAAGGAGAGGAATGAGATTCAAGCCTAAATTGATGAACTTCAAAGTAGTTCTTTCCGTTACCCCATGCTGCCATCCTGGTAGACTAAGTCAAAACCACTAGTCTCAGTTTTAGATAAAAGAAGGAGCAAGGAGGAGGAGGAGGTGGAAGAAGGGAGGAACCTGGCTAACAGAAATCAGTGGTGGGAAGCAGTGATAGTCCATATTTCATGGAGTTCTTTCCTAAGCAAACAGATCCATCTACGTCCACAGTTCCTACTATCCAGGGTGTGAGAAAGAGGAAGGGGTTAAATGAAAAAGCAGGTTTGCAAGGCAATTACCTAATTAGGTAAGATATATAGACTAGTATTGTAATGTTATACACATGCTTTTTGGTATCACCTTTAAAAATTCCAGCAAGGAGGACAGTGGGACTTTTCTTTCTTTTTTTTTTTTTAACAATAAAAGATAACATTTAATTTTAAAAATTAGCAAAGCATCTGAACAAACATTGCACCAACCCAAATGTACAGATGGCAAAGAAGTGTATTAAAAGATAATATCAATCATTAAGAAAATGAAAATTAAATGTGTAATGAGAAACACTTCAAGATATAGCTATTGAAATGGCTAGAATTAAATACACATATACATTTACATGACAATATGAAATGCTGGCAAGGATGTATTACAAAAGGAACCCTCACTCATTGCTAGTGGAAATGCAAAATGGTTCAGGCATTTTGGAAAACAGTTTGGCAGTTACTTTTAAAATTTAACATACACTTGACATATGACCCAGCATTTTCACTCATAGATACCTTTGGAAGGGAATTGAAAAATCAAGTTTACACAAAAATGTATATGAGAATATTTATGGAGCCTTACTAAAAATCACTAAAAACTGGAAACAACCAAGATGCTCTTCAGTTGGTGAATGGATAAACAAATTGTGGTACAATCATAAACTAGAATACCATTCGGCAATTAAGATAACTGTTGATATTCATACAGCTAGGATGAATCTTAAATGCATTATGCTAAGAGAAAGAAGCCATATCCAAAAGGTGACATGTGATATAATTCCATTTATATGACATCCTGGAAAAGGCAAAATTATAGGAACAGAGAACAGGTCAGTAGTTGCCAGGGGTTGGGGGAGGTCCGAGGGGTTGACTATAATGTGCTGTACAAGATAATTTTTAGGGTGATGGAATTGTTCTATGCGGTACTATGGAAGAGGATATCTGACTTTTTACATTTGTCAAAACTCACAAAACTGAATTTTAAACTCACAAAACTGAATTTTATTGCATTCAAGTTTTTTTTTTTAAATTATACTTTAAGTTCTAGGGTACATGTGCACAACGTGCAGGTTTGTTTCATATGTATGCATGTGCCATGCTGGTGTGCTGCACCCATTAACTCATCATTTACGTTAGGTATATCTCCTAATGTTATCCCTCCCCCCTCCCCCACCCCATGACAGGCCCCGGTGTGTGATGTTCCCCTTCCTGTGTCCATGTGTTCTCATTGTTCAATTCCCATCTATGAGTGAGAACATGCAGTGTTTGGCTTTTTGTCCTTGTGATAGTTTGCTGAGAGTGATGGTTTCCAGTTTCATCCATGTCCCTACAAAGGACATGAACTCATCCTTTTTATGGCTGCATAGTATTCCATGGTGTATATGTGCCACATTTTCTTAATCCAGTCTATCATTGATGGACATTTGGGTTGGTGCAAGTCTTTGCTATTGTGAATAGTGCTGCAATAAACATGTGCGTGCATGTGTCTTTATAGCAGCATGATTTATAATCCTTTCAGTATATACCCAGTAATGGGATGGCTGGGTCAAATGGTATTTCTAGTTCTAGATCCTTGAGGAATCGCCACACTGTCTTCCACAGTGGGACTTTTCTAACGTGCACATTTTCATAGCAAGCAAGAGGAGTGGCCTCCAGTGTGAGGATTCTAGATTGCACCCAAACAGGCAGAATTTCTATTTTACAGACCTTCTGGAAGACTGTCAGCTTTAGACCTACCCAGGCATTCCAAATCTCTTACAAGATTTGGAACTCTTAGGCTCTGCTCACTGCTAAATTATTTGGAAACTAATTAAGGGAACTGATAGCGCCTTTCAGGCAGCTTTTGAATTTCTGAAGCCTGCCTAAACTTGCAGAATGACTGTATATTATTGTGGGTATAAGAACAGTGTTTCTCGCCACACTGTGTATATGTGAAGGTTGTCCTTTTGTTTGTAACTATAGCAACAAGTTCTATAGCCCGCTGTTTTGCTCAGCTCAGCCTTGCCACCTCATGGACTGCCTAATAATTGCTGCTCAACAATAATTTGTCTCTAACTGATTTACACTGTGTTGGCTTGCTTTTTCTAAAAGAGTCCTAGCCTTAACACTGTTGCAGTGACAGAAGTCAAATTGTGTCAGCCTGCCTGTATTGCTGATCCTGCTTTTGGCTATTGAAGGCCAAGAGGAAAGGGCTTTGCTAAGACCACAGAGAGTCTTGTATGGTATAATAGGAAAGAGTGAGGGATTTGGAGCCAGGTGACATGGGTTTAAATAAATACTGCCAATCCTTGCTGTGTGATCTTGGGCACATCATTTATATTCTCTGATTGTCAATTTCCTCCTGTACAAAATGGAGATAATTCTTATGGTATGTGGTTGTTAGGACAAAGTGAAGTAATACAAGGGAAAGTTTTGTTTAAATTGTGAAGGGTTATATAAATATTATTATTAGGCGCCCTGAACAAGAGTGCTTGCATGCTGACAAGGGCAACCTGGAGGGTGTGTTGGAAACACATCACGTCTGTTTCTATGGCAGTTCTGCCTCATGTAAGGTGCTGCCCCATCATGAGCCCACATGTTATACCTACTCAGAAATGAGTAATACAGAGCTTGTTTTGATTATGTAGGTTTCCGAGAAAAAAGGGAAAAAATATATAAGATGCTTTAAAGAGAGAGTGAGGATCTTTTCTTGGGTCTGTGCTTGGGGTATGGTAGGAATGGGCAAAGGAAAGCAAGGGGATGGTGAAATGAGGGAGAAGGCCTAGAGCTCTCTCAGCACCCTTCCATCCTCGGGAGGGGTGCTGATTCTGTAATAGAGACTTGGGTTCTCCACCATCATGTTGCAATTAACAGATTCCTCATGGATTACACATGCATATAATCTAAGAGGTAACTGTTTAACATGTCTGAACATTAACTTTAAAGGCCAGATATGCACTTGAAGCTTTCTTTCAGAGTTTTTCTATTTGTGCGTTTGTGCGGTTTTAATTGAAGGTAGTTCAAACCCCATTGTTACTTTAACACTTCAATTATGAAGCAATTTTTATCTGTACATATTTACTGCAAGAGTTTTCATTTTTCCTTTAAGATTCTTTTTGTTTTTTCTGTAGGATTCTTTTCTTTTCAGGATTCTTTTTTCGAAAGTCCTCTTTATCATTCCTTTTAGGAAAAAAAAAATGTTGTGATTTGATTTGTTGGGTCTTTGAATAACATTTTTACTTTTTTAAAAAAAGCATCTCCATAAATATATATACCTACTATGTACCCACAAAAATAAAAATAAATAAAATAAAATATGTATCTATATCTTAAAAAATGTTTCAAGTCTAACATTGTCTTTGTATGGTAAAAATAAGCATTGTATAATTGTACATAGAATATAAAATCTAGGCAGGAATAACTGCAATCATTTTATCTGTGGCTTTTAGGACTATTAAGTTAGTTCCATCTGATTTTGTTGTTGTTGTCCATTAAATGGATCTGAGGTATGCCTCATGTCAGATTGGCTGCCCAATATTCTGAGCCTGTCATATAGTGGACCAGAGGCCCCATAGGATGAGCCTTAAATTTTATAGACTTTTAATGTTATCTCCAAAAGATAATATACATATAATTACCAGAGATACACTGACAGAATTGAAGGCACTTGTCATACAACTTTATACCACAATTTTTGTAACCCTGTTTTGAAGTTTCTATGTTTTTTAACATGTTAGGAAACTAAAACAAAACAAAACAAAAAAATGGAAGTGTCCCAGAGTTCTCCCTTCCTCCAAGGGGTCAGCTCTGAGTTCCTGTAGAAACATGTTGTAATTAACCTTGTAGAGCAATGGGCTGCTGGGGGAAGGAGCACCCAATCTTATCTTCAGGGCAGTCAGAAGAGCCAAGTCACAAAAAAGAACACTCAGGTTCTGTGTGGGACTAGGAGAGAAATAAATCATGTTCAACTTTACATTACACCCTGCTGTTTCTAAAATGAGCAAAACCTGTGCTTGTTCAATGATGAGTAATATTGAAAGACCGTGTGGTTTTCTGCTACAGCTTTCTTGAAGCATTGCCATTTTATTGTCCAAAAGTCACATTGTTTGTGTATCCTGCCCCATTCTCTGGAGCATGCAGTATTTGGTTTTTACACATGCTCCTTGTAACTATCTAGAAATGTTTCCTTAAGAATTCAAAATCAAAACAAAATGATGATCACCTATGTTTCGTTTGAAGAAGAGGAATTACTGATATGTGTTACAAAACAAGGGGTACCCTGCAATGTTTATGGCTTAATTATTCTTTGTGAAGCTTCCTATTTTGGCTTATTCATGTCCTCTGCTTTCTTAAAATCCCCTTAAGACCACATCCTCTTCTCTTCAGACTCCTACAGCATCTCACGGTACTGCCTTGCCTCCTTCCAGTGGGGGCTGCTTCTCTGCAGAACTTGCTATGCCAGTGGTGCTCCCTGTAAGTGTGAAGTGTGTGGCCACCCTGTTTCTGTGGTTCAAGTTATCATAGCACCAATTTCAGTTAAAACGTTTAGAATTTTATGTCTGTGATTTTTTGATTAACTTGTCTTGCTGCCAGTCTCTGGGTCCCCTAAGGTCAGGAACCTTGTCTGGTCTTGCTCACCACGGTACCTATCTCCTACCCATAGCACAGTGGCTGGGTCCCAGCCTCCAGATTGTTTCCTTTCCTCTAAATTCACTCCTTTTCCAAGCCATTCTTCTCATTGTCAGCAATATCTTTACAACTCTGCCATGGCTCCCAACGCCTAGAGTTCAAGTCCCAAATTCCAGGCTACCAGTTACTTTTTCAGCCCTATCTACTCTCCTAAGAACGTTGCTTTTTATTTGGGCTTATTTTACCTCAGCTTATGTGACAGAGAACTAGTTCTTTCCCTGCCTTACTTTCTCTTCAGATTATACATTGTTTGCATATTTGTAAATTCTTTATAGGAAAACTCAATAAATATTTACTTAATTGATTTAGGCATTCTGGAGATATAAGTCTCTAGAATTACCATACCTGATGGCTATGTAGTTCTTCCTATGCCAGGAATTTAAGGTGTTATATTAAACATTCTCTGTTCATATCACCGTAGCCTGAGAATATACTTTATTCTATTATTTTATTTACAGCTGTCAATCATATTGCCTGCAATATGGAACTATTAATACAATGGGCTTTGCAATCCAATATATTAACTGTCTTTGGATATTTATTGTTTTTTTTTGTTTGTTTTCTGTTTTGAGACAGAGTTTCACTCTGTTGCGCAGGCTGGAGTGCAGTGGCGCTATCTCGGCTCACTGCAACCTCCGCCTTCCAGGTTCAAATGATTCTCCTGCCTCAGCCTCCTGAGTAGCTGGGATTACAGGCGCCCACCACCACGCCCGGCTAATTTTTGTATTTTTAGTAGAGACGGGGTTTCACCATGTTGGCCAGGCTGGTCTCTAACTTCTGACCTCGTGATCCGCCCACCTCCACACCACAAAGTACTGGGATTACAGGCGTAAACCACTGCGCCCGGCCAGATATTTGTTTTATCCATTAAACTTTGTTATCTGGTTAAGTCCTTTCCTGCCTATTTAATTAGATTAATTAGTGTTTTTTTGTTTTAATTCACACAGACTTTTTTATATTTGCCTCTGTTGGGTTTTCTTTCACTACTCATTCTCCCTGTCTTTTCCTTTTTTGAAAAACACGTTATTGAGGTATGGTTGATGTATAAAATACTGTACATATTTAATGTATACATCTCAATGAGTTTGGGGATAAGTATACACCCATGAAACCATCAACCATCATCAATCTCATAAACATATCTCTCACCTTCCAAAGTTTTATCCACCCCCTGTATTATTATATTTGTTGTTGCTTTATCATAAGATCTAATCTCTTAGTAATTTTAAGTATACAATAGGGTATTGTTAGCTACAGGCACTATGCTGTCTAGTAGATCTTCAAAACTTATTTATCTTGCATAGCTGAAATTTTGTACTCTTTAACTATTACTCCCCAGTTTCTCCTACCCCAAGTCCCTGGCAACCACCATCCCACTCTGCTTCTATGAGTTTGACTGCTTTAAGTTCCATATATAAGTGAGATCATATAGCATTTGTATTTCTCTGTCTGCCTAAATATTTCATTTTCTATCCATGATGTTGCAAATGGGAGAATTTCCTTTTCTATGACTGTAAAATGTTCCATTGTATACATATATCGCAATTTCTTTGTCCATTCATATGTCCATGGAAATTTATGTTGTTTCCATATCTTGGCTTTTGTAAATAGTGATGAAATGAACGTGGGAGTGCCAATAGCGCTTCGAGATCCTGATTTCGATTCATTTGGAAATATAACCAGAAGAATTGCTGGATAATAAGGAAGGTTTATTTTTTACTTTTTGAGGAGACTTCATACTGTTTTCTATAATGGTTTACCAACTTACCTTCCCACTAACAGTGTACAAGTGTTCCTTTTTCTTCACATTCTCATCAACAATTACTATCTTTTGTTGCCATTGCTTTTGGTGTTTTAGACATGAAGTCCTTGCCCATGCCTATGTCCTGAATGGTAATGCCTAGGTTTTCTTCTAGGGTTTTTATGGTTTTAGGTCTAACATTTAAGTCTTTAATCCATCTTGAATTAATTTTTGTATAAGGTGTAAGGAAGGGATCCAGTTTCAGCTTTCTACATATGGCTAGCCAGTTTTCCCAGCACCATTTATTAAATAGGGAATCCTTTCCCCACTGCTTGTTTTTCTCAGGTTTGTCAAAGATCAGATAGTTGTAGATATGTGGCATTATTTCTGAGGCCTCTATTCTGTTCCATTGATCTATATCTCTGTTTTGGTACCAGTACCATGCTGTTTTGGTTACTGTAGCCTTGTAGTATAGTTTGAAGTCAGGTAGCGTGATGCCTCCAGCTTTGTTCTTTTGGCTTAGGATTGACTTGGTGATGCGGGCTCTTTTTTGGTTCCATATGAACTTTAAAGTAGTTTTTTCCAATTCTGTGAAGAAAGTCATTGGTAGCTTGATGGGGATGGCATTGAATCTATAAATTACCTTGGGCAGTATGGCCATTTTCATGATATTGATTCTTCCTACCCATGAGCATGGAATGTTCTTCCATTTGTTAGTATTCTCTTTTATTTCATTGAGCAGTGGTTTGTAGTTCTCCTTGAAGAGGTCCTTCACATCCCTTGTAAGTTGGATTCCTAGGTATTTTATTCTCTTTGAAGCAATTGTGAATGGGAGTTCACTCATGATTTGGCTCTCTGTTTGTCTGTCATTGGTGTATAAGAATGCTTGTGATTTTTGCACATTGATTTTGTATCCTGAGACTTTGCTGAAGTTGCTTATCAGCTTAAGGAGATTTTGGGCTGAGATGATGGGGTTTTCTAGATATACAATCATGTCATCTGCAAACAGGGACAATTTGACTTCCTCTTTTCCTAATTGAATACCCTTTATTTCCTTCTCCTGCCTAATTGCCAATGGGATCTAATTAAACTAAAGAGCTTCTGCACAGCAAAAGAAACTACCATCAGAGTGAACAGGCAACCTACAAAATAGGAGAAAATTTTTGCAACCTACTCATCTGACAAAGGGCTAATATCCAGAATCTACAATGAACTCAAACAAATTTACAAGAAAAAAACAAACAACCCCATCAAAAAGTGGGCGAAGGACATGAACAGACACTTCGCAAAAGAAGACATTTATGCAGCCAAAAAACACATGAAAAAATGCTCTTCATCACTGGCTATCAGAGAAATGCAAATCAAAACCACAATGAGATACCATCTCACACCAGTTAGAATGGCAATCATTAAAAAGTCAGGAAACAACAGGTGCTGGAGAGGATGTGGAGAAATAGGAACACTTTTACACTGTTGGTGGGACTGTAAACTAGTTCAACCATTGTGGAAGTCAGTGTGGTGATTCCTCAGGGATCTTGAACTAGAAATACCATTTGACCCAGCCATCCCATTACTGGATATATACCCAAAGGACTATAAATCATGCTGCTATAAAGACACATGCACATGTATGTTTATTGTGGCATTATTCACAATAGCAAAGACTTGGAACCAACCCAAATGTCCAACAATGATAGACTGGATTAAGAAAATGTGGCACATATACACCATGGAATACTATGCAGCCATAAAAATGGTGAGTTCATGTCCTTTGTAGGGACATGGATGAAATTGGAAATCATCATTCTCAGTAAACTATCACAAGAACAAAAAACCAAACACCGCATATTCTCACTCATAGGTGGGAATTGAACAATGAGAACACATGGACACAGGAAGGGGAACATCACACTCTGGGGACTGTTGTGGGGTGGGGGGAGGGGGGGAGGGATAGCTTTAGGAGATATACCTAATGCTAAATGACGAGTTAATGGGTGCAGCACACCAGCATGGCACATGTATACACATGTAACTAACCTGCACATTGTGCACATGTACCCTAAAACTTAAAGTATAATAATAATAAAAGAAAGAAAAACAATTACTATCTTTTGTTTTTTCAATCATAGCCATCCTAACAGGTGTGAGGCGACATCTTATTGTGGTTTTGATTTGCATTTCCCCAATGGTTGGTAATGTTGATGAACTTTTTACATACTTGTTGACCATTTGTATGTTTTCTTTGGAAAAATGTCTATTCAGCTCCATTACCCATTTTTTAATGGGATTATTTGAGTTGTTGCTATTCAGTTGTATAAGTTCCTTGTATGTTTTGGATGTTAACCCCTTGTCACATATATAGTTTGCAAATATTTCCTCCTATTCCATAGGTTGCCTTTTCATTTTGTTGATTGTTTCTTTTGATGTGCAGAAGTTTTTTAGTTGGATGTCATCTCACTTTATTTTTCCTTTTGTTGCCCATGCTTTTGGTGTCATATCCAAAATATAATCACTAAAACCAATGTCAAGGACTTTTTTCCTATGTTTTCTTCTAGGAGTTTTATGCTTTCAGATCTCATGTTTAATTCTTTAATCTAGTTTGAGTTAACTTTTGTGTGTGATGTAAAACAAGGGCCTGATTTCATTCTTTGGCATGTGGCTATCCAATTTCCCTAACACCTGTATTGAAGAAACTATGTTGTGCATTCTTGACATCCATGCCAAAAATTACTTGACTGTATATGCATTGGTTCATTTCTGGGCTTTCTATTTTGTTCCATTGGTCTTTTATTTTTATTTAATGCCAGCACCATACTGTTTTGATTACTATAACTTTGTGCTACAATTTGAAATCAGAACATGTGATTTTTTCTAGCATTGTTGTTCCTGCTCAAGGTTGGTTTGGCTATTTGGGGTCTTTTATTGTTCCATATAAATTTTAGGATTTTTTTTCTATTCCTGTGAAAAAAGTGCCATTGGAATTTTATAGGGATTGCATTGAACCTGTAGATTGCTTTGTATAGTAAACCATTTTAACAATATTAATTCTTCTAATCCATAACATGGGATACCTTTCCATTTATTTATGTCTAATTTCTTTCACCATAGTTTTATAGTTTCCAGTGTACAGATCTTTCATGTCCTTGGTTAAATGTATGCCTAAGTATTTTTATTCTAAAGGTTAAAGTTTTTCTGATGATCTCTATCAGAACTCTGTTGTAGTGTCTTTTAGTTGCTTCCCTGTGTAAATACTTTACTTGCTCTAAAATATTTAGAATGTTTTCAGAATAATAGAGATTGAAAACTTTAGCAAACTGAAGAATTTGTACAGATTCAGCATGGTACTTATCATTTGTTGCCTAGTTAAGCTGCATCATATTTAAAGGTGCAGTGCTCTGAGAAATTGTCTGAACCTAAGTTTTCAAAGTTAATACCATCTTGATTATAAAGATTTCAAGGCCAGGCGTGGTGGCTCATGCCTGTAATCCCAGCACTCTGGGAGGCCAAGACAGGTGGATCACCTGAGGTCAGGAGTTCGAGACCAGCATGGCCAACATGGTGAAACCCTGTCTCTACTAAAAATACAAGAATTAGCTGGGTGTGGTGGCACACGCTTGTAATCCCAGCTACTCTGGAGGCTGAGGCAGGAGGATCACTTGAACCTGGGAGGCAGAGGTTATAGTGAGCAGAGAATGCACCACTGCACTCCAGCCTGGGAGACAGAGCGAGACTCTGTCTCAAAAAAAAATACACATATATACCTATTTTTAAAATAAATAGATGCACTATACTTTGCAACCCTTTTGTAATAGCAGAAAACTGGAAATATTCAATATGTTTATAAATAGGAAATTGAGTAACCTATGGTGCATCTATGCAAAGGAGTGCTATGCAGGTATGAAAAGGGATGAGGTCTATCTCTGTATATTCCTATAAAGTTCTTTAGGATATATTATTAAGTCTAATTGTCTAGGTTTTGCTTCAAAATAATCTAGAGAGTTCAAAGGGGAAGTGGAAGGGTTATAGATAAAATTGCTCATTAATTGATATTTGTTGAAGCTCGTTAATGGGTACTTGAGGAATAATTGTACTAATCTGCTACTTTTGTTTATATTTGAAACACTTTTTCTTTCTTTCTTTTTTTTTTTTTTTTTTTTTGAGACAGAGTCTCGCTCTTTCTCCCAGGCTGAAGTACAATGGCGCAATCTCGGCTCACTGCAACCTCCACCCGCGGGGTTCAAGTGATTCTGCTGCCTCAGCCTCCCAAGTAGCTGGAATTATAGGCACATGCCACCATGCCTGGCTAATTTTTTTTGTATTTTTAGTAGAGATGGGGTTTCACCATGTTGGCCAGGCTAGTCTTGAACTCCTGACCTCAGGTAATCCACCTGCCTCTGTCTCCTAAAGTGCTGAGATTACAGGCGTGAGTCACCATGCCCGGCCTTTGAAAAACTTCTTAATAAAAAAGTTAAATAAGATATAGCCTAATGTTCTGAAGGAAATATTTTTCTGGGATATTCATTCACATTTAATATCCATGAAAGGATTGAGTGTACATATTTTAGTTTATTCACAAAACAAATTTAAATATATAGCCAAACCATTTTTAGCTGCTTGAAGATTTAAGCAATAAACTGTGATTACCTAGCAAATATAAAGTATTGTAATGCCATAATAATAATGGTTATTTAAAAAAAAAAACACTTTAGGGCATTGAAAAAAGCAAACGTGTTAAAGAAAGGGAAGTCAAATGATACCACTGGCTATTAACATCACATAACAACAGACAATCAGATATTTGGAGCCTCCTGATGGAAGTATATGTTACCACCTCTGAAGTATTGTTGTAGCAGCAGGAAGAGGAAAACAAGTACATGTATAATTTCCGGCTGGCAGAAAATTAGAGATAGAGTGAAGCTCAAGTCCCAGAGGCATTATCACATTTAATCTGCACATCTTTTTGAAACATAAAAATTTGTTGTTGTTTTGTCTTACTAATTTTAACCCATTTTAGAGAGGAGTAAATTTAATGAATAAATGATATGTCTGTGACCACCTGACTAATACATTCAAGAACCAGAACCTACCAAGCCTTCTGGCTTCTTATGATGGAATGTGCTTTCCATGTTATAGAGTGAGGCTCAGTGTCATCAAGGAACAGCCAATCCAATGAGATTGACATGAGAAATGATACATATTCAGCAGAAGATCAGACCCTAAAAGCATGACAATTGCAGTTATCTTCTCTGGCAAGAGAAGAGTGTAAGTATAATATTCTGTTGATTCAGTGAAGATTCATGTATTTCAGAGATCAAAAAGAGCTGATGATGATATTGGCTTTCTCTTATGCAATGGAGGCATTTTGCCTGCTCTCTCTCCAGAAGGGCAGTCATCCCAGTGTCACCAAAGTGGACCAATGGAGCCCTTGCTGACTAAGACAGAGTCCTTTTAGAAACTGTTGTGGATCTGCTTGAATACATGACCAAATCGATGGCTAATATACAAGGCCAGCTTCAGCCTCATAGATGTATGACCTATGCAGTCACACAAGGACCTGCTCTCAGAGGGGCCCTGCACTTGGTTTAATGCCCTGCTGTCACCATTTTTAAATACTTAAAATTTTATTTTTGAGCTTGAGTTTTGTAAATAAAGTCTGTTGGAACAATTGAACATTCACATGAGCAGCACAGATAGGCCAGGCAGCAGTGTGCACATGCACAGGCCTGAATCGATGGCTGTGGCAGAGGGTGTGGGTGCCAAGCAAATAGGCCTGTGGCCTGGTGCTCAAATGCATGCATCAGGGCAGTTTGGGGTATCACAGAGTCCCAAGGCAGCCAGGCCAGCACTTGAGTGCAGATTGGCAAAAGCAATGGCAGCAATAGCAGCAGAAGCAACATGACAACAAAAGTAATAGGGACAGCTACATCAGTGATGGCCTCAGGAGAAAGAAGAGGCCTGCATGGGGACAGTTCTGGAACCTACCATGGGAGGCTTGTCCCCAGCACCTGTCTCTGTGGTATCTGCACATATAATAAGGAAAGAAACTATTGGCACTCAATGCAGAAAACTTTTTTAGTAAAATATTACAAAATAAAAGCAAACACACAGACATTGCAATAAAACATGTCAAGGAGTTATTAGAATTCTTCAAAGAGTTTAAAATCTCCAGTTTTGAAAATTACTATAATATTACAAATCAAATATCCATAAGTTTAGGAATAGAAATTAAAGATGATTGCATGTGACAGAAAATAATAGTTTTCCAAGCTTGAATAAAGCTTATGAAGCTTTGAATAAATGAAGTATGAACAAGAAAGACCATTTTAAATTTTATTTTTTTTTGTAATTGAACATACAGCAATAGAATGCATATAAGCAAGTGTTCTGGTGTATATACAAAATATAAAGCCACTTTTGGATTATTGCACAACCTCCAGAAGTTACAGGAATTGTCAGAGGATACATTAAAATGAATGTTGAATAAATGTACATTTAAAATTAAATTCACAGAGGAAGCTGATTTTTATGAAGAGTTAAATCTTTTTAGAAAATTGTTCTATGAGAATCATTAGCTCAAAAGGTTATATTTTGAAATGATTTATCAGAAATTTATCTAAATGTTATCACAGCCTATAAATATTCTTATAAACTTCAGTGAAAGATGCATGAGCAGGAAGATTCTTCTCAAATTAAAAATTGCCAAAAATTATTTATGATCTTGCATTTCCCAAGAGCAGCTCACATCACTTTCAGTTTGATCAATTAAAAATGAAATTACAATGAGTATAAATTTTGATGATCTAGTAAATTAATTTGCAGAAAAGTGAGCCAGAAAAATCTTATGATCAATCAAGATATTACATTATTGTTATTTTATTATATAAAATTGTGACATCAAAAATATTTTCTTAGGATTCATTACTATTCACTTAGTTTTTGTTGCTATTCATGTATTACTATTACCCCTATTATATTTTATAAGTAATAAATTTTTTTAAAGGAAAAACTTTTTATATATTGGTAACTTTCAGAGAACATTTTTCTGACATTTTGACAAGGAATCCTAGGTTTGTTTTTTTGTACTGGGTCCTGCAAATTATGTGGGTCACCCTGCCAATATGATCTGAGGAAAAAAATTTTCGAAGCTGGTGTTAGCAGTTGCCCACAGCAATTACAGAAGAACCTCAGTTTTGCTCCTGTGGGAATTTGGTTTTGAACAAACTAACTTTCCAATAAGGAGTGAATGAATTATTGTTACTGCATTGATTTAGTGTTAAGCATTTTATTTCTGAAAATTCAAGTAAACTATTTGCAATTGTAATATTCTTTGGACATTAGAAGAACAGCAGAACTTGTTTGTCCCGTTGGCAATTATTTTTAGCACACATTATAAGTATGTTATTTGCTAGGTGTTGAAGGTATATGGGTAAATAAGAATATAGTTTCTGTTCTAAGAAGTCCAATAAGGTAGACAATATGAAAAATAGTAAATTACAATACACTGTTTTAAGCACTTTTCTACAGAAATATGTACAATGTATAGATTATAGAGGTATCAGAAAGCACATTTTGCTTATAATAGGATAGCTGGAGAGGTTTCTGGCTTCTTGTTTCATAAATGTCTAGGCTGATACTGACTTGCATTCTCATTATAGTTCATATCTATTTTACATATATAATTCATATATATTTTTTATTTTCCAATTAATGCAACAGTAGCATACTTTTAAAAATAAGAATGATTGATTTGAATGCAACAATAGAGAGTATCTTTGCAAAAAAGCCGTCTTTTATAATGAGATTATAGCTAACTTTCCTGATTTGTAGTTTCATTGAACAATAGCTTATTCCAGTTTTTTGCTTATTTTTTTATTTTCCATTAATTTTACTTTATAGGTGAAGATACTCCTAAATAGCCACATATGGATTAATTTTATTTTAGAATCGTGAAAAATGGAAGACAGTAGCACAGACACAGAAAAAGAAGAGGAAGAGGAGAAAGATGAAAAGGATCAAGAGCCCATTTATGCCATAGTGCCCACAATTAACATTCAAGATGAGCGGTTTGTTGATTTATCTGAAACTCCAGCTTTCATTTTTCTGCATGAGGTATATTTTTCTTTTTTTTTTTTTTTTTTTTTTTTTTTGAGACGGAGTCTCGCTCTGTCGTCCAGGCTGGAGTGCAGTGGCGGGATCTCGGCTCACTGCAAGCTCCGCCTCCCGGGTTCACGCCATTCTCCTGCCTCAGCCTCCCAAGTAGCTGGGACTACAGGCGCCCGCCACTACGCCCGGCTAATTTTTTTTTGTATTTTTAGTAGAGACGGGGTTTCACCGTTTTAGCCGGGATGGTCTCGATCTCCTGACCTCGTGATCCGCCCGCCTCGGCCTCCCAAAGTGCTGGGATTACAGGCGTGAGCCACCGCGCCCGGCATATTTTTCTTTATATGTTACTACAGTAAAACCCAACTCAACATGTACTTAAAAATTCAAATGAAGCCAATATCATTATCAAAATTCTTTATTACATATATCCTGTAGGTGATATTTACAACTTGATACACTAAAACAAAATGGTCCCTGCCTTTTCTTCCAAAAATTTATCATGTAATTCTGAACCAATGCAGTAGTGTAGGTTCTGATACTTTCGTAGCATAAGTATTTGCATATATATTCGGTCAGTTACATACATTTCGTGGGTTGGTACATGAAATAAAGAAGATTTCTTTTATTATTGCATATACTACATTTACTTCCATAAAATTAAAATATCTTGTCATATAATGATAGAAAGAATATATATTTACCTAACTAACTATAGTTACTGCAGTGGAGCACTGAAATCTGCTGTTTTCTATCAGCAAATAAGCAAAAAGGGGAATATGATGAATTATACATTCTCATTATGTGAACTTTAAAAAGCAAGATGAACATTTAGGAAATACCCATATATGAGGAGAGGTTTTTTTTTAAGTAATGGCTGACTATGTATTCAGCTGTTACCTTGTCATGCCTGAGAGCTATACTTTAGAAAATGATTTAGAGGACTTTTGAATTTCAGATGATAAACTTTATATAACTGAATAAAACATTCTAAGAAATTTGATAGTCATAGTAAAAAATAAGTTTAAAAAGTCTTAAAGCAAAAACAGAGTTTATTAAAAACCAAGAAGCAAAACCAAATTGGAACAGAATGCAATAAAAAAGTAATTTTAAAAATAATAGTGCTATATATGTGTATACAGGATCTAAATTGCTAAATTGTTCACTTTTTCTACAGTTTTGACTTTTTCTTTTATTTTGACATAATTTCAGATATACAGGACAGTTGCAAGATTAGTGCAAAGAATTTGCATGTATCTTTAACCCAGATTTCTCAGATGCTAACATCTTACCACATTTGCTTTATCCTTTTCTTTCTATCTTCTTGTTCTCTCAACCTCTCTCTTTCTCTCTCTGAAGACACGATGCCCCTTTATACCTAAATGCATCACTATATTTCCTAAAAATATATTCATTCTCTTAATCATAGTACAATTATATCAGGAAATTAACATTGATATAATACCATTTTCTAATCTGCATACCTTATTCGGGTCTTGCCAGTTGTCCCAATAATGTTCTTTATAGCAAAAGAAAATTCTAGGTTATGTATTGCATTCAGTAGTCATCTCTTTAGTCTCCTTTAATCTAAAGGAAATTCAGGATTTCTTTAGTTTTCATGATATTGACACTTTGAAGAGAAGAGGCCGGTTATTTTGTGATTTTCTTTCAATTTGGATTTTTCCGATTTTCTTATTATTAGATTCATGCTATGTATTTTTGGTAAAGATATAAAGACACAATCTTGTATCCTTCTCAATTATCTTCTACTAGGAACACATGATGTTGCCTTGTCCCATTGCTAGACTTGTTCATCTTGATCACTTGGTTAAGGTGATGACTTCCAGATTTACCTTTTATTTATTTTTCTGTTTGAAATTAATAAGCACCTCAAGAAGAGATACTCTGAGACTATGTGGTTGTCTTACTCCTCTTAAAATTTTCACCTACAAGTTTGGGATTTATTGGGGATACTTACCCAGATCAACTCTTGTTATGATGGTTGTCAAATGGTGATTTTCTAATTCCATCATTTCTTCTATATTTATTAGGTGGCTTTCTACTATAAGGAAGAACTTTCTCTTCTTTCCTTATTTATTCATCTTTTTATCAGTGTGGACTTAGGTTTCTCACTGTCATTCCTTTTCATGCTATCATTGTCCCACATTTGGCCAGTGTACACCCTTCAGGTAGGCTCACTTGTCCTTCTGATATGCTCCTGTGATTCCTTCTGCACTTCCTTACTTTCTGGCACAAGAATGTGTTCTGGGCTCATCTTGTATTTTTTTTGCTCCAGCCCTAGAATCAGCCATTTCTTGGAGGATCCCTAGTTCCTGTTACTGGAGAATGATATTTGGAAACTAAGATATTAATGCTGAGCATGGTCATTGATCCTAGAATGTCATAGCTTCTAGCCCCTCTCAGTGGACAGAGCTAGGAAACAGATTCATGAATATTTATATCCACACAAATTTAAATCTATTTCTACATCTATCTTTATATATTTTTTAGTCTAACTTTTATTTTAGATACAGGGCATACATGTACAGGTTTTGTACATGGGCATATTGCATCCAGGTGGTAAGCCTAGTACCCAGTAGGTAGTTTTTCAACCCACACTCCCCTTCCTCCCTCCACTCTCTAGTAGTCTGCAGTGTCTGTTATTCTCATGTTTTTGTCCATGTGTGCTCAGTGTATAGCTCCCACTTATAAATGAGAATATGCAGTGTCTGGTTTTCTTTTCCTGCATTAATTCACTCAGGATTATGGTCTCCAGCTCTTCTATGTCTCTGTGAAGGACATGATTTCATCCTCCTATATGGTTGCATAGTATTCTGTGGTGTATATATATAACACACTTTCTTTATCCAATCCCCCACTGATGGGCCACTAGATTGATTCCACATCTTTGTTATTAATAGTGTGGTGATGAATGTATGAATGCATGTGTCTTTTTGGTAGAATGATCTATTTTCCTTTGGTTTTATACCCAGTAATGGGATTGCTGGGTTGAATGGTAGCTCTGTTTTAAGTTATTTGAGAAATCTCCAAACTGCTTTCCACAGTGGCTGAACTAAACTAAAGAGCCTCTTCACAGCAAAAGAAACCATCAACAGAGTAAACAGACAATCTACAGAATGGGAGAAAATATTTGCAAACTGCATCTGAGAAAGGTCTGATATCCGGAATCTATAAGGAACTTAGACAAATCAACAAGCAAAAAACAAATAACCCCATTTTAAAAATAGGCAAAGGACATGAACAGACGTTTCTCAAAAGAAGACATACATGTGGCCAACAAAAGTAGGAAAAAGTGCTCAGCATCACTAATTATCAGAGAAATACAAGTCAAAACCACAATGAGATATTATCTCCCACCAGTCAGAATGACTATTATTAAAAAGTCAAAAACAATGGATGCTGGCAAAGGTATGGAGAAAAAGAAATGCTTATCTTTGTATTTTTAAAACCATGATTTCCTTCCTCTAATCTTAAATTTTAAGTGAAGAGTTCACATTTCTGTCAAAATCCATCATATGTCGAACTTTGCAATAGAATTTCTACTTCTCCACCACTACCCTTAATAATCAAATCAAAAATAAGGCTAAACTTGTGTCATACATTTGTTTGATATAGTAGCTACCAAAGACGTTGACTCAACATACACTTATGATGTAAGGTCATGCATTTTTAGGTCTGACATAAGTTGTTTGAAACCCAATCATACCTGATCTTTGTACTAGTTAAAATAACTCCTCCCCGTGTGGTGGAGATATAGCCCACTTGTTTCTCATCCTGCTAATCCCAAACCCAAAACACCCCACAGCTGCTAACCGTGATAAAACCTAATGATCAACACCAGAGTCATATAAATAAGTTTCCCCCTTCTGGCGTGTTTTCCTTAAACCAGCCAATCCACAACTCCTGTTAGAAGACCGGAGGGATAATACCCATATACCTTAATAAAGGTGAACTCCCACAGCTGCTCTCTCACTCCCTACCCACTGCTGAGCTCCCTGCCACCTCCAGACTTATCTGCGCTCCCCATCAGCACCCCTAAGCTGTCAGATCTGTAAGTAATAAATTTCTTCTGTTTCATGCGTTTGGTTTCACCTTCTCATTGTTGTCATTGTATCTCACCTGACTCACACACAGGAACCTGACGGCCTGCCCGTCAGGGCTCTTCTAAAAAGCAGCTATCTTGGCTTGTAGCCACTCTTCACAGAGTGACCTTAAGACCAGTTTATAAAGAAGCCATAACAGTAAAAATCACAACAACTTGAGTTTATTTGTAGCAAAAGTTATGCTAATAGTAAAGATTATCTTCAAGGTTTTCTAAGCCAAAGATTAAGGTTTGTTTTGCAAAATTAAAGAACTTAGGACAACTTCTCATGCATGTTGATCCTCAATCTAACAATAAATATTTCAAGAATCTCTCAATATACATGGATGCATAATTTATAGTTATTAATCGCTGGGTATAACAGGCCTCTGATAATTATATCCAAGAGCTTTCAATAATAGTTTCAAAGAACTGTGCTACGTACACTTTTGAGTAGTATCAATATCAGCAATTTTACTGCCTGAGAACTCCTCCTCAAAGCAGTGACAAATTGCAAACTTTCGGAATATTCAGAATTATTGGCTTGAGAAAACTTTATTTCCATAACAACACCACTAAGATATTGTTCCTAATTGGCATCTGTAAATTTATTTTCTAATTCTTTTAGGATTACTCTAAAATTTATGGGTCTCACAAGTTTTTAACATACTGTGTATAACCTACTTTATATTCCTTCAGTTGTCTTTGTCTTTTAACCTCTTTGTCTTCCTTCAGTTGTTTAAACAGAAACTGTATCTGCAAAAATGGCAAAAGTGCAGATGACAACTGAAGGAAAGCAGTCAAATCCACTTCCAAGGGTCCAGTTGCTTGGCATAACATTGGAAAACACAGAAACTGCTTATATCATTCATTGTTATTAATGCTAGTTGCACAGTTGTCCCAGCACTGCCAAGTTGCAATGCATGGTTGTCATGCTCTCGTCTCATATTGCCTGAAGAGTGTGTTCAGTATGACATTCACAGGCCTCTGCAATTTATACCCAAACTACTTTTACAATCTAGTCATTCACTTAGATTCTCAAGAGCTACTCTTTATGTTGTTCCGCTCAGCAGGGACTCTCCCATATTTAGAAGGAATAACGTCAGATGTCTAAGGAAACTGGCATAAATTCAAAATACATGATGTAAGATCATGGCTATCCACCAATCTGCCTAGTCGTATTGCCTCCATTGCTTTTAAGCTGTGCCATACATACTAAAAAACCAAACAAAATGCTTGCATAGACTGCACTTTGCAACCCCTGGGTCTGTTCCTAACCTTTGAGATCCTGGCTCAAATCTCTTGTCCTTCAGGGAACTGCCTGAGTAGCCAGCTCACAGGGGTTTCTCCAACCTCTCAACTCTTCCCACATCACTTGACTAATCAGCATAAAATATTTTGCATAGGAAATGTAGAGTTCCATTGAGAACACATGGACACAGAGAGGGGAACAACACACACCAGGGCCTGTTTGGGGGTTGGGGGCTGAGGGGAGGGAAATTAGAGACAGGTCAATAGGGGCAGCAAACCACCATGGCACACGTAGACCTATGGAACAAACCTGCACATTCTGCACACTTATCCCTTTATTTTTTTTAAGAAGAAAAAGAAAATTTAGAGTTCCCCACTGACATTATGATCACATTAAGACCTATGATCGCAATAAGACCTAACAGGGCAGGAACTACACTGTGTTAATTCACTCCTTGGAATGAATGTTCAAAGTGATGCTTGGGGCTGGGCGCAGTGGCTCATGCCTGTAATTGCAGCATTTTGGGAGGCTGAGGTGAGCGGATCACCTGAGGTCAGGGGTTCCAGACCAGCCTGGCCAACATGGCGAAACCCCGTCTCTACTAAAAATACAAAAATTAGCCAGGTGTGGTGGTGCATGCCTGTAATCCCAGCTACTCAGGAGGCTGAGGCAGGAGAATTGCTTGAACCTGGGAGGCAGAGGTTGCAGTGAGCCCAGATCACACCATTGCGCTCCAGTCTGGGCAACAAGTGAAACTGCGTCTCAAAAACAAAAGTGATTAAGTGATGTTTGGAAACCAAGCCACACAACTCCCATCAATGGGTTGTGTGGGTTAATGTAGGACACCTGCTCCCCAAATTGGCCATTGCTGCGTAACTATGAGGCCTGGTACTCCAGACTTTTTTTTGTCCTATTGGATATTTAATCCTGTCCCATTTTCTTTATATTGTTAATTTTTATTTAAGGTATAACATATAGAGTAAACCTCACAAATATTAAGTGTACAGATCAGGTTTTTTATGTATGCTTATAACCAACATGTCCATAACTGAATTTGTCATTCTTCTCCCAATCATCTGTATTCTCTTTGTCAGTTTGAGAGTTAAATATCTCCTTTAAATATGTATCTCATTGATTTATCTCTTCTCCCACCATATTCTCAGTCTGATCAGGATCTACTTCCAGGAACCTGAGGTCTCCCTTGAGACCTTCCCAGTCATTGCTCCCACCCAAGATAACCACTCTACTGGCTTATCATATATTAGTTTGTCTCTTCTTGAACATCATTTAAATGGAGTCATACAGTATGTTTTTCTTTGTGTCTGGCTGCTTTTGCTCACTTTTATAGTTGTGAGGTTCATTAATAGCATTATGCGTGGTGGTAGTTCCATTTCTTTTTTTATTGCTTCTTAGTATCCTGATGATACAGGACAGTCAAGCCCCCAAATTGAGGCTTGCCCTTGAGAGGGTTGTGATGTTAAACAGCAACTTTTATTGAAGTGGCAGTGAACTGCAGCAGCAGAGGTTCTGATCCTTGTGGAGCAGGGATACCCCATAGGCAGTGTACCTGGAATAGGAGCTCAGAGGCAGTTCTGCACTCAAATTTATATCCACTTTTAATTAGATGCAAATTAAGGACTGGTTTATGCAGAAATTTCTAGAATGAGGTTGGTAACTTGCAGGTTGTCGGGTTGATGCCATGGAAAGGGGCAGTAACTTCCTGATGTTACCATGGCAACAGTAAACTAACATGGCACACTGGTGTCTAATGGGGGAGGTGCTTCTGCCTCAGACCTCTTTTAGCTAGTCCTCAATTTGGTGTGATGTCCAAGCCCCACCTCCAAAGTCGAGTTCTGCCTCCTACCTCACTACTGTGTAAATATACCATAATTTGTTGATCCATTCTATTTTGTTTATAAAAATGGATTATTTCCTGTTTTGAAGATAATGAATAAAGTTCTGTGATCATTCTTATGCATGCCTTGTACTTAAGAATGAACTTATCTTGGGTATATACACAGGAGTGGGGTTAATCTGTCATAGTCTAGGTTTATATTCAGCTTTAGTAAAGACCTTCAATCAGTTTTCCAAAGAGGTTGAACCAGCATACACTCCAATGGGTATTATGTTAGATGCTGTCACATGTCCAGGGTTAATACAAGTGATAGCTTTCACGGTATTCCCTAGTTAGGATTTCTACTTCTATCTGTATGTGCTTATGTAAAACAGCACTGATTTATAAATGTGGCCTCACTTGTCAAGGGTCAGTGTGTCAGATGCTGAACTTTTCCACGACTTGGAGGCCGTAAAATCATTTTTGTCTTAATGCTGTGAGCCAAAATCAAAACATTAAATTATTTCGCCTAAGCGAAATAATTGGCTCTTTGCTTTTTACCAAGAGCCAGGCATCTCCTCCCTTCTCTTTATTTCCTGAAAATAATTATTGTTCCAATCATTGTTAAGTAAGTCTTTGACCTGACTTAGCCAAGGGGTGGAAAAAAGGAGGCATAGGAGCATTGCATTTGGGAGGCATAAAAGGGAGAACAAACATTGTAGGGAAACACCGAGGAAGTAAAACTACGAATCAAAATAGAATATGAAACTAAAAGTAGAGTGTGGATGTGTACCAATCATCATGGGCAATGATGAAGATGGATTAAGTTTGTTAATATATGACCTTTTCACGAAAACAGGTTATATATAAAACTATGAGTGGTTGTACTTCTTACAAAATATGTAATAGCAGCATTTGTGTCCAAGTTTCAGTTGCATGTCAGATTTGGTGAGTATTAAGATGTCAAGAACCTTGTGAACAATAATTTTGGACATTAAGTCTTAATCTATTTAAAAGATAAAAGATACAGCATTCACTATGTGCCAGGCACTGTGCTAGATGTTTATAATTATTATTACTAAAGCTACTGAAATTCATCCCTTCAACTCCTCCTTGGTTTTGAGCACCTCCTGTGTGCTGGATTATGCTAGATACCATGAGAATTTATGGACATAAAGCATAAAAAGGTTCCTATTCTTTAGAAGCATTATTTGTGAACAAGAAGATTGAAATATTAAATGTCAACAAAAGGCATATGATTTTGGACCCAGAGGATACAAGCAGTGTTATCAGAAGGGAAAGGGAGGCTTGACTGCTGTGGGATGAGACGGTCTAGAAAGGCTTTTAAGGCAGTAAGACATGAAAGGGGATATTGCATCCATATACACAGGGTCCACTATGAATCTGGTTTCTTTGCCCATACCCATGTATGCACATACTTGGAATATCTTCATGTAGATGACCCCAAAGTACCTCAAACTAAACATACTCACAACTAAATCCATTATCCTTCTCCGGAACCGAACTCTGCTCCTGGGTTCTGTCAGTTGGTTCTCTCTTGTTAATATCTCTTGAATTTGTGTTTTCCATTCCTACCATCTCACCAGTTAGAATGCCGTTTCAGTGATGAAGATGTGAAGAGAGACTGCACAGTGGCATTGGCAATGAGGAAAAAAGGAGTGAATACATTTAGGAGAGATGTTAAGGAAGTATAAAATTCTATAGACTTAGTGTCTGAGTGGATGGAGTGGGTGAGGAAAAGATTCTAAATTGATGCTTGGCATTCTGATTTAGGAAATCAGCCAAATTATGGCACCATACATGAGAGTTCAGAAGAAGCAACAGGTCTGAAGGGAATGTCCAGTATGTGGATCTGAGCCTATGGGGGAAGTCTCTGGCCAGAGGTGTAGTAGACACGGTAGGTTGTTGATATAGTAATCAGAATGCTTTCTGAAAGAATTGCAACTTGATACCTATGTATATTTAACAACACGGTCTACCACTGTGTATTTAAAAAAAGATGCTGCCATTGTTTACCTAATTTCATACTTGTAAAATTATCTTTTTTTATGAGGATATTCACATATTCAAAAGATGCTTTATTTTCTATATATTTTGTTCTCTTAAGGCTGGTACCAGATAAATAAATGTTGGTTTTTTAAATAAATTTCTTTGATGTAAAGTCTGTCTCTGTTGCCCAGACTGAAGTGCAGTGACACAATCTCAGCTCACTGCAACTTCTACCTTCTGGGCTCAAGCAATCCTCCCACCTCAGCCCCTGGAGTAGCTGGGACCACAGACACATAACACCAGGCCTGGCTGATTTTTGTATTTTATGTAGAGATAGAGTTTCACCATGTTGTCCAGGCTGGTCTCAAACTCCCGGGCTCAAGTGATCTACCCACCTCGGCCTCTCAAAATGCTGGGATTACAGGTGTAAACCCCTGCACCTGGCCTAAAATTAAACTAAAGTTTTAATTACTGAAAGTATCGGTGATTTGCTGACGCTACTAAAGCTTCATTTATTTTGTAGGTTGGACCTTCTATAGAGTTACTAATGAGCTTCTTGAGATAATCCCTAATGACATTTCAATTTTTTTCGAGGAATTAAATATTTTCTATTTTTTTATACCTTAAGTAACTGGTTATAAAGGGGAAAAGATAAGAACCCCACCCTCAAGGAGCTTACGAAGTAGTTTCAAGTATGTAAACTTACTTTTCAGAATGATTCTGTAATAGGAGGTTTGAGATATTGCTATTTCCATCTTAAAGATTCTGGAAGATTGAGACTCGCCCTGGGTTACACATCGGGGTGGAATTTGGAACCCAATCTTCCGTTTCCTGCTTCAGCGCGCATTTCACTTGACATTCACACATTTAAACACTGCTATTTTAGGTTTTACAATTTGACTTTTAAAGTAGACTGTGTATTAAAACAAAGATAACTATGTACACTCTGTTTAAATATTTCTAGTATGTTTCCCCATCCTCTCCTTAGTTATCACCCCTCACTAACAGCTGTACTTATAGGCTGTGCTTTAAAAAATGACCAATTTTCTTTTATAAACCTTCCTGCAAATCTTGCTATTATTGACATGTTTTCGCTTTTCCTTCAGACATCTAGGCACCCTTGCAAGAATAATAATTTTTCAAGATTTTCCTTGGCTGTCAAGAATCTTCAAAGAGACGGATAGTTTATTGAACAGTACAGATAGGTTCTATTGTTCCCATATTTTTGTTATTATTGTTTTTACTCTGACAGTGGGGTGGAAATTTAAAAACTTTTCCAGTATGGAAGAAGACCTTGTAATGCACTTAAATATTTGAGATATCAACATAACTAAATCCATTTACAAAGATTGAATATTGATGCTAAGATTATAAGAATACAGGCCATATTCCACTTTGCAAAGTAGATTAATACCCCTCAATTCAGTTAAATGGTACACTGCAGAAGAGGTCAGGGTAAGAGGAAAGAAGGCACTGTGTTAGGATGTCCTCCTCTTGGCATCTTTAAAATGACAAACATGGAGATTGATTTTGGCCAGGAATCTGGGGTATTGTCAGAACAACTCTATTTGAACAAGCTGTGCTTAGTGGTAAGAGGGAGTCAGAAGGATGTTGAAAAGGGGACAGAGAAGAAGAAAGATAAAGAAAAATTGGTCCTTTACCTCCTCACATACAATCTGTGAGATTATCTTCCTTAACTCATTCTGAAAAATCTTTCCTGAGCATCTACAATATGCCAAACCCAAGGCTAGGAATGGGAGGAAAACGCAGCAGTGGCCCTACCCTCAGTGGCCCATCTGTCCCTCTGTTTGTGTGGTTTATTTGCCTCTCTTCTCCTTTATCCTTTTCTAGTTCTTTACTGACATAATGAGATCCTAGTTTGTATGTGTATGTGCATGTGTTTAATTACATAGTTAATACATTTTAATCACCTCTTTATTTTTCATTGATTGTTAACTACTGTTGTAGCAACTTGATTAAATATTAAAAATAATAATCTAAACTTTGATACTGGCTTTCTAAATAGTCGCTGAACGGATGTTGCTCTTCAAAATAAGTACTAGGAGAAATAATAGTATTTTCTCCTTTGAGAGAAGGTTGGCTTTGGAAAGCTCGTGGCTCTTAGGTGAATGTGCATCTTGTAAAACAGTCTCTTTAGTAATGCAATCACTATTTTAATACATTGGGGACTAAAGATGGAAGCTTAAGGATTAAAATAAAATACCTTTTTCAACAAAAAATGTATTAATATATAGGTAGAGAGAGGGTACTGTTGTCTGTTGGGTAGATTCCTTGGCAAATAAACAGAAGGGAGTAGGATTGGGAATTTGTCCATCTGGTAACCAGACTTACAGGTAAATCAGTAAAATGAGTTAGCAGGAGTCAACCCAGTAAAGTTAGCTAAGACAAGACAATTACTAAAGTTTTCATTAGGCAAGCAAGATCAGGTTCTCAATGGTCAAGCAGTGAGATGCAAGCCAGACTAGGAAGTTAAGGAACAGAGTATCAGGGAATCATAAGAAAATTGTAATAAAATTTATTCAGCCATGGGGCTAGTTTTATTTATATAAAGCTATTTTAATATATAAAATATATACATAGTACAAAATCCAGAAGGTGCAGAATAGTAAACAACGAAAAGTCAGCCTTCTACCCCATTATACAATCTAAACTCCCCCTCCCAAGAGACAACCATAATTAACAATCTTTTATATAGCCTTGTAGAACATCTATGCACAAAGAAGTAAGTCGTAGTATAATATACACACTGTTTTTTTCACATATTTATACAATTTTTATTTTTTCAATGTATAGTATTTCAAGGCATGAATGGAACATGCTTTTTAAAACTAGTTCCTTATTATGAGACATTTAGGTCATTTCCAATCATCTGCTATTACAGATAATGATAGAGTGACTAACTTTATACATGCATCATTTAATACTGGAGTAGTCACTGAGCTTCAGAGAGAGCGACAGAGGGGGCTGGGACTTCGACTCCAGTGTTCTATCTCCATATTCAGAGCCCTTTAAGGTTAAGAATGTGGCTGGGCATAGTGGCTCATGCCTGTAATTGCAGCACTTTGGGAGGCTGAGGCGGGCGGATCACTTAAGGTCAGGAGTTCGAGACCAGCCTGGCCAACATGGCGAAACCCCATCTCTACTAAAAATACAAAAATTAGCCTGGCATGGTGGTGGGCACCTGTAATCCCAGCTACTGGGGAGGCTGAGGCAGGAGACTCACTTGAACCAGGAGCCAGAGGTTGTAGTGAGCTCACGCCACTGCACTCTAGCCTGGGCCCCGTGCTAGACTCCGTGCCCCGCACCCCCCCCCAAAGAGAATGTGTGTGTGATTAAAATTTAAGTTAGAGACAGTCTCACTATGTTGCCCAGGCTGGTCTCAAACTCCTGGCCTCAAGTGATCCTCCTGCCTTGGCCTCCCAAAGTGCTAGGATTACAAGGGCTAAGAATTCTAGTCATTCATTCACTCACTCATTCATTCATTCATGAATAAACAGTTTGCCCTGCATGTGTACCTGGCCCCCTCCTGGGCGGATACGGCAGGCAAACGGTGCAAGGGCGGCTGCCGGGAGAAGGTGGGCAGCTGGAGTGGGACTGGGGGAGACAGGATCAATGTGACCTGCGGTGGTCCCCAGGTGGCCGGGATGCAGTACCTGCACGGCGTCCTGGGCCCCATCATCAACAAGGTGTTTGAGGAGAAGAAGTACGTGGAGCTGGACCCCAGCAAAGTGGAAGTTAAGGATGTAGGGTGAGGCCGGGGGTAACTCCGGGGGTTGCGGGGTGCAGCGGCAGCGGGTTGGGATCAGGCCCTGTCAGCATGTGTGTTTGTGCTTCTGCCCACCCGTGTATTGTCCCCTGTGTCCGTGTCCTGGCTGCTGTGAGAGCCACTGTTCCTGTCGTGGCCCTGGCGCTGACCGCGACCTCCTCTGCCAACCCGCCCCGTTCCACGCAGGTGCTCCAGGCTGCACCGCCCGCAGACCGAGGCCGAGGTGCTGGAGCAGAGCGCGCAGACGCTGCGCGCCCACCTGGGGGCCCTGCTGAGCGCGCTCAGCCGCTCGGTTCGCGCGTGCCCCGCCGTGGTGCGCGCCACCTTCCGCCAGCTCTTCCGGCGCGTGCGCGAGCGCTTCCCCGGCGCCCAGCACGAGGTGCGCCCTCCACCCGCTGGGCTAGGCTGGGCCGGGTTGGACTGGGCTGGGGCGAGGAGTGAAGAGCGGTGGGGAACCAGGGAGCGCTGGGGAGGACCAGGGAGGCTGTGTCGCAGCGAGGGTCAGGGACAGAGCCTAAGGGGAGGGGGCTGCCAGGAGCCCTGGTCTGGGGGACTCCAGCCCGCGCTCTTCCGCACCCCTCCAGAATGTACCGTTCATCGCCGTCACCAGCTTCCTGTGCCTGCGCTTCTTCTCCCCCGCCATCATGTCGCCCAAGCTCTTCCACCTGCGGGAGCGCCACGCGGACGCCCGCACCAGCCGCACCCTGCTCCTGTTGGCTAAGGTGCGGGCCTTGCGGCCACGGGCGGGATGCACAGCTGGGTGTCCTACCGGGGCCCTGGCCTGGACTGCAGAGTGTTCCCTACCGGCTCCGGCGAGGCCACTGGCACGCCCACGTAGGCACTGCACTTCACAGTTTGCAAAGCCTTCCTGTGGCCACCTTGTCCGAGCTCCATCTCATGGATAAGGGAACAGGCCTGCGAGGGGTCGGGGGTTGCCAAGGCCGCCCATCCTGTCGGTGGTGAATCGCGGGACCTTCCAACCCGGGTCTGCTTACTCTCAGGCTGCACCTATGTGCCCGGCACCGGGGTGGGGTATCCAGTGCAGCAGCGTCAGTTAAACCTACAGAGGAAGGCCCAAGTGGTCTCAGTTATCATAAGGCATCAAACTTCATGATCCTCTCCTCCCTGATCCCTAGTGGGGCTGGAGGGGGCCCGTGGGCATGGCCTCTGTCGCCTCTGCCTCCATCGCTACAGCTGAGTAGCAAAGACTTGGGGAGGGGGGGTGGGAGGGGGTGCAGTGGCTAGGCCCCTAACCTAGCAGAACCTGGTCCTTCCTGCTGTCACCTCCAGGCAGTCCAGAACGTGGGCAACATGGACACGCCGGCTTCCAGGGCCAAGGAGGCTTGGATGGAGCCGCTGCAGCCCACCGTGCGCCAGGGCGTGGCGCAGCTGAAGGACTTCATCACCAAGCTCGTGGACATCGAGGAGAAGGACGGTGAGCGCCGCCCTGCACAGACCCGCCCACAGCCTACTGCTGACGTTTGCTCCGCCCTTGAGCCCCACGGCCCCACCCATCGCTGTTTGTTCCTCTCGTGGCCCCACCCACCGCCTGCTGTTGGCATTTGCCAGGCCCCCAGGCCATAGACCCACGCACCACTGTTTGTGCTTCCTGTGACCCTGCCCACTGCCTGCCGTTGACGTTTGCCCCACCCCTAGACCCATGGCCTCACCCCCGCATCATCTGCGCCTGTTGACATTTGCTCCATCCTTGAGCTCCATAGCCCCGCCGCCACCTGCTACTGACGCGTGTCCCGCCTCCAAGCCCATGGCCCTGCCTTCCTCAGTCCACCTGTCACCCCGCTCACCACCAGCTGTTGATGTTTGCTCCGCCCTTGAGCCCCATGACTACGTCCACTGCCTGCTGTTCAGATTTGCTCAGCCCTTGAGCCCCATGGCCCCTCCCACTGCTCCGCTCCCCCCAGTCCCGCCCTCATTCACTGGGCTCTCTATTCCCCTCCCTCCCTGGCCTGGCAGAGCTGGACCTGCAGCGGACGCTGAGTTTGCAGGCGCCACCTGTGAAGGAGGGGCCACTCTTCATCCACAGGACCAAGGGCAAGGGCCCCCTCATGTCCTCCTCCTTCAAGAAGCTCTACTTCTCCCTCACTACCGAGGCCCTCAGCTTCGCGAAGACGCCCAGCTCCAAGGTGGGTAAGGAGGGAGGCCGGCAAGTGGGGCTCTGAGAGGCCGGCAAGTGGGGCACCTGTCCCCTTCCTTGGAGCCCACTTGAGGTACCCCTGGGGTCAGAGAAGAAAGCCAGGTGTGTGGCATCTGTACTGCTTGTCAGAACCTAGGAGGGCCGGGCACGGTGGCTCACGCCTGTAATCCCAGGACTTTGGGAGGCCAAGGCGGGTGGATCACTTGAGGTTAGGAGTTTGAGACCAGCCTGGCCAACATGGAGAAACCCCGTCTCTACTAAAAATACAAAAAATCAGCCGGGTGTGGTGGTGGGTGCCTGTAGTCCCAGCTACTTGGGGGGCTGAGGCAGGAGAATCACTTGAACCTGGGAGGTGGAGGTTGCAGTGAGCTGAGATCGAGCCACTGCACTCCAGCCTGGTGACAGAGCAAGACTCCATCTCAAAATAAATAAATTAATTAATTAGTAAATTAATTAAAGAGTGGTCAGGGAGGACCTCTGATGGGTGGCATTCGAGCAGGGACCTTGTAGGAGGGTGACCCAGATGTGTGTCTAGGGCAGGGACATGTGGGACAAGTAAGAAGCCTGCAGCTGGAGGGGGGTTGGTTTCTTCCGGGCTTGACCGTCCTGGCCTGTGGGGAGGAAGTCACAGACCTGTCCCTCTGTGCCCTTCCCTCTAGGAGTTCCCTTTTGTGTCAGGGTCCAGAGCCACTGGGAAAAGTAGTGATATCAGGGCCACCAAATATATTTGGCGGGTTCTGGAATACCTACGAGCGTGGCCAAGGGGCCAGCGGCGGCTGAAATCCAGCCCACACCAGCCTCCTGGGCTCCTACCATCCCGGTGCCTTCCGTGGGGACAAGTGGAGCTGCTGCCACCAAAAAGACGAGACAGGTGGGAGAGGAGAGGATGAAGTCTTGCTGTGTTGCCCAGGCTGGTCTTGAATTCCTGGGCTCAAGCGATCCTCCCACCTCGGCCCCCTATAATCCCAGCTGTAGTCCCAGCACTTTGGGAGGCTGAGGTGGGAGGATCACTGGAGGCCAGGAGTTTGAGAACAGCCTGGCCAATGTAGCAAGACCCCATCTCTAAAAAAAAGGAATTAGCCAGCCATGATGGCATTATAGGAGTGAGCCACTGGGATTATAGGAGTGAGCCACTGCACCTGCTCTCCAGGCCATGCGCCCGGGCATGGGTCATGTTCCACTGGAGGAAGGGCAGCTTCTCCTAATTCACTCAAAGCTGCTGGGTTGGTATGGTGGGGAACATGGCGTCTGGCGTGGTACAGGAGCTCCGGGTTAGGAGGGCTTCCTGGAGGAGGTGACGTCTGAACAGGCCTCCCCCTCCGTGTCCCCTGCAGTGTGTGAATGAGCTTAACCAGTGGCTGTCTGCGCTGTGGAAGGTGAGCATCAACAACACCGGACTGCTGGGCTCCTACCACCCTGGCGTCTTCCGTGGGGACAAGTGGAGCTGCTGCCACCAAAAAGAGAAGACAGGTGGGAGAGGAGGCCTGGGTCCCGGGCTCTGCATCCGTCCACTGCGAGATCGGGCCTCTGGCTGAACGATGGGACCCTGAGCCCTGCTGTGCACCTGCAGGGACCTAACCCAAGGAATGCTGGCCCCTCCAGGAGCTCTGGGCAGAAAGGGTCCCGTGGACCAGGTGGTTTGGGAAATGCCACGTGATGTGTGTGATGCATATGAGTGAATTCGCTGAAGGCTCTAAGGAGGCCCGAAAACACGTTAGAATCCCATTTCTTTTTATTTCTTCTTCTTCTTTTTTTTTTTTTTTTCAGACACAGACTTTCACTCTGTCCCCCAGACTGGAGTGCAATGGCACGATCTCAGCTCGCTGCAATCTCCACCTCCCAGGGTCAAGCAATTCTCCTGCCTCAACCTCCCCAGTAGCTGGGATGACCGGCACTCGCCACCAAGCCTAGCTAATTTTTTTGTATTTTGACTAGAGATGGGGTTTCACCATGTTAGTCAAGCTGCTCTTGTTTTGTTGTTGTTGTTGTTGTTGTTGTTGTTGTTGTTTGATACTGAGTCTCGCTCTATCATCCAGGCTGGAGTGCAGTGGTGCAATCTCGGCTCACTGCAATCTCCGTTTCCCAGGCTCAAGTGATTCTCCTGCCTCAGCCTCCCAAGTACTACAGGCGCAAGCCACTGCACCCAGCTAAGTTTTGTATTTTCAGTAAAGACGGGGTTTTACCATGTTGGCCAGGCTGGTCTTGAACTCCCGACCTCGTGATCTGCCCTCCTCGGCCTCCCAAAGTGCTGGGATTACAGGTGTGAGCCACCACGCCCGGCCTAGAATTCCATTTCTAACGTGGTTTAACCCAGCACTTCCCAAACTCTTTTGACAGGGAACCCTTCTCTTCCCCAAGGAGCTTCTTACAGAACAGGTGTTCTCAGGAACACATTCGAGGAGCCCCCTGCTAATGAGAGCCAGAGAGCCCCTGGGTTCGCACACTCCAATGCTGGCCATCTGAATCCGGAGCTGTGGGTGGGAGGGGACCCTGAGCCTTGGGCACTAGAGGGATGGCATAGAGGAGCTTCTAGAAGGACTCCATACTGTGTAGTACTCTAGGTTCTAGCACCTGTGGTTCTTGAGCACTTGAAATGTGGCTTGAGGAGCTGAGGGGTTTTTTTTGTTTAATTTTTTAAAACAGGGTCTTGCTCTGTTGCCCAGGCTGGAGTGCAGTGGCACGATCATAGCTCACTGCAGCCTCCAACTCCTGGGCTCAAGCAATCCTCCTGCCTCAGCCTCTGAGTAGGCTGGCACTACCGGCATGCATCACCACACCTGGCTCATTTAAAAAAAATTGTTTTAGAGGTGGGGTCTTGCTATGTTGTTCAGGCTGGTCTTGAATTCCCAGGCTCAAGCAATCCTCCTGCCTCGGCCTCCCAAAGTGCTGAGATTGTAGGAGTGAGCCACCACATCTGGCCTGAGTTTCACATTTTTAAAAATGTTGTTTTGGCCGGGTGTGGTGGCTCACGCCTGTAATCCTAGCACTTTGGGAGGCCAAGGTAGGCGGATTGCCTGAGCTCAGGAGTTAGAGACGAGCCTAGGCAACATGGTGAAACCCCATCTCTGCTAAAATACAAAAAAAAAATTAGCCAGGCATGGCGGCGTGGGCCTGTAGTCCCAGCTACTCAGGAGGCTGAGGCAGGAGAACTGCTTGAACCTGGGAGGCAGAGGTTGCAGTAAGCCAAGATGGTGCCACTGCACTCCAGCCTGGCGACAGAGCGAGACTCCATCTCAAAAAAAAAAAAAAAAAAAAAAAAAAAAAAAAAAACAAAAAAAAAACAAACAGAAAAGAAACAAAAAACGTTGTTTTAATTTTAATTAACTCAAATAGCTTCATGTGGCTAGCTGCCGCCCTGTAGAACAGCACAGTTCTAGAACTTTCGAGACCTTCTCCCTGTTATCCACACTTACTTTACAGAGTAGACTCAGCACTTCGAGTCCCCTGTCCTTCAGGCCAGGCCAAATCTTGGTCCCCAGAGCCCAGTGTGGCAGAGGCCATCGAAAACTGACCCACGCACTCTAGCCCAGCCCTGGATTTACAGCCAAGCACTGTATAGGGATGGGTGACTCTTTTGTTTTTGTTTTTGTTTTGAGTTGGGTCTCTCACTCTCTCACCCAGGCTGGAGTGCAGTGGCATAATCATAGCTCACTGTAGCCTTGACCTCCTGGGCTCAAGCCATCCTCCTGCCTCAGCCTCCTGCAGAACTGGGACTACAGGCACATGCCACCACACCCAGCTATTTTTTATTTTATTTTTTTGTAGAGTCAGGGTCTCACTATGTTGCCCAGACTGGTCTTGAAATCCTGGCCTCAAGCTATCTTCCTGCCTCAGCCTCCCAAAGTGCTGGGATTACAGGTGTGAGCCACTGTGCCTGGCCTCTTGGTGACTCTTTGCAAGGGCATTGCTGGCTGGCTGATATGGCCTGCAGCCTCTGCCTGTAACCATCAGAGCCATACTCTCATTATCGGCAAGGTGGGACCCACCCTGGCCCAAGAGACAGGGCCTGTTATTCCACTGTATGGAGGAGAAGCTGAGGCTTAGGGAAGGCAGATGACTTGGCAAGGTCATAAAGACAGCAAGCTGCAGGACCAGCTCATTCTAAGGCATGAACCCCCTGTGGCCCACCTCACCATGATGTTAACATTTCAGCCTGCTCCATTCCAGGCAGACAGTCTTCCAGAAAGTTACCCGGCTCCCTGGCTGGGCGCAGTGGCTCACGCCTGTAATCTCAGCACTTTGGGAGGCCGAGACGGGTGGATCACGAGGTCAGGAGATCGAGACCATCCTGGCTAACACAGTGAAACCCCGTCTCTACTAAAAATATAAAAAATTAGCTGGGCGTGGTGGCGGGCATCTGCAGTCCCAGCTACTCAGGAGGCTGAAACAGGAGAATGGCGTGAACCTGGGAGGCAGAGCTCGCAGTGAGCCAAGATCGCGCCACTGCACTGCAGCCTGCACGACAGAGCGAGACTCCGTCTCAAAAAAAACCAAAAGTTACCCAGCAACCCAAGTCATATCCTGATGATATCCATACTCCTCAGTCATGCATCCCGTGGTGCAGGGGCTGACCCCAAGAGGAGCTGCTGCCCCCAGAGGGTGGGGAGCCGAGGCAGGGCCTGGGTCAGACTTACCAGGCTATGCTCCCAGCCCAGCCCTCACTAGGGACCCCCGAGTGCATCTCTCTCCTCTCCAGGCCTCTGTTTCTCCATCTGTGCAACCACAGTGTTGGACATGGTAGTCCCAAGTGTCTGCTCGTAACTTTGCCCTCTCTGTGCCCCCAGGTCAGGGCTGCGATAAGACCCGGTCACGGGTGACCCTGCAGGAGTGGAATGACCCTCTTGACCATGACCTTGAGGCCCAGCTCATCTACCGGCACCTGCTGGGCGTGGAGGCCATGCTGTGGTGAGTCCCACCCAGGAGAGCCTGTGCAGCCTGGGGAACGTGCCAGGCTTGGGGCTGCTCCATGGTGGCTGGTCACCTCTCTTGTAATTGGCCACATCTGGGGAGGGCACCAGGAGTACCTCTCTGCAGCACGAGGCCAGCTCAGGTTAGGACAGAGGCCCCAAGGGTCAGGGCCATGCCTGCTTCATGCCATGTGCTGACTGAGCCCACCTTGCAACCTGCCCAGCTGTTCCCCTGGGCCCTTGGAGTACAGGCACAGCCTCAGCCAATTCCCTGAGTTCCCTGGCCATCTTGCTTCATCCAGTGGTTCTCAGCCTTGGCAGAAGCTTAGAAAAAACAAGATGCTTTTAAAGATCAGCTTTAAAAAACAGGATGCCAAGGCCCCATCACTCAGGGTCTCTGGAGATGTGGCTGGTGCCAGGATACTTCAAGGTGATCCAGTGCTTCCCATGCGCTCAGCTTCCCCTGAGCCAACTGGAGCTGGAGCTCATTCATCTGTCACACCCCTACACTCTGCAAGGAGGAAGGGTGTGGTCCTCCCCATTCCTCATCGACTCTTCCAGGGTTTATCTCTGCCCTCAAAACCCACGAAGGTGGGGTGCGGTGACTCATGCCTGTTATCCCAGCTCTTTGGGAGGTGGAGGCAGGCAGATTGTTGGAGATCAGGAGTTTGAAACCAGCCTGGCCAACATGGCGAAACCTCTTCTCTACTAAAAATACAAAAATTAACTGATGTGGTGGAGGGTGCCTGTAATCCCAGCTACTCAGGAGGCTGAGGCAGGAGAATTGCTTGAACCCAGGAGGTGGAAGTTGCAGTGAGCTTAGATTGCGCCACTGCACTCCAGCCTGGACCGCAGAACAAGACTCTGTCTCAAAAACAAAACAAAACAAATGCAAAGGGCCTTCTGGTCAACCCACAGTGGGATGGGGAGGAGGAGGAGACACGGGGAGGGAGAAGGTGGAAGGTGCCCTGGTGGGCCTTGGCCCAGCCTCTTCACAGACTGAAAGAGTCAGCCCTGCCATCACCCCCAGAGCCACCTCTAGCCCAGGAGGCCCATGCTGGGCCACCCCCAGCCTTCCCACAAGGACACCAGAAGGTCTGGCAGGGAGAGTAGAGGCTGCTGGCCCTCACTCTGACCTCCCCCACAGGGAGAGGCACCGGGAGCTGAGCGGGGGCGCAGAGGCAGGCACGGTGCCCACGAGCCCTGGCAAAGGTAGGTCTTGCCCACCTGGGACTTGCTCGTGGCCCGAGCCCCCTCCAGAGATGCACGGGTGGGGTCCTCGGGCTCACTCCCAGGGGCCCTCACGGCTGCCTCTGCCCACAGTCCCTGAGGACTCATTGGCCCGGCTGCTCCGGGTGCTGCAGGACCTCCGCGAGGCCCATAGCTCCAGCCCGGCCGGCTCCCCACCCTCAGAGCCCAACTGCCTCCTGGAGCTGCAGACGTGAGGCCCGCCCTACGCTCCCCTTGCTGAGTCCCCTGCCAAGCGCTCGGAGCCCCCCCAGGACACTCTGCACCCCCTCACCCCGGTCCTCCTCATTAGGGTGCAGGGCCTAGGTCTCTTCCAGGTGGGGGAGGGGAGAGAGTCAGGAATAAGGGGATCCCCAGAAGTGCAGAGCTGAGCAGGCTTGGGCCTGTCATGGCTGGCCGGAAGTGTCCCCAGCTCCCTACAGACGCTGTAGCCATCACTGCCTCTCCAGGGACCCTCCTCTCCTGCCCAGGACAGACCCAGCCAGAACCACTGCTAGGATGGGCCGCACCCAGGGGTCTGGCCTCCAGGGACCTAGAGAATGGGAGGGAGAACGGGGCCCCAGGAGACCCGGCCGCCACCCCACCCGCTACCCTTGGGTGCCACAGGGCTGTGCTGTTGCCAACAGTAAACCTGCTCTTACTGTCCAGGCTCTGGGGTCTTGTGATGAGGGTCTGGGGAGAAAGTGGGCCCGGGGGGACCCCGGAGGCTGTCGGTGGATGTGCCGATGATGGGGCTGACAGTATGGGCTCTGGGCATCCCTGTTCCCCCCTCTTTCTTCCCCCCACTCTTCTGGGGTCGGGGGTTCCTTTCCCTTCCCAGTTGCTGTCCCTGGGTCCCCTCTTTCATGTCCCACAGGCCACAGAGCCCAGTGTGTCCAACCAGCTGTTCTCTCCTCAAAGCAGCCCCCAAGCAAGTCCCTTCTCTAGGGTGTCCCTGAGGACAGCACAGAGGCGGGACTCAGAGACCCCATTCCTCTTCACGCAGCCCTTACCCCAAGCCCTCTAGCTGTGTGGCTGGCAGTGTTGGCCACGTAGGGGCTCCCATCCCCCCACCATTGTGTCACATGGGCTGCCAGGCTCAGCTCCCAGCTGCGTCCACAGTGACCTGGATCAGGGTGGGGACAAGGACTGGACCCTCCTTCTCCAGAAGGCCTTCAGCTCTTGCCTTGCCATGCAGTCACCTCCTTCCCCCTCTGACCCCAGATCCCAAAGGTGCACCGTTGCCCCAGCCCCTTTCTGGCCCCATGGGGTTTCTCTGATGCCTTCATCATAGAGGCCCGGGGCTGGTCCGATGGTTGGCAAAACTTGACTCCGGCCCAGTCCCCACTCTTGGGGACTTAGAACCCCTGCTGTCCTGGGATCTGGCCTGCCTTTCTTTGGTCAGTCCCTGTGGTCCCCCACCAGCTCCCCCTCCCATAGGGCTGCCCACCAAGCCCTGCCCCCAGCCCAAGAGGAGCCCCCACTGCCTGCGGGGCAGTGATGTCTGGCCACCGGCTCACACCAATGACTTGGTCCTGGGGTGGCAGAAGCAGCAGGTGACAGGAGCAGGGCCCCTGTCCCTCTCTTCTGGCCCTGTGGTACCCAGGCCACACGTTGTGCCCGCTCTTGGGGCTGACCGGCTGTAGGGACCACCAGCCGCTGCTACTGTGGGCCGCCCCGGGGCAAGGTGGGCAGGGCTTTTGTGGGTTATGAGGACACAGAAGTCCCTGAGGCCCCCAGACCTGGCTCAGCCAACCTCCTTCCTCCCCCGGTTGCCCCCCACTCTAAAGCCTCCTCCCTCCCAGCGTCCACTGGCTCCAGGCTCCTCACAACAGCAGCTCATAGACACGGGGCGTCTCCAGGTGGTCCCAGCCCTCCAGATGTTTCTAGCTCTCCAGGTGGGCGCTGTTTTCACGTCTGCCTGCATCCATTCATTCCTTCATTCCTCACCTTTATCCTGTTATCTCTATTTTTTTAAGCTACCAGGAAGGAAAGGGAAGAAGAGATCACGAAACTGGGACCCCCAGAAGGGAGGAGTGGGCTTTGAACTTAGACATCTACCTCAGGCTCAAATAGGTTGTTTAAAATCACATTCAATTTTCAGATGAAGGGGAACTTTATAGTTTTTTTTTTTTTTTTTTTTTTGAGACAGAGTCTCACTGTGTTGCCCAGGCTGGAGTGCAAATGGCTTGATCTTGGTTCACTGCAACCTCTGCCTCCCAGGTTCAAGCAATTCTCTTGCCTCAGCCTCCCGAGTAGCTGGGACTAAAGGCGTGTGCCACCATGCCCAGCTAATTCTTGTATTTTTAGTAGAGACGGAGTTTCTCCATGTTGGCCAGACTGGTCTCGAACTCCTGACCTCAGGTGATCTGACCGCCTTGGCCTCCGAAAGTGCTGAGATTACAGTTGCGAGCCACTGTGCGTGGCCAGAACTTTATAATAAGAGACTTGAAGCTGGGTGTGACGGTGCACACCTCTAGTCCCAGCTACTCGGGAGGCCAAGACAGAAGGATCACCTTGAGGCCAGGAGTTTAAGGCCAGCCTGGGCAACATAGCAAAACCTAGTCCCTAAAATTAAAAAAAAAAAAAAAAAAAAAAAGGAAAATAAAGGAGACTTGAAATTTTTGAACTAAATAGTGGTGATGGCTACACATTGTGAATGTAATTAACACCACTGAGTTAAACACTTAAAATGGTTAAAATGGCAAATTGTATGTTATACCTATTTTACTACAATAAAAAGTATAAAAAAGAGAAGATATTTAGGTGACTTACAGCAACCAATTGCAACAAAACAAAATGTTAAGAAATGATCTTTTTATGAGGCAATTGGAAATTTGAACACTGATCAACTATAGGATGATTGGAATTATTAATTTTGTAAAGGTGTGATAAGATACTGCACTTGGCTGGGCACAGTGGCACATGCCTGTAATCCCAGCTACTTGGCAGGCTGAGGTGGGAGAATCGCTTGAGCTCAGGAGTTCGAGACCAGCCTGGGCAACGTGGCGAAATCCCCGTCTTTACAAAAACAAACAAACAAACAAAAAAGATATTGCAGTTGTGTTGTAAGCGTCCTTATCTTTCAGAGCTACATAGTGGAATGTTTATGGAATATTTAGGATAAATGATATAGGCATTTGGGATTTGCTGCAAAATGACCCAGAGGCAGGGGTCAGGGGGAGAGGTAGAGATGAGACAAGAGGTAGAGGGGAGAGGTAGAGGTAGCCACGAGCTGATAATTACAGACAAGAGATGCGGAGTATGTGGGGGCTCATTATCCTGCATAGTCTATCTTTGTATATCTTTGAACTTTTCAAGAATAAAAAAGCTTAAAAAGTATACATGGCCTGGTCCTACCAGAGACTCACCCAATGCCAGCCTCCAGCCAGGGAGAGCCAAGTTTGCATTTTCACACGCATCTCACACTCCTCTGCACTCTCAACTTGGAGCGCTCCAAACAGGGAAACCCCAAGCCTTGCTGGCTTCTGCCAACCCCCTGAGCAGAAGCATGGGTCCCCCTGATCACCACCTCACCACCCTCATCCTGATCTCACTGTACACAGCAAGCAAACCCCAGTGTAATTAACAAGACTGAGGATACCTGTAATCCCAGCACTTTGGGAGGCTGAGGCCGGCAGATCACATGAGTTCAGGAGTTCGAGACCAGCCTGGCAAACCATGGCCAACATGGCAAAGCCCAGTCTCTACTAAAAACACAGAAATTAGCCAGGTGCGGTGGTGCGCATCTGTAACCCCTACTACTTAGGAGAATTGGATTGAACCCGGGAGGCGGAGGTTGCAGTGAACTGAGATCGCACCACTGCACTCCAGCCTGGGTGACAGAGTGATTCTCCATCTCAAAAAAAAAAAAAACAACAACAAGACAGAGGAGAGGAGGGGCAGAGTCTTCCAGAACATCTTTTTTTTTTTTTTTTTTTTTTTTTTTTTTTTGAGACAGAGTCTTACTGTGTTGCCCAGGCTGGAGTGGAGTGGAGTGATCATAACTCACTGCGGCTTCCAACTCCTGAGTTCAAGTGATCCTCCTGCCTCAGCCTTCTGAGTAGCTGGGACTACAGGTGTGCACCATCATGCCCAGCTAATTTTTTGTACTTTTGGTAGAGACAGGGTCTCACCATGTTGTCCAGGTTGGTCTCCAACTCCTGGGCTCAAGCCATCCTCCCACTTCAGCCTCCCAGAGCGCTGGGATTACAGGACCACCGCACCCAGCCACGAACACATTCTCAACACTCATCCAAGCAAGCTCTGAGCCTCCCCTTTGTCCTTAGCCTAGGACAGCCCCTAGTGTCCCAGGGCTCAGACATGACCCCTGACCTGGCTGCCCAGCTAGGTTCTGGGGCAGGGCCAGTGGGGCATCCTGTATACCTTGGCTCTTCCAGGAATAGTAGGGAAAGGCAAAGAGGGCTGGGCACGGTGGCTCATGCCTGTAATCCCAGTACTTTGGGAGGCCAAGGTGGGTGGATCACCTGAAGTCAGGAGTTAGAGACCAGCCTGGTCAACATGGTGAAACCCTGTCTCTACTAAAAATACAAAAATTAGCTGGGCATGGTGGCAGGTGCCTGTAATCACTACTTGAGAGGCTGAGGCAGGAGAATTGCTTGAATTTAGGAGGTGGAGGTTGCAGTGAGCCGAGATCGGGCCACTCCACTCCAGCCTGGGTGACAGAGAGACGCTGTCTCAAAAAAAAAAATAAAAAGGTCAAGGGGAAATTAAGATTCAAGGGGCCTGCCCTCTCCCTCTTCCCTATGGCTTTTGGGGCCATACCAACCTTTTCTTCTGGCTGTGGCCTTGGTGGATACCATTTTCCCCATAGGCAGCCCACCAGCCTGACCCCTTAGAGCTTCATAGCCTGCTGTGCTCTGCCGTCCTATGGGCTCCTAAGCCTTTTTGCTGGATTGGGTCCCTCCCCTCCCTTCCTGGCCCAAGGCCCTGGGTCCAGGGACAGCTGAGCCTGATGCAGCCCCTACCCCACCCCAAATCACCAGCACCTGGTTCTCTGGCTACTTCCTTAGGGGTACACAAAAATCCTCATGCCTGTTGGATCTCCTTGGGTTTCAAGGACCTTCTCTCTAGGAAGTATGGCCTCCAGGGTCTCCTGAGCCTAAATGCAGGCAGTGAAAGGGAAGGAGCCGTGGACTTATTAGGGCTACAAGTGGAAACCTGGATCTTGAGTGCACACACACAGCCACCCTTCTGGCAGCATCCACCATGCCTCTCCTCCCCTCCCCAGATCCTGACCACTGCAGCTGGAAGGGAAGTTAACATCAGTGCATGCCTGGCACTGCCCCCTGGTTCTCCTCTCAGGCCCTGAGCAGAGCTGCCCATAGTCCATCATGCCACATTGTTTCTGGAGGCCACCTGGAAAAGCAAGAGGAGCAGGAGAGGGTATACCTTCCATCTGTCCCACAAGTCTATACCACCCCCTCCCAGAGACTTCAAGCCCTGGCATTCAACTGGGGCCTGGGGCAGGTTCCCAGATGTTTTGTTTGTTTTTGTTTTTGTTTTTGTTTGAGATGGAATCTGGTTCTGTCGCCCAGGCTGGAGGGCAGTGGTGTGATCTCAACTCACTGCAACCTCCACCTCCCAGGTTGAGGCGATTCTCCTGCCTCAGCCTCCTGAGTAGCTGGGATTTACAGGCACATGCCACCACTCCCAGCTAATATTTTGTCTTTTTTTTTTTTTAGCAGAGATGGGGTTTCATGGAGTTTCACTATATTGGCCATGCTGGTCTTAAACTCCTGACCTAAGATGATCCTTCTGCCTCAGCCTCCCAAAGTGCTGAGATTACAGGTGTAAGCCACCGCACCTGGCCTATTTTTTTTTTTTTTTTTGAGACAGAGTCTCCCTCTGTTACCCAAGCTGGAGGATAGTGGAACATTCTCGGCTCACTGCAACCTCTGCCTTCCAAGTTCAAGTGATTATCCCACCTCAGCCTCCCGAATAGCTGGAATTACAGGTGCCCATCACCACGCCTGACTAATTTTTGTATTTTTAGTAGAGATGGGGTTTCACCATGTTGGCCAGGCTGGTTTTGAACTCCTGAACTCAAGTGATCCGCCCACCTCATCCTCACAAAGTGCTAGGATTACAGGCATGAGCCACCATGCCCAGTCCCAGATGTCTTGAGGATCTGATTGGACCCCCAGGCAGATATCTGCAGCCCAGGGGGCTGGTGTTCACCACAGGGCAGGGCAGGCACCCTGGGAAGGCTTGACTGGACCCAGCTCACCCAGTACCTGTTTCTCTCAACCTCTTAGGAAATCTGAACAGGTATGCAGCAACCACCTCCGGACAAGGCCTTTTCAAAGTATAATTTTCAAACATGTAAAAAAGATGACTCATATATATCATGAACACATATCAAAGATCTACTACGCATCAATTCAGAAAAAGAGTGGGAACTCTGATTCATGGATCATTCTGAGAAGCTGGGTACATGTATTTCATGTATTTGTAAGCATTCTTTTGTTTTGTTTTGTTTTTGAGACAGGGTCTCGCTCTGCCACCCAGGCTGGAATGCAGTGGTGCAGTCATAGCTCATTGTAGCCTGTTCCTCCTGGGCTCAAGCAATCCTATTGCTTCAGCCTCCCAAGTAAATGCAACTACAGGCACACACTACTATGCCCTGCTGATTTTTTAAATTTTTAGTAGAGACAAGATCTTGCTATATTGCCCAGGCTAGTTTCAAACTCCTGGGCTCAGGCAATCCTCCCTCAGCCTCCCTAGGTGCTGGGACTACAGATGTGAGCCACTGTGCCTGGCCCGTAAACACTTTAAGAGAAGAATGCTAGAATAAGATTGTGATATTACATACGAAAGTGGTTAATTAATGAAGTTTTCTTTTCTTTTTTTTTTTTTTTGGTTTTTGTTTTTTTTTTTTTTGAGACGGAGGCTCATTCTGTCGTCCAGGCTGGAGTACAGTGGTGCGATCTTGGCTCACTGCAACTTCTGCCTCCCGGGTTCAAGCAATTCTCCTGCCTCAGCCTCCCGAGTAGCTGGGATTACAGGTGCTCACCGCCACACCCAGCTAATTTTTGTATTTTTAGTAGAGATGGGGTTTCACCATGTTGGCCAGGATCGTCTCCATCTCCTGACCTCGTGATCTGCCCACCTCGGCCTCCCAAAGTGCTGGGATTACAGGTGTGAGCCACTGCGCCCGGCCATGAAGTTTTCTTTTCTACGGGATAGACACCCACAAGCTAATAAGTAACTTCAGTGTCTGGGCTGTAACCAAACAATAAATAGCAAAGTCAACACAGGCACAATCCCCAAGATTAGGATCAGCAAACGTTTTCTGTAAAGGACCAGACATGCAGCTCTCAGTCACAACCACCATGCCATGTAGCATGAAAGCAACCACAGCCAATGTGTAACAAATTAGCATGGTATGTGTGGCCAGGGGCAGGGCTCATGCCTATAATCCCAGCACTTTGAGAGGCCAAGGCGAGAAGATTGCTTGAGGTCAGGAGTTCGAGACCAGCCTAGGCAATAAAGTTGGACCCCATCGCTACAAAAAGTAAAAAGAAAAAAACTAGCAGGGCGCCGTGGTGCCTGCCTGTGGTCCCAGGTACTGGGGAGGCTGAGGCAGGAGGACTGCTTGAGCCCAGGAGCTTGAAGCTGCAGTGAGCTATGATCTCACCACTGCACTCCAGCCTAGACAACAGAGCCGAGATCATGCCACTGCACTCCAGCCTGGGCGACAGAGCGAGATGCTATCTCAAAAAAAAAAAAGAAAAAAAGAGAAAAAAAGAAAAAAAGTGATAAGGGTAATAATTCCCTGAGGATATAACCTCCACACTTCTGGGTCACCCTGGAAAAGCTTGGGTCAAGGATGCTACCCTTGGCTAGGAACAGTGGCTCACGCCTGTAATCCCAGTACTTTGGGAGGCTGAGTGCAGTGGCGCAATCTCGGCTCACTGCAACCTCCGCCTCCCGGGTTCAAGCGATTCTCCTGCCTCTGCCTCCCAAGTAGCTGGGATTACAGGTGCCCACCACCACGCCCGACTAATTTTTTGTATTTTTAGTAGAGATGAGGTTTCACCATGTTGGCCAGGCTGGTCTCTAACTCCTGACCTCAAGTGATCCGCCTGCCTCAGCCTCTCAAAGTGCCAAAGTGCTAGGATTACAGGCGTGAGTCACCGCACCCAGCCTACCCATATCACTTTCTGTTCCTCAGCAGTTAAAGAGGTGCCCACCCACTTCGCCTGGAAAGTCAGATTCTGTGTGGGGCTGTTGCAGAATGAGATTTCCTCCTGCCAGGGTGCAAGAACTCAAGTAGGAAATGGGCCTTCCCAGAAGGGGTAGATGCTCCAGATTTCCTCAGCACTGTAGCTGCTGCCCAGCCTTGGAGAAACAGCTGCCAAACTGTTAGGGCTCTGGTAGCTCCTCTGAGACCCCAGTCCCTGTTGCTTCAAACAGCTTAAGGAGGGCCTTTATGCTAAACTGTAGTCTGCAAAGCAACCAAACCAAAAAGGGTAAGATACACTTATCCACCTGTAGGGTCCAGCCCCACAGGGTCGGTGGGTTTCTCTCCATGTGCAGAGACGAGAGAGCGCAGAAATAAAGACACAAGACAAAGAGATAAAAGACAGCTGGGCTGGGGGGACCACTACCACCAAGACGCAGAGACCAGTAGTGGCCCTGAATGCCAGGCTGCGCTGATATTTATTGGATACAAGACAAAGGGGCAGGATAAGGAGAGTGAGCCATCTCCAATGATAGGTAAGGCCACATGGGTCACGTGTCCACTGGACAGGGGCCCTTCCCTGCCTGGCAGCCGAGGCAGAGAGAGAGAGGAGAAAGAGAGAGAGACAGCTTACACCATTATTTCTGCTTATCAGAGACTTTTAGTACTTTCACTAATTTGCTACTGCTATCTAGAAGGCAGAGCCAGGTGTACAGGATGGAACATGAAGGTGGACTAGGAGCGTGACCACTGAAGCACAGCATCACAGGGAGACGGTTATGCCTCCGGGTAACTGTGGGCGGGCCTGTGGAGGAGTAGAGTCTTCTCTAAACTCCCCCGGGGAAAGGGAGACTCCCTTTCCCGGTCTGCTAAGTAGCGGGTGTTTTTCCTTGACACTAACGCTACCGCTAGACCACGGTGGGCTTGGCAACAGGTGTCTTCCCAGATGCTGGCGTTACCGCTAGACCAAGGAGCCCTCTGGTGGCCCTGTCCGGGCATAACAGAAAGCTTGCACTCTTGTCTTCTGGTCACTCCTCACTGTCCCCTCAGCTCCCATCTCTGTATGGCCTGGTTTTTCCTAGGTTATGATTGTAGAGCGAGGATTATTATAATACTGGAATAAAGAATAATTACTACAAACTAATGATTAATGATTCATATATAATCATATCTAAGATCTATATCTAGTATAACTATTCTTATTTTATATATTTTATTATACTGGAACAGCTCGTGCCCTCGGTCTCTTGCCTCGGCACCTGGGTGGCTTGCTGCCCACATCCACCAAGTGCACTTTGGGAGGCTGAGGCTGGAGGACTGCTGGAGGCCAGGAGTTCAATACCAGCCTGGGCAACATAGGGAGACCCCCCCCCCACCATCTCCAAAAATAAAAAAAAAAATAGCTAAGTGTGATGGCACATGCCTGCAGTCCTAACTATCGGGAGGCTGAGGCAGGAGGATCTCTGGAGCCCAGGAGTTGGAGGCTGCATGATGGCGCCACTGTACTTCAGCCTGGGCGACAGAGGGAGACGCTGTCTCTAAATAATAATAATAATATATAAAAAGATATACGTAACCCTACGGGCTCCCCTCTCACTGCTGTATACACCTGCCTCCTTCTGCATCCCTCACCCAATTGTCCCTCCCGGCTAACAAGCCAGCTGCACCCCCCAGGCAGAGGTCCTGCAGCAGTCGGTATAGGCAGCCTGGGCAGGGGGCTTGTCATAGATCTGCCTCTGGCCACGAGATCTTCTGCTCCCCCTACGGCTGCTAGCCGCAGCTGTCCACTACCCCTTAGCTTTATTCTCTCTATTCAGGGGCCTCCTGCTGCGCACTCCAAGGGGGTGCACGTTTCCAAAGAGAGATCAAGGGACATGGGGAAAGGAGAAAGGTACAGCTTGAGGTTCCCGCTCAGCCAGGACTAGGAGGCCTCTGTAGGGGCAGAACAGCCCTGCTGGCGCTCTGAGCATGCGCCGAAAAGCGCCCACGGGGAAAGCCATGCCGGGGTGCGGGGTGCGGGGTGGGGGGGAGCGGTGCGCTCGCCACTGACGCATGCGCAGAGGCACTGGTCTCTCTCGGGGTTTTCTCGCGCCTGCGCAAGATCCTCCAGCCCAACGGGGGGCGATGAGCCGATCCTTGGGCGGGTTTGCCCCGCCGGAGTAATCCGGAAGAGGCCTCTTATTAGGGCTCTGGTGGCGGCGGTGGCGGACACTTGGGGTCTGGACGCAACGGCGGCGGGAGCATGAACGCCCCTCCAGCCTTCGAGTCGTTCTTGCTCTTCGAGGGCGAGAAGTAAGTGACGCCGGCTGCGGAGGGCCTAGGTGCGCGGGCCTGCGGCTGTCGCATTCTGGGGTGTCTCCTGCCCATCTCTTGCCCCGGGAGGGAAACAGCTTTTGCTTGATCGTCTGCTCGGCCTGTGTCAGCCAAATTTAAGGCCGTTCCGCGAGGCAGTCGCGAGTGTGTCCATGTTGCAGATGAGGACACTGAGGCTTGGAGGCGAGCAAGTTGCCCCGGACACAGGAAGTGGCGGCGCTTGTATTCGAACCCAGAGTGTCTGGTTCTCCATAGCCCTTTTCCTCTGGGATCTGGCAGCTTCCTCTTTTTGTCTCTCGCCCGCCACCTCCATCCTTCATCCCCTCCGATCTGTCAGCGGCCTGCGTAAAAGCCGCAGTGGCTCCTCGCTGCCTGCGGGTTGAAGGAGTCCAGGGGAGAGAGCTTGGGCTCACTCTGTATCTGTGGGCGAGTGGCTTGATCTGTCGGAGGCCCTGTTTCCTCATCTGGAAAATGAGTTTATTACTGTACTTAAACGTGGGATTCAGGCCGGGTGCGGTGGCTGACACCTGTAATCCCAGCACTTTGGGAGCCCGAGGCGGGCGGATCACCTGAGGTCGGGAGTTCAAGACCAGCCTGACCAACATGGAGAAACCCTGTCTCTACTAAAAATACAAAATTAGCCGGGCGTGGTGGCAGATGCCTGTAATCCCAGCTACTCAGAAGGCTGAGGCAGGAGAATCACTTGAACCTGGGAAGTGGAGGTTGAGGTGAGCGGAGATCACGCCATTGCACTCCAGCCTGAGCAACAAGAGCGAAACTCCGTTTCAAAAAACAAAAAAAGGGATCTGGCCAGGTGCGCTGGTTCACGCTTTTAATCCCGGCACTTTGGGAGGCTCAGGTGGGAGGATTGCTTGAGCTGAGCACAGGAGTTCCAGGCTGCAGTGAGCTTTGATCGCATCACTGCACTCCAGCCTGGGCGACTGAGCGCAATCCTGTCTCAAAATAAAAAGAATTGGATGAGGTAATTTGTGTAAAACTCTTGGTCCAAAGCTCAGCCCCTGGAAAACCTCATAACCATTGGCTCTTATTGTTCCCAGGTTGGCGTGCAGAGGTCTTGGTCTGGCCCTTGCCAGCCACTTCGGCCTCCTTTAGAGCAGACTCTCAACTGGGGACCATTTGGCCCCACAAGGGACATGTGGCAATAACTGAGAACATTATTGGTTGTCAAAGGGGGTTATGACTGGAATCTACTGGGTAGAGGTCAGGGATGCTGCTGATGTCCTACAATGTCCACAAGACAGCACCCCACAGGAAAGAATGATGCACCCTAAAATGTGTGTGGTGTCAGCCTGGAGAAACCACCTTAGAAAAAAGGATATTCAACTTGATACCTCTCACCTGTGTGAGATTTTACTGTCAGCATAGTTGCCCTCAAATTGAGTGTGCATTAGAATCACCTGAAGGGCTTCTTAAACCATAGATCCCTGCGCCCCACCTCCAGAGTTCTGGGTCCAGTAAGTGGGAGGTGGGAGACTCTTAACAAGTTCCCAGGGGATTCTGATGCTGCTTATCTGGGAACTGCACTCTGAAAACCCCTTGTCTTGGAAAATCCAATGGAAGTTTCCTGTCTTTGTCCATCTAAGCGTTCACTAAAATCATAGTAAATGCCAGAGCATGACTTGTTTTGGGGAATGGATGGAAGGACTGCACACTCCAGCCAGGGGGATGGTTGCTTTCGGAACTCACAGGGTCAGGACCAGCCTCACCGTGTAACTTCAGGGCCTCTCTTCTTCACCTTTTGGTTGCTTCATTATGTTGGCGTAAGAAGAAAGGAACAGGCCAGGCATGATGACGTGCGCCTGTGGTCCCAGCTACTCAGGAGGCTAAGGCGGGAGGATCACTTTAGCCGAGGAGTTGGAGGCTGCAGTGAGCTATGATCACACCACTGCACTCCAGCCTGGGCAGCAGGAGAGATCATTTGAGGCGAGGAGTTCAAGACCAGCGAGGACAACAAGGCAAAACCCCATCTCTACCGGAAAAAAAAAAGGAGGAATTCAGAAAAGGCCAAGGTTCCATAGACCTGGGGTAGCAGGAAGTAGGGGACCGGGTTGGCGAGGCCTTTATGGGATGAAGAGATTGAGAAAGGCCTTCAGGAAGAGGCAGAGCTTATTTTTCCTTTTTATTTTTATATTTTTGATACAGAGTTCCACTCTGTTGCCCAGGCTGGAGTGCAGTGGCATGATCTCGGCTCACTGCAACTCCACCTCCCAGGTTCAGGTGATTCTCCTGCCTCAGTCTCCCAAGTAGCTAGGACTACAGGCATGGATCACCACACTCAGCTAATTTTTTTTTTTTCTTTGTATTTTTAGTACAGACAGGGTTTTGCCATGTTGGGCAGGCTGGTCTTGAACTTCTGACCTCAGGTCATCCATCCACCTCAGCCTCCCAAAGTGTTGGGATTACAGACACGAGCCACCACACCTGGCCGGGAGGAGACAGGGTTTAGACTCAGGGTGGGAGGAGGGGAGCCCCTGCTCCTCATCTGTGGCCTCTGTGTCTTCCTAGGATCACCATTAACAAGGACACCAAGGTACCCAAGGCCTGCTTATTCACCATCAACAAAGAAGACCACACACTGGGAAACATCATTAAATCGTAAGTTTCCCGTCACAGGCTCTCAGGGGCTATGTTTAATGGGCCCCTCTGGGCAAAGCACAAGTTCCAAGTCTTCCTCAGTCTCTCTGAGCTACAGGAAGTCCTTCTGGGGGCTTGCTCTGGGCATTTTATAATCTTGGTACCTTTTTATCAAAATGACACCGACCTCCATGTCTTCACATAAGCCACACTTCTGTAGTGGCTTATTCTGTAGATGAACACGTGCATTTACATTCACTGTTTTTTTGTTTGTTTGTTTTTGAGATGGAATTTTCTCTCTTTGTTGCCCAGGCTGGAGTGCAATGGCACGATCTTGCTCACTGCAACCTCCGCCTCCCGGGTTCAAGTGATTCTCCTGCTTCAGCCTTCCTAGTAGCTGGGACTACAGGCCCACGCCACGATGCCCGGCTAATTTTTGTGTTTTTAGTAGAGACGGGGATTCACTGTGTTGGCCAGGCTGGTCTCGAACTCCTGACCTCAGGTGATCCACCTGCTGGCTTCCCAAAGTGCTGGGATTAGAGACGTGAGCTACTGCGCCCGGCCTTACATTCACCATTAAGTGCACATTCTGTAAATGAACGAGCAGCAGATTCCAGCACAGTAGGCCTGTTTGTTATTCATGCTGAGGGACATTGAAAAGCAGTCAAGATTAGCTCCCCTCATGCCACCCGTTTGTGACCTCAGTGCCACCTGGGCCTCTAAGATGTATGTGGCAGAGACTAGAACTTCTATTTAACAAGAGAAAGAAGTAGGAGTTCTGTGGCTATCCAGTGCCCCTAATGGGCACCCTGCATTGGTTGGTGGGTGTTTGTTTATACCAGTGAGGTCCTAGCCAGGTGGTTGGTCAGGGATGTGTCTGCCATTCTGGCCCAGGGACTTGCCATTTTACTGTAGACTTGGCTCTTCCCTCTGGTGCCACCAGCGAAGCCAGGCTTTTCCCCGTCTGTGAGTGGGGTCTGCCCAGTCTCCTGGTGTGGTCAGGCACGGGGATGGAGGAATCCTGCCTGGAGCCCAGCCAGTGGGGCACCCAAGCTCTCCTGGGGCCCTGCTGCTCCCCTGCTCTTGAGCTCAGTGTTGCCACCTATGCACGGGTCCCCCTTGTGGTGCTCACGCCACTCTGAGCCGCTCTAGAGGAGACCCCTGCGTGCCCAGGGCACAGTACGCGACGCAGCCCCATGGCACAAGGCCCAGTGTGCGTGGCCAGCCGCTGGCGGCTGTGCTGCTCGGAGGGCAGAGTTCCATTTGCATTCCACTCACTGCCGGGAGCTGGCCCTCCTCTCCTGCTGCCTTTATTTGCTGCGTGGATGCTCTTTGTGGGCTTTTTGGGTCTGAGTCACTGAACACTGGCTGGACATTCACTGCCTGGGAGATCTCTTTGCCAGCACTGCGGTGCCCGGTGGGAAGAGGTTGCTGGAATCTCTTTCCAGCTCGGGTCCTTCAACCTCATGGATGCAGAGTGTGTGTGTGTGGCGGGGATAGGGTGTCCCCACATGAGGTATCTTCCTAAAAGTGTTACTTTCCTTGAAGACTTTTTGGGAAAAAAGTTGGGGGGGATTTTTGGCTAGAAAGTCTGTTCTTCTGCTCTGAGCTGGCTGCTACCCAGCTTGGGCATGAGGCTAGACCCTCACACTGTCTGTCCCTGGACCTCAGACAACTCCTAAAAGACCCGCAAGTGCTATTTGCTGGCTACAAAGTCCCCCACCCCTTGGAGCACAAGATCATCATCCGAGTGCAGACCACGCCGGACTACAGCCCCCAGGAAGCCTTTACCAACGCCATCACCGACCTCATCAGTGAGCTGTCCCTGCTGGAGGAGCGCTTCCGGGTGAGGGCGGGGCCTGGAGGGGCAGACGGGGTGGGCTGGACACTGGCCCGTGTGCCCAGGCCTGGGACAGCCCTGGCCTGTTTCTTCGGAGGTCCTCAGGGAGAGGCGGCGGTGATGGAAGAACAGGGACTTCCACCACAGGCTCCAGGACATGTGGACTGAGGGGCTGTGGAGTCTGGGCCTGTGGCTCCCGTCTGCCCCATGGGACTTCTGTAGTGCTGCAGGGTCCCTCGGGTGCTGTGGGCCAGATCCGGGCGGGGACCTACTGTCCTTTGGGGGTGCTCTTCTACGTCCCTTGTCGGTGATTGGCAAGGCCTGGTCCTTCCAGGCCTCTGGGAGGCAGCTCACCCCAGGGTGGCCCACACCTGTTCCTAGCAGGGCGCCTGGGAATCTAGAACAGTTTAGAGGGGAAAGAGCCACAGCAAAGAAAAGCCGAGGCAGGGTGATCACGAGGTCAGGAGTTCAAGACCAGCCTGGCAAACATGGTGAAGCCCTGTTTCTACTAAAAATACAAAAATTAGCTAGGCATGGTGGCATGTGCTGTAGTCCCAGCTACTCGGGAGGCTGAGGCAGGAGAATCGCTTGAACCCGGGAGGCGGAGGTTGCAGTGAGCCGAGATTGTGCCACTGCACTCCAGCCTAGGTAACAGAGCAGGACTCCATCTCAGTCAATCAATCAATCAATCAATCTCAGCGGTTGAACTACCCTTGACATGGTTCAGCTCTGTATCCACACCCAAATCTCATGTCAAATTGTAATTCCCAGTGTTGTGGGAGGGACCTGGTGGGAGGTGATTGGCTCATGGGGGCCGACTTCCCCCTTGCTGTTCTCGTGATATTGAGTGAGCGCTTGTGGGATCTGGTTGTTTAAAAGCGTGCAGCCCTCCCACTTCACTCTCTCTGTCTCTCCTGCTCCAACATGGCCAGACGTGCCTGCTTCCCCTTCGCCTTCTGCCGTGATTGTCAGTTTCCTGAGGCCTCCCCAGCCACGCTTCCTGTACAGCCTGCAGAACTGTGAGTCAATTAAACCTCTTTTCTTCATAAATTACCCAGTTTCTCATAGTTCTTTATAGCAGTGTGAAAACAGACTAATGGACCCTTCTGGTTGAAGGAATGCAGCCATTCTGCTTGTTTGACTATGTCCTTTCTATTCATCTCTATTTCCTGGGAGGTGTTTATCCAAGTGCAATAGGAGGTATTGGTGACCGCACAGTCCCCTCAGTGTTCTGCTAGTAAATAGTTGAAGGTTGATCATTGATCTTCTGCGTTTTCAGTCTGGCATGGAAAAGCCCCTGTGCAACTGGTAAAGATATCAATAAGCACCAGGAGGTATCTAAATCCACCAGGAGCCATAGGCATCACGTTGACGTCCATTTACCAGTCTTCCCTGGCAAGATTCTTCTGAATTGTGCTGCCTTGGCCAAAAGAGGTATGGGAGGGGCTGGGCGCAGTGGCTTGTGCCTGTAATCCCAACATTTTGGGAAACCAATTCAGGTGGATCGTTAGAGGTCAGGGGTTCAAGACCATCCTGGCCGACATGGTGACATCCCATCTCTACTAAAAATACAATAAGTTAGCTGGGTTTGGTGTTGGGTGCCTGTAATCCCAGCTACTCGAGAGGCTGAGGCAGGATAATCGCTTGAACCTGGGAGGAGGAGGTGGCAGTGAGCTGAGATCGTGCCATTGCACTCCAGCGTGGGCAACAAGAGTGAAACGTCGTCTCAAAAAATAAAAAAAAAGTCCGGGCTTGATGGCTCACACCTGTAATCCCAGCACTTTGGGAGGCCAAGACGGGTGGATCACGAGGTCAGGAGTTCAAGACCAGCCTGGCCTAGATGGTGAAACCCTGTCTCTACTAAAACTACAAATATTAGCTGGGCATGGTGGCATGCACCTGTAATCTCAGCTACTCAGAAGTCTGATGCAGGAGAATTGCTAAAACCCAGGAGGGAGAGGTTGCAGTGAGCCGAGATTGCACCACTGCACTCTAGCCTGGGCGACAGAGCAAGACTCCGTCTCGAAAGAAAGAAAGAAAGGAAATTCCCCAGGGAAGTACCTCGGCTGATTTCATAAACAGGTACCGAAGGAAGCAGAGGCATGTGGAGGACTTCCCCACCTCATGCAGCTATTTGGGCCGTGGCGTCTGAAATTTATTATTTCAGAGTCACCCCTTTGATGACCTTGGCAGTGAACTGCAGTCATCTGTTTAGGCCTTTCCATGGCCCACGTCAATGCCGTTATTTCTGTTTGTTGCACATTTGATTTCCTTGTTGTTGGCATTTAGAAGGCCCCCTGCTTCCCAGATCACACCACGGGCATGGACCACAGAGATTGCATCTTGTGAGTCTGTAGAAATGGTCAAGGCCTTGTCCTCTCTTAGGTCCAGAGCTCAGGTGAATGCAGATTTTCCCGGCCATCTGTGCTGAAGTCCCTGTGGGGAGGCTCCTGGCTGGTTTCCTGTAGGTAGACAGCTACACGTCCTGCCCTTCATTGGCTTCTTTTCATGAAGCTCCTGCCATCTACAAAACATGTCTCCCTTCTTGAATCACATCTCTGTTATTGAAACTCTAGAAGTCAACCGGGCATGGTGGCTATGCCTATAATCCCAGCATTTTGGGATGCCAAGGCGGGTGGATCACCTGAGGTCAGGAGTTCAAGACCAGCCTGGCCAACATGGCGAAACCCCGTCTCTAATACAAATACAAAAATTAGCCAAGCATGGTGGTCACTGTACTCCAGCCTGGGTGACAGAGCAAGACTCCGTCTCAAAAAAAAAAAAAGAGAAAGAAAGTATCATGCTTTTCTGCATTCTGTGAATTGTTTTAGTGAGTTATCGAACTTGAGGGCATGGTGGGAACCTCCAAATTTGCAGCCAGTTGGTGAGAAGTACATGTGGTCTGAGGACACCCAAGCCTGCAGGTGTGTCTAAAGCGAGGGCAGCCTAGTGGGGACTGGTGGCCTTAACCTGTGGCATTTGAGGTAACATCAGGGAGTTGACATCAGAATTGCATCACATAGGCTGGGCGCGGTGGCTCACGCCTGTAATCCTAGCACTTTGGGAGGCCAAGGCGGGCAGATCACGAGGTCAGGAGATCGAGACCATCCTGGCTAAGACAGTGAAATCCCGTCTCTACTAAAAATTCAAAAAATTAGCCAGGCATGGTGGCGGGCGCCTGTAGTCCCAGCTACTCGGGAGGCTGAGGCAGGAGAATGGCGTGAACCCAGGAGGCAGAGCTTGCATTGAGCCAAGATCACGCCACCGCACTCCAGCCTGGGTGACAGAGCGAGACTCCATCCCCCCCCAAAAAGAAAAAAGACAAAAAAAAAATTGTGTCACACAGGCCAGATGCAGTGGCTCATGCTTATAATCCCAGCAATTTGAAAGGCAAGGTAAGAGGATCGCTTGAGCTTGAGTCTGAGGCCGCAGTGAGCTATGACCACACCACTGCACCCCAGTCTGGGTGACAGCGCAAGACCCCAACTCCAAAAAGGAAAAAGAAAAATCACAAGGAATTGCATGTCAGAGTGCCTGTCTTTCACAGCTTTAACTGCTGCAGGAACGAACTTTTTTTTTTTTTTTTTTTTTTGAGAGGGGGTGAGGAGACACAATCTCTGCTAGTGATTCTCCTGCCTCAGCCTCCCAAATAGCTGGGATTATAGGCGTGCACCACCACGCCTGCCTAATTTTTGTATTTTTAGTAGAGACAGGGTTTCACCATGTTGGCCAGGCTGGTCTCAAACTCCTGCTGGGATCATGGGCGTGAGCCACCACGCCCGGCCACCTTTAGAGTTTTCTTACCACCTGGTTTTCCTCTCTCAATATCTTTCTCTCATTTCCTGCCTTAAAACTCTAGCTTGGCATCTGGGCGCAGTAGCTCATGCCTGTAATCCCAGCACTTTGGGAGGCCGAGGTAGGTCTTGAAGTCAGGAGTTCGAGACCAGCCTGGCCAACATGGTGAAACCTTGTCTCTACTATTTTTACAAAAGTTAGTCGGACGTACAGACGGGTGCCTGTAGTCCCAGCTACTTGGGAGGCTGAGGCAGGAGAATTTGTTTGAACCCAGAGGTGAAAGTTGCAGGGAGCCGAGGTTGTGCCACTGCACTCCAGCCTGGGAGACAGAGCAAGACTCTGTCTCCAAAACAAACAAACAAACAAAAAAACCCTGTAGCTTGGGATCAGCCTTCTCTTCTATTGTTTTTCTTTAAAAAATAAAAATTAAAAATAGATGTAGATGCTATGTTGCTGAGGCTGGCCTCAAACTCCTGGCCTCAGGTGATCCTCCCGCCATGACCTCCAAAACCACAGGGATTGTAGGTGTGAGCACTGCACCCAGCCTTATGTTTTTTTCTACATAAAAAACAGCACAGGATTATCTTCCAGAGCTAATAAATATGTTCAAATAACCACAACCCCATTAAGGAAAAATATCACTGGGCAGCAAATAATCAATCCAGACCAATATGATCACAATTGCTGTGAAGGTGAGAAAAGTTCATTTTTATTATGTTTCCCCAAGAGACGCACTCTATTGTTCTCTTGAAAACACACAGCTCATGTCCTCCTTTAGAACACACATCCTCTTTAAAGTAACATACAAACATGCCAAAACAAGGTAAAAAATTACATCTGAATTCTCACATTTCAAATATATATGAAATATCAAATAAAAATTTATTTTTACAAGAATTTAGGGGAACTACTACATAGCTATAAATGTAATATATATGTTAACTAAGTATCATAGATAAAAACCATGCTCCCTTCAGCAGCACGTGTAATAATAGATACAAAGATTGAAAGGTAAAAGATTTAGGATGAAAAGAATCCTCTCTTAAAAAGGAAAACAAAATTATATGTATGTGTATATAACAGTTATAATATCCATCACACAGCTTTATAGAAACAGCATCTATTCAAAAATACCAGTATTTCCAAAATATTTAAAATAATATTTAAAGTAATAATATTTAAATAAATAAATATATTTAATAAATATTTAAATAAATAAAATAATATTTAAATAATTCTATACCCATGTTTTTCAAAATAAACCAATAAAATAGATAGTATATATTAGACGTGTTAGTATATATATCTGAGGCATGTTAAAAATCACAACTGAATTCTCACAATTCAGTCACAAACCTAAACAGCAAATAAAAATTTCTATCACCAGAATTATGTTTTTTTCTGGTGGGGAACTACCAATAGCTATAAATAGAAGAGATTATTATGGAAGTATCATAGATAAAAAGAGTGCTCGCTTCAGGAGCACATGTAATAATACAGAAACAAATTTAAAGATAATAAAATATTTAGGATAAAAAGAATTGTCTCTTAAAAATGAAAAGAAAATTAGCTTTATGTATATATAACAACTATAACTCTCATCAAAAAACTACAGGAACAGCATGTTTTCAAAAGTACAACAATTTCCAAACTATTTGAAATAAATCTATGAATAATTCAATGGCCGACATTTTCCATACAAACCAATAAAATGCAGAGTGTGCATGAAGCTATCTGTTACAATCTGTGGCACTGATATTTCACAAAAGAATTCTGTCCCAATCTGAGCCCCTGCATTGTGCCTTCAAATCCTCCTGGACTGCAAGTCCGTAAGAAACAGGACCTCCAGGTTCCGCCCCAGGGAGGTTGGAATTCAGCAATATAAAAAGGGTGGTGGTGCCGCAGGAAAGGGTGGAACTGGAAACGCTCCTGGTTTCTTACTTTTCTCCAAGGACTCCTAGAAGGACCCCACCCCCCTCCCCCCACCCCTGCTCCTAGGAGGACAACGTGATCACTGTATTCAGCTCCATCAAGAATGGTCCAGGTTCTTCTAGATGATCTGCACAAATGGTTCCTCTCCTCCTGCCTGGTGTCTGCCATTAGCATTGGAATAAAGTTCCCGCTGAAAATCCACATCTCCCCTGGGTCCGGTGTTCTGGAAGCGAGAGAGACAATGTCACACTTCAAGGAGGCAGCTCTCTAGACAGGAAAGTTATTCACGTCCCATGTCAATTGAGAAATGCAATTTTATCTGCTGCCTTTCATTCTATACCCTGCTTCTGAACCATCGTGTTCAACTGTGAAACTCACACTTTGGTGACCACGACTCCAAAACTCACTTAATACACCCAAGGTCAGCCCCAGTGATCTGCTTCATAGCAAGGACTTTGGGTGGGTCTGCCCAGGGAGTAGGGCACCCTCAGAGAATGTGGCTTTGGACTTTATCACAGCTGGGGCCTTTTGTGTCACTTAAGATCTAAACTTGTAACCATGCTAGATGTGTTTCTAATGTGACAACATCACGAACCACGAGTCCAGAAGCCTAATCCTTAATCCTACCTCCTCATGATGAAGTCTCATGCTCTGTGCTCAACGTGGTTAGCTGCACAAGATGTAAACCAAAGCTTCACTGAACCCTCGACCCAAATCAGTAACTCAAGTGCGTCAATCATAATGAACCTCCCCAAACTCAGTTTTTATGATTATTTTTGAGGCAGGGTCTCACTCTGTCGCCCAGACTGGAGTGCAGTGGCAGGATCAGGGCTCCGTGCGGCCCCGACCTTCCAGGCTCCAGCGATCCTCCCGCCTCAGCCTCCTGAGTAGTTGGGAGTAGAGATGCGTCCCACATCGCCTGGCTAATTTTTGTATTTTTGTGGAGAGGGGATCTCGCCACGTTGCCCAGGCTTGAAGCCAGATCAAGCAATTGGGTTCTTCGGATTTCCGAAATAGACCCCAATATTCTGCCTTTACCCCAGAGGATGCAGATGTACCTTCTCTCAGGCCGATGACCTCAGGCCTCCCCGGTCCCTGGAGCTCTAGGAAAGGTGAGCGCGATCTCGCGCCCACACCCAGTGCTCTGGGTCATAAGCCTGGATCTGGAAAAACAAACGCCCTTTGAGAAGACGGGGACTCGCCAGGATACCCCTCTCTCCCCTCATCCAGCCTCCAGCCCACCCAATTCCTCCCCACCTCCTCCACCTCCCCAGGCCCCACTCACCTCCTCCAACTCCTCTGGGGAAACCCAAGCCCTGCAGCTCATGGAACAGAAGAAGTGGAACCGTCGTTTCTGGAACAGGACTATCTGAGAGCGGTTCTTCCTGGCCCTCGAGTTCATGGAACGGTATAACTGGAACCGACGCTTACGGAGCAAGGGTATGCGAGAGCGGTTCTTCCTGGCCCTCGGGTTCGTGGAACGGTATAACTGGAACCGACGCTTACGGAGCAAGGGTATGCGAGAGCGGTTCTTCCTGGCCCTCGGGTTCATGGAATGGCCTAACTGGAACCAAGGCTTACGGAGCAAGGGTATGCGAGAGCGGTTCTTCCTATACAGGAAGTGGAAGATGTTTTGTTTGGAGTCCTCGTCGTCCTCCTCCATGTCATTGGCCAGGTAGCTGAGGACAGAAATCAGGTTGCTGCTCAGGGGCACCACCAGGAGAGGCCTCCGGCTGAGGTCAGCTTCCCAGAGAGGAAGGTAAGGGACCGTCCCTAGCTCAGGACTGGCACCCACCCTGCAGAGAGCCATGCCTTCCTCAGGAGGGCTCTGCTGGACAGAGACCTGATCAAGGGCGTCTCCCACTCCTTCAGGATGGAGACAAAAACCCAACTGGTGGCCGAGAGTGGTGGCTTACGCCTGGAATCCCAGCACACTGGGAGGCCAAAGCAGGAGGATCACTTGAGGCCAGGAGTTTGAGACGGGCCTGGGCAACATAGCAAGACCCTCGTCTCTATTAAAAATGTAAGAAATATGCCAGACGCGGTGGCTCATGCCTGTAATCCCAGCACTTTAGAAGGCTGAAGCAGGTGGATCGCTTGAGACCAGGAGTTGGAGACCAGCCTGGTCAACACGGAGAAACCCCATCTCTACTAAAAATACAAAAATGAGCCTGGTGCGGTGGCACACCCGTTAGGCCTAGCTACTCAGGAGGCTGAAGCACAAGAATTGTGTGAACCCAGGAGGCGGAGGTTGCAGTGAGTTGAGATTGGGCCACTCCATTCCAGCCTGAGAGGCAGAACAAGACTCTGTCTCAATAAACAAACAAACAAACAAACTGTCCAGGTGTGGTGGCACAGCCCTGTAGTCGGAGCTAATAAAGAAGCTGAGGTGGGAGGATCGCTTGAGCCCAGGATATGGAGGCTGCGGTGAGCTATGATCTCACCACTGCACTCCAGCTTGGGGGACAGGGCAAGTCTGTCTCAAAAAAATAAAAGAAATTGAATACATTGATATTTTGCCAGGACCCTGCCTTCTACAGGCATCTAGTCTAATGGGACTGGGAGTAATCAAGGCAGATGACCTAATCCCAGTGTCCAGGATGTAACTAGAGAGCTACGGGCATGCAGAAGTTGGAAGATGAGGGAAGGCATCACAGAGGCTGTGGGGTGAACTGATTTCAAGGAATGGGTCCTTCCCTTCAGAGCCACATGTGTGCGGGACACCCAGACAGAAAACACAAACACAAAGTCGAGTGGAGGGCATTTGGAAGGAGCAGTGAAGCCGAGCCAGGAAATACCAAGATGGCGAGCCAGTGTGCTTGTAGAGATTGTAGAGAGGGTAGAATGGACACTGTGGACCCTGGCCTCGATAGAGAAAGGCATCAGCTAAGGAAGTTGTTCAGGTGGGCAGTGAGGTTGTCGTGCTTTGGAAAGATGTTCAGGCTGCACTAGGAAGCCCCCTGGCTTGGGGAGAGACTCCAGGAGACCCCAGCGGGGAGCATTTGACAGTAAATTCGAGTGATGCGAGGGGGACCTGAACTGTGGCCTCTGTCATGGGAACCCAGAGGAGGTCGATGGCGTTTGTGGTTGATGTGGGAAGGAGAGAGAGAGAAGAACCAGAAACGTCTGCTTGCTGGAGGAAGCGGCATGTCCGCTCCTCCACTCCTTTTCTTTTCCCCTTAGGAGCGGTTTATGGTTCCTTTTGTTTTATTCTTTTATTTGTACACTGGCATTGGAGTTTCTTTTTTTGGCTTTTTTTTTTTTTTTTTTTTTTTTTTTTTTGAGAAAAAGTCTCACTCTGTCACCCAGGCTGGAGTACAGTGGCTCGACCTTAGCTTACTGCAACCTCCACCTCCTGGGTTCAAAGGGTTCTCTTGCCTCAGCCTCCCGAGTAGCTGGGATTACAGATGCACACCACCACGCCCAGCTAATTTTTCTATTTTTAGTAGAGACGGGATTTGGCCATGTTGGCCAGGCTGGTCTCGAACTGCTGACCTCAGGTGATCCGCCTGCCTCGGCCTCCCAAAGTGCTGGGATTACAGGCGTATTCCACTGTGCCCAGCCTGAGTTTCTGTTTAGAAACAACAGTCTATGATAGTATAATCCTCTCTTTTTTGTACACAGAGTAAAGAGGACAAATAGGTGAAAGAATAAATGAAAGGCTGGAATCCCACTTCCCCCGCTGTCCCAGGGCATTGGATATTGACGGATAGGAGGCAGCAAACCACTCACAGAGCCAGGAAGAAATGAATGCGTTGGTATTGCCAGGAGGGGAAGCCGGCCCGGCTGAAATACGCTATGACCATAGCCAGGAGATACTGATGGAGAGAAAGGAACACAGAGAGGGAGAGGTCACATCTTGGAAGAGGAAGATTGTGGAGAGGGGGAATGAGGGTCTGGGGAGGGGCTGCCCATCAGAGAAGGGACCTCAGTGTTGGGGTGACTACTCATTTGGAAATTGCGGGATGGAGGGGTATTCGAAGGTCGGATGCAAATCCGAGAAGCCAGAGGAAGGGTTTTGGGTGATGCTCCCAGGATGGTGGGCTCCGATGGGATCTTTGGAGGGGGTGTGTCTAGGTCGGCTGGTGTCAGGAGGGTCTTTTGTGTGCCAGGCAGAGAACTGTCCCGAAGAGCTGAGAGTAGAGGGGCCAGGAGCTTCAGGGCTGCGGCCAGACTGTGGCCCAGAGCTCAGATCCCAAAGGACCCATAGGAGAGGCAGGGGCCACTCATTCACTCTGCAAGAGACCAGCAGAATCCTGAGGGAGACGCTGACAAATCATAAAAAGACCAAGAATAGCCGGGAGTGGCGGCTCAAGCCTGTGATCCCAGTACTTTTTGAGAGGTGGAGACAGGAGGATCATGTGAGCCCAACAGTTCGAGAACAACCTGGGCAACATAGTGAGACCCTGTTTCTACAAACATTTCAAAAATTAGTTGAGCATGGTGGCATGTGCCTAGTCCCAGCTCCTCAGGAGGCTGAGGAAAGAAGATTGCTTGAGCCCAGGAATTAGAGGCTGCAATGAGCTATGATCATGCCACTGCACTCCATCCTGGGGAGCAGAGCTAGACTCTGTCTCACAAAAAAAAAATTTGTGGGTGCCAAGACTCAAGACCATGGGAGCTGGTCGGGCACAGTGGCTGACGTCTATAATCTCAGCACTTTGGGAGGCCAAGGCGGGTGGATCGCCTGAGGTCAGGTGTTCAGGACCAACCTGGCCAACATGGCAAAACCCCGTTTCTACTAAAAACACAAAAATTAGCCAGGCGTGGTGGTTCATGTCTGTAATCCCAGCTGCTTGGAGGCTGAGGCAGGAGAATCGCTTGAACCCAGGACGCATCGGCTGCAGTGAGTCAAGATCGAGACACTGCCCTCCAGCCTGGGCAACAGAGCAAGACTCTGTCTCACACACACACACACACACACACAAAAAAAAAAAAAAAAAAAAAAGACTGTAGGAGCATCTGGTGGGAGGTGGTGGAGGGAGAACTGTGGGTTTGGAAGCTGCGCCCTCCCCCCAGCCATGCGTTGGAACAGGAACAGTTACATGGAGAACAACCTTACCTTGTCCGACACCCTCAGATCTTTGTCCCAGGCCAAGAATCTTTTAATGACAGGATCCTCTGTGATTAGAGAGCAGATGTCAGTGTGAGAAGCAGGACAGGGTTTCCGTGGGAGCAGCAGGGCAGTGAGGAGAAGTGTGCCTCCCGGGGGGAAGTCTCAGGATTGTGGCCGCGGGTGAGGTGGATGGGAGAGGGGAGAATGACTTTCACTGGGCAAGGGAGAGAGGCTCCTGCTCTGAGACTCCCCTGAGAAGAGGCCGAAGGAGGCCCTGGGTGTGAGAATCTACAGGATGTAGAGCTGGGAATCAGCCAGGACCCCCTCCAGCAGACACGGAGGGACCACTGCAGAGTCATAAAGGAATTCCCATCATTTCCTCATGAGACAGTCACATCAGGGTGTGACCATGGCCTTGGTATCCCCCACTATGGATGGAGACACTTAGGTTTAGAAAAGTCAGTAAGAGACATTAAGTTTCAGAGGGCACAGCTGAAACCACTTTCTTTGTTTATTGATTTTGTTTTTCTTTATTGGATTTTTATTTTTATTTATTTATTAATTTATTTTGAGACAGAGTCTTGCTCTGTGGGCCAGGCTGGAATGCAGTGGCCTGATCTTGGCTCACTGCAACCTCTGCCTCCCGGGTTTAAGCGATTCTCCTGTCTCAGCCTCCCGAGTAGCTGGGATTACATGCATGAGCTACTGTGCCCAGCCTTGGTTTTTCTTTTGAGACAGGGTTTTGCTCTGTCACCCAGGCTGGAGTGCAGTGGTGTAGTCATAGCTCACTGCAGCCTCAAAGTCCTGAGTTCAAGCAATCCTCTTGCCTCAGCCTCCCAACGTGCTGGGATCTCAGGCGGGAGCCACTGCGCCTGGCCCGAAACCAAGCTTTCTTATCCCAAGCGCTGACCTTTATCAAGTTGACCTAATCCTTTATCATCTCCTAAGTGTCCCTCATGAGTGATCACTTCACATTCCTCCCACATGGAGAGCTCACCCACTGGGGCCTATTTTTCCCATTGGAAAAGTGTGGTTATTGGAAGTTTCCTGTTTTTGGAAAGAACAGGATTGGAGGTGCTCTCTGGGGTGTCCTCCTACCAAGCAGCCTGTTGAAGGCCTCGTGGTGCTCAGGGAGCACGAGCGACACTCGCCGTCGCTTCAGCTTCATCTTGAGGCCACACAGCATCTCCGCCACCCAGATCTCCTCAGGCTCAGGGGCGAGCACCTTCCGTGGCTCCTCCTCCAACGACTCCTCAGATTCGTCCCACCACTCCATCTTCCTTTTCCAGCAAAAGGACCTATGCGGGGGGCTGGGATCTACCCCAGGGGCTGAGTAAAGAAACCAGGCCACGGTGTAATGCTTCTGCAGTTGATCACACTAGAGCCCGACCCAAAACCCCAAACCACTCTCCATCCTCCCCAGCCTCGCAGACTGCTGGCTTCTCCAAGCCATCTTTCCTTCTGTCTGTCTCCTCTGCTGAGCTCCATGTGCCGCTCCTTCTCCTCCCCATTCTCCCGTTTTTCTGTCCTCAGAACACTTCCTCATATCCTTCCCTGGTCCCTGGCTCTCTGAGTCCCTTTTTTTTTTTTTTTTTCGTTGTTGTCGTTGTTGTTGTTGAGAAACAGTCTTGCTTTGTGGCCTAGGCTGGAGTGTAGTGGTGCGATCTTGGCTCACTGCAACCTCTGCCTCCCGGGTTCCAGTGATTCTCCTGCCTAAGCCTCCCAAGTAGCTGGGATTACAGGTGCCCACCAGAACGCCCAGCTCATTTTTGTGCTTCTAGAAGAGACAGGGTTTCACCATGTTGGCCAGGCTGGTCTCCAACTCCTGGCCTCAAGTGATCTGCCTGCCTGGCCTCCCAAAGTGCTGGGATTACAGGTGTGAGCCACTGCACCCTGCCTCAGTACCTCCATTCTTCCCACACACCCTCCTCATGTGCTCCTTCCTGACTTCTGGGCCCTTCCTTCCTTTTTTTTTTTTTTTTTTTTTTGAGACAGCGTCTCACTCTCTCACCCAGAATGGAATGCAGTGGCGCTATCTTGGCTCAAAGCAACCTCTTCCACCTGGGTTCAAGCGATTATCCTGTCTCAGCCTCCTGAGTAGCTGGGATAACAAGCATGCCTGGCTAATTTTTGTATTGTTAGTATAAATGAGGTTTCGCTATATTGGTCTGGTTGGTCTCGAACAACTGACCTCAAGTGATCCACCCATCTCAGCCTCCCAAAGTAATGGGATTACAGGCATGAGCTACCACACCCGGCCTTCGTTTTTCTTTTGACACAGGGTTTTGCTCTGTCACCCAGGCTGGAGTGCAGTGGTGCAGTCATAGCTCACTGCAGCCTCAAAGTCCTGAGTTCAAGCAATCCTCTTGCCTCAGCCTCCCAACGTGCTAGCATCTCAGGCGTGAGCCACTGCACCTGGCCCGAAACCAAGCTTTCTCATCCCAAGCGCCAACCTTTATCAAGTCTAGCCTAGTCCTCTATCGTCTCCTAAGTGTCCCTCATGAGTGATCACTTCTGAGTCCTCCTGCGTGGAGAGCTCAGCCACTGGGGGCGTATCTTTCCCATTGGAAAAGTGTGGTTATTGGAAGTTTCCTCTTTTTAGAAAGAACAGGATTGGAGGTGCTCTCTGGGGTATCCTCCTACCAAGCTGACTGTTGAAGTCCTTGTGGTGCTCAGGGAGGATGGATGACACTCGCTGTTGCTTCAGCTTCATCTTGAGCCCACACAGCATCTCCACTACCCAGGTCTCCTCAGGCTCAGGGGCGAGCTCCTTCTCCGGCTCCTCCTCAGATTCATCTGACCACTCCCTCTTCCTTTTCCAGCCAAGGGACCTACATGGGGGGCTGGGATCTACCCCAGGGGCTGAGTAAAGAAACCAGGCCACCGTGTAATGCTTCTGCATCTGATCACCTTAGACCCCGACCCAAAACCCCAAACCACTCTCCATCCTCCCCAGACTTGCAGACTGCTGGCTTCTCTAAGCCATCTTTCTGATTTTCTCCTCTGCTCAACCCCATGTGCCGCTCCTTCCCCTCCCCATTCTTCTCTCTCTCTGTCCTCCGAACACTGCTTCCTGTCCTTCCCTGGTCCCTGGCTCTCTGAGTCCCTCCTTTTTTGTTTTGTTTTGTTTTGACACAGAATCTTGCTTTGTCACCCAGGCTGGAGTGTAGTGGTGCAATCTCAGCTCACTGCAACATCCATCTCCTGGATTCCATTTATTCTTCTGCCTCAGCCTCTCAGGTAGCTGGGATTACAGGTGCCTGCCATAATGCCCAGCTCAATTTTGTACTTTTAGTAGAGACAGGGTTTCACCATGTTGGCCAGGCTGGTCTCAAACTCCTGGCCTCAAGTGATCCGCCTGCCTTGGCCTCCCAAAGTTCTGGGCTTACAGGTGTGAGCCACTGCACCCAGCCTGAATTTCTCCATTCTTCCCACACACCCTCCTCAGGTTCTCCTTCCTGACCACTGACCCTTCTTTTCTTTTTTTTTTTTTTTGGAGTGCAGTAGTGTGCTCTCAGCTCACTGCAACCTCTTCCTCCCAGTCTCAAGTGATTCTCCTGTCTCAGCCTCCTGAGTAGCTGGGATTACAGGTGTGCACCACTACAACTTGGCTAATTTTTATACTTTTAGTAGAGATGGGGTTTCACCATATTGGCCAGGCTGGCCTTGATCTCCTGACCTCAGGTGATCCGCCCGCCTCGGCCTCCCAAAGTGCTGGGGTTACAGGCGTGAGCCACCGCACCCGGCCCCCTTCCTTCGTCTTAGTCAATCCTATCCCACCTCTTCTTCCACCAGTCCCCTCACCTGATGGTCCCAACATTTCATCATCCACCACCTCCTGGAGGGGGTACCCCGAGGTGCTCCGCTGGGGACTCTGCTCATTCTGGGGGTGCGGTTGACGGCTGGTCGTGATCTTTCCCGTAATCTGTCCCCTCTTACGGAACCTAGTCTCCGTTCTGTCCATGGCCTTCTTCTGGACACTTCTAGGATCCAGAAGAGTATGTTATCAATTCTCAAGCCTAGGAGAAGTCAGGAGTAGAGAACAGCTCTGAGAAGATACTGTTGTCCAACTGATCTCCAGGCACCACGGAGTCCGGTCCCTCCAATCAGGAAGGTCGGAATCTCTGATGTCATCGTTCATGCCAACCTGGCAACCAGTTTGAAAAAAAACACATGTAACTGCCAGGCTGATCTCTTGTCCTGGAGATCCTGGGTGAATGGTATCTCCTGCCACTGTCCCAACCTCAGACCATTGTCCAAAAGCATCTTCAGGGACTCCACATCCCTCTATTCCCTGTCCCAGCAGAGGCTGTGTCCTCTCCACTCAAAGCCTGAAGCATGTTGGGGTCTCTTCGTCTCTGTACATGCCCATTTCAGAGTCCAGTCTGGTGGGAGAGGGAACAGAGTGGGAAAGAAAACTAGGGTAAGCAGAAACGATGAAACCTTATAAGAGTGAGAGTATCATGTACAAGAGTGAGATTATCATGTACAAGAGTGAGATTATCACGTACAAGAGATCCCAGGAATACTGACTTGATGAAAAAGTCACATCAGAGCACTCAGTTTGGCAGAGCTTTTCTGCCGAATGTTTACTCACATTCACTGTCCGAGATTCTATACTGGGGGTACACACGTCCTCTGCCCTAAGGCAATTTTGAGTCCAAGAGACATTTTGAGGCCTAAAAATCATAGGAAACTGCCCCTGAGCTCACACATATTTCCAATGGTGTCCCCAGTTTCAGGGAATCCATGGATTACCTAAGCCAGCCCCTCCAGTTCGGCTAAGAAACTCTAGTCTATATATCAAGTTTTGTATCATATGTATTGCTCTGAACTCAGAAATTTCCCTTCCATTTATGGATTCTATGAATAAAATATCACATGTACAAAAAGACTAAGTCAAAAAATTTCAGCTGTGCACAGTGGCTCATGCTTGTAATCCCAGCACTTTGGGTGGCCAAGGGAGGAAGATTGCCTGAGGCCAGCAGTTCGAGACCAGTATAGGCAACATAGCAAGAGCCCATCTCTAAAAAAACAAAACCAAACCAAATTAGCCAGGTGTGGTGGCTGGCACCTGTGTTCCAACTACTTGGGAGACTCATGTGACAGGAAGATCACTTGAGCCCAGGAGTTAGAAGCTGCAGTGAGCCGTGATCTTGCCACTGCACTCCAGTCTGGGCAACACAGCAAGATACTGTGTCAAAAAAAGTTTTTTTGATAAAAAATAAAAGAGTTACATGACATTCAGAGACCATCCAAAAAACCTGTGGGTTCCCGGCTGGGCTCAGTGGCTCATGCCTGTAATCCCAGCACTTTGGGAGGCCAAAGTGGGTGGATCACTTGAGGTCAGGAGTTTGAGACCAGCCTGGACAACATGGTGAAACCCCATCTCTACTAAAAATACAAAAAATTAGCCAGGCATGGTGGTGGATTCCTGTAATCGCAGCTACTCAGGAGAGGGCGCTGGAGAATCACTTGAACTCATGGTGCGCAGGTTGCAGGGAGCCAAGATGGCACCATTGTGCTCCAGCCTGGGCAACAAGAGCAAAACTCCATCTCAAAAAAAATAAAGAACCTGCGAGTGAGTTCCCACACGTTTTCCTAATGGGCTGCTGCTTTCCTAGGAGTCTCTCGCTCATAGAAAAGGCACAAACTGAAAGAGGAAGCAGATCCCATTGCTGTGGAAGTCCCATTGTTAGGAAGCTCTGCTTTTCTGGAGTTCAAATTCGCATTCATGACGCTTTAAACCGTCAGAGCTGGGTGGGTCCTCCTACAACAAAATAGTTTGCTCTCTCTCTCCTAGTTAACAGGCTTTCAAATATTAGAAGATCAATGTTCTGACCCCATTAAAATTTCTCTTTTGTGGAATGAAAAGCTCTGATTTAACCCATCTTCAAGGCTGGTTTGATGGAGGAATAGGGGCTGAGTCAGCTGCATTTCCCCTCCCTGCACAAAGTCCTGGGCCCAGATCTGGGGTCTGTCTCTGCTGAGGGTGGGGTGAACCAGGAAGCACCTCCTTCTTCATCTCCTTGATGAATGGGTATAATGGTTGCCATGGAACTGGGGCTTGTTTGATGACCTGGGGCTGGGTGGGCCTCTGAGAGCCTTTATAGCTGATTGCCTTTTGGGAGAGGGGAGGTGGGAGCCCCACCCTGTCTCATGAGTCACCCCAAAGGTGCATGGGCAGGCAGGTGCTGGGGAATCGGCTACTCCCCAGAGCTTGGCGTGGCCATCCCTGTGGCCCCTCTGGGAGTCTGGAGCCCATTCCCTCACACTGGTACTCACTGCAGCTGGGGACATCTGCACTAGGAAGACAGGACACGGCATGGAAGCTGGCCTCTGCCCAGAAGCCATGACATTCTGGTCACCAGCCTGATGCTATAAAACGAGTGTCACGGCCGGGCATGGTGGTTCACACCTGTAATCCCAGCACTTTAGGAGGCCAAGGCGGGTGGATCATGAGGTCTGGAGTTCGAGACCAGCCTGGCCAACATGGCGAAATCCCGTCTCTACTAAAAATAAGAACATTAGCCAGGTGTGGTGGCACATACCTGTAGTCCCAGCTCCTCTGGAGGCTGAGGCAGGAGAATCACTTAAACCCAGGAGGCGGAGATTGCAGTGAGCCGAGACCACGGCATTGGACTCCAGGCTGGGCAACAGAGCACGACTCCATCTCAAAAACAAACAAAAAAAAAGAGTGTCACCTGGGGCTACTTGGCCAGACACAGAGAGCAAGGAGACATCCCTATTATCTGTCAAAAATAATTGTTGGGGCTGAGCACAGTGGCTCATGCCTGTAATCTCAGCACTTTGGGAGGTCGGGGCAGGAGGACTTGAGGCCTAGAGTTTGAGACCAGCCTGGGCAACATAGCGAGCACCCCATCTCCAGAAAAAATTTAAAAATTGGCTGGGCGCAGTGGCTCATGCCTGTAATCCCAGCACTTTGGGAGGCCGAGGGGGATGGATCATTTGAGGTCAGGAGTTTGAGACCAGCCTGGCCAACATGGTGAAACCCCATCTCTACTAAAAATACAAAAATTAGCCGGGCATGGTGGTGGGCACCTGTAATCCTAGCTACTTGGGAGGCTGAGGCAGGAGAATCGCTTGAACCCAGGAGGCGGTGGTTGTAGTGAGCTAGGATCATGCCATTGCAGTCCAGCCTGGACAGCAAAGCTAGACTCCATCTCAAAAAAAAAAGAAAAGAAAAAGTAAAAAATTTAAAAATTAGATGGGCATGGTGACATGTGCCTGTAATCCCAGGTACTAAGGAAGCTGAGGTAGGAGGATGACTTGAGCCTAGGAGTTCGAGGCTGCACAATTATTGTGCCAGACCCCTAGGTTAACAGTGAGGATTCAGTGGGAGAACTAAACAGATAAACAGATCCAGTCCCCGCCCTCAGAGAGTTACAGTTTAATGGGAAAAAGAGACATTCACCAAAGAAGGACACAGCCCACTAGTGAGTTACACTCGAGAGGGATCATTTACAGAACAAAGCAGATTATAAAAATACAGCGATTGGCTGGGTGCAGTGGCTCACGCCTGTAATCCCAGCACTTTGGGAGGCAGAGACGGGCGGATGACTTGAGGTCAGGAGTTCTCAACCAGCCTGGCCAAAATGGTGAAACCCCATCTCTACTAAAAACACAAAAATTAACCAGGCGTGGTGGTGGGCACCTGTAATCCTAGCTACTTGGGAGGCTGAGGCAGGAGAATGAATCGCTTGAACCCAGGAGGTGGAGGTTGCAGTGAGCCGAGACCGCACCATTGCACTCTAGCCTGGGCAACAAGAGCAAAACTCCGTCTCAAAATAAATACATACATACATACATGCATACATACATACAGGGATTAAAATAGTCTAGTACTGACACCTGAACAGACAGATTGATCCAAGAAATGAAACAGAAATTCCAGAAGTTGACCTGAACACACACACACACACACACACACACACACACACACACACGAAGGCGTGAAAGACTCCATGACCCTCAAGGTATAAGATGCATTTTTTTTTTTTTTTGAGACAGGGTCTCACTCTGTCACCCAGACTGGATGCAGTGGTGCACTATCCCAGCTCAGTTCTACCCTCCATCCCCCCAACCTCCCCCAACCACCCTGAGCTCAAGCAATTCTCATGCTTCAACCCTCAGCCTCATGAGTAACTGGGACTACAGGCGTGCACCACCATGCGCAGCTAATTTTTTGTATTTTTAGTAGAGATGGGTCTAACCATATTGCCTAGGCTGGTCTCGAACTCCTGAGCTCAAGCGATCCTCTTGCCTCAACCTCCCAAAGTGCTGGGATTACAGCTGTGAGCCACCGCACCCGGCCGCATTCTTCTAAATCACAGTACATCTGGTTCCCAGTGCCCAGGCTCTCAGGGCAGAGGGTCCAGTGTGATCACTTTGCATGGCCTCTCTCCCCTCCTGAGCTTGTGCCAGGGCCCCAGGGCTGACCTGGAGAAGGAAAATGGCAGAGGGTGAAGATGGGGTGTCTGGTTTGGGGACCATCCTGGCCCCCCTTGTCACTGTTGGCATCTCTTCTGCACAGTGGCATTGCTGGGAGGTGCTTACTGTGCCTATTCAAGGGGCTGGCAGCCGCAGCCTCACTGCAGATCAGGGACTTGGCTTCCCGGTTGACCACAGGTCCAAGAACCTGCAGGGTCCAGCCTCCCCCCCATCCCCAGTCTTCCCCACCCTGGCCCGGCCCTCCAGGTGCAGAAACATGCAGGCCCCTCTCCAGGACTGTGGGAGGAGTGTGTCCCTCAGACTGGCCTGTGTCCTGGCTCCTCTTACCACCTCTTCCAGAGGTTGTCACCTGCAGCTGCCCCAGGATAAAGGCAAGGCCAGAGAGGACTCCTGAACTCCTGTGTGCCTGGGGTGGCAGGGGCAAACATAGCCAACTGGTGGCCTGAGCAGGGCCATGGTGAGGACACCCTTGGTGGCTTGTCCCACATCAAGCTGGGAGGTGACACTGAGGATGCATTAGTCTGCAGCGTATGATAAAAACCGCATTTCAGGCCAGGCGTGGTGGCTCATGCCTGTCACCCCAGCACCTTGGGAGGCCGAGGTGGGCAGATCATATGAGGTCAGGACTTTGAGACCAGCCTGGCCAACATGGTGAAAACTCATCTGTACTAAAAAAACAAAAATTATGTGGGTTGGTGGTGTGCGCCTGTAATCCCAGCTACTTGGGAGGCTGAGGCAGGAGAATCACTTGAACCTGGGAGGCGGAGGCTACAACGAGCCGAAATTGCACCACTGCACTCCAGCCTGACTCCGTCTCAAAAAAAAAAAAAAAAAAAGGCATTTCAGTTCAAATAGGGAAAGGATACATCTTTCTTTCTTTCTTTCTTTCTTTCTTTCTTTCTTTCTTTCTTTCTTTCCTTTCTTTCTTTTTCTTTCCTCCCTTCCTTTATCTCTCTCTCTCTCTTTCTCTCTTTCTTTTTGAGATGGAGTTTCACTCTCGCTGCCCAGGCTGGAGTACAATGGTGCGATCTCGGCTTATTATTATTCTCCATGTTGGTCAGGCTGGTCTTGAACTCCCAACCTCGGGTGATCCGCCTGCGTTGGCCTCCCAAAGTGCTGGTGTGAGCCACTGCACCCGGCTTAGGATGCATTTTTCAATATTTTAGTGTTTGAATAACGGGCTAACTTGAGAAAAAAATAATTTGAATCACACATCACACCAAAAATAAATTCTAGGTGGATTTTAACACTTTCAAAAATTATTATTAGTTTAGAGACAGGGTCTCACTCCGTCGCCTAGGCTGGAGTGCAGTGGTATGATCATGGTTCACTGCAACCTTAAACTCCTGGCCTCATATGATCCTCCGGCCTCAGCCTCTCAAAGTACTGGAACTACAAACATGCACCACCACGCCCAGCCTAGGTGGGTTTTTAAAATCCATTCAAGGGCGGGTGCAGTGGCTCACACCTGTAATCCCAGCATTTTGGGAAGCCAAGGTGGGAGGATCACTTGAGCCCAGGAGTTCGAGACCAGCCTGGGCAACATAGTGAGACCACATCTCTACAAAAAATTTAAAAATGAGCCAGGCATGGTGGTGCACACCTGTCGTCTCTGCTATTCAGGAGGCTGAGGCGGGATCATTGTTTGAGCCCAGGAGACAGATTGCAGTGAGCTATGATGGCACCACTGCATGGCAGCCTGGGTGACAAAGGGAGACTCAGTCTCAAAAAAAAAAAAAAAAAGGTGACAGGCTGGGTGCAGTGGCTCACACCTGTAATCCCAGCACTTTGGGAGGCCGAGGCAGGTGGATCACCTGAAGTCAGGAGTTTGAGACCAGCCTGGCCAACATGGTGAAACCCTGTCTTTACTAAAAATACTAAAGTTGGCCAGGCGTGGTGGCGTGTGCCCGTAATCTCAGCTACCTGGGAGGTTGAGACAGGAGAATCACTGGAACCCCAGAGGCAGAAGCTGCAGTGAGCTGAGATTGTGCCACTGCACTCCAGCCTGGGTGACAGACCGAGACTCCAACTCAAATTAATTAATTAAATTTTAAAAAAAAAGGCAAAGAGGGAGTCCTGCCTGGGTACAGGAGACCTGGGGTTGGGTCCCAGCCCTGCCGCTGACCTGCCCTGGGACTGCAGGAAGTTTCTTTCCCTGCTGGGCCCCAGGTTTCTTCTCATCCATATAATGAGATTAGTCATAACACCTGCCCTGCCCATCTCTGGGGACCCAAGGAGAGGATGAGTCGATGAGCAAGAACGTGTTTTCAAAAAGGGGAAACAAGCCCTTCCCACATTCTGATGTCTGCTTTCAACTGCCTTTTGAAAGGGAGTGAGAGAGGGAAAAATTGTATTATACAGGCCGGACATGGTGGCTCACACCTGGAATCCCAGAACTTCAGGAGGCTGAGGTGGGAGGATCACTTGAGCCCAGGAATTTGAGACCAGCCTGGGCAACACAGTAAGACTCTCTTTCTACAAAAAGTTAAAAAATTAGCTGGGCAGCCGGACACAGTGGCTCACGCCTGTAATTTCAGCACTTTGGGAGGCCGAGGCAGGCAGATCACATGAGGTCAGGGGTTCAAGACCAGCCTGGCCAACATGGCGAACCCCGTCTCTACCAAAAATACAAAAATTAACCAGGAGTGGTTGTGCACGCCAGTAATCCCAGCTACGCAGCAGGCTGAGGCAGGAGAATCACTTGAACCCAGGAGGTGGAGGTTGCAGTGAGCCGAGATCGTGCCATTGCACTCCAGCCTGAACGACAGTGAGACTCTGTCTCAAAACAAACAAACAAACAAACAAAAAATTAGCTGGGCATGGTGCCTTATACCTGCAGTCTCAGCTACTAGGGAGGCTGAAGTGGGAGGATCACTTGATCCTGGGAGGTCAAGGCTGCAGTGAGCTATGATCACACCACTGCACTCCAGCCTGGGCAACAGAGTGAGACCCGTCTCAAAAAATAATAATAATATAATAAATAAAAGAGACCCCAGAGAGCTTCCTTGACCCTTCCACCATATGAGGACACAGCTAGAAGGCACTCTCTACGAACCAAAAACAGACACCAACTCTTCCTAGTTTTTGTTTTTGTTCTTGTTCTTTTTTTTTTAAGATGGAGTCTCACTTTGTCACCCAGGCTGGAGTGCAGTGGTGTGATCTCGGCTCACTACGGCCTCCCCATCCTGGGTCCAAGCGATTCTTGTGCCTCAACCTCCCGAGTAGCTGGAATTACAGGCGCGTGCCACCACGACTGGCTAATTTTGTATCTTTAGTAGAGACGGGGTTTTTCCACATTGGTCAGGCTGGTCTCAAACTTCTGACCTCAGATGATCCGCCCACCTTGGCCACCCAAAGTGCTGGGATTACAGGTGTGAACCACTGCGCCCGGCCAGAAGTTTTTCTTGTGAGTTGAGGTGAACATCTGAATCCCCTCGGGGAACTGAGGTATGTCCCCTTCAGGGAATGGTCCCTCTTCATCCAAAAATGGGGCCCACAGGTGATAATCTGTTGGGTTTCCCAGAATGAAGACATCTGGCATAATTAGAGCGTGAAGGTCAGGCTGACGGGGGCTAGCACCCCGATCCAGGGGAGAGGTGGTCACAGGTCTCGCTCCACCTGCCCTGAGCCCCATCTCATCTTTTTTTTTTTTTTTTTTTTTTGAGGGGGAGTTTCACTCTTGTTGCCCAGGCTGGAATGCAGTGGTGCGATCTCGGCTCATTGCAACCTCTGCCTCCTGGGTTCAAGTGGTTCTCCTGCCTCAGCCTCCTGCGTAGCTGGAGTTACAAGAACAAGCCACCACGTCCAGCTAATTTTGTATTTTTAGTAGAGATGGGGTTTCGCCGTGTTGGCCAGGCTGGTCTCGAACTCCTGACCTCAGGTGATCCACCCACCTCGGCCTCTCAAAATGCTGGGATTACAGGCGTGAGCCACCATGCCTGGACTTCCATCTGGTAATTTTCTGTCTCGAGGAGGAACTACCCTGCCCTGACAGAGGCTGGGGATGAAGGAGGAAGAGACAGCCGGTCCCCTGGATAAAGAGGTGAGGGGGTGTGAAGTCTGGGAGCCCCCCTCCCAGGGCCAGGCTACAGGGGGACAGCAGGGCTATACCAGGAGTGCCACAGAGATGCATTTGGGTGTGATCTAATCCCCAGTCCTGCCCTGACCTCCTGGGTGCTCTTAGCCAAGCCCTCTTCCCTGTGTGTGCTAGAAAGTGAGGGTCACTCCCTTCCACACAAGGGAGTGAATTGAGGGTGGGGATCTGAGCTCTCTGAGCAGCAAAGCTGGACACAGGCCAAATTGCCAATCCTGAGTCCCTCTGTCATGTGGACCTGGGAAGCTTGTCCTCATCCTCCATCCTTCCCCAGGGTGGGGCCTGAGAATCTGAGAACCTTGAGCCTGGGAGGTCAAGGCCACAGTGAGCTATGATCGCACCACTGCACTCCAGCCTGGGCGAAAGAGTGAGACCCTGCCCCCCCCAAAAAAAAATAATAATAAATAAAAGAGACTCCAGGGAGTTTGCTTGAGCGGCACTCCCTATGAACCAAAAACAGACACCAACTCCTCCTAGGTTGGTTTTTTGTTTTTTGTTTTTTGTTTTTTTTTTTTGAGGCAGGGTCCCACTCTGTCATCCAGGCTGGAGTGCAGTGGTGCCATCTTGGCTCACTGCAGCCTCAACCTCCCAGGCTCGAGTGATCCTCCCACCTCAGGTCCTAAAGGAAGAGTCGCTACATTGGGGACTGTTTGGACAAGGAGATCCACGGGGTAGACTTAGCGGGATTGTCCCTGGGGCAGCCTGGATCCTGAGGCTGCCCCGCCTCCTTCCTCAGCCCCTCCCTGGTCAGGCGCTCCTGGTGGGTGGGGGGGGTAGTCCAGGCTTGTCTTGCAACTGTATGTTCTCTTCAGACCCCTCCCTGGCGATGCCAGATTCACTGGGCTGGCAGATTCTGCCCCCAAACCTGTCCAACCAGTTGTTTGAGAGGAGGGGGTAGCTGGGAGGGGCAGCAGGAGATGCCAGGAACAGCTTCCCCTAGCACAGCACAGACTACAGACAGGGGAGCCTCTGGGGCTGCAGACACTGCAGACGGACGGACAGACAGATGGACAACAGCTGGAGGCTTGGCCCGGCCATAGGGCTCTCTGCGGGACAGTCCCAGCTGCTAGTGTCGCTGTTGCTGCTACTGACCCGTGTCCAGCCTGGGACAGACGTGGGTGAGTAAGGGTGGGGATTGGCACAGGGGTACCCGCTGCATCTCAGGCTGCAGGACAAACCCAAGACCTCACTTTGTTTCCAAATTCTCACACATGGCTCCTGCCTCCTTCCTTTCCCTGAGGAGAGGTTTCCAGATGTCCAGGACAATGCATGTCCCCAGGAAGCTCTGGTAAGCCCAGCCTGGGCAACATAACAAGACCCCTTTTTTCAAAAAGATTTTTTTTTTTAAGATTTTTGTTTTTAATTAGCTGGGTGTGGTGGAGTGCACCTGTAATCCCAGCTACTTGGGAGACTGAGGCGGGAGGATGGCTTGAGCCCATGCAGTGAACTATGAATGCGCCACTGCACTCCAGCCTGGGCCAAACAGCAAGACCCTGTCTCAAAAAAGAAAAGAAAAGAAAAACTGGACAGGCTGAGAGATACAGTCCTACAATCTCTGCCCCCAACCCCAATCTCTGACTGCTCCGCTTCTCTTTTTCTTTTTCTTTTTCTTTTTTTTCTTTCTTTTTTTTTTTTTTTCGAGACAGAGTCTCCCACTGTCACCCAGGCTGGAGTACAGTGGCGCGATCTCAGCTCACCACAACCTCCGCCTCTCGGGTTCAAGCAATTCTCCTGCCTCAGCCTCCTGAGTAGCTGAGATTACAGCCGTGCGCCACTATGTCTGGCTAATTTTTGTATTTTTAGTAGAAACAGGGTTTCACCATATTGGCCAGTCTGGTCTCGAACTCCTGACCTCGTGATATGCCCGCCTTAGTCTCCCAAAGTGCTGGGATTACAGACGTGAGCCACCGCGCCCGGCCTCCACTTCTCTTTCTAAACATTACGTGCCTCCTGCACGCAGAGTGCCCTGGGCTTCAGAGATAGGACTGAGAGCTGTAAGAAAGGAATCGTGACAATCCTTCCCCAAGGAAGACTCTAGCCTGAACCTTTGGAGTTGAGTTGAATTCAACGTAAATGAATGAAGTTGAACTGAACTGAACTGAACAGGGGCAGCTGCTGGAGACTCACATAGAAACCCACTCCATCGTTCTGCTTCTCCTAGACCAGTATTTGGGGTTGGGGAGGTCTGAGCTCTCCAACCAGCAAGGCTGGACACAGGCCAAGTTGCCAATCCTGAGTCCCCTTTGGGGTACAGACCTGGGAAGCTTGTCCTCGTCCCCCACCCTTCCCCAGAGAGATGAGGTGGGAGTCTGAGAGGGGGACCTGGTCCTGAAGGCGAAGATGCCTCGGGGCCATGTTGGGAGGCGGCAGAGAACCAGGCAGGTTGAAGAGGACGTTCTAGACTCACTCGGAACCAAGCTCTGGCTCCAGAGCCCCCGGACCCTCTGGGCAGTCTGTGTCCCAGCCTGGGGTCTCAGCCAAGAGGACCTTCCTGTGCCATCCCCCCGACCCCTGCCAAGCCACGCATCCTCTCATCAAGCAAAACAACCTAGACCATGTGGGTGGAGCTGGAGGGACTTAAGTTGGAGGTCACTGGGCATGTCAGGAACAGAGTTCAGCCTAGGGTCAGGCTGCCCCCAAATTCCAGTTCCATCCCAACATGGCCCGGCCCAGGAGAACTGTGCCTACCGCCAGGGTGGGACCTCCCATGCCACCATTGTCCTAGACCTCCCACAGTGCCCACCCCCAGTAGGCTCCTAAGAGAGGGGCCAGGGGCTGGACTCAGGCCTCCCACCCATGCCCATGGGGCATAGAGTTGCCGGGAAAGCTTCCTGGTTCATACCGGACCTGACCTCCCAGGAAGTGCCCGTAACTTGGGGCTCCCATGTTAAGTCTGGATCTGGGCGGGGGGAGACCAGAGCTGTTGGGGCTTGGTTGCCCCATTTGGACTCTCCTCTCTGCCCTCCCCTTCCAGCTGCCCCAGAGCACATCAGCTATGTGCCCCAGCTCTCAAACGACACCTTGGCGGGGAGGCTCACCCTGTCCACCTTCACGCTGGAGCAGCCTCTAGGCCAGTTCAGCAGCCACAACATCTCTGACTTGGATACCATCTGGCTGGTGGTGGCCCTCAGCAACGGTGGGTGCTGCTGGGGCCAGGCTTCGGTTTTCCCTATGTGAAATGGGCCTGCGGGCCTAAGGGCAGTAGCGGGTGTGTTGCAGGGAGATGCAGGGAGCAGGTGCTGCAGGGGATGGGGCCGGGGAGGGCTGTCAGGCTTGGTAAGGTGAGGGTGGGATCCTGCTGTGTGACCTGTCTGACCATGGTGCCACCCTTAGCCACCCAGAGCTTCACGGCCCCACGGACAAACCAGGACATCCCTGCTCCTGCCAACTTCTCCCAGAGGGGCTACTATCTCACACTGAGGGCCAACCGGGTGCTGTACCAGACCAGAGGCCAGCTCCATGTCCTCCGCGTCGGCAATGATACCCACTGCCAACCAACAAAAATTGGCTGCAACCATCCCCTACCAGGACCCGGCCCCTACAGGTGAGCAGCTCTGCCAGGCCCTGGCTCCTGCCCGCATGCACCCAAGCCGGAGCCTGGGGCAGCTCCTACGAGGCTCACCAGGGCCCCAGCAGGATGCCTGGGTCCCCTGCTCCTGCTTGGCCAAAGGGAAGAGGAAGCAGCAGGCAGGGGCTAGGGAGGCCTTCATGAATTACATGAATTATCCTTCTTCTCTTTTTTTTTTTTTTCCTTTTCTTCTTCTTCTTTTTTTTTTTTTTTTTTGTTTTGTTTTTTGAGATGGAGTCTTGCTCTGTGACCCAGGCTGGAGTACAGTGGGGTGATCTCGGCTCACTGCAACCTGTGCCTCCCGGGTTCAAGCGATTCTCCAGCCTCAGCCTAACGAGTAGCTGGAATTACAGGCATCTGACACCACACCCGACTACTTTTTGTATTTTTAGTAGAGACAGGGTTTCGCCATGTTGGCCAGGTACCTGCCACCATGCCTGGCTAATTTTTGTAATTTTAGTAGAGATGAGGTTTCACCATGTTGGCCAGGCGGGTCTCAACTCCTGGCTTCAAGTGATCTTGAAGGCCCACCTTGGCCTCCCAAAGTGCTGGGATTACAGACGTGAGCCACCATGCCTGGCCTATCCTGCTTTTCTTGAGCAGAAGGTTCCCCACCTCAAGCCCCAGTCCCCACAGGCTGTGTGGACCACTCAGGTGGCGTCTCTCCATCCAGACAGGGTCTCCCCTCACTAAATGCTTGATTCACGCATGTTCAGTTCTGAGACATCTAATACTCGCCCTCTACCTTTCCCAAATGAGGACACAGAAGCCCAGAGAGGGGGAGGGACGTCACACCACTGGAAATGTCACACCTAGATTTGAACCCATTCTGTTGGGCTCTTTCGCCCCAGCCTCCGGCCCCCTCCCCGGGCTGCTCTCGCCAGGGCCTGGGACTCCAGGGGACAGACTTGCAGGCACCAAGTCTGATGGTTTCAGGACTCCGGGGGACCCCCATGTCCAATGCTGGGTCTCCCATTCAGGGTGAAGTTCCTGGTGATGAATGACGAAGGACCCGTGGCTGAAACCAAGTGGTCCAGCGACACTCGCCTGCAGCAAGGTAGGGGCCAGAGGCTCCGGTCAAACAGTAGGGGCAGGGGGCTGGGGCCTGGGGGTCCTGAGGACTGAGGATGGGCTGGGGGAACAGGTCAGCTCACCACTGAGTCAGAGGCAGCCAACCATCTTGCAATCTGCAGGCGCCCCTCCCCCAGCCACCCCCTTCCCCCAGGCCTGGGTGGTAGTAGGGGAGGCAGGGCGGTGATTGGTCTGGATTCTGCCCAAGGGCCCCTTCCGGTCAGGTAAAATTTCTTTTCCTGCCCGCCTGTGCGGCCCCCATCACTGCCCTCAGCCCAGGCACTTCGGGCTGTCCCCGGCCCCCAGAGCCCGGGCACCGTGGTCATCATCGCCATCCTGTCTATCCTCCTGGCCGTCCTCCTCACGGTCCTCCTGGCTGTGCTCATATACACCTGGTGAGTGGACCGGGCTGAGACCGCCCATGCCTCTTGGGAGGGGCGGGGCCCTTGGGCATTAACCCCTCCCTCTCTAGTTCCTCCCCGCCCGCCCCTGCCCACCTTCCAAGCGGGCACTGTGCACCCCCTGGTGGCAGCATCTGGGATTGCAAGTGGGTGCCGCCTGCGGACACCCCAGTCGGGGAGGCGCCCAAGGAGGAGGTGAATTGCTTTCACACCAAGCTCTGAGCATTGCCTCAAGACGCCATACAGGCCGGGTGCGGTGGCTCACGCCTGTAATCCCAGCACTTTGGGAGGCTGAGGCCCGCAGATCACCTGAGGTCAGGAGTTCAAGACCGGCCTGGCCAACATAGTGAAACCCCAGCTCTACTAAAAATACAAAAAATTAGCCGGGTGTGGTGGCACGTGCTTGTAATCCCAGCTACTCAGGAGGCTGAGGAAGGAGAATGGCTTGAACCTGGGAGGTGGAGGTTGCAGTGAGCTGAGATTGCATCACTGCACTCCAACCTGGGTGACAGAGTGAGACTCCATTTAAAAAAAAAAAGGGGGGGGTGTCAGGATTTCATACAGAGCTCAGGTGCCTGAGCCTGGGGCACAGAGAGTGTCCACAAGGCTTCCTAGAGAAAAGGGGAGACCTAGCCCTGTTGGGATTTGGGGAGGAGGGGGAGAGGGAGTGACTAAAAAGGGGGTGGGGAGGTGTGGGGGCAGGAGGGGCAGGAGGGGTGCATGCAGCCAGGCCAGGCCAGGGGCCCCAGGTGCCTAGCTGAGGAACTGGGCTGTATCCTGCAGCCTATGGGAGCCGGGAGTGGGTTTTGATCAGGGGAGACAGGCAGATAATGTTTGAGCGGGGTCCTGAGGTGTGGAGGGTGGAGGGGGAGAGTGATGGGGAGCAGGAGCAATGAGCTAGATTTGTGAGGTTTGAAGGAATCGCCTCAGTCCCTTTGGTTAATTCTGCCCAGCCAGTGGAGTCTCAGTTTCCCCTATGCGATGGGTCAGAGCATGCTAGCCAATGGCTGTGGGATCTCGGCCAGAGCCTTTCTTCAGCATCCATCATCTCTCCCTCTCTCCTCCCCTCCCAAGCTTCAACAGCTGCAGGAGCACTTCCCTATCAGGCCCAGAGGAGGCAGGGAGTGTGAGAAGATACACCACGCACCTCGCGTTCAGCACTCCTGCCGAGGGGGCTTCCTGAGGGGTTCCAGAGGGGCCCACGTGTCCCTCCACCTCCTCCCTGGCCCAGGCTGCAGAGCCTGAGCTGGGACACGCCCTGAAGCTTCTGGACCCTGAGAGAGATTGTTTCTTTTCTTTACTATTTTTTTTTTTTTTTTTTTGAGACGGAGTCTCACTCTGTCGCCAGGCTGGCGCGATCTTGGCTCACTGCAACCTCTGCCTCACGGGTTCAAGCGATTTTCCTGCTTCAGCCTCCTGAGTAGCTGGGACTACAGGCACACGCCACCATGCCCAGCTCATTTTTGTATTTTTAGTAGAGATGGGGTTTCACCATGTTGGCCAGGATGGCCTCCATCTCTTGACCTTGTGATCCGCCCGACTCGGCCTCCCAAAATGCTGGGATTACAGGCGTGAGCCATCAAGTCTGGCGAGAGAGATTGTTTCTAGATGAGGGTGGGGGCGGGTGTCCTTAGCCCAAAGCTTGTGCCAGTCTCTATCGGAAATAAATGCCCCCAAAACCTCCCTGCCTGTCCGTGACATCATACACCTGGGTAGTCTTTCTGCACCACTGCCCCTGGCTCCTCCTCCTGAGGAGGTCCCCAAGGGCGTGTAGGACCAGGGCAAGGCTCAGGATCCTAGAGAAATTGTCACCTGGGGCAGGACAGGCCTCTCTGCCAGCCTTACTGTCCCTATCTGTAAAATGAGGATGGTAACCCTGAACCCACAAGGCCACAGTAAGGCTAAACCAAGGTGAACATGCCTTGGGAACTGTGAAGACTGTGGACCCAAAGCCGGTTGCGGTGGCTCAGGCCTGTAATCCCAGCACTTTGGGAGGCTGAGGCAGGAGGATCACTTGAGCCCAGGAGTTCGAGACCAGCCTGGGCAACATGGTGAAACCCCATCTCTACAAAAATGACAAAAAATTAGCTGGGCTTGTTGGCGGACTGTGGACCTGAGATAGGTGCTCCTCTTGTCCTGCCCAGACAGCCTCCTGGTAACCAAAGGCCACGGGGCAGCATGGCTGGCACTTGCTATCTTTCCACCCAAGCATCCTCCCTGTGGCCCCTCTCCCCAGCCTGCCCCCTGTTGGCTGGAGGACTTCAAGCCCTCTGCCTCCACTTCCTCCAGTCCTTTCCTAGAGTACACAAAAGGCAAAAGGCGCAGTTTCTTTTTTTTTTTTTTTTTGAAATGGAGTTTCACCTTATAGCCCAGGCTGGAGTGCAGTGGCACCATCATAGCTCACTGCAGTCTCTAATTCCTGGGCTCCGGTGATCCTCCCACCTCAGCCTCCTGAGAGTAGCTGGGACTACAGGCACATGACACCACGTCCGGCTAATTTTTAATTTTTTTGTAGACATGGAATCTCACTCTGTTGCCCAGGCTGGAAAGAACAGTGGTGTGATCATAGCTCATTGCAGCCTCAAACTCCTGGGTGCAAGCGATCCTTCCGCCTCAGCCTCCTAAGTAGCTTGGACTATAGGTACATGGCACTATGTCTGGCTAATTTTTTAAATTTCTTTAGAGACGGGGTCTCACTATGTTGCTCAGGCTGGTCTCGAACTCCTGGTCTCAAGTGATCCTCCTGCTGGGATTACAGGCGTGAGCCACTGTGCCCAGCTCATGCAACACTTATCATCAGGATTCCCGCTCAGTGCTCGGACCCCAGGGGCCAGAGATGCCCGCGGCAAGGTTCTGCCCTCAAGGTGCCCACTGCTTTAGGGGGAAGACAGTGATACTACCACATACGAGAGAAGGAGAGGACACAACTGTCAGGGAGATGGACTGTTGGAGCTTCAGAGGCAGCATCTTGGGGAGGGGTGGCTTTGAAGAAGGAGCAGGACACTTGGGCCAGGTGGACCTTGGAAGGGTGCCAGGCAGGAGGAGCAATGTGTTGCTGATGGGCAGGTAGGGGAGGGTGAGGGATGGAGAGGAGACCGGAAGACACCCTGTGCCATGTGGAGGGGCCCTGCCCTCTGGGGCAAGAGGTCAGGGAGGAGGGCGCTGGCTGGGTTCCCAGGCGCCTGCCCCTGAGAGGCGCAAATGGCCCTAATGGGGTTATTAGGTGGAGCAGATGCATCCGGCTCCTGCTGTGGAGGAAATGCTCAAATGATCTTGAAGCTACCAGGCTGGGAGAGGCAGGCAGGGGATGGGGCAGACAGGCTGCCAACCTCTGTGAGATAAGCCCTGGCCTCTCCAGAACCTTTTCAGAACAGCTATGAGCCCCAACCCTGGGGCTGAGTGACCCAAGACAGATCACTCACACTCTCTGGGCCTCAGTTTCCCCTTACATAAAAAGCAATGGTTAGGCCAGGTGCAGATGGCTCACACCTCTAATCCTAGTGCTTTGGGAGGCCGAGGTGGGAGGATTGCTTGAGACCAAGAGTTCAAGTCCAGCCTGGGCAACATAGCAACACCCCATCTCTACAAAACATAAATACAAAAATTAAGGCCGGGCATGGTGGTTAAGGCCAGGCGTGGTGGCTCACACTTGGAATCCCAGCATTTTGGGAGGCAGAAGCAGGAGGATCACCTGAGGTCAGGAGTTTGAGACCAACCTGGCCAACATGGTGAAAACCCGTCTCTATACAAAATACAAAAATTAGCCAGCCATGGTGGTGCATGCCTGTAATCCCTGCTACTGTGGAGGCTGAGGCAGGAGAATCACTTGAACCCAGGTGAAGGAGGTTTCAGTGAGCCCAGATCATGCCACTGCACTCCAGCCTGGGTGACAGAGAACAAGACTGTCTCAAAACAAAACAAAAGAAAAATTAGCCAGACATGGTAGTGTGAACCTGCAGTCCCAGCTACTATGGAGGCTGAGGTGGGAGGATCGCTTGAGCCCAGGAGTTGGAGGCTGCAGTGAGCTATGATGGCACCCCTGGACACCAGCCTCTGTGACAGAGCAAGAGCCTGTCTCTAAAGTGAAACATTTTTAAAAGGGAAGGTGAACTGGGTGAACTCTAAGACCCTGCATTTCACAAACCCTTGCCCACACCCTGTATGCGTCGGGCCCTGGCAGGAAACAGATGGTACGCTGTCTCACAGGGCAATTGAGAGCGTTTACAAAGGTGTGGGCAGCATTAGGGGAATGGACCAGAGAGGGTGACCTGGGACTTGGCTGTAATGGGGCCCTAAGCACTCCTGGATCTGATTGCTGATGGGAGGGAGGGAGTGATGTTTCCCGATCAGCAGGCAGTAGCCATGGGTGAGGGGCCCCGCAGGAGCAGGGGCTGTAGGTGAAAGGATGAAGCCACCAGAGGGAACTGGGCTCTGTCTTCCCGCCCCCTGATCTCATGCCAGTGCCTCCACTGGCCACACCTCACGAGAAGCAAGAGAGTGTGGGGTCTCAGTGGTGCAGTCCCTGGAGGCCAATCTGCTGGGTCAGAGCAGGACAGAGAAAGCGAAATGGACATACGGAGGCACACGCCGCTTTCATGCTGATCCAGTGGAATTAGATCCTTCCTGTTCTTTCTTTTGTTTCTTTCTTTTTTTTTTTTTCCTTTTTTAGAGATGGGGTCTCACTTTGTTGCCCAGGCTGGGGTATGGTGGCGTCTTCATAGCTCACTGTAGCACTGAACTCCTGGGCTCAGGCGATCCTCCCACCTTGGCCTCCCAAAGTGCTGGGATTACAGGCACTACAGGCACCTAGCTAACTTTCTTTTTTTTTGTAGAGGCAGGGTCTCTGTCACCCAGGCTTGAGTGCAGTGGCACGATCATAGCTCACTGCAGCCTTGAACCCCTGGGTTCAAGCAATCCTCCCACCTCAGCCTCCCAAGTAGCTGGGATTATAGGTATGTGCCACCACCCAGCTAATTTTTTTATTTTTTGTAGAGATGGGGTCTCGCCATGTTGCCCAGGCTAGTTTGGAACTCCTGAGCTCAAGAGATGCTCCCACCTTGGCCTCCCAAAGTGCTGAAATTACAAGCATAAGCCACCATGCCTGGCCTCCCTTCCTGGCCTTCTGGTCTCCAGACTGGAGAGAGGGCCACAAAGTCCTGCCCAGACAGAGGGCTGCTAAGGCTGGGGTGGGGCTGGGGGTGTGCAGAAGGGACTCTGCAGGGGCTGACCTCTGAGTCTCAGGGGACAGGGCAAATTTTTTTTTTTTTTTTTTTTTTGAGATGGAGTCTTGCTCTGTCGCCCAGGCTGGGGTACAATGGCACGATCTCGGCTCACTGCAATCTCCGCCTCCTGGGTTCAAGTGATTCTCATCTCTCAGCCTCCCGAGTAGCTGGGATTACAGGAGTGCACCACCATGCCCAGCTGATTTTTGTATTTTTAGAAGAGATTGGGCGGGGTGGGGGGTGGGGTGCGGGTTTCACCGTGTGGCCCAAGCTGGTCTCAAACTCCTGACCTCAAGTGATCCTCCCGCTTCAGCCTCCCCAGGTGCTGGGATTACAGGCATGAGCCACCGCACCCAGCAGGGACAGGACAATTTTGCCAGCTGGAGAAGGGGTGGCCCCCAAATGTCCCCTTCACCACCCTCCTGCCTCTTCCTTCAGAACACTTTTTCCCTGAAGCCCTCCTGGGTAGCCCCCTACCCACATGCCTCAGCATTGGGAGGTGGGGAGTATGGGGGTCCCCCTTCTCCTCAGCCCCATTTGGAGTAATGTCCTGTGCAGCTGAGCTCACAACTCCTCCTCCACCTGTCCCTTCACCCGGTGTCACTGGCAATTGCTCACTTCCTGGGCCTGCACCCACTCAGCTCCCCTATCCCTGGGCATCAGCCTCAGCCAGCTCCCATGTGGACTAATGACCCTTGTCCCTCCCCTCAGCTGCCTCTCTTTTTTCTTTTTTTTTTTTGTTTTTGAGACAGAGTCTGGCTCTGTCACCCAGGCTGGAGTGCAGTGGCGCGATCTTGACTCATTGCAACCTCCACCTCCTGGGTTCAAGCGATTCTCGTGCCTCACCCTCCTGAATAGCTGGGATTACAGGCACCCGCCACCATGCCCGGCTGATTTTTGTATTTCGGTAGAGACGGGGTTTCACCATGTTGGCCAGGCTGGTCTCGAACTCCCGACCTCAGGTGATCCGCCCGCCTCAGCCTCCCAAATTGCTGGGATTACAGGCGTGAGGCAGCTCGCCCGGCAACCCTCAGCTGCCTCTCATATGTCCTTGGCCCCCTGGCCATCTCTGACCAGACATCTAGGAGGCCCCTCCTGCCAATATGCTTCCCCGACAGCCGAGCCCAAAGCTGTCTCCAGCCCTGCACCTTGTCTTGGTTCCCCGGGTGCTCCCTTTCCCAGGCTGAAGCCTGGACAGCCCCAGGCAACCTCTCTCCCTGACCACAGTACCACCTGGCCACATGCCACACTGCTTTCTACAGCAGACACCGCCTGGCCACAAAGATTTAAGCCACTTCCTTGGGTCCTGCTCAGCGCTGAGCCCAGAGCCCAATCTCAGGGACTGGGAGAGAGCCCAGTACATGGCCAGTGGGATTCTCCCGATGAAAATCCCAGCCATGTGAGGCTGGCTTCTCCAGGTTCTCTGAGGCCTGTGAGTCCAGGGCTGGCTGGAGGGAAAGCCCCTGGCCCCTTAAAGCCACTGATCATGTTCCCATAGAGGGATCCTGAGAATCCCCTGGGAGAGAAAATGTCGGAGCCCCAGTCCTGGCACCCCCCTGACCAGCTTGGGCCTCAGCCTCCTCATCCATGAAAAGAATGGACAAGAGGGGTCTGGGTGCGGTGGCTCACGCCTGTAATCCCAGCACTTTGGGAGGCCGAGGCAGGTGGATCACGAGGTCAGGAGTTCAAGACCAGCCTGGTCAACATGGCAAAACCCTGTCTCTACTAAAAATACAAAAATTAGCCGGTTGTGGTGGTGCACGCCTGTAGTTGCAGCTATTTAGGAGGCTGAGGCAGGAGGATCACTGGAACCCGAGAGGCAGAAGTTGCAGTGAGCTGAGATTGTGCCACGGCACTCCAGCTTGGGCAACAGAGCCAGACTCCATCTTAAAAAAAAAAAAAAAAAAGGAGGGACAAGAGGCACCAGAAGCTCCTGTCCAGGTCTGGGCCTCCCTCGGGTCACTCAGTTCTCCCCCATTCATTCATTCATTCACTCACTCACTTACTCACTCATTCCCACACTCTGCAGCCACTGACTTCAGCTAGCCATGCTGGATGCTAAGACGTAGAGTCCCGGCCATCAAGGCCAGTCCATCTCTGTGGCATCTAGACATGCACAGAGATGACCAGGGAGCCCCTAAGGGACAGAGAGGCACACCCTGCCTCCTGATCCCATCTGGGGGCTGCATGAAGGAGGGGCACAGGTGTGGCCTTGAAGGCTGGGTAAGGGGCTGGGAGGGCTTTAGGGGCATTCCAGGGGGCAGGCACAGAACTGGAGGCTCTGCCGGGCACACCCACAGGAGAGCAATGGCTGGAGGGTGACATGGACTGCAGGGTGTGGCCGCGGCAGCCCAGCTCTTAAGGGGACAGCCTGGGAAAACAGACTTAGGGACAATGATCTTGAGCCATGAAATGATGTCCAATGCCCCTTGTGCCACCTGACATCAGCCTGATTAATGAACAAACAGAAGAGGAAGCAGGGGACCTGTGTGTCCCTCTCTCTGCTTTTCTGTCTTTCTCTGTGCCCCCTCTCTTATGTCTCTCACGCTGTCTCTTGTCCTTGTTTTTAACTCTGACACGCCATGGGAACTTGGCTCACTTCCTAGGGGGAAGCTGTCTGGACTGGCCCAGAGATGGGCACCACCATTTCCCAATAAACACAAGATAAAATCAGAGAGCTGGCGTCAGTTCCGCGGCTGGACTCAGTGGGGAAAAGGGCAAAAAGCAGCAGAAATAAGAGCAGGGAAAGAACAGGGGCTGGGTGCGATGGGTCCCATCTGTAATCCCAGCGCTTTGGGAGGCCTAGGTGGGAGGATCGCTTGAGCCCAGAAGTTCAAGACCAGCCTGGGCAACATACGGAGACCCCCATTTCTAAAAAAGTTTTAAAAATTAGCTGGGCATGGTAGTGTGCATCTGTGGTCCCAGCTACTCAGGAGGCCGAGGTGTGAGGATCGCTTGAGCCCAGGAGGTCGAGGCTGCAGTGAGCTATGATTGCATCACTGCACTCCAGCCCGGGCACAGAGCAAGACCCTGAGACCTTGTCAGAAAGAAAGAAAGAGAGAAAGAGAGAGGAGAGGGAGAGGGAGAAAGAAAGGGAGGGGGAGAGAGAGAGAGAGAGAGAGAGAGAGAGAGAGAGAGATGAAAGAGAAGGAAGGAAAGAAAGAAAGGAAAGAGGAAGGAAGGAAGGAGAGGGGAAGGAAGGAAGGAGGGGAAGGAAGGAGAGAGAGAGGAAGGAAGGAAGGAGGGAAGGGAAGGAAAGGGGAGGGGAGGGGAGGAGAGGGAGAAAAGAAAGGAAAAAGAACAAGTGGATATCAGGGGACAGAAACCATTCGCAGCCCATCCCTCGGCAGATGCAGAGGGAGTCAGCCTGGAACCCCCACCCCTGCTGGCTGTGCCCCACCGCTGTCTCCACACCCCAGCCCTTCCTCCAGACACCCAGCCGTCCACTGCAGCAGGAGCACAGGTGCCCCAAGGGGACCACTGTTGGAAACCAGGCAGCCCTCCACTCACCCACACAGTGTGTCTCTGCACCCCCTCTTTGACATGGGAGCCGGGGCGCTCTTGGAAATCAGGGTTTACCTGAGGGGTCTGAAGACTTGGGCAGTGGGGGGCTGTGAAGCCTTGGGGAGGGAATCAGCTTGTCCAAGAGTCTGGGGCAGCGAGTGGTCGGGGGCTACCCGGTCTGACCCCATCAAAGTAACCTTCCTGGGGGATATTTCCATTGCAGGGTCACAAAAAGGCAAGGGCTAAGGTTCGAGAGAGGGGTCTCTCTGGGGTCCCAGCCACCCTGCTGTGGGGGCCCTTCCCAAGCAGGACACTCCAGGCAAAGGGGATGGCTTCCCCTTGCTCCCAGGACCCATAGGTGAGGTCCTGGCTGAAATGCAGACTGTCCCCAGATGCCCCTGGGGACTTGTAGGGATTTGGGGGATTCAGTGTTGCAGGAGCTGGAACCCTTGCTTGCTGGACGGGTTTGAGCTGTGCTGTCAGGCCCAAAGCTCCTGGGTCTCCAGGATGGTGCATGAGGGCTCACACCAGCTGCTCCCTGCCACCCTTCCCCCACCTCCCACCCCTTCTCCTGGAGCCCCAGTCCTCTGGTCCTCCAAGCTCAGCTTCAAATGCTTCCACCACTTCTGTCTCTTCTACCTCGAGTGGTTTGTCAACCTCCAAATCACACGGAGTTCAAGAATATCTCAAATATCGACCAGGTGCGGTGTCTCACACCTGTAATGCCAGCACTTTGGGAGGCCGAGGCGGGTAGATCACCTGAGGTCAGGAGTTCGAGACCAGGCTGGCCAACTTGGTGAAACTCTGTCTCTACTAAAAATACAAAAATTAGCCGGGTGTGATGGTGGGTGCCTGTAATCCCATCTACTTGGGAGGCTGAGGCAGGAGAATCTCTTGAACCAGAGAGGTGGAGATTGCAATGAGCCAAGATTGTGCCACTGCACTCCAGCCTGGGCAACAGAGTGAGACTCTGTCTCAACAACAACAACAACAAAAAGAATATCTCGAATACAAAAATTAGCTGGCCGTGGTAGTTTACACCTGTAATCCGAGCTACTCAGGAGGCTGAGGCAGTAGAATCTCTTGAACCTGGGAGGCAGAGGTTGCACTGAGCTGAGATAGCGCCACTGCACTCCAGCCTGGGTGACAGAGCAAGACGTCATCTCGAAAAAAAAAAAAAAAAAGAGTATATCGAATCCAAAGGAATATCTTGAATACAAAAATTAGCTGGGCATGGTGGCACACGCCTGTAATCCTAGCTACTCAAGAGGTTGAGACAGGAGAATCGCTTGAACCCAGGTGTTGGAGGTTGCACTGAGCTGAGATTGCGCCACTGCACTCCAGCCTGGGTGACAAAGCGAGACTGTGTCTCAAAAAATAAATAAATAAATAAAATACAAAATTAAAAGAAAGATTATCTCCTGGCCACCCATGGTGCAGGCTGTAATCTGTCTCTGCTGGGGTGAAGGGACGGAGGGAGACAGATGAGAAATGAGAACACAGACCTGGAGACCCAGACCACCCATGCCAGCTACCCAGGTCACTTCAGCCCAGCCCAGGGAGCCCCTGCCCAGCACAAGCCTCATGCACAGTAGCAGTGTTAAGATGGGCCCTTGGGCTGGGTGCAGTGGCTCACACCTGTAATCCCAGCACTTTGGGAAGCTGAGGTGGGTGGATCACTTGAGGTCAGGAGTTCGAGACCAGCCTGGCCAACATGGCGAAACCCTCGTCTCTACTAAATATACAAAAATTAACTGGGCGTGGTGGTGAGTGCCTGTAATCCCAGCTATTCGGGAGCCTGAGGCAGGGCAATTGCTTGAACTCGGGAGGCGGAGGTTGCAGTGAGCCGAGATCGCACCACTGTACGACAGAGCAAGACTCCGTCTCAAAAAAACAATAAAAAGAATTGCTGGAGGAGGGAAGTGAGGGGCGGCTGGCGGGGGACTGCTGGGCTGGTGCAGAGGGAGTCAAGGATCCCTAAGAGAGAGGCAGGGGTGTTCAGCTCTCCCACCTCTGCTGGATGAACTTGCAGAGCCTCCTTGGTGACCCAGCCGGTGCAGAGACTCTGCTCAGGACAACACCCTTGCCTGGGACCCCCACATCTCTGGCCCCAGCAGCAGCCCTTGGGGGGGTCCCTTTATCTTCCTCCACTCCTACCCAGGCTTCCTCAGCAGGAGATGAGGCAGGACATTTCCACTCCCTTTCTGGAAGGTTCAGAAGGTTAATGAGAGCTAAGCACGTAAGTCCATTTAGGGGGATGAACTTCTGGGAAGAGAGGAACCTGGGTCTGGGCTGACGTCCAAGGGCGGGCTGGGTGACGGTCCCTCTGATCACGGACCCTGTCCACCCACTGCCCAGGGCCCTGCCTCGACCCCTCTGACCAGCCACCGAGCCCCAGAGGGATCTCCATGAATGTCAGAGACATTGACTGGAGGCCTTATCTCCAGTGGGAGACCCCTTCTCTTCCCACTGTGGGCCGGTTCCAGCCTGGGCTGTCCAGGAAGTGACCTCTCAGGGCCTGGGAAGGGTGTGGCCAGTGGTTCTTGGTTGTACTCAACTCATCTGCCTTGGGTCTAAGGCTGGGGTGAATGGAAGGGCCCACCTGGACCCTGGAGGGACACCAGGCTCATACTAAAATCCCAAAAAGTGAAAAGCTTTCCCCAGGCCCAAGCAGAGAAACTGGACCTTGAAGCTACATCTCTGGACTTAGTCCTCAAAGTAGGAGACATTTGCCTCTAAGCTGTTCTCTCCCACCCCACCTTTCTGTGAGCCGCCGGTTCCCTGTTGTCCACATCAAGCTGTGTGCTGGGCACTGGGTGCAGGAATAGCTTGACCACAGTCTCTATCCTGGGGGTAAAGGGGTGAGCAGCCCACAGAGGGATGGACTGCAAACAGACAGTCCCAAAGTGCCATGAGAGAAGCTCTCAGGGCCTGGGCGTGATGGTTCATGCCTGGAATCCCAGCACTTTGGGAGGCCGAGGTGGGTGGATCAGTTGAGGTCAGGAGTTCGAGACCAGCCTGGCCAATAAGGTGAAACTCCATCTCTACTAAAAATAAATAAATAAATAAATAAATAATACAAAAATTAGCCGGGCATGGTGGCATGCACCTGTAAACCCAGCTACTTGGGAGGCTGAGGCAGGAGAATCACTTGAACCCCAGAGGCAGAGGCTGAAGTGAGCCAAGATTACGTCACTGCATTCCAGCCTGGGTGACAGAGCGAGACTCCATCTCAAAAAAAAAAGAAAAAAAAAGAGAGAGAGAGAGACAGAGAGAGGCTCTCAGCCTGCAGGAAAGGGCTCTCTCCTTGTTGGCCAAACCAGTGGGCCCTTTAGCTGTGACGGGTGTGCCCTGGGCCCAGCAGGACAGGAGCAAGGTCAGGAGGGCTGCTCTGCTCTGCAAAACAGAGGCTGATGGATCTGAAGTTTCTGTTACTGGGAGAATAAAGGGAGGTGAAGGAGACACGTGGTAGGTCCCCTGGGAAGGTGGTGGGAATGCGTGTGAAATGCTCGGAGAGGCACAGTAAGAACCGGCCTATTTAGAATCCAGTGTTCTACGCCTGCCCCAGGCCCCAGCAATTCTGCTTCTAGACATCTCCCCATGAGAAATGAGCACTGAGCCTCCCAAACATGTCTTTTGGGAGGCCAAGGGGAGCGGATCACTTGAGGTCAGGAGTTCGAGACCAGCCTGGCCAACATATTGAAACCCCGTCTCTACTAAAAATACAAAAATTAGCCAGGCCTGGTGGTGGGTGCCTATAGTCCCAGCTACTCGGGAGGCTGAGGCAGGAGAATCGCTTGAACCCGGGAGGTGAAGGCTGCATTGAGCCAAGACTGCGCCATTGCACTCCAGCCTGGGCCACAGAGTGAGACTCCGTCTCAAAAAAAAAAAAAAAAAAAAAAAAAGACATGTGCAAGAACATTCAGATCAGCCTTCTTCATAACAGACCCAAACAGGAAACAACAGACGTTCATCCACAGGCTAGTGAAGAGGCAGGTTGTGAGGCCTCCGCCCACACCGTAGAATGCTATTCAGCAACATGGGTGACTCCCCTGCATGTAACATTGGCAAAGAAGCCAGGCACAAGCAAATATACACTGTAGGATTCCATTTATATAAAGAGCAAAAGCAGGCAGGAGGGCCGGGTGGGCACAGTGGCTCAGACCTGTAATCCCAGCACTTTGGGAGGCCAGTTGTGGGGGGTGAATCGCTTGAGCCCAGGAGTTTGAGACCAGCTTGGGCAACATAGCAAGACCCCATCTTAAAAAAAATAAAAAATTAGCCGGGCGTGGTGGTGCAGGCCTATCATCCCAGCTTCTCAGGAGGCTGAGGCAGGAGGATCACTTGAGCCCAGAAGTTGGAGGCTGCAGTGAGCTGTGATTGTGCCACTGCACTCCAGTCTGGGCAACAGAGTGAGACCCTATCTCAAAAAAGCAGGTGGGAGTAATCCATGGCAATAAATTGGGATAGAAGTTATTCCTGGAGGTGGTGATGACTGGTATGGGACACAAGGAAGCCACCTGGGGCTGGGAATGTTCTAGTTCTTGATCTGGGAGATGGTCATGCAGTCGTAGGCCTGTGTAAGACTTCCTCGAGCTGTCCACATAAGATTTGTGCACTTTAGCTGAATGTGGTGGCTTACACCTGGAATCCTAGCACTTTGAGAGGCTGAGGTGGGCAGATTGCTAGAAGCCAGGAGTTCGAGACCAGCCTGAGCAACATAGTGAGCCCCCTGACTCTAAAAAAAAAATTTTTTTTTTTAATTATCTGAGCATGCTGGCATGCACCTGTAGTCCCAGCTACTTAGGAGGCTGAGGTGGAAAGATTGCTTGGGCCCAGGAGATTGAGGCTGCAGTGAGCTATGATCACACCACTTCACTCCAGCCTGGGCAACGGAGCGAGACCCTATCTCAAAAAAATAAATAAAATATTTGTGCAGTTCTCTGTATGGAAAATGTCCGCGTCTATCCAGCAAGCATCCATGGAGTAGTCCGGAGAATTGTGGGTTAGCAAGACACTGGGTGGCGTCAGGCACTGGAGGGATGGGGGAACAGCCATGCAGAAGATCCCAGGCAGAGCCAAGGCAGAGATGCAGGGGGATGGTGGGGGGCCTACTGGGGACGGCTAAGTGGTGGGGGGACACCAGTGATCCAAGGGCTGGGGGCATCTAGAGGCCAGGGTTCCAGTTACCCACAGTGCCCAGGATCTGTGGGAGTAGTGGATGGGGGAGTAGTGGATGGGCAAGGGTCAAGCTGAAAAACAAGAGCCGTCACCCTCACCCTCCCATGCCCCCACTGTGGCTCCATCCTGGCTCCTGGTTCTCATCAGCCGAGCCGGGGCCCTTTCCCCGGCTGGGGGTGGCCATGGCGCCAGAAGCCACGACAGGTTTACGTTCCAGCCGCAGCTGCACTGGCCCCATCCCAAGTCCCCTCGCTTGCACACACATTTTTCTCCTTGTGGAGTCAGAAGAGGCCTGGCCAGGTCCTGCACAGGGTTCTGGAGGCGAGAGTCCCCTTGGAATCACGTTGTCTCCCCCAGCCCTGGGCCGTCTCTGCTCGGGGAGTGCCCTCAGAGCTGCACCTGGACTCTTTCCCCCACTTCCCAGCCCTTCCTCCTGTTCTTTCTCCCAGCCCCAGCTCTTCTCCTTCAAGCCCAGCTCAGGTGCCGCCTCTTCCAGGAAGCCCCCTGGGACCATCTCCAGTCTCAGTGGGAGCAGTGTGTCCTTGGTTGCTCCCAGAGTCTATAGCAGAGATCTGGACCCAAGACTCTGGACTCCCGGCTTTGGGCTGGCAGGTAACACCCACTCCTGGGGCTTCACTTGCCTTGCTACGTGTCAGTTTCTCACTTTGAGGGGGGCAGCAGTATTCACCCACAGGGGCTGGGGCTGAGGAGATTAAGGGACTGCAGCTCCAGGAGGCCTCAGAGGAAAGGGTACAGGTGGGATGCAGTGGCTCACAGCTCTAATCCCAGCACTTTGGGAGGCCAAGGTGGGAGGATGGCTCAAGTCCAGGAGTTGGAGACCAACCTGGGCAACACAGTGAGACATCATCTCTACAAAAAATTTAGAAGTTTTTTTCTTTTTCTTTTCTTTTTTTTAATTATTATTTTTTTGAGACAGAGTCTTACTCTGTCACTCAGGCACTCTGTCATCTCAGCTCAGTCAGGCACTCTGTCATCTCAGCTCACTGCAACCTCCACCTCCCAGGGTCAAGTGATTCTCGTGCCTCAGCCTCCGGCGTAGCTGGGGTTACAGGCATGAGCCATCATGCCCAGCCCTCCAAAAAGAAAAACAATAACAACAACAACAATTTTGGCCGGGCATGGTGGCTCACACCTGTAATCCCAGCACCTTGGGAGGCCGAGGATCACTTGAGGTCAGTAGTTGGAGACCAGCCTGGCCAACATGGTGAAACCCCGTCTCTGCGAAAAACACACAAAAAATTAGCTGGGTATGGTGGCAGGTGCCTGTGATCCCAGCTACTTGGGAGGCTGAGGCAGGAGAATTGCTTGAACCTGGGAGGCAGAGGATGCAATGAGCCAAGACCACGCCGCTGCACTCCAGCCTGGGGAACAGAGCGAGACTCTGTGTCAAAAAACAAACAAACAAACAAACATTTTAAAAGAAAGAAAGAAAAAAGGGAAAGGAGAGCATCAGAGTCTAAGACCACACAGAAACCCTCTCTTTACTGCAGTGCTGAAGCCCTCGTGGCAGCCATGCCCTGCTCACTTTTGGGATACCCATGGACTCAGGGCACGTCCTAAGGTGACACCTGTCACCAGCCCTATGCCTGCCTCTGTCCACCTTCGCCTCTGCTGGAGACCATTCTCAGACACCCCTGAGATGCCCAGAGGGGACCTGCAACCTCTTCCCACCCCACCTCCCACAAGGGGTCCCTGGGAAAACTGGGGGTAACATTCCCCCCACCCTCACCCCTACTTCAGTCTGGGTGTTCAGAGCAGCCCTCTCTGTCTCTGAATTTTCTCTTTTTTTCCTTTTGGAGACGGAGTCTCACTCTGTCACCAAGGCTGGAATGCAGTGGCGCAATCTCAGCTCACTGCAACCTCCATGTCCCGGGTTCAAGCGATTCTCACACTTCAGCCTCCCAAGTAGCTGGGATTATAGGTTCACGCCACCACTCCTGGCCTCTGAATTTTCTCTCTTGGTGTTTTGTTTTTGTTTTTGTTTTTTTGACAGAGTTTTGCTCTTGTTGCCCAGGCTGGAGTGTAATGGCTCTATCTCCGCTCACTGCAACCTCCGCCTCCCAGGTTCAAGCGATTCTCCTGCCTCAGCCTCCCGAGTAACTGGGATCACAGGCACCTGCCACCACACCTGGCTAATTTTTTGTATTTTTAGTAGAGACGGGGTTTCAATATGTTGGCCAGGCTGGTCTCGAACTCCTAGCCTCAGGTGATCCACTTGCCTTGGCCTCCCAAAGTGCTGGGATTACAGGCATGAGCTTGAATTTTCTCTTTCTGATTTCCTGTCTCTCTGCCTCTGACTATGTTTCTCCATCTGTTTCTCTCTGTCTGTCTGTCTGTCTTTCAGAGCAGGGTCTTTCTTTCTGACATCTGCAGGGCTGGGGGCTGTGCTAGGAGGGGGGTGAATTTGTCATTGTGACTTTGCAGCTCCTTATCTATGAAGTGGACAGGACACCAGCATCTAGTCCTGGAGTCCTTGGTGAGGACCTGGTGTGTTGAGGCTGGCCGGTGCAGAGTTAAGGGTTCAGTCCATGATTTCTGCATCCATGAAAGGGGGATGGTGAGGCTGGGCATGGTTGCTCATGCCTGTAGTCCTAGCGTTTTGGGAGGCCGAGGCGGGTGGATGACTTGAGGTCAGGAGTTCAAGACCAGCCTGGCCAACATGGTGAAACCCTGTCTCTACTAAAAATACAAAAATTAGCAGGGCACAGTGGCTCATGCCTGTAATCCCAGCACTTTGGGAGGCTGAGGCAGGCGCATCACTTGAGGTCAGAAGTTCAAGACCAGCCTGGCCAACATGGCAAAACCCTGTCTCTACTAAAAATACAAAAATTAGCAGGGTGTGGTTGCACACACCTGTAATTCCAGCTACTCGGGAGGCTGAGGCAGGAGAATCACTTGAACCCGGGAGGTGGAGGTTGCAGTGAGCCGAGATTGCACCATTGCACTCCAGCCTGGGCCACAGAGCGAAACTCCGTCTCAAAAAAAAAAAAAGGGGGGGGGTGGGGGGTGGATGGTAAGAACAGCCCTGCTCCTCTGCTTCTGGGGATTAACGTGAGGATGTCCTGAGTGCTTGCCCCAGGGAGGTGCCCTCTGCGGTCTGGTGACCAAGTGGCTCACCAGCACACTCTGTTCCCAGCCACTCTGCGGGGTGCAGCCACCATTGCCCCACTCTACAGATTAGGCAGATGAAGCCCAGAGAGGCTGAATAACTGGCCCAGTCACACAGCAGCTCCTATCATAGCAGTGGAGGTAGGATTTGAACTCAATTGTCTGGCTCCAGAGCCTGCGATCTTCACTGTGGACCTCGTTTTTTTGTGGTTTTTGCTTTTTGTTTTTGGAGACAGGGTCTTGCTCTATCACCCAGGCTGGAGTGCAGTGGCACAATCACAGCTCACTGCAGCCGTGACCTCTGAGCTCAAGCGATCCTCCCACCTCTGCCTCTCGAGTAGCTGGGACTACAGGTGTGCACCACCATGCCTGGCTAACTTTTTTATTTTTCGTAAAGGCAGGGTCTCGCTATGTAGCCTAGGCTGGTCTTGAACTCCAGGCTTCAAGCGATCCTTTGCCTTGGCCTCCCAAAGTGCTGGGATGACAGGCATTGAGCCACCAAGCCCAGCCTGTGGACCTTGGCTTTAAAACTGTTATTCAATGGTATCTGTCTAAATGGTGCAGTAGGAGTGTCAAGATTGGTGGGGTAGGGGGAAGCTGGGGATAGAGCCCCATCTGGCCTCTGATGACTCCCAGCCTGCCCCTCTGGCCAGCCAGGATTTTTTTTGTTTTTGAGACAGAGTCTTGCTCTGTTGCCCAGGCTAGAGTGCAGTGGCATGATCTCGACTCACTGCAACCTCTGCCTCCCGGGTTCAAGTGATTCTCTGCCTCAGTCTCCCGAGTAGCTGGGATTACAGGCAAGCAATACCATTTCGGGTTAATTTTTGTATTTTTAGTAGAGACGGGGTTTCATCATCTTGGCCGGGCTGGTCTTGAACTCCTGACCTCGTGATCCACCTGCCTTGGCCTCCCAAAGTGCTGGGATTACAGGCATGAGCCACCGCTCCCGGCCAGGACTTCTTAACATACAGCTGTCACTTGGCCCAGAGCCTGCCAGGGATCCTTGTGTCCCTGGCTCCTGTGCCCAGCTTTTGCGGGTTCACAGCTGGACTCCTCTGGCCTTCGGAGAGGGCTGCCCTTGCCACCCTCTGCACCTGCCACCCAACTTCCTCCTCATCCCCTGCTCCTGCCTCCTATCCAGTTTTCTGGGCTTCTCCTTCTTCCTCCAGCAATGCCTTCGGTCTCATTCTTCCAGGACCTGCCTCCTCCCAAAGTCCTCTCTGGGGGCTCTGGGCCATGGCACAGCAGGACAGCCACCAGAAGCCACTGTCAGAGTCTGATGGGTGAGGACGGAAGGTGGCTCAGGAGTCCTTCCTTAGGGCAGGGACAATTTTTTCCAGGAGAGGTGTGAGGCCTCCAGCTCCTAAAACTCCTCGAGGTTTAAGAGCGGGAAATGCTTTGGCTCCAAAATATTAAAACTGCAACATTAAAAAATAGTAAATGTTTACTGAAATGTCTTCTAAATATAACTTTATGTCAGTTTCATCCATTGTTAAATTTAGTATTTCAAAATGCATCACTGCGCATGAAAACAATTCGTAGGTCACATTTTCTCACTTTGGAAGAATCCTAAGATTCTCAAGAATGCATGATGTTGGTAGAGAAGTCAAGGCCAGGAGCAAATCAAATGAGTTACTTGCCCCCAAACCGCTTTGAAAGTTGTTATAAAATTCTTTTCAATTGTTTTATATTGCCAAAATATATTACAAAGTTGGGGTATGGGTGCATTTTTTTTATTCTGGTAAAAAAACACATAAGGTTTACCATCTTAACTATTTTATTTATTTATTGTTATTATTTTGAGACGGAGTCTCACTGTGTCTCCAGCCTGGAGTGCTGTGGTGCCATCTGGTCTCACTGCAAGCTCCGCCTCCTGGGTTCAAGTGATTCTCCTGCCTCAGCCTCCCGAGTAGTGGGACTACAGGTGTGCACCACCACGCCCAGGTAATCTTTGTATTTTTAGTAGAGACGGGGTTTCACCATGTTGGCCAGGATGGTCTCCAACTACTGACCTCAAGTGATCCTCCCGCCTCGGCCTCCCAAAGTGCTGGGATTACAGGTGTGAGCCACCACGCCCGGCCTTATTTCTTTATTTTTTAAAATTTTATCATGTTGCCCAGGCTGGTCTTGAACTCCTGAGCTCAAGTGATCTGCCCGCCTCAGCCTCCCAAAGTGCTGGGATTACAGGCATGAGTCACCACACCCAGCCCATCTTAAGCTTTTTTTTTTTTTGACGAGGTCTCTCTCTGTCGCTCAGGCTGGAGTACAGTGGTGCCATCTCAGCTCACCGCAACCTCCACCTCCCAGGTTCAAGCGATTCTCCCTGCCTCAGCCTCCTGAATAGCTAGGACTACAGGCGTGCACCACCACGCCCAGCTAATTTTTATATTTATAGTAGAGACAGAGTTTCACCATGTTGGCCAGGCTGGTCTCAAACTCCCGACCTCAGGCGATCCACGCACCTCGGCCTCCCAAAGTGCTGGGATTCCAGGCGTGAGCCACCGCCCCTGGCCCATCTTCACTATTTTTAAGTGGACAGCACAGTAGTATTAACTATATGCACATCTCTGGAACTTTTTCACCTTGCAATACTGAAACCCTACACTCAACAAACAACTCGCTTTCCCTGCCCCGCTCCAGCCCCTGAAAACTTCTACTCTCCTTTCTGCTTCTGTGAATTGTACTATTCCAGATACCTCCCATAGGTGGAAGCAACCACTATTTGTCTTTCTTTGTAACTGGCTCATTTCACTTAGCATTATGTCTTCAAGTTTCATCCATCTTTTAGCATGTGTAAGAATTTCCTTCCTTGCTTTTTTTGTTTGTTTGTTTGTTTGTTGAGACTGAGTTTCACTCTTGTCACCCAGGCTAGAGTGCGATGGTGCGAACTTGGCTCACTGCGACCTCTGCCTCCCGGGTTCTCAAGCAATTCTCTTGCCTCAGCCTCCAGAGTAGCTGGGATTACAGGCGCCTGCCACCACGCCCGGCTAATTTTTGTATTTTTAGTAGATATGGGGTTTCGCCATGTTGGCCAGGCTGGTCTCGAACTCCTGACCGCAGGTGATCCACCCACCTCGGCCTCCCAAAGTGCTGGGATTACAGGTGTGAGCCACCACGCCTGGCCTCGTTTTTGTTTTTGTTTTTGGAGACAGAGTTTTGCTCTGTCGCCCACGCTGGAGTGCAGTGGTGCGATCATACCTCACTGCAGCCTCCCCTCCTAGGCTCAAGCAATCTTCCTGCCTCGGCTTTCTGAGTAGCTCGAACTACAGACACACACTACCATGCCTGGCTAATATTTTTATTTTTTGTAGCAAAGGTGGGGGGGGGTCTCATTATGTTGCCCTGGCTGGGCTTGAACTCCTGGCCTCAAGTGATCCTCCCATCTCAAGCCTCCCAAAGTGCTGGGATTATAGGCGTGAGCCGCTGTGCCCAGCCTCAAACACTTTTTCTTTCAACGACATTGACCTATAGTGAATATCAAAAGCATGCACTGAAACTCAAGAGCTGCCTCCTCTCCTGTGCCAGGATGCACTGTAACTTTTGTGAGCCCTAGGCATGTTTGACTTATATGGGTTAAGATATTCAAATACGGCTAGGCACGGTGGCTCACGCCTGTAATCCTAACACTCTGGGAGACCGAAGTGGGCAGCTCACCTGAGGTCAGGTGTTTGAGGCCAGCCTGGCCAACCTGGTGAAACTCCATCTCTACTAAAAATATAGAAATTACCCAGGCGTGGTGGCAGGTCCCTGAAGCTCTGGCTACTCGGGAGGCTGAGGCAGGAGAATGCCTTGAGTCAGGGAGGCAGAGGTTGCAGTGAGCTGAGATTGCGCTACTGCACTCCAGCCTGGGTGATAGAGCGAGACTCCACCCCAAAAAAAAGAAAAAAAAAAAGATATTCAAATGTGTATTTTACAACTGCTTTGGCATAAAGACTGACTGATACCAGTCAGGTCAGATTCATTATTACATATTCATTACTATTATACTCCTGTTTGACTAGGCATGGTGGGCTCACATCTGTGGTCCCAGCCCTTTGGGAGGCCAAGGCAGGAGGATAACTTGAGGCCAGGAGTTCTAGACCAGCCTGGGCAACATAATGAGACCCCCCCATTTCTACTAAAAATAAAAAAAATTAGCCAGTCGTGGTGGTATGCATCTGTAGTCCCAGCTACATGGGAGGCTGAGGTGGTAGGATTGCTTGAACCCAGGAGATTGAGGCTGCAGTGAGCTATGATTGCACCACTGCACTTCAGCCAACAGAGCAAGCCCCTGTTTCAAATGCATGCATACATACATACATACATACATACATACATACATACATACACACACAAACCAACCAATACAAAAAATACATATTTTTTTTCTTCTGATTCTAAAAAACATAAAAACAGCCAGGCACGATGGCTCATGCCTGTATTCCCAGCACTTTGGGAGGCCGAGGTGGGCAGATTACCTGAGGTCAGGAGTTCAAGACCAGCCTGGCCAACATGGTGAAACCCCGTATCTACCGAAAATACAAAAATTAGCTGGGCGTGGTGGCGCGTGTCTGCAATCCCAGCTACTTGGGAGGCTGAGACAGAAGAATTGCTTGAAACCGGGAGGTGGAGGTTGCAGTGTCCCCCACCCGCTCCTCCAGGGGCGCCCCCCTCGAGCCACCGCGCCGGCTGCCCGGCGAGTGTCAGCGCCTCCTCACAGGCCCCGCCCCTCACGCCCCAGACGGCCAATGAGAGCTGCGGCCCCGGCCGGCCCCTCCCCGCCCTGGGGAACCCCGGTCGCGGATTGGCCGGCCCGGGCGCAGTGTCCCCCGCACGTGGGGCGGGGGCGGGGTGAGTGGAGTGGCAGCGAAGCCCCGCCCCCGCCGCCCCGCCCCCGCCCCCGCCTCCTCCCCGGCCCGCCCCACCTGCGGCGCCCAGTCCAGCGCCCGCCGCCCGCCACCCCGGACCCCGGTGTCTGGCTTCCCCCGAGCCGGGACCCCGCGATGGCCAAGCGCAGCTCGCTGTACATCCGCATCGTGGAGGGGAAGAACCTTCCCGCCAAGGACATGTGAGCGCGGCCGGGGGTGGGAGCCCCAACTTTCCGGGGAGGGGCACTGCCCCCCAGGACGCCTGACCTTTCCGGGGTCCACCCACAAGAGCAGCGGAGAGGGTGCGGGAGTGCGGCCGTGGTGGGGGATCGGCGGGGAAAATGGGGACAGTGACATTTTCTGCGAGCACCAGACGGGGTGACAACCGGGGGGCGGGGAAGTGTCACCGAGGGCTGGGGGCTGGGAACTAGGGAGGGGGCGAGAATTTGTCAGCGATCCGCGGCTCACGAGGGGAAGGGGCTTTGATACGACAGGAGCTGGAGCCTGGTGACATGCCAGGGGAGACGTCTTGGTGATCTGCCCCCGGGGTGGGGTTGGAGGGGGTGGGGTGTCCCCCGCAAAGGAAGGGTCTTCCTCAGTAGTTCCAGAGCCCTTAATGCCCCGGAGTGTGCACCTGAAGCACATGCTGGGGCCCAGGGGCTGTCCCCGGGCTTCCTGCTGTGCACTCGGGTAGGAGGGACTGGCATGAAAAGTGAGAACAGGTCAGGAGGCCAGGACAGGTGCAGGACTGTGGGGGAGGGAAGGAGGGTAGTAACTGTCGCTTGTGCCTTGGGCTTTACACCTGAGCCATCCCGTTAATCCTCTCAACCACCCCGAAAGGCAGTTCTCACCGTTCCATTTTACAGATGAGAAAACTGAGGTTCAGAGAAGTGAAATGCTGGCTCCAAGTGGCAGGCAGAGCAGGGTCTTGAGTCTAGGGCTTCTCACAGGCACTGACATCTGGGGATTCCCCTGGTCCCTGGCTCGATTTGGGGAGGTTTCAGGGGCCCCTTGTTCCACTCTTCTCAGTAGGTCCCAGGGCTGAGCTGCCTGACCCCTGGCCCACCATCTTGGTCTTGCCACCACCTTCCTCATGTACAGGGTTTAGGCAGCTCCCTGCTCCTAGAGCCTCAGTTTCCCCTCTTTAAACTAGGGGTTGAAATCCCTCTAGAGGAAGAGGGGGAAAGCTCAAAGGTCAAGGGGCACTGGCTGCCTGGAGGAGGAGGGTGGGAGGGGGAAAAGTGGAGCCTGGAGGAAACAGAGTCCAAAGTCTGCGGAGCTGCAGTTCCCCACCCCTTGGGCGCCCCGGGCTCCTGGATGCAGAGAAGTGGCTAGCATGGGCGAGGGGGTGGAGCAGGGTGGGGGGCAGGCACTCTGCTCACACATATGTGTGGTGGCCCCTGTGAGCTTCCCAGCAAGCTCAGCGCGCCACCACCGAGAGCAGTGCCAGTTCCAGGCCCCCTGGGTCTGATGAGGCCCAGCTCAGCAGTTACCATGACAATGGGGAAGGGAGGGCGGTGGGCATCCCTAGGTGGGTTTCTGTGCTTGGAGGCTTGGAGGGAGGTGGAGTGGGAGCTGGCAGTGAGGTCTGTGGGCTGGGAAGGCAGAGGAGCTCTGAGAAGGGTCTCAGCCTCCAGGCCCAGCCTTTAAGCATCCCCCACCCCCTGCCACCACTGGCACTAGGAACTAGGTCATCTTGGCCTCTTCTGGCTGGTGGCAGCTGGGAGGAGCAGCCCCTCCGTCTGTCGCCTCCCTCCTCATCCCCACAGCAGCTGGCCCTAGTGCCTGGCTCCAGGCTCTCTCCAGCCCAGGGCAGCCAAGCTCTTGGAGTATGCCCACCTGGGAGCCCAGTGCCTGGTTCCCTGCTCAGTGCTTTGCCTCTGGGCAAAGGGGTTCCATCTACAGTGGAGGGGTGCCTTGGGATCTCGATCCTCACCCTGCCCCCCTGCCTGCCCTACTCACGTCTCCTTTGCAACCCCCCATCTTCCCCTGTGGCTTGCATACACAGCTCTGACCTGTCAGCCGCCTCTTAAACCATCCCATAAACAGTCCCTCACATTTGGGCTACTACCCTTCACATCTCTGCTTTCGCCCATGTGTGGGGACTTCTGCCTTCAAGCACTCCACTTCAGTCCTCCAGAAAACTCCTATTCAATGTTCAGGACTCCTCTCAAACTTCTCCTCTCCAGGGCATTCCCTGGTGCACTTGGGCAGAGTTCCTGGCTCCTGGGCTCGCCCCCCAGCACTCTGGGTGGCAGGAGGAAGCCCCTGGTGTGGCAGTTCCTCCGTCAAGTGGTGCCTGTCCCAGCTGACTGTGAGGGCAGGGACTGTGACTCATTCATCCTGGCACCGGGTCCATAGTAGGGAGAATAAGAGGTGTTGAGGACTTCCCCCACTTAATCCTCTTCTTAGCTTTATAAGATAGACATCCTCGGTTTGCACATTGGGAAACTGAGGCTCAGGAAGTGAAAGCCATTTGCCAAGAGGGTAGGTAGAGAAGTCAGGATTCAGATTGCCTTTGCTGCCGACAGGCTGAGAATTCTAGCCTGCCCGCGGCTGTAAGCTTGCGGCTGGGCTCAGTGAGACTGAGCCTCGGAAATCCTATGCAAAGCATTTGGCTGCAGAGTCGGGCAGGGGTTTGGAGATCATGGGAGGCCCTCACTGAGTACTGGAGTTTCACTGTGCCTCACCAGCACCCCGCCTATCTTCTGAGTAGCATCTCCTCCAGCCAGGGCTTGCATACTTCTGAGGACGGGGAGCTTACCACCTCTCATAGTGGCTCATCTTGACTGAGACAGTTCCAAGGAGGAAGCTGTCCTCACACAGCTGCCAGCTGCCTTCCTGCCACTTCTACTCATGGGTTTTTATTCCTCTAAAGGGCACAGAGCGCAGCTGCATTCCCCATCACTGCTAGCTTTCAGAGCCTGCCTGTTCCTGCCCTGCCTCTTCCCACTGTCTCTCGTCCCCACGTACCTAGGCATGAGCCAAGTCTCACGATGACCAGTGACCCACTGCCTCCCACACCAAGTGGCCTTGGGGACTGGCCCAAGGCTATTTTGGGGTTTTCCCTGATCCTCCTCCTTCCACAGCCTAGAAACTGCCAAGGCCCTAAATATAGAGGCCCCGAAAGTAGCCAGACAGGCCAGTGGCAACTGGCTCGGGAAAGGAGAAATGAGAGAGGTGGGCAGCCTAGGGGCCTCAACACTAGCGAAGAAGGAACTGGGCAGGGCTTGGGTCCCAGCAGCCCACTGGGGACCATGGTTGGGCCCAGGTCCTTAAATCTGGCCTCGGCCTGCTCTCAATACCGTCCTCTTGCCCCACCTCTGATCCAGCCACCCGGCTCTTCATAGTCCTTGCACACCAGGACTCGGGTCCTGCTTCCAGGCCTTTGGAAGCAGTAGCAGCCCAGTAGTGGGGGACAGCCCACGGAGGTCCCCTGTTGCCTCAGTCAGTACTGACCTCTCCCTGCCTCCTCTGAGCTCCTTGTATGGCTCCTGGATCCTGCAGCCCAGCCCAGCACCTGGGGTGTTCAGAGGCCTGATTTCTTAGCACCTGGAGTCCCCTGGCTTTGGGTTGATGGGATGCAAGCTGGGGTATTCACAGGGGGCTCCCTGGAGGTGGGGGGGCTCTTTATTTTATTTTATTTATTTCTGAGACAGAGTCTTGCTCTGTTGCCCAGGCTGGAGTGCAGTGGCGCGATCTTGGTTCACTGCAACCTCCTCCTCCGGGGTTCAAGGGATTCTCCTACCTCAGCCTCCCCAGTAGCTGGGATTACAGTTGTACACCACCACTACATTCGGCTAATTTTTGTATTTTTCGTAGAGACGGGGTTTCACCATGTTGGCCAGGCTGGTCTGGAACTCCTGGCCTCACGTGATCTGCCCACCTCGGCCTCCCAAAGTGCTGGGATTACAGGTGTGAGCCACCACACCTGGCCAGGAGGCGGGGGCTCTCAAATGATGGCAGGGGGAGGTTACAGTCAGAGATGCAGGCAGTGCTAACATTTACTGAGCACCTCCAAGACCTTCTCTATCGTCTCAGGACCCAGGGAAGCTCCCTTGTGAGCCGGGGTTACACTTCCCACTTTATAGGTAGGAAAACTGAGTCTTGGCAGACATTTCCTGTCTGTGTCCAGGAGCTTCTGGAGCTGTTGGCCCCAAATGCCTTCCTCTGCCGGAAGAGCCCCTTTTGAGAAGGGAAGCAGAGCTTGGAATTCCCCACCCTCCACCATAGAAACACACTTCCTTTTTATGGACACTCACTGGAGGAACAGCTCTAGAGACAGCCCTCACTTCCCCACTTTTACCCAGTACCAGCCCTAGGCCTGGCTGCAGGCCTCTCCCAGCCCCAGGAGCCCCCCAACACCTGAGACCCTTGGAACTGAGCGCGTGTTTGCCTTCCCCCATCCCTCTTTCCCCAGATAGCTGTTACATTTATTCATTCATTCACTCATCAGTTCATTCATTCGTCTGTTCATTCGGCAAACACTCATGGGCTGCCTGTCTTGTGCCAAGCCCTGTGGGGGCCCTGGGGACACAGGCATGCTCCCCGCCCCCAGGTAGCTCAGAGCAGGTGGGAGGCAGCTGATCACTACCAGGCTGGATGAAGTGGGCAGGCAGTGTGAGTCCAGGGAGGCCTTCCTCCCCGTCCCGTCCTGGGGCGAGGGAGGGCTCTGGCAGGGCTGAAGGCCGACTGGGCAGGAGGGACAGCGGTGTCGGTGTTGGGGAGAGCAGGAGCAAAGGCTCCAGGGAGAGTAAGGGGCTCGACTTTGGTGTGGAGGGTAGGGGTCCCAGGAGCTTGCCTGCGGCTGTTGCTTGGAGCTGTTCTGGGGGGAGGCAGGGATGGGGTAGGAGGGCATAGAAAGGAGGAACATTCTATCCCCTGCGGGAGGAACAGGAGGTTTCCAGTACCCCCTCCCTCTGTCCCTCTCCCTCCCCTCCCTGTCTTTCCCCTCTCCCTCTCTACCCCTCCCTCTCACCCCCTCCCTCAGTTTCCCCCTCCCTCTTTACTCCCTCCCTCTTACTCTCCTCCCTCTCTCCCCCTCCTACTCTCCTCCCTCTCTCCCCCTCCCTCTTACTCTTCTCCCTCTCTCCCCCTCCCTCTCACCCCTTCCCTCTCACCCCCTCACTCAGTCTCCCCCTCCCTCTTAACTCCCTCCCTCTTACTCTCCTCCCTCTCTCTCCCCCTCCCTATCATCCCCCTTCCCTCTTAACCCCCACCTCTCTCCTCCTCCCTCTCAGCCCCCTCCCTCTGTCTCCTCTTCCCTCTCTCTCCCCTCCCTGTCCGTCCCCTTCCCTTTCTGCCCCTCCCTCTGTCCCTCTCCCAGTCTCTCCCCTTCCTCCTTCCCCCTCCTTTCTTCTCCTTTCTCTCTCTACCCATCCCTGTCTCCTCCCCCTCCTTCTCCCTCCCCCACAACTCTCCCTCCATCTACTCCCACCCCTGCCCGCGAAAGGGGAGCCCTGGTGCGGGTTCCTGCCCTTCCCTCACCATCCGCTCCCGGGCTGAGGGCGGGGACCCGTGTTTGGCCGGAGGAGCCTGCGGTCTCCAAACCAGGACGCGGAGACTCAGCCTCCGCTCTCTTCCCCCGCACTCCTCCCGAGGGGCCAAAAGAGAGAGGAGCCTGCCGCGAGTCCCCGCCCCGATCCCGCCCTCCAGCCCCGCCCCTGCCTATTTGTCTTGCAGCACTGGCAGCAGCGACCCCTACTGCATCGTGAAGGTGGACAATGAGCCCATCATCAGGTACCGCCCCCACCCCCAGGACCGAGGGGCGCTCAGCCTCTCATCGGCCCGCGCTCTCCCCGCAAAGGGGTGTGAATTTTGTTGTGAATTTTGTACGGAGATGGGAGGGGGCTTGGAGCACCTGGTCCCCTGCCTGGGATTCCCCACCTCGCCCTGACACCCCAGCTAGGAGACGAGAAAGACCTTCAGGGAACTGGCCTGGCCAAGGGCCTCTCACCGGACTCTGTTCATCTTTGCAATCATCACAACCTCCGGGAGAGACAGATGCTGACGATTTGTAACAACAACTCTCATTTGTGGAGCCAGCCCTTTTCCAGCCCGTTTAGTTCTTGCAATTAACGAGATACGATATCATTAGACCCCATTTACAGACAAGGAAACTGAGGCTCAGGGAGACTAACTACCCTGGCCAAGGTCACATGCCTAGTAAAAGTGGCAGAGCCACACTGGAGCCCAAGTCTGGCCACCCCAGAGCCTGAGCTCCCTTCCCCTCCCTGGTCCTGGCTCTAACTTGGGTCCTGTCCCCTGAGAGTCCCATAGTAATATCCCTCGAGGCTGGGCAACCCCAGCCTGCACCCTGAAGAGTCACTTCCTCCGGATGTCCCTTCCTCCATGGTCCCCATGATCTCTGGGCAGGGTCTTTGCTGTCCTCTCCCTTCCTTCACCCAGACTCCTGCTTCCAAGTTCATGGCCAGAGCTGCCCTACTGTTCTGCCCACCTGAGTGCCCGTGGCCTACTCGGAGCCCAGTCCTTCCCTACCTGCAAGCAGGCTCCCAGCCTTTCTCGAGGGTCTGCAAACCACAGACAGCAAGAGGGAGAGGGGTGTGATGGCTCTGATGCTCTTGATACAGAAGGGAAACAGATGACCTGTCTGAGAAGTGGTTGGCATGAGGTGGTCCCCTGAACTTTCATCCGGGTCCTTGGGGGCTTCAGCGTCTCCCCACCCGCTAGCCCACTGAGTCCCATGAGTTGAAGGCTCTGATCCAAAGGGGGTTGACCAGAGCTGGGTGAGGATGTGAGGCCAGGCTCACCAGTCGCCCTGAGGCAGCTACCCTGTGACCTGAGGCCAATGCCTGCCAACTGTGATCTCAGTTTCCCCAAATGTAAAACAGCTGGAGAGGCTGGGCACGGTGGCTCACGCCTGTCATCCCGGCACTTTGGAAGTCCGAGGTGGGCAGATCACCTGAGGTCAGGAGTTCGAGAGCAGCCTGGCCAACAGGGTGAAACCCTGTCTCTACGAAAATGACAAAATTAGCTGGGCGTGGTGGCAGGCGTCTGTAATCCCAGCTACTCAGGAAGCTGAGGCAGGGAGAATTGCTTGAACCTGGGAGGCAGAGGTTGCAGTGAGCCGAGATGACGCCACTGCACTCTAGCCTGGGCGACAGAGCGAGACTCCGTCTCAAAAAAATAAAATAAAATAAATAACAGCCAGAGAGAGGCAGCCCTGTGCCCCATCCAGAGCAGAGAGGAATGTCAGGGGGTAGTGATTGGTGGTGAACAGTAGGGTCTGGCACAGGGAAAACACATCAGTGGCAGAGCCAGTTGTTATAGGGGTAGGGGAAGATACAAGGAAGGTCCCAGCCCAGGGCCTGGGAGTGGCCTGGGCACATGCTGAGGGTTCTCTCCTGCAGGACAGCCACAGTGTGGAAGACCCTGTGCCCCTTCTGGGGTGAGGAGTACCAAGTGCACCTGCCGCCCACCTTCCACGCTGTGGCTTTCTATGTCATGGATGAGGATGCCCTCAGGTGAGTGCCCCCCTCTCCAGCTGGGACCCAGACCTGGCCATCTGATTGCTCCCTGGCCCATTTCACCACCAGGACTCCTGGGTCCTTTTTGGCATCCTCTTTGCAGCCTGGAGGGAGGCAGAGCCTGGGGGCCTGGGAGGGCGAAAAGCTTGAGCGTGTGGGTGTGCACATGCGTGGCTCCATGGTGCATGCGCCACATACACACGTGTGTGTGCAGGCATGCAGGCACAAGTGTGCATGGACTACACGTGTGCGTGCAGGTGTGAGCTGTGAGATGGGCACCCAGAGAGTGTGAGCTTGGCATGTGTGGGCATGTGAGAAACCTATCACATCCCCCTAGAGGGTCCAGAACCCACAGCCTACAGAAGGGCCACAGGTCCAGCTCTGTTGGGTTACTCTGGAAATGACAGCGGTGTCCACCACCCTGCTCCCCCCGGGGGGGCCCTGAACTTGGTGGGAGGTCCCAGAGGGCAGATACTGAAGCCCTGCCCAGCTCTGCCTCCGTCTCCCTCCTCTAGCCGGGACGACGTTATCGGAAAGGTCTGCCTTACAAGGGACACCATAGCCTCTCACCCTAAGGGTAAGTTCTCCCTTCCCTCCCACACTGGTCTGCCCAGTCCCTGGCCTCCCTCCCACTCGGAGACCTCCCCTCTAGGCTCCGTCTGGTCTCCTGCTCAGGGAAAGCCATTTCTACTCTCCCCAGAAGCCGGGGCCACGTTCTGTACTCCTGGCCTCTGTTCTGCAGCATGTTCCCAAGCCTGGTTGTTACTGCCTCTTCCCTAGGGTGAAGAGGGGCTGCTATGGGTGGAATCTGAGGCCTCTGCTGGCAGAAGAAGGGGCCTCCTTACACTCTATTGCTGAAGCATAGGGACCCCTTCTCCAAATCAGGCCAGCTCCTTCTGTAACCCATGGGGTCGCCTCCATCTGGGCCCTAGTACTACTGTGTCCTAAGTCTGAAGGGTTGGCCTAGAGCCAGTCCAGGCTGGAGATCCCTTTCAATTATTTCTGGGATGCAGACATTGTTTTGTGTTATTGTTTTTACAATTTTTATATAGTTTTTTTTTAAAAAAAAGGCCGGGCACGGTGGCTCACACCTGTAATCCCAGCACTTTGGGAGGCCGAGACGGGTGGATCACGAGGTCAGGAGATCGAGACCATCCTGGCTAACACGGTGAAACCCCGTCTCTACTAAAAGTACAAAAAAATTAGCTGGGCGTGGTGGCAGGCACCTGTAGTCCTAGCTACTTGGCAGGCTGAAGCAGGAGAATGGCGTGAACCTGGGAGGCAGAGCTTGCAGTAAGCCGAGATCGCGCCACTGCACTCCAGCCTCAGCAACGGAGCAAGACTCCACCTCAAAAATAAATAAATAAATAAATGAATAAAAAATAAAAATAAAAAATAAAATAGAGGCCGGGTGCAGTGGCTCACACCTATAATCCCAGCACTTTGGGAGGCCGAGGCAGGTGGATCACCTGAGGTCAGGAGTTCAAGACCAGCCTGGCCAACATGGCAAAACTCTGTCTCTACTAAAAATACAAAAAATTAGCTAGACGTCGTGGTGGGCACCTGTAATCCCAGCTACTCAGGAGGCTGAGGCAGGAGAATCGCTTGAATCCAGGAGGCGGAGGTTGCAGTGAGTCAAGATCACGCCATTGCACTCCAACCTGGATGACAGAGCAAGACTCCATCTCCAAAAGAAAAACAAAGATGGAGGCCGGGCATGGTGGCTCACACCTGTAATCCCAGTGGCAATTCACTTGAGATTAGGAGTTCAAGACCAGCCTCGTCAACATGGTGAAACCCTGTCTCTACTAAAAATATAAAAATTACCTGGGCATGGTGGCACTCACCTGTAATCCCAGCTACTGGGGAGGCTGAGACAGGAAAATCTCTTGAACCTGGGAGGCAGAGGTTGCAGTGAGCCAAGATTGCGCCATTGCACTCCAGCCTAGGTGACAGAGCAAGACTCTGTCTCAAAAAAAAAAAAAAAAAAATGGAGATGGGGGTCTCACTCTGTTGCCCAGGCTGGTCTTGAACTCCTGGCTTTGACAGATCCTCCCGCCTTGGCCTCCCCAAGGTGCTAGGATTACAGGTGTGAACCACCATGCTCTGCCCAGACATGATTTTGAGGGTTCAGCCCTGTGCCAGCCTCACTGTGTGTGACCTTGGGCAGCTCCTGCCTTCTCTGGGCTTCTCTGAGGGTTCAAACCAGTTCTTGGATGCTATGGGCTCTGCCATCAGAGCCTTTGTGTCCCGCTTACTGGCTTCCCCCCACACACACCTGCTCCTGTCTGTGACGCTGGGCCAGGGATGGGGGCAGGGCGAAGGCAGGTTCTGCTGACTCATGGGGCTTCTTGGCCCCTGCCAGGCCAAAGGCCTTTCCCACCTGCAGCCTTAGCCAGCGTCTCTGGGGTCTAGTGGCCCCAGTGAGGCTATTCCTCCGGGTGCCTTGTAGCTTCCCCATCCAGGCCTCAGACCCTCCTCCCAGCAGCCCTAGGGGAGGGCCACTCTCTTCCTGTTTTAAGATGGGGAATCTGGCTGGGTACAGCGGCCCACACTTATAATCGCAGCACCTTAGGAGGCTGAGGTGGGAGGATGGCTTGAGGTCAGGAGTTTGAGACCAGCCTGAGCAACATAGCAAGACTCCATCTTTTTTTTTTTTTTTTTGAGATGGGGTCTTGCTCTATCACCCAGTCTGGAGTGCAATGGCGCAATCTTGTAGCTTCTCCATCTGGGCCTCAGACCCTCCTCCCAGCAGCCCTAGGGGAGGGCCACTCTCTTCCCGTTTTAAGATGGGGAATCTGGCTGGGTACAGCGGCCCACGCTTATAATCCCAGCACCTTGGGAGGCTGAGGTGGGAGGATTGCTTGAGGTCAGGAGTTTGAGACCAGCCTGAGCAACATAGCAAGACTCCATCTTTTTTTTTTTTTTTTTTTTTTTTTTTTGAGATGGGGTCTTGCTCTGTCACCCAGTCTGGAGTGCAATGGCGCGATCTGAGTTCAAGCAATTCTCCTGCCTCAGCCTCCTGAGGAGCTGGGATTACAGGCATGCGCCACCACACCTGGCTCACAGGGTGAGACCCTGTCTCTAAAAACAACAACGACAAAAATGACACAATAGTGAGGGCACAGGCCCCAGGTCACTGACTTAGATTCTAATCCCAGCTCTTCCAACTGCTGTTTCTTCACCTGCGGAGCCTCAGTTTCCCCATCTGTCATTGGGGATACCAGCCCCTGCTTCACGGGTGCCTAGGGGATTCCCAGATTATGGAGGTGCCTCAAGGTGCCTGGTGGGGCTGAGGGTGGAGGGTATGGGGGTTCAGGGCCGGGTCCCTGGCTGAGCTGACCCCACAGGTTTCAGCGGGTGGGCCCACCTGACGGAGGTCGACCCCGATGAGGAGGTGCAGGGCGAGATCCACCTGCGGCTGGAAGTGTGGCCAGGGGCCCGGGCCTGCCGGCTACGCTGCTCTGTGCTGGAGGCCAGGTGAGACTCAGGGGCCTGGGGGCGGGCAGTGGGTCCCCTGCAACTAGAGAAACCCAATGAGGAAGCTGAGCCCCCCCTCGCCCCACCTCTACCTCCTGGTCCCAGAGCTGGCCACCTCCCATCAAAGCCTGCTCTCAAGAGAGGGTCTCGCCAGGCACGGCGTCTCACACCTGTAATCCCAGCACTTTGGGAGGCCGAGGCAGGTGGTTCACCTGAGGCCAGGAGTTCAAGACCAGCCTGACCACCATGGTGAGACCCTGTCTCTACTAAAAATACAACAATTAGCCGGGCATGGTGGCAGGTGCCTGTAATCTCAGCTACTCAGGAGGCTGAGGCAGGAGTCTTGAACCCAGGAGGCAGAGGTTGCAGTGAGCCGAGATGGCGCCACTGCACTCCAGCCTGGGTGACAAGCGAGACTGTGTCTCAAAAAAAATAAAAAAGAAAGAAAAAAGAGAGGGTCTGGGGAGGTTTTCTGGACTTGAAGATGCTTCTTGGGTGATTTCCACTCAAGGGGATATGTCCCTTAAGGGACAGTCTAATGTTCTCATGGAGGAACTGGAGCCATCACAGAGGAGTGGAGTAGGGGGTACGGGTGAGGAGACCCCGAACTCTGATCACACAGCCTCAGTCCCCCAGTGCTAAGGCCGGCTTCCCAATGTTTAACGCCAGTGTGAACTTGGCCTGGTGGGAGTGTGTGTAAGTGGGTCCCTCGTGGGGCTGGGGGGGTGAAAAGAGTTGCTGAAAATCTCCCGATGGGCAAATTGAGGGTTCCCCCAAGGAGGGACAGTGGTTTGGATGGTTCCATGGGCCTGAGTCACCTGTGACAGGGCCACCCCCCAACCCCCAGGGTATTTTTAGCTGCAGGCTGCACTCCCGTCTGGGCCTGGGTCTGAGTCACACTCTGTCCGTGAGAAGCGTCTTCCCTTCCGGCTCCAAAGCCACCTCCCCAAGTCGCTCCCTGCCTGTGAGGCAGGAGGGTGGCCCCCAGCCAGGCAGCCCTATGGAGCCAGTGTTCCCCCCACCCTTGAGGGGTCAGCCTGTCTAAGAGGAAGACTTCCCTTGGGCAGAGGGGTGTGGGTCGGATGATGCCCATGTTGCTCACTCTGGCTTCCCGGGAGTTATTTTCTGTCCTGGGAAAATAGAAATGGATGGAAAATGTCTGGGCTTGGGCCGAGCCTCAGCCACACCCCCACACTCGCTCACTCTCTGGCCTCTGCCATTCATTCCCCCCCGCCCCACCCCAACTCACCCGCTTCCTCCATCCTTATCCTTTCCAGGCACCAGGCTGTCTGGGGGACAGGCATGCACACGTGTGCACCCGCTCACACACGTGGCCGGGCTCTGGGACCTCGGGGCCACTTCTCCCAGGCACCCATCGTCACCCACGGAGATGGGAGGCATGGAAGCATGTCTCCCTGGCCCTCCCCTCTCTCCAGGAATCTCCCCTGTCCCATCCTCTGGGGCCACAGTGGTTGGCCTTCTAGTGAGTCCTAGCAGGGGAGAGGAATGTCCAGGCCTCTCTCAGAGTGAGGGGACTTGTCCCCCGTTGTCCTCGGCAATGAGACTCCTGCTGCAATTCCAAGTCAGCCTAAGAAGGTCCATTTGCTGCGGAGAAAGAAAGAACATTTCCTCATTTTTTCTGGGGAGATTCTCAATATTTCAGTAAAACCTTGGGGTTTTTTTGTTTTTTGTTTTTGAGACAATCTCGCTCCATCATCCAGGCTGGAGTGCAGTGGCCCGATCTCAGCTCACTGCAACCTCCACCTTCTGGGTTCAAGCAATTCTCCTGCCTCAGCCTTCCTAGTAGCTGGGATTACAGGTGTGCACCACCACGCCCGGCTAATTTTTTGTATTTTTAGTAGAGACGGGACTTCACTATGTTGGCTAGGCTGGTCTCAAACTCCTGACCTCAGGTGATCTGCCTGCCTCGGCCTCCCAAAGTACTGGGATTACAGGCGTGAGCCACTGCACCCGGGCTGTTTTTTTTTTTTTGGTGGTTTTTTTTTTTTTTTTTTTTTTGAGGCAGTCTGGCTCTGTCGCCCAGGCTGGAGTGCAGTGGCGTTTTCTTGGCTCACTGCAACCTCTGCCTCCCCAGGTTCAAGCAATTCTCCTGCCTCAGCCTCCTTCCCAAAGTGCTGGGATTATAGGAATGAGCCGCTGCACCCAGCCTCAATGTTGGGGTTTTATTAGACAGTCTTGAGGGGGAAGAAAGGCAGGTATGAGAGGCTTAAAATATCAAAGATGAGTGGGCTTTGGTGTTCTTCCACAAAGAGTTCTAAGTAGGGGATACTGGCAGGGTGCAGTGGCTCACTCCAGTAATCCCAATGCTTTGGGAAGCAGAGGTGGGAGGATCTCTTGAGGCCCAGATTTCGAGACCAGCCTGGGCAACAGCAAGATCCTGTCTCTACAAAAAAATTTAAAAATTAGCCAGGTGTGGTGGGGCACACCTATAGTGCCAACTACTTGGGAGGCTGACGTGGGAGGATTGCTTGAGCCCAGGAGGTGAAGGCTGCAGTGGGCTATGATTGCATCACTGTACTCCAGCCTGAGCAACAGAGCAAGACCCTGTTTAAAAAAAAAAAAGAAAAGAATAAAAGGGCCAGGCGCGGTGGCTCACGCCTGTAATCCCAGCACTTTGGGAGGCCAAGGCAGGCGGATCACCTGAGGTCAGGAGTTCGACGGCAGCCTGGCCAACCTGGTGAAACCCCATCTCTACTGAAAATACGAAAATTAGCTGGGCGTGGTGGCAGGCACCTGTAATCCCAGCTACTCAGGAGGCTGAGGCAGGAGAATTACTTGAACCCAGGAGGCGGAGGTTGCAGTGAGCTAAGATTGCACCATTACACTCCAGCCTGGGCGACAGAGCGAGACTCCGTCTCAAAAAAAAAAAAAAGCTGGAGGTACCGTGACTAGACTAGGGCTGTGTAAAGACCCATCTATGGAGAAAGGGCAGGGCCGCCCATCAGGGCTGCACCTCACTCCTCCACCAAGTAGAGCGACATTACTGGGGCAGACCTTCCAGAAGCACACTCTCTCCCTAAACCTGAGCCCAGTAGCGATTCACTTTTCCATTTTCCTGATGAGGAAACCGAGGCTTAGGGCAGCCCTGGGAATGGAGGGCCAGGAACATTGCCCCGGCGGTTCCCTGGCAGCACTCACACCACCCCCCTGCCACCCCCAGAGCAAGGTGCAGCCACTGGCCTGCAGCTGCCTGGTGGGAAGGACCCATGGCCTCTACCTTGGGGGGTTCTTGGCCACATGGGCGATCCTGGGGAGATGGCTATGGGAGCAGGGCCCAGAAAGGGCAGAGGCGCACTGTCCACAGTCAGCTTGCCAGGGACGGAATGTGCCCAGGCCTTTTGGCCCGCTGTGGTTACATAATGGTGGTGACAAGTGGGGGAGGGGGGGCTCAGGGACAAGTCGATGATCCAATCTTCCTCCACCCCCACCAGGGATCTGGCCCCAAAGGACCGCAATGGCACATCTGACCCCTTCGTCCGAGTGCGCTACAAGGGCCGGACACGGGAGACCTCGGTGAGGAGGCCAGAGGGCAGGGAAGGGGCAGGGGGCTCGGGGGACGTGCCAGCCACGCCCCCATTGCTCACCTCACCACCTGCTCACCATCCGCTGGTGGGACAGATTGGGGGCCACAGTCTTACAGAGGAGGCCCAGGGAAAGGGGCGACCTCTCTGAGGGGACATAATAGGTCCCAGGACCTCTGGGGCCAACTTCGCTCACTCCCGGCCATGCTTGGGGGTAAGGAGGGGATTGAGACAGCCGGAGTGGGGTTTATTTGGGAACACCCATGCTGCCTTCCCCACCCCCAGGAAATGTCCAGAGTCGAGGGCCCAGTCCTGGGCACGAAGACACCAAGGTCTGCTTTCTCAGTATAGTCGCTACTGTTTTTGTTTTGTGTTTCGTGGTGTTTTTTTTTTTTGAGGCCAAGTCCCACCCTGTCACCCAGGCTGGAGTGCAGTGGCTGGATCTCAGCTCACTGCAGGCTCTGGCTTCCCAGTTCGAGAGATTCTCCTGCCTCAGCCACACGAGTAGCTAGGATTACAGGCACACACCACCACACCAGGCTAATTTCTTGTATTTTTAGTAGAGATGGGGTTTCACCATGTTGGCCAGGCTGGTCTCGAACTCCTGGCCTCAAGTGATCCTCCCGCCTCGGCTTCCCAAAGTGCTGGGATTACAGGCATGAGCCACCACGCCCAGCCCTGTGTTTTTTGTTTGTTTTGCTCTGTTTTTAAATATTTTATTTCCATAGGTTATTGGGGAACAGGTGGTGTTTGGTTACATAAGTTCTTAGTGGTGATTTATGAGATTTTGGTTCACCCATCACCCGAGCAGTATACACTGCACCCAATTTGTAGTCTTTTATCCCTCACCCCCTTCCCGCCCTTCCCCCCCGAGTCCCCAAAGTCCACTGTGTCATTGTTATGCCTTTGCGTCCTCATAGCTTAGCTCCCACATATGAGTGAGAACATAACGATGTTTGGTTTTCCATTCCTGAGTTACTACACTTAGAATAATAGTCTCCAATCCAATCCAGGTTGCTGTGAATGCCATTAATTCATTCCTTTTTTATGGCTGAGTAGTATTCCATCGTATATATATACCACAGTTTCTTTATCCACTTGTTGATTGATGGACATTTGGGCTGGTTTCACATTTTTGCAATTGCGAATTGTGCTGCTATAAACATGCGTCTGCAAGTATCTTGGCCAGGCACAGTGGCTCACACCTGTAATCCCAGCACTGTGGGAGGCCAAGGCTGGCAGATTGCTTGAGGCCAGGAGTTTGAGACCAGCCTGGCCAACATGGTGAAACCCCGTCTCTACTAAAAATACAAAAATTAGCCGGGCGTAGCGGCAGGCCCCTGAAATCCCAGCTACTTGGGAGGCTGAGGCAGGAGAATCACTTGAACCCAGAAGGCGGAGGTTGCAGTGAGCTGAGATCGTGCCACTGCACTCCAGCCTGGGCGACAGAGCAAGACTGTTTCAAAAACAAAACAAAACAAACAAAACAAAAACATATGTGTGCAAGTATCTTTTTTGTATAATGACTTCTCCTCTGGGTAGATACCCAGTAGTGGGATTGCTGAATCAAATGGTAGTTCTACTTTTAGTTAGTTAAGGAATCTCTGCTGTTTTCCATAGTGGTTGTACTAGTTCACATTCCCACCAGCAGTGTAGAGGTATTCCCTGTTCACCACATCCTCATAGTCAGTACTGTTTTGCTGTGTGGCCTTGGATACATCTTTTCCCCACCCTGGGCCTCAGTTCTCCCTATCTCAGAAATGGGTGGGAGCTTGGACAGGACATTTTAACCTCTGCTGTGGCAGAACCTCCAAGGCGAGGAGGCTGTGGGGAACCCAGGGGAGGTGTCTAGGGCAGCTCTGCCTTTTGCCCAGCCTGGGGAGTCCAGTGGCATCAGCCTAACCCCCTCCCACCCTCCTCTGGGCAGATCGTGAAGAAGTCATGCTACCCACGCTGGAATGAGACGTTTGAATTTGAGCTGCAGGAGGGGGCCATGGAGGCGCTGTGCGTGGAGGCCTGGGACTGGGACCTTGTCAGCCGAAACGACTTCCTGGGCAAAGTGAGCACCACCGCCCCGCCCCCCCTCCTCCCCCGGCAGGCTGCACCTGCTGTCCCCCAGCACCTGGTTCCATTGCAGCCATCCCATCCTCAGGGACCTCCCTCCGGCTTCCCCAAAGAGGGACACTCAGGAAGCCTGGGACTACCCCCCCACCTCCACCGTCTGCCAGAACCAGCAACTTCCCCCCACCACCACTGGCACTCAGGGACCCTTGGAAGGGGCCCCTCCCCACTAAGAACAGTAGTTGGCAAGGAGGAGACGTAAGTCTCCCAGCTCCAGGAAAACTGCCACTATGTCCCCAGGTGGTGATTGATGTCCAGAGACTGCGGGTGGTGCAGCAGGAGGAGGGCTGGTTCCGGCTGCAGCCCGACCAGTCCAAGAGCCGGCGGCATGACGAGTAAGTGCATGGAGCTGGGCAGCCGGCCTCAAGGGGTGGGGTGGGGGCTGACATTTGGGAATTGGCTACAGGCAGGCAGGGCAGGGGGGCTGCTCAGGGTGAGAGGTCAGGAGACACAGCTCCAGGGTCCCCTCAGCCCCTGCCCACCTAGCCAGCATCCTTCTCATCCTGGCTGGGCTCCACCTCCCCTTTATTTATTATTTATTTATTTATTTATTTATTTTGAGATGGAGTCTCACTCTGTCCCCAGGCTGGAGTGCAATGGCGTGATCTCGACTCACTGCAGGCTCCGCCTCCCGGGTTCACGCCATTCTCCTGCCTCAGCCTCCCAAGTAGCTGGGACTACAGGCACCCGCCACCGCGCCTGGCTAATTTTTTGCATTTTTAGTAGAGACAGGGTTTCACCATGTTAGCCAGGATGGTCTCGATCTCCTGACCTTGTGATCCACCCGCCTCGGCCTCCCCAAGTACTGGGATTACAGGCATGAGCCACCGCGCCCGGCCCCTCCCCTTTATTTTTCCCCACAGTTCTGCATTCAGCTCAGCTCTGTCTTCTGTCTTTTTTTTGAGATGGAGTCTTGCTCTGTCACCCAGGCTGGAGTGCAGCGGCACAATCTTGGCTCACTGCAACCTCCACCTCCTGGGTTCCAGTGATTCTCCTGCCTCAACCTCCTGATTAGCTGGGATTACAACTGTGTACCACCATGCTCGGCTAATTTTTGTATTTTTAGTAGAGACAGGGTTTCACCATGTTGGCCAAGTTGGTCTCGAACACCTGACCTCAAGTGATCCACCCGCCTCAGCCTGCCAAAGTGCTAGGATTACAGGCATGGGCCACCGCACCCGGCCAGGTCTGTCTTCTTAGCTCACAGGTTGTACAGGTCTCCTGCTTTCTGCCTCTGGAAGTTTCTGAAACAAGTACTCAGACATTTTCCCTTTGAAAATTTCCCTGCAGACCTCAGACCAGGGTTCAAGTCTCCAAGGTCAGTGTCCCTGAGCCATAGCTCCAACTCCCTATGCCAGATTCTCCAGGAATAGGGTTGTGAGATAAGATAGGACACCATTGGCCAGGAGCGGTGGCTCATGCCTGTAATCCCAGCTCTTTGGGAGGCCAAGGTGGGAGGATCACTTGGGGCAAGGAGTTTGAGACCAGCCTGGGCAAGAAAGTGAGACTCCGTCTCTACAAAGAAATAAAAATTAGGCCAGGCGCGGTGGCTCACGCCTGTAATCCCAGCACTTTGGGAGGTCGAGGTGGGCGGATCACCTGAGGTCAGGAGTTTGAGACCAGCCTGGCCAGATGGCGGGCACCTGTAATCCCAGCTACTCGGGAGGCTGAGGCAGGCAGAATTGCTTGAACCCCGGAGGCAGAGGTTGTAGTGAGCCAAGATTGCGCCATTGCACTCTAGCCTGGGTGACAAAGCTAGACTCTGTCTCAAAAAAAAAAAAGAACACCCAGTTAAAACTTAATTTCAGATAAAAGTGAATATATATATATATATTTTTTTTTTTTGAGCAGAATCTCACTCTGTCACCTAGGCTGGATGGAGTGCAGTGGCACGGTCTTGGCTCACTGCAACCTCCGCCTCCCAGGTTCAAGCAATTCTCATGCCTCAGCCTCCCGAGTAGCTGGGATTACAGGCATGCACCTGTACCACCAGTACAGTGGTGATCATAGCTCACTGTAGCCTCCACCTCCTGGGTGCAAGCAATCCTCCCATCTCAACGTTCCAGGTAGCTAGGACCACCTCACCTGGCTAAATTTTTGTAGTTTTAGTAGAGATGGGGTTTCACCGTGATGGCCGGGCTTGATGTTGAACTCCTGACCTGTGCCCGGCTGTGAATACATTTTTAGTATAAAAATAACCGCTGGGCGTGGTGACTCACACCTGTAATCCCAACACTTTGGGAGTTTGAGGTGGGTGGATCACTTGAGGTCACGAGTTCGAGACCAGCCTGGCCAACATGGTGAAACACCGTCTCTACTAAAAGTACAAAAAATGGTGGTGGGCACCTGTAATCCAAGCTACTGAAGCAGGATAATTGCTGGAACCCAGGAGACGGAGGTTGCAGTGAGCCGAGATCCCACCACTGCACTCCAGCCTCGGTGACAAGAGCGAAACTCCGTCTCAAGAAAACAGCCGGGTGCGGTGGCTCATGCCTGTAATCTCAGCACTTTGGGTGGCCGAGGCGGGTGGATCATGAGATCAGGAGTTCAAGACCAGCCTGGCCAACATGGTGAAATCCCGTCTGTACTAAAAATACAAAAATTACCCGGATGTGGTGGCGGGCACCTCTAATCTCAGCTACTTGGGAGGCTGAGGATGGAGAATTGCTTGAACCTGGGAGGTGGAGGTTGCAGTGAGCCGAGATCGCGCCACTGCACTCCAGCCTGGGTGACAGAGCAGGACTCCATCTCAGCAAAAAAAAAAATAAATAAAGAAGAAGAATGACCATGCACTATTTGAGACATACCTATACTAAAAATATTCAAATTTAGGCCGGGTATGGTGGCGCATGCCTGTAATCTCAGCACTTTGGGAGGCCAAGGCAGGAGGATCACTTGAGCCCAGGAGTTCAAGACCAGCCTGGGCAACATAGCAAGACCCCATCTCTAAAAAAAATAGTTAATAAGTAAATAAAATATTCACATTTAACTGGGTGTCTTGGGTCGTTTTGCTAAATCTGGCAGCCTGTCTAGGAAGCCCTCTGGCTTGTTTGCTGTGGCCCACAGCCCTCAGTGGTTCAGCTTTGTGTCTCTGTGGAAGGCCCCAGACCCCCATTCCCCCAGTTCCCATCCTTAACAGGGTAGGAGCAGGTGGACGGCTGTGTGTCCAGCACAAGGTGTTTCCATAGAACCAGCCAAGGCCCATCTTGCCATCTTATTTTTTATTTATTTATTTTTTTTGAGACAGAGTCAGGCTGGAGTGCAGTGGTGCAATCCTGGCTCACTGCAACCTCTGCTTCCTGGGTTGAAGCGCTTCTCCTGCCTCAGTCTCCCGAGTAGCTGCGATTACAGGCACCTGCCACAATGCCTGGCTAATTTTTATATATATATTTTAATAGAGATGGGGTTTTGCCGTGTCAGCCAGGCTGGTCTTGAACTCATGACCTCAAGTGATCTGCCTGCCTTGGCCTCCCAAAGTGCTGAGATTACAGGCATGAGCCACTGCGCCAGGCCCAGGGGCCCATCTTAACGCTGCTCTGTGCATGAGGCTTGTGCTGAGCAGGGGCAGTGGGAGCCTTAGAGGTTCCCACTTGGTCCACACCCTCCTCTGTTCTGAACTTCCCTATCAGAACAGGGAAGCTGGGAAGCTCAATCTAATGTGGCAAGTTGCTGAACTGGCTCGGGTCTCAGTTTCCCTATTAGGTTGTTATGAGGGTTGGGGATTTGCTTCTGCTGTAAAGTGTACCCATGATGGTGCCATTATCTGGGAGTTGATCGATTCAAGGCTGGCAGCTCCACATACCCAAGCTTGGAGGTGGCAGGGAGCCAGACCTCGAAGACAGATAGAGGTGCCTTGAGTGCAGAGACAGGAAGGGCTTTCCAAAAACAGAAAATAAATAGCCCGGGCAGAGCCTGGGAGGCAGAGCTATGCAGGGCACCCGGATGGAGGGCATGAGCAGAGAGATGGGAAGCCGGCCCCAAGGGAAAAAACTGGAGGCCGTGGGAGTGGTGTGGTCCAGGGTGGCCTGAGTCCCTGGTGGAGAGGTCACAGGCTGCCCATTCCAGGGGCAACCTGGGCTCCTTGCAGCTGGAGGTGCGGCTGCGGGACGAGACGGTGCTGCCCTCCAGCTACTACCAGCCACTGGTGCACCTGCTGTGCCACGAGGTCAAGCTGGGCATGCAGGTGAGGGGGCCTGGGCAGGGTGGGAGGGTCCAGTGGCAGTAGGCCTGTGCGCCTGTCCTTCTAAACCCATTCTGCAGAGCAGAAACCTGAGGTCTGGGGATGTGAGGAGCTGGCCAGTGTCCAGGGCCCCGTCCCCAGCCACCCCTTGGGAAAATGTCCTCTTTCCCTGGGATGCTCTGAGGTCCTCAGAGGGAAAGGTTCGGGATCCCCCGTGCCTCTCCCTGCAGGGCCCAGGGCAGCTGATCCCACTCATCGAGGAGACAACCAGCACCGAGTGTCGCCAGGACGTGGCCACGAACCTGCTCAAGCTCTTCCTGGGGCAGGGGCTGGCCAAGGACTTCCTGGACCTGCTCTTCCAGCTGGAGCTGAGTCGCACCAGTGAGGCCTGGGAAGGAGCTGGGCCCAGAACACTGGGAGGTGTTTGGGGGTGGGTGGGCTCCTCCTGTAGGAGGCAGATGGGGTCAGAGAGGAGGGAGGCAAGGAACAGAGCCAAGGGCAGAGGTGGGACAGTGGGCTGGGAGGTGGCGAGGAGGCCCTTTATTGAGGGGCCAGCTTAGATCCCCCAGCCCCAAGGTCCTCTGTCCTCCCCCTCCCCCAAAAGCTTTGTGCCAGCCCCCTACCCACTGGGACCTCTGTTTGTAGGTGAGACCAACACCCTGTTCCGGAGCAACTCTCTGGCCTCAAAGTCCATGGAGTCTTTTCTGAAGGTGAGGTTGCATGCTATATTGTCCTCATCTTGCAAATGACAACACTGAGCTTCAGAGAGCGACAGAGGGGGCTGGGACTTCGACTCCAGTGTTCTATCTCCATATTCAGAGCCCTTTAAGGTTAAGAATGTGGCTGGGCATAGTGGCTCATGCCTGTAATTGCAGCACTTTGGGAGGCTGAGGCGGGCGGATCACTTAAGGTCAGGAGTTCGAGACCAGCCTGGCCAACATGGCGAAACCCCATCTCTACTAAAAATACAAAAATTAGCCTGGCATGGTGGTGGGCACCTGTAATCCCAGCTACTGGGGAGGCTGAGGCAGGAGACTCACTTGAACCAGGAGCCAGAGGTTGTAGTGAGCTCACGCCACTGCACTCTAGCCTGGGCCCCGTGCTAGACTCCGTGCCCCGCACCCCCCCCCCCCAAAGAGAATGTGTGTGTGATTAAAATTTAAGTTAGAGACAGTCTCACTATGTTGCCCAGGCTGGTCTCAAACTCCTGGCCTCAAGTGATCCTCCTGCCTTGGCCTCCCAAAGTGCTAGGATTACAAGGGCTAAGAATTCTAGTCATTCATTCACTCACTCATTCATTCATTCATGAATAAACAGTTTGCCCTGCATGTGTACCTGGCCCCCTCCTGGGCGGATACGGCAGGCAAACGGTGCAAGGGCGGCTGCCGGGAGAAGGTGGGCAGCTGGAGTGGGACTGGGGGAGACAGGATCAATGTGACCTGCGGTGGTCCCCAGGTGGCCGGGATGCAGTACCTGCACGGCGTCCTGGGCCCCATCATCAACAAGGTGTTTGAGGAGAAGAAGTACGTGGAGCTGGACCCCAGCAAAGTGGAAGTTAAGGATGTAGGGTGAGGCCGGGGGTAACTCCGGGGGTTGCGGGGTGCAGCGGCAGCGGGTTGGGATCAGGCCCTGTCAGCATGTGTGTTTGTGCTTCTGCCCACCCGTGTATTGTCCCCTGTGTCCGTGTCCTGGCTGCTGTGAGAGCCACTGTTCCTGTCGTGGCCCTGGCGCTGACCGCGACCTCCTCTGCCAACCCGCCCCGTTCCACGCAGGTGCTCCGGGCTGCACCGCCCGCAGACCGAGGCCGAGGTGCTGGAGCAGAGCGCGCAGACGCTGCGCGCCCACCTGGGGGCCCTGCTGAGCGCGCTCAGCCGCTCGGTTCGCGCGTGCCCCGCCGTGGTGCGCGCCACCTTCCGCCAGCTCTTCCGGCGCGTGCGCGAGCGCTTCCCCGGCGCCCAGCACGAGGTGCGCCCTCCACCCGCTGGGCTAGGCTGGGCCGGGTTGGACTGGGCTGGGGCGAGGGGTGAAGAGCGGTGGGGAACCAGGGAGCGCTGGGGAGGACCAGGGAGGCTGTGTCCCAGCGAGGGTCAGGGACGGAGCCTAAGGGGAGGGGGCTGCCAGGAGCCCTGGTCTGGGGGACTCCAGCCCGCGCTCTTCCGCACCCCTCCAGAATGTACCGTTCATCGCCGTCACCAGCTTCCTGTGCCTGCGCTTCTTCTCTCCCGCCATCATGTCGCCCAAGCTCTTCCACCTGCGGGAGCGCCACGCGGACGCCCGCACCAGCCGCACCCTGCTCCTGTTGGCCAAGGTGCGGGCCTTGCGGCCACGGGCGGGATGCACAGCTGGGTGTCCTACCGGGGCCCTGGCCTGGACTGCAGAGTGTTCCCTACCGGCTCCGGCGAGGCCACTGGCACGCCCACGTAGGCACTGCACTTCACAGTTTGCAAAGCCTTCCTGTGGCCACCTTGTCCGAGCTCCATCTCATGGATAAGGGAACAGGCCTGCGAGGGGTCGGGGGTTGCCAAGGCCGCCCATCCTGTCGGTGGTGAATCGCGGGACCTTCCAACCCGGGTCTGCTTACTCTCAGGCTGCACCTATGTGCCCGGCACCGGGGTGGGGTATCCAGTGCAGCAGCGTCAGTTAAACCTACAGAGGAAGGCCCAAGTGGTCTCAGTTATCATAAGGCATCAAACTTCATGATCCTCTCCTCCCTGATCCCTAGTGGGGCTGGAGGGGGCCCGTGGGCATGGCCTCTGTCGCCTCTGCCTCCATCGCTACAGCTGAGTAGCAAAGACTTGGGGAGGGGGGGTGGGAGGGGGTGCAGTGGCTAGGCCCCTAACCTAGCAGAACCTGGTCCTTCCTGCTGTCACCTCCAGGCAGTCCAGAACGTGGGCAACATGGACACGCCGGCTTCCAGGGCCAAGGAGGCTTGGATGGAGCCGCTGCAGCCCACCGTGCGCCAGGGCGTGGCGCAGCTGAAGGACTTCATCACCAAGCTCGTGGACATCGAGGAGAAGGACGGTGAGCGCCGCCCTGCACAGACCCGCCCACAGCCTACTGCTGACGTTTGCTCCGCCCTTGAGCCCCACGGCCCCACCCATCGCTGTTTGTTCCTCTCGTGGCCCCACCCACCGCCTGCTGTTGGCATTTGCCAGGCCCCCAGGCCATAGACCCACGCACCACTGTTTGTGCTTCCTGTGACCCTGCCCACTGCCTGCCGTTGACGTTTGCCCCACCCCTAGACCCATGGCCTCACCCCCCCATCATCTGCGCCTGTTGACATTTGCTCCATCCTTGAGCTCCATAGCCCCGCCGCCACCTGCTACTGACGCGTGTCCCGCCTCCAAGCCCATGGCCCTGCCTTCCTCAGTCCACCTGTCACCCCGCTCACCACCAGCTGTTGATGTTTGCTCCGCCCTTGAGCCCCATGACTACGTCCACTGCCTGCTGTTCAGATTTGCTCAGCCCTTGAGCCCCATGGCCCCTCCCACTGCTCCGCTCCCCCCAGTCCCGCCCTCATTCACTGGGCTCTCTATTCCCCTCCCTCCCTGGCCTGGCAGAGCTGGACCTGCAGCGGACGCTGAGTTTGCAGGCGCCACCTGTGAAGGAGGGGCCACTCTTCATCCACAGGACCAAGGGCAAGGGCCCCCTCATGTCCTCCTCCTTCAAGAAGCTCTACTTCTCCCTCACTACCGAGGCCCTCAGCTTCGCGAAGACGCCCAGCTCCAAGGTGGGTAAGGAGGGAGGCCGGCAAGTGGGGCTCTGAGAGGCCGGCAAGTGGGGCACCTGTCCCCTTCCTTGGAGCCCACTTGAGGTACCCCCGGGGTCAGAGAAGAAAGCCAGGTGTGTGGCATCTGTACTGCTTGTCAGAACCTAGGAGGGCCGGGCACGGTGGCTCACGCCTGTAATCCCAGGACTTTGGGAGGCCAAGGCGGGTGGATCACTTGAGGTTAGGAGTTTGAGACCAGCCTGGCCAACATGGAGAAACCCCGTCTCTACTAAAAATACAAAAAATCAGCCGGGTGTGGTGGTGGGTGCCTGTAGTCCCAGCTACTCGGGAGGCTGAGGCACGGGAATCGCTTGAACCTGGGAGGCAGAAGTTGCAGTGAGCCGAGATCGTGCCACTGCACTCCAACCTGGGCAACAGAGCAAGACTCCATCTCAAAAAAAAAAAAAATGAATATGGAGGAAGTTGATCCGACCTTACCAGGTTGTTGAGGATTAAATGAGATGATCTCCCTAAGGGTCCTGACCCAGGGCCTGGCAGGTAGTACTATTTAGGCAAATGATATTATTAAAGATAGTATATCACCTGGGCTGCTAGATGAGTAGGAGGCTAGGGCAAACAGGGGAGGCTTCCTGGAAGAGGCAGGAATATAGAAGCACGGAATCTTGGCGTGGGAAGGGATCTCAAAGATCACCTTGTACAGCCCTCTCTGAGTCATGGGTCACCTCTCCTGCAAGCTCTCTTCTCCCAGGAAGGGCTGAGGACATACTTCCTCCATGGACCTGGTGACTGCTTGCTGTACACCTGCCCCCAGTCATGCAGGCTATGGGGATGATCTTCCAGGAGTACCCAGCCTAGCCCTGGGCAGGTGAGAGCGGGCTAGGAGTAGGTGAAGGAGCTCATCACCCACCCTGTTCTCAACCAGCTCAGGGGTCCCACCAGATGAGGGGCCCGCCCCTTCCGACCAAAGACCCCTCAGATGATGATAATTATTTTTTGAGACAGGGTCTTGCTCTGTCACCCAGGCTGTAGTGCAGTGGTGCGATCATAGCTGACCGCAGCCTCAAACTCCTGGGCTCAAGCAATCTTCCTACCTCAGCCTCCCGAGTAGCTGGGACTACAGGCACGTGCCACCAAGCCCAGCTAATTTTCTTTAACTTTTTTTTTTGCGGAGATGGGGTCTTGCTATGCTGCCCAGGCTGTTCTCAAACTCCTGGCCTCAGGCAATCCTCCTGCCCCAGCCTCCCAAAGCACTCAGATGATTATTATACATCTTCCTTGCCAGGGTTGAAAGATTTGACTACATGGGCATTATTTAATTCTGGTCCCATTTTTTTTTTTTTTTTTGAGATGGAGTTTCGCTTTTGTTGCCCAGGCCAGAGTGCAATGGTGCGATCTTGGCTCACCGCAACCTCCGCCTCCCGGGTTCAAGCGATTCTCCTGCCTCAGCCTCCCAAGTAGCTGGGATTACAGGCATGCGCCACCATGCCCGGCTAATTTTGTATTTTTAGTAGACACAGAGTTTCTCCATGTTTGTCAGGCTGGTCTCGAACTCCCAACCTCAGGTGATCCGCCTTCCTCGGCCTCCCAAAATGCTGGGATTACATGTGTGAGCCACTGCGCCCGGTCAGGATATGACTATTAGAGCCTGGGACTACAAAAGCAAGTTGGAAAATTAATAAATGCAAAGTCACAAAGCCTTGGCCACGGCCGGATTGACTTTGTAGCCCAGGGAATGCTGGCTGTCCCGACACTACCCCAAAGCTCACACCTCCGAGGCCTTCTGGGAGTGCCCCCCAGAGAGGCCAGGTCCTCCTCTCCCAGTTGCTGGGCACTTGGTCACCATCAGTCTGTGCTCTGCCCTGGCTGAGGTCACTCTAGGTCTCCCATGCCTACCCCTGGTGCTGCAGAAGGGGAGACTGAGGCCCAGAGATGGGGAATGGAATGCCCCTGGCTAGGTCCCTGAGCCTCCTCCTCCCTGCCTGCCCCAGAAAAGCGCCCTCATCAAGTTAGCCAACATCCGGGCAGCGGAAAAGGTTGAGGAAAAGAGCTTTGGCGGCTCGCACGTCATGCAGGTCATCTACACGGACGACGCCGGCAGGCCCCAGACTGCCTACCTGCAGTGCAAGGTGCGGGGAGGGGAGCGGGTGCTGTGGGAGTGGCCTGAACACTGTGGGAGTGGCTTGGGTGCTGTGGGAGAGGCCTGGGTACTGTGGGAGTGGCATGAGTCCTGTGGGAGTGGCCTGGGTATTGTGGGAGAGGCCTGAGCTCTATGGGAGTGGCCTGGGTGCTGTGGGAGTGCCCTGGATGCTATGGGAATGCCCTGGGTGCTGTGGGAATGGCCTGGGTGCTATGGGAGTGGCCTGAGCTCTGTGGGAGTGGCCTGGGTGCTGTGGGAGGGGCCTGAGTGGACTGGATGAGAAAAGAGTTGATTGAGCTTCTCGCCCCGCTACCAGCTACATCAGGCACCGCAGGGTGTGTCTAATCTGGGAGGTGTCAGGGACAGGTGTGTGTGTGTTGTCCAGGGGCCTGAGCCCCCAGGAGGCCATGGCCCATGTCTTTCCCTGGGCATCCATGTGTAGGTCTGTGTGTGGGCCAGTGCACAGACAGGTGCATCCCCGTGATGTGAAATTTGCACGTTGCACCCGTTTGTTGGAAACTATTTCCAGATAACTGAGATGGGGGCCAGGCACGCTGGTTCACACGGATAATCCCAGCATTCTAGCCAGGGCAACAGAGCAAGACCCTTTCTCTAAAACAGAAAGTCTGAGCTGGCACCTGTGTGGTTCTGTGTCTGTATCAATGCCTAATAATCAAACATTATGCTGTGTGTGGCTCTGGGTGCATGTTCTCAAGTAACCTTCTCATCTGTTCCTTCATTAACTCATTCATTCATTTATTTAAAAAATACTTACTGAGCACCTCCTAGGTTCCAGGCATGATTCTAGGTGAGGGGATACAGTGGCAGATGAGGCAGAGTCCTGCCCTCATGGAGCTGATATCCCTGGGAGAAGATGGGCCAATAAATACATGTTTCAAATGTCGGCTCATGCCTGTAGTCCCAGTACTTTGGGAGGCTGAGGTGGGAGGATCACTGGAGGCCAGGAGTTTGAGAACAGCCTGGCCAATGTAGCAAGACCCCATCTCTACAAAAAGAAAATTAGCCAGCCATGATGGCATGCACCTGTGATTCCAGCTACTTGGGAGGCTGAGGCAGGAAGATAGCCTGAACCCAGGAGTTGGAGGCTGCAGTGAACTATGATCACACCACTGCACTCCAGCCTGGGCTACAGAGTGAGACCCTGTCTCTTAAAAAAAAAAAAAAAAAAAAAAAAGCAAATTGTGATAGTGACTTGAAGGGAACCAGAAGGGACTAAGGGAGCAAGGGAGGGAAGAGAGTGGGGTATAGCAGGGAGCGGTCTGTCCTATTAAGAGTGGTCAGGGAGAGTACAAAAAGTAGCTGGGTGTGGTGGTGTGCGCCTGTAGTCCCAGCTACTTGGGGGGCTGAGGCAGGAGAATCGCTTGAACCTGGGAGGTGGAGGTTGCAGTGAGCTGAGATCGAGCCACTGCACTCCAGCCTGGTGACAGAGCAAGACTCCATCTCAAAATAAATAAATAAATTAATTAGTAAATTAATTAAAGAGTGGTCAGGGAGGACCTCTGATGGGTGGCATTCGAGCAGGGACCTTGTAGGAGGGTGACCCAGATGTGTATCTAGGGCAGGGACATGTGGGACAAGTAAGAAGCCTGCAGCTGGAGGGGGGTTGGTTTCTTCCGGGCTTGACCGTCCTGGCCTGTGGGGAGGAAGTCACAGACCTGTCCCTCTGTGCCCTTCCCTCTAGGAGTTCCCTTTTGTGTCAGGGTCCAGAGCCACTGGGAAAAGTAGTGATATCAGGGCCACCAAATATATTTGGCGGGTTCTGGAATACCTACGAGCGTGGCCAAGGGGCCAGCGGCGGCTGAAATCCAGCCCACACCAGCCTCCTGGGCTCCTACCATCCCGGTGCCTTCCGTGGGGACAAGTGGAGCTGCTGCCACCAAAAAGACGAGACAGGTGGGAGAGGAGAGGATGAAGTCTTGCTGTGTTGCCCAGGCTGGTCTTGAATTCCTGGGCTCAAGCGATCCTCCCACCTCGGCCCCCTATAATCCCAGCTGTAGTCCCAGCACTTTGGGAGGCTGAGGTGGGAGGATCACTGGAGGCCAGGAGTTTGAGAACAGCCTGGCCAATGTAGCAAGACCCCATCTCTAAAAAAAAGGAATTAGCCAGCCATGATGGCATTATAGGAGTGAGCCACTGGGATTATAGGAGTGAGCCACTGCACCTGCTCTCCAGGCCATGCGCCCGGGCATGGGTCATGTTCCACTGGAGGAAGGGCAGCTTCTCCTAATTCACTCAAAGCTGCTGGGTTGGTATGGTGGGGAACATGGCGTCTGGCGTGGTACAGGAGCTCCGGGTTAGGAGGGCTTCCTGGAGGAGGTGACGTCTGAACAGGCCTCCCCCTCCGTGTCCCCTGCAGTGTGTGAATGAGCTTAACCAGTGGCTGTCTGCGCTGCGGAAGGTGAGCATCAACAACACCGGACTGCTGGGCTCCTACCACCCTGGCGTCTTCCGTGGGGACAAGTGGAGCTGCTGCCACCAAAAAGAGAAGACAGGTGGGAGAGGAGGCCTGGGTCCCGGGCTCTGCATCCGTCCACTGCGAGATCGGGCCTCTGGCTGAACGATGGGACCCTGAGCCCTGCTGTGCACCTGCAGGGACCTAACCCAAGGAATGCTGGCCCCTCCAGGAGCTCTGGGCAGAAAGGGTCCCGTGGACCAGGTGGTTTGGGAAATGCCACGTGATGTGTGTGATGCATATGAGTGAATTCGCTGAAGGCTCTAAGGAGGCCCGAAAACACGTTAGAATCCCATTTCTTTTTATTTCTTCTTCTTCTTTTTTTTTTTTTTTCAGACACAGACTTTCACTCTGTCCCCCAGACTGGAGTGCAATGGCACGATCTCAGCTCGCTGCAATCTCCACCTCCCAGGGTCAAGCAATTCTCCTGCCTCAACCTCCCCAGTAGCTGGGATGACCGGCACTCGCCACCAAGCCTAGCTAATTTTTTTGTATTTTGACTAGAGATGGGGTTTCACCATGTTAGTCAAGCTGCTCTTGTTTTGTTGTTGTTGTTGTTGTTGTTGTTGTTGTTGTTTGATACTGAGTCTCGCTCTATCATCCAGGCTGGAGTGCAGTGGTGCAATCTCGGCTCACTGCAATCTCCGTTTCCCAGGCTCAAGTGATTCTCCTGCCTCAGCCTCCCAAGTACTACAGGCGCAAGCCACTGCACCCAGCTAAGTTTTGTATTTTCAGTAAAGACGGGGTTTTACCATGTTGGCCAGGCTGGTCTTGAACTCCCGACCTCGTGATCTGCCCTCCTCGGCCTCCCAAAGTGCTGGGATTACAGGTGTGAGCCACCACGCCCGGCCTAGAATTCCATTTCTAACGTGGTTTAACCCAGCACTTCCCAAACTCTTTTGACAGGGAACCCTTCTCTTCCCCAAGGAGCTTCTTACAGAACAGGTGTTCTCAGGAACACATTCGAGGAGCCCCCTGCTAATGAGAGCCAGAGAGCCCCTGGGTTCGCACACTCCAATGCTGGCCATCTGAATCCGGAGCTGTGGGTGGGAGGGGACCCTGAGCCTTGGGCACTAGAGGGATGGCATAGAGGAGCTTCTAGAAGGACTCCATACTGTGTAGTACTCTAGGTTCTAGCACCTGTGGTTCTTGAGCACTTGAAATGTGGCTTGAGGAGCTGAGGGGTTTTTTTTGTTTAATTTTTTAAAACAGGGTCTTGCTCTGTTGCCCAGGCTGGAGTGCAGTGGCACGATCATAGCTCACTGCAGCCTCCAACTCCTGGGCTCAAGCAATCCTCCTGCCTCAGCCTCTGAGTAGGCTGGCACTACCGGCATGCATCACCACACCTGGCTCATTTAAAAAAAATTGTTTTAGAGGTGGGGTCTTGCTATGTTGTTCAGGCTGGTCTTGAATTCCCAGGCTCAAGCAATCCTCCTGCCTCGGCCTCCCAAAGTGCTGAGATTGTAGGAGTGAGCCACCACATCTGGCCTGAGTTTCACATTTTTAAAAATGTTGTTTTGGCCGGGTGTGGTGGCTCACGCCTGTAATCCTAGCACTTTGGGAGGCCAAGGTAGGCGGATTGCCTGAGCTCAGGAGTTAGAGACGAGCCTAGGCAACATGGTGAAACCCCATCTCTGCTAAAATACAAAAAAAAAATTAGCCAGGCATGGCGGCGTGGGCCTGTAGTCCCAGCTACTCAGGAGGCTGAGGCAGGAGAACTGCTTGAACCTGGGAGGCAGAGGTTGCAGTAAGCCAAGATGGTGCCACTGCACTCCAGCCTGGCGACAGAGCGAGACTCCATCTCAAAAAAAAAAAAACAAAAAAACAAAAAAAAAAACAGAAAAGAAACAAAAAACGTTGTTTTAATTTTAATTAACTCAAATAGCTTCATGTGGCTAGCTGCCGCCCTGTAGAACAGCACAGTTCTAGAACTTTCGAGACCTTCTCCCTGTTATCCACACTTACTTTACAGAGTAGACTCAGCACTTCGAGTCCCCTGTCCTTCAGGCCAGGCCAAATCTTGGTCCCCAGAGCCCAGTGTGGCAGAGGCCATCGAAAACTGACCCACGCACTCTAGCCCAGCCCTGGATTTACAGCCAAGCACTGTATAGGGATGGGTGACTCTTTTGTTTTTGTTTTTGTTTTGAGTTGGGTCTCTCACTCTCTCACCCAGGCTGGAGTGCAGTGGCATAATCATAGCTCACTGTAGCCTTGACCTCCTGGGCTCAAGCCATCCTCCTGCCTCAGCCTCCTGCAGAACTGGGACTACAGGCACATGCCACCACACCCAGCTATTTTTTATTTTATTTTTTTGTAGAGTCAGGGTCTCACTGTGTTGCCCAGACTGGTCTTGAACTCCTGGCCTCAAGCTATCTTCCTGCCTCAGCCTCCCAAAGTGCTGGGATTACAGGTGTGAGCCACTGTGCCTGGCCTCTTGGTGACTCTTTGCAAGGGCATTGCTGGCTGGCTGATATGGCCTGCAGCCTCTGCCTGTAACCATCAGAGCGATACTCTCATTATCGGCAAGGTGGGACCCACCCTGGCCCAAGAGACAGGGCCTGTTATTCCACTGTATGGAGGAGAAGCTGAGGCTTAGGGAAGGCAGATGACTTGGCAAGGTCATAAAGACAGCAAGCTGCAGGACCAGCTCATTCTAAGGCATGAACCCCCTGTGGCCCACCTCACCATGATGTTAACATTTCAGCCTGCTCCCTTCCAGGCAGACAGTCTTCCAGAAAGTTACCCGGCTCCCTGGCTGGGCGCGGTGGCTCACGCCTGTAATCTCAGCACTTTGGGAGGCCGAGACGGGCAAATCACGAGGTCAGGAGATCGAGACCATCCTGGCTAACACAATGAAACCCCGTCTCTACTAAAAATATAAAAAATTAGCTGGGCGTGGTGGCGGGCATCTGCAGTCCCAGCTACTCAGGAGGCTGAAACAGGAGAATGGCGTGAACCTGGGAGGCAGAGCTCGCAGTGAGCCAAGATCGCGCCACTGCACTGCAGCCTGCACGACAGAGCGAGACTCCGTCTCAAAAAAAACCAAAAGTTACCCAGCAACCCGAGTCATATCCTGATGATATCCATGCTCCTCAGTCACGCATCCCGTGGTGCAGGGGCTGACCCCAAGAGGAGCTGCTGCCCACAGAGGGTGGGGAGCCGAGGCAGGGCCTGGGTCAGACTTACCAGGCTATGCTCCCAGCCCAGCCCTCACTAGGGACCCCCGAGTGCATCTCTCTCCTCTCCAGGCCTCTGTTTCTCCATCTGTGCAACCACAGTGTTGGACATGGTAGTCCCAAGTGTCTGCTCGTAACTTTGCCCTCTCTGTGCCCCCAGGTCAGGGCTGCGATAAGACCCGGTCACGGGTGACCCTGCAGGAGTGGAATGACCCTCTTGACCATGACCTTGAGGCCCAGCTCATCTACCGGCACCTGCTGGGCGTGGAGGCCATGCTGTGGTGAGTCCCACCCAGGAGAGCCTGTGCAGCCTGGGGAACGTGCCAGGCTTGGGGCTGCTCCATGGTGGCTGGTCACCTCTCTTGTAATTGGCCACATCTGGGGAGGGCACCAGGAGTACCTCTCTGCAGCACGAGGCCAGCTCAGGTTAGGACAGAGGCCCCAAGGGTCAGGGCCATGCCTGCTTCATGCCATGTGCTGACTGAGCCCACCTTGCAACCTGCCCAGCTGTTCCCCTGGGCCCTTGGAGTACAGGCACAGCCTCAGCCAATTCCCTGAGTTCCCTGGCCATCTTGCTTCATCCAGTGGTTCTCAGCCTTGGCAGAAGCTTAGAAAAAACAAGATGCTTTTAAAGATCAGCTTTAAAAAACAGGATGCCAAGGCCCCATCACTCAGGGTCTCTGGAGATGTGGCTGGTGCCAGGATACTTCAAGGTGATCCAGTGCTTCCCATGCGCTCAGCTTCCCCTGAGCCAACTGGAGCTGGAGCTCATTCATCTGTCACACCCCTACACTCTGCAAGGAGGAAGGGTGTGGTCCTCCCCATTCCTCATCGACTCTTCCAGGGTTTATCTCTGCCCTCAAAACCCACGAAGGTGGGGTGCGGTGACTCATGCCTGTTATCCCAGCTCTTTGGGAGGTGGAGGCAGGCAGATTGTTGGAGATCAGGAGTTTGAAACCAGCCTGGCCAACATGGCGAAACCTCTTCTCTACTAAAAATACAAAAATTAACTGATGTGGTGGAGGGTGCCTGTAATCCCAGCTACTCAGGAGGCTGAGGCAGGAGAATTGCTTGAACCCAGGAGGTGGAAGTTGCAGTGAGCTTAGATTGCGCCACTGCACTCCAGCCTGGACCGCAGAACAAGACTCTGTCTCAAAAACAAAACAAAACAAATGCAAAGGGCCTTCTGGTCAACCCACAGTGGGATGGGGAGGAGGAGGAGACACGGGGAGGGAGAAGGTGGAAGGTGCCCTGGTGGGCCTTGGCCCAGCCTCTTCACAGACTGAAAGAGTCAGCCCTGCCATCACCCCCAGAGCCACCTCTAGCCCAGGAGGCCCATGCTGGGCCACCCCCAGCCTTCCCACAAGGACACCAGAAGGTCTGGCAGGGAGAGTGGAGGCTGCTGGCCCTCACTCTGACCTCCCCCACAGGGAGAGGCACCGGGAGCTGAGCGGGGGCGCAGAGGCAGGCACGGTGCCCACGAGCCCTGGCAAAGGTAGGTCTTGCCCACCTGGGACTTGCTCGTGGCCCGAGCCCCCTCCAGAGATGCACGGGTGGGGTCCTCGGGCTCACTCCCAGGGGCCCTCACGGCTGCCTCTGCCCACAGTCCCCGAGGACTCATTGGCCCGGCTGCTCCGGGTGCTGCAGGACCTCCGCGAGGCCCATAGCTCCAGCCCGGCCGGCTCCCCACCCTCAGAGCCCAACTGCCTCCTGGAGCTGCAGACGTGAGGCCCGCCCTACGCTCCCCTTGCTGAGTCCCCTGCCAAGCGCTCGGAGCCCCCCCAGGACACTCTGCACCCCCTCACCCCGGTCCTCCTCATTAGGGTGCAGGGCCTAGGTCTCTTCCAGGTGGGGGAGGGGGGAGAGTCAGGAATAAGGGGATCCCCAGAAGTGCAGAGCTGAGCAGGCTTGGGCCTGTCATGGCTGGCCGGAAGTGTCCCCAGCTCCCTACAGACGCTGTAGCCATCACTGCCTCTCCAGGGACCCTCCTCTCCTGCCCAGGACAGACCCAGCCAGAACCACTGCTAGGATGGGCCGCACCCAGGGGTCTGGCCTCCAGGGACCTAGAGAATGGGAGGGAGAACGGGGCCCCAGGAGACCCGGCCGCCACCCCACCCGCTACCCTTGGGTGCCACAGGGCTGTGCTGTTGCCAACAGTAAACCTGCTCTTACTGTCCAGGCTCTGGGGTCTTGTGATGAGGGTCTGGGGAGAAAGTGGGCCCGGGGGGACCCCGGAGGCTGTCGGTGGATGTGCCGATGATGGGGCTGACAGTATGGGCTCTGGGCATCCCTGTTCCCCCCTCTTTCTTCCCCCCACTCTTCTGGGGTCGGGGGTTCCTTTCCCTTCCCAGTTGCTGTCCCTGGGTCCCCTCTTTCATGTCCCACAGGCCACAGAGCCCAGTGTGTCCAACCAGCTGTTCTCTCCTCAAAGCAGCCCCCAAGCAAGTCCCTTCTCTAGGGTGTCCCTGAGGACAGCACAGAGGCGGGACTCAGAGACCCCATTCCTCTTCACGCAGCCCTTACCCCAAGCCCTCTAGCTGTGTGGCTGGCAGTGTTGGCCACGTAGGGGCTCCCATCCCCCCACCATTGTGTCACATGGGCTGCCAGGCTCAGCTCCCAGCTGCGTCCACAGTGACCTGGATCAGGGTGGGGACAAGGACTGGACCCTCCTTCTCCAGAAGGCCTTCAGCTCTTGCCTTGCCATGCAGTCACCTCCTTCCCCCTCTGACCCCAGATCCCAAAGGTGCACCGTTGCCCCAGCCCCTTTCTGGCCCCATGGGGTTTCTCTGATGCCTTCATCATAGAGGCCCGGGGCTGGTCCGATGGTTGGCAAAACTTGACTCCGGCCCAGTCCCCACTCTTGGGGACTTAGAACCCCTGCTGTCCTGGGATCTGGCCTGCCTTTCTTTGGTCAGTCCCTGTGGTCCCCCACCAGCTCCCCCTCCCATAGGGCTGCCCACCAAGCCCTGCCCCCAGCCCAAGAGGAGCCCCCACTGCCTGCGGGGCAGTGATGTCTGGCCACCGGCTCACACCAATGACTTGGTCCTGGGGTGGCAGAAGCAGCAGGTGACAGGAGCAGGGCCCCTGTCCCTCTCTTCTGGCCCTGTGGTACCCAGGCCACACGTTGTGCCCGCTCTTGGGGCTGACCGGCTGTAGGGACCACCAGCCGCTGCTACTGTGGGCCGCCCCGGGGCAGGGTGGGCAGGGCTTTTGTGGGTTATGAGGACACAGAAGTCCCTGAGGCCCCCAGACCTGGCTCAGCCAACCTCCTTCCTCCCCCGGTTGCCCCCCACTCTAAAGCCTCCTCCCTCCCAGCGTCCACTGGCTCCAGGCTCCTCACAACAGCAGCTCATAGACACGGGGCGTCTCCAGGTGGTCCCAGCCCTCCAGATGTTTCTAGCTCTCCAGGTGGGCGCTGTTTTCACGTCTGCCTGCATCCATTCATTCCTTCATTCCTCACCTTTATCCTGTTATCTCTATTTTTTTAAGCTACCAGGAAGGAAAGGGAAGAAGAGATCACGAAACTGGGACCCCCAGAAAGGAGGAGTGGGCTTTGAACTTAGACATCTACCTCAGAGCTCAAATAGGTTGTTTAAAATCACATTCAATTTTCAGATGAAGGGGAACTTTATAGTTTTTTTTTTTTTTTTTTTTTTGAGACAGAGTCTCACTGTGTTGCCCAGGCTGGAGTGCAAATGGCTTGATCTTGGTTCACTGCAACCTCTGCCTCCCAGGTTCAAGCAATTCTCTTGCCTCAGCCTCCCGAGTAGCTGGGACTAAAGGCGTGTGCCACCATGCCCAGCTAATTCTTGTATTTTTAGTAGAGACGGAGTTTCTCCATGTTGGCCAGACTGGTCTCGAACTCCTGACCTCAGGTGATCTGACCGCCTTGGCCTCCGAAAGTGCTGAGATTACAGTTGCGAGCCACTGTGCGTGGCCAGAACTTTATAATAAGAGACTTGAAGCTGGGTGTGACGGTGCACACCTCTAGTCCCAGCTACTCGGGAGGCCAAGACAGAAGGATCACCTTGAGGCCAGGAGTTTAAGGCCAGCCTGGGCAACATAGCAAAACCTAGTCCCTAAAATTAAAAAAAAAAAAAAAAAAAAAAGGAAAATAAAGGAGACTTGAAATTTTTGAACTAAATAGTGGTGATGGCTACACATTGTGAATGTAATTAACACCACTGAGTTAAACACTTAAAATGGTTAAAATGGCAAATTGTATGTTATACCTATTTTACTACAATAAAAAGTATAAAAAAGAGAAGATATTTAGGTGACTTACAGCAACCAATTGCAACAAAACAAAATGTTAAGAAATGATCTTTTTATGAGGCAATTGGAAATTTGAACACTGATCAACTATAGGATGATTGGAATTATTAATTTTTAAAGGTGTGATAAGATACTGCACTTGGCTGGGCACAGTGGCACATGCCTGTAATCCCAGCTACTTGGCAGGCTGAGGTGGGAGAATCGCTTGAGCTCAGGAGTTCGAGACCAGCCTGGGCAACGTGGCGAAATCCCCGTCTTTACAAAAACAAACAAACAAACAAAAAAGATATTGCAGTTGTGTTGTAAGCGTCCTTATCTTTCAGAGCTACATAGTGGAATGTTTATGGAATATTTAGGATAAATGATATAGGCATTTGGGATTTGCTGCAAAATGACCCAGAGGCAGGGGTCAGGGGGAGAGGTAGAGATGAGACAAGAGGTAGAGGGGAGAGGTAGAGGTAGCCACGAGCTGATAATTACAGACAAGAGATGCGGAGTATGTGGGGGCTCATTATCCTGCATAGTCTATCTTTGTATATCTTTGAACTTTTCAAGAATAAAAAAGCTTAAAAAGTATACATGGCCTGGTCCTACCAGAGACTCACCCAATGCCAGCCTCCAGCCAGGGAGAGCCAAGTTTGCATTTTCACACGCATCTCACACTCCTCTGCACTCTCAACTTGGAGCGCTCCAAACAGGGAAACCCCAAGCCTTGCTGGCTTCTGCCAACCCCCTGAGCAGAAGCATGGGTCCCCCTGATCACCACCTCACCACCCTCATCCTGATCTCACTGTACACAGCAATGTAAACCCCAGTGTAATTAACAAGACTGAGGATACCTGTAATCCCAGCACTTTGGGAGGCTGAGGCCGGCAGATCACATGAGTTCAGGAGTTCGAGACCAGCCTGGCAAACCATGGCCAACATGGCAAAGCCCAGTCTCTACTAAAAACACAGAAATTAGCCAGGTGCGGTGGTGCGCATCTGTAACCCCTACTACTTAGGAGAATTGGATTGAACCCGGGAGGCGGAGGTTGCAGTGAACTGAGATCGCACCACTGCACTCCAGCCTGGGTGACAGAGTGATTCTCCATCTCAAAAAAAAAAAAAAAAACAACAAGACAGAGGAGAGGAGGGGCAGAGTCTTCCAGAACATCTTTTTTTTTTTTTTTTTTTTTTTTTTTTTTTTTTTTTTTTGAGACAGAGTCTTACTGTGTTGCCCAGGCTGGAGTGGAGTGGAGTGATCATAACTCACTGCGGCTTCCAACTCCTGAGTTCAAGTGATCCTCCTGCCTCAGCCTTCTGAGTAGCTGGGACTACAGGTGTGCACCATCATGCCCAGCTAATTTTTTGTACTTTTGGTAGAGACAGGGTCTCACCATGTTGTCCAGGTTGGTCTCCAACTCCTGGGCTCAAGCCATCCTCCCACTTCAGCCTCCCAGAGCGCTGGGATTACAGGACCACCGCACCCAGCCACGAACACATTCTCAACGCTCATCCAAGCAAGCTCTGAGCCTCCCCTTTGTCCTTAGCCTAGGACAGCCCCCAGTGTCCCAGGGCTCAGACATGACCCCTGACCTGGCTGCCCAGCTAGGTTCTGGGGCAGGGCCAGTGGGGCATCCTGTATACCTTGGCTCTTCCAGGAATAGTAGGGAAAGGCAAAGAGGGCTGGGCACGGTGGCTCATGCCTGTAATCCCAGTACTTTGGGAGGCCAAGGTGGGTGGATCACCTGAGGTCAGGAGTTAGAGACCAGCCTGGTCAACATGGTGAAACCCTGTCTCTACTAAAAATACAAAAATTAGCTGGACATGGTGGCAGGTGCCTGTAATCACTACTTGAGAGGCTGAGGCAGGAGAATTGCTTGAATTTAGGAGGTGGAGGTTGCAGTGAGCCGAGATCGGGCCACTCCACTCCAGCCTGGGTGACAGAGAGACGCTGTCTCAAAAAAAAAAATAAAAAGGTCAAGGGGAAATTAAGATTCAAGGGGCCTGCCCTCTCCCTCTTCCCTGTGGCTTTTGGGGCCATACCAACCTTTTCTCCTGGCTGTGGCCTTGGTGGATACCATTTCCCCCATAGGCAGCCCACCAGCCCGACCCCTTAGAGCTTCATAGCCTGCTGTGCTCTGCCGTCCTATGGGCAACTAAGCCTTTTTGCTGGATTGGGTCCCTCCCCTCCCTTCCTGGCCCAAGGCCCTGGGTCCAGGGACAGCTGAGCCTGATGCAGCCCCTACCCCACCCCAAATCACCAGCACCTGGTTCTCTGGCTACTTCCTTAGGGGTACACAAAAATCCTCATGCCTGTTGGATCTCCTTGGGTTTCAAGGACCTTCTCTCTAGGAAGTATGGCCTCCAGGGTCTCCTGAGCCTAAACGCAGGCAGTGAAAGGGAAGGAGCCGTGGACTTATTAGGGCTACAAGTGGAAACCTGGATCTTGAGTGCACACACACAGCCACCCTTCTGGCAGCATCCACCATGCCTCTCCTCCCCTCCCCAGATCCTGACCACTGCAGCTGGAAGGGAAGTTAACATCAGTGCATGCCTGGCACTGCCCCCTGGTTCTCCTCTCAGGCCCTGAGCAGAGCTGCCCATAGTCCATCATGCCACATTGTTTCTGGAGGCCACCTGGAAAAGCGAGAGGAGCAGGAGAGGGTATACCTTCCATCTGTCCCACAAGTCTATACCACCCCCTCCCAGAGACTTCAAGCCCTGGCATTCAACTGGGGCCTGGGGCAGGTTCCCAGATGTTTTGTTTGTTTGTTTTTGTTTTTGTTTTTGTTTGAGATGGAATCTGGTTCTGTCGCCCAGGCTGGAGGGCAGTGGTGTGATCTCAACTCACTGCAACCTCCACCTCCCAGGTTGAGGCGATTCTCCTGCCTCAGCCTCCTGAGTAGCTGGGATTTACAGGCACATGCCACCACTCCCAGCTAATATTTTGTCTTTTTTTTTTTTTTAGCAGAGATGGGGTTTCATGGAGTTTCACCATATTGGCCATGCTGGTCTTAAACTCCTGACCTAAGATGATCCTTCTGCCTCAGCCTCCCAAAGTGCTGAGATTACAGGTGTAAGCCACCGCACCTGGCCTATTTTTTTTTTTTTTTTTTTTTGAGACAGAGTCTCCCTCTGTTACCCAAGCTGGAGGATAGTGGAACATTCTCGGCTCACTGCAACCTCTGCCTTCCAAGTTCAAGTGATTATCCCACCTCAGCCTCCCGAATAGCTGGAATTACAGGTGCCCATCACCACGCCTGACTAATTTTTGTATTTTTTAGTAGAGATGGGGTTTCACCATGTTGGCCAGGCTGGTTTTGAACTCCTGAACTCAAGTGATCCGCCCACCTCATCCTCACAAAGTGCTAGGATTACAGGCATGAGCCACCATGCCCAGTCCCAGATGTCTTGAGGATCTGATTGGACCCCCAGGCAGATATCTGCAGCCCAGGGGGCTGGTGTTCACCACAGGGCAGGGCAGGCACCCTGGGAAGGCTTGACTGGACCTAGCTCACCCAGTACCTGTTTCTCTCAACCTCTTAGGAAATCTGAACAGGTATGCAGCAACCACCTCCGGACAAGGCCTTTTCAAAGTATAATTTTCAAACATGTAAAAAAGATGACTCATATATATCATGAACACATATCAAAGATCTACTACGCATCAATTCAGAAAAAGAGTGGGAACTCTGATTCATGGATCATTCTGAGAAGCTGGGTACATGTATTTCATGTATTTGTAAGCATTCTTTTGTTTTGTTTTGTTTTTGAGACAGGGTCTCGCTCTGCCACCCAGGCTGGAATGCAGTGGTGCAGTCATAGCTCATTGTAGCCTGTTCCTCCTGGGCTCAAGCAATCCTATTGCTTCAGCCTCCCAAGTAAATGCAACTACAGGCACACACTACTATGCCCTGCTGATTTTTTAAATTTTTAGTAGAGACAAGATCTTGCTATATTGCCCAGGCTAGTTTCAAACTCCTGGGCTCAGGCAATCCTCCCTCAGCCTCCCTAAGTGCTGGGACTACAGATGTGAGCCACTGTGCCTGGCCCGTAAACACTTTAAGAGAAGAATGCTAGAATAAGATTGTGATATTACATACGAAAGTGGTTAATTAATGAAGTTTTCTTTTCTTTTTTTTTTTTTTTGTTTTTTGTTTTTTTTGAGACGGAGGCTCATTCTGTCGTCCAGGCTGGAGTACAGTGGTGCGATCTTGGCTCACTGCAACTTCTGCCTCCCGGGTTCAAGCAATTCTCCTGCCTCAGCCTCCCGAGTAGCTGGGATTACAGGTGCTCACCGCCACACCCAGCTAATTTTTGTATTTTTAGTAGAGATGGGGTTTCACCATGTTGGCCAGGATCGTCTCCATCTCCTGACCTCGTGATCTGCCCACCTCGGCCTCCCAAAGTGCTGGGATTACAGGTGTGAGCCACTGCGCCCGGCCATGAAGTTTTCTTTTCTACGGGATAGACACCCACAAGCTAATAAGTAACTTCAGTGTCTGGGCTGTAACCAAACAATAAATAGCAAAGTCAACACAGGCACAATCCCCAAGATTAGGATCAGCAAACGTTTTCTGTAAAGGACCAGACATGCAGCTCTCAGTCACAACCACCATGCCATGTAGCATGAAAGCAACCACAGCCAATGTGTAACAAATTAGCATGGTATGTGTGGCCAGGGGCAGGGCTCATGCCTATAATCCCAGCACTTTGAGAGGCCAAGGCGAGAAGATTGCTTGAGGTCAGGAGTTCGAGACCAGCCTAGGCAATAAAGTTGGACCCCATCGCTACAAAAAGTAAAAAGAAAAAAACTAGCAGGGCGCCGTGGTGCCTGCCTGTGGTCCCAGGTACTGGGGAGGCTGAGGCAGGAGGACTGCTTGAGCCCAGGAGCTTGAAGCTGCAGTGAGCTATGATCTCACCACTGCACTCCAGCCTAGACAACAGAGCCGAGATCATGCCACTGCACTCCAGCCTGGGCGACAGAGCGAGATGCTATCTCAAAAAAAAAAAGAAAAAAAGAGAAAAAAAGAAAAAAAGTGATAAGGGTAATAATTCCCTGAGGATATAACCTCCACACTTCTGGGTCACCCTGGAAAAGCTTGGGTCAAGGATGCTACCCTTGGCTAGGAACAGTGGCTCACGCCTGTAATCCCAGTACTTTGGGAGGCTGAGTGCAGTGGCGCAATCTCGGCTCACTGCAACCTCCGCCTCCCGGGTTCAAGCGATTCTCCTGCCTCTGCCTCCCAAGTAGCTGGGATTACAGGTGCCCACCACCACGCCCGACTAATTTTTTGTATTTTTAGTAGAGATGAGGTTTCACCATGTTGGCCAGGCTGGTCTCTAACTCCTGACCTCAAGTGATCCGCCTGCCTCAGCCTCTCAAAGTGCCAAAGTGCTAGGATTACAGGCGTGAGTCACCGCACCCAGCCTACCCATATCACTTTCTGTTCCTCAGCAGTTAAAGAGGTGCCCACCCACTTCGCCTGGAAAGTCAGATTCTGTGTGGGGCTGTTGCAGAATGAGATTTCCTCCTGCCAGGGTGCAAGAACTCAAGTAGGAAATGGGCCTTCCCAGAAGGGGTAGATGCTCCAGATTTCCTCAGCACTGTAGCTGCTGCCCAGCCTTGGAGAAACAGCTGCCAAACTGTTAGGGCCCTGGTAGCTCCTCTGAGACCCCAGTCCCTGTTGCTTCAAACAGCTTAAGGAGGGCCTTTATGCTAAACTGTAGTCTGCAAAGCAACCAAACCAAAAAGGGTAAGATACACTTATCCACCTGTAGGGTCCAGCCCCACAGGGTCGGTGGGTTTCTCTCCATGTGCAGAGACGAGAGAGCGCAGAAATAAAGACACAAGACAAAGAGATAAAAGACAGCTGGGCTGGGGGGACCACTACCACCAAGACGCAGAGACCAGTAGTGGCCCTGAATGCCAGGCTGCGCTGATATTTATTGGATACAAGACAAAGGGGCAGGATAAGGAGAGTGAGCCATCTCCAATGATAGGTAAGGCCACATGGGTCACGTGTCCACTGGACAGGGGCCCTTCCCTGCCTGGCAGCCGAGGCAGAGAGAGAGAGGAGAAAGAGAGAGAGACAGCTTACACCATTATTTCTGCTTATCAGAGACTTTTAGTACTTTCACTAATTTGCTACTGCTATCTAGAAGGCAGAGCCAGGTGTACAGGATGGAACATGAAGGTGGACTAGGAGCGTGACCACTGAAGCACAGCATCACAGGGAGACGGTTATGCCTCCGGGTAACTGTGGGCGGGCCTGTGGAGGAGTAGAGTCTTCTCTAAACTCCCCCGGGGAAAGGGAGACTCCCTTTCCCGGTCTGCTAAGTAGCGGGTGTTTTTCCTTGACACTAACGCTACAGCTAGACCACGGTGGGCTTGGCAACAGGTGTCTTCCCAGATGCTGGCGTTACCGCTAGACCAAGGAGCCCTCTGGTGGCCCTGTCCGGGCATAACAGAAAGCTTGCACTCTTGTCTTCTGGTCACTCCTCACTGTCCCCTCAGCTCCCATCTCTGTATGGCCTGGTTTTTCCTAGGTTATGATTGTAGAGCGAGGATTATTATAATATTGGAATAAAGAATAATTACTACAAACTAATGATTAATGATTCATATATAATCATATCTCAGATCTATATCTAGTATAACTATTCTTATTTTATATATTTTATTATACTGGAACAGCTCGTGCCCTCGGTCTCTTGCCTCGGCACCTGGGTGGCTTGCTGCCCACATCCACCAAGTGCACTTTGGGAGGCTGAGGCTGGAGGACTGCTGGAGGCCAGGAGTTCAATACCAGCCTGGGCAACATAGGGAGACCCCCCCCCCCACCATCTCCAAAAATAAAAAAAAAAATAGCTAAGTGTGATGGCACATGCCTGCAGTCCTAACTATCGGGAGGCTGAGGCAGGAGGATCTCTGGAGCCCAGGAGTTGGAGGCTGCATGATGGCGCCACTGTACTTCAGCCTGGGCGACAGAGGGAGACGCTGTCTCTAAATAATAATAATAATATATAAAAAGATATACGTAACCCTACGGGCTCCCCTCTCACTGCTGTATACACCTGCCTCCTTCTGCATCCCTCACCCAATTGTCCCTCCCGGCTAACAAGCCAGCTGCACCCCCCAGGCAGAGGTCCTGCAGCAGTCGGTATAGGCAGCCTGGGCAGGGGGCTTGTCATAGATCTGCCTCTGGCCACGAGATCTTCTGCTCCCCCTACGGCTGCTAGCCGCAGCTGTCCACTACCCCTTAGCTTTATTCTCTCTATTCAGGGGCCTCCTGCTGCGCACTCCAAGGGGGTGCACGTTTCCAAAGAGAGATCAAGGGACATGGGGAAAGGAGAAAGGTACAGCTTGAGGTTCCCGCTCAGCCAGGACTAGGAGGCCTCTGTAGGGGCAGAACAGCCCTGCCGGCGCTCTGAGCATGCGCCGAAAAGCGCCCACGGGGAAAGCCATGCCGGGGTGCGGGGTGGGGGGGTGGGGGGGGGGGGGGGCGGTGCGCTCGCCACTGACGCATGCGCAGAGACACTGGTCTCGCTCGGGGTTTTCTCGCGCCTGCGCAAGATCCTCCAGCCCAACAGGGGGCGATGAGCCGATCCTTGCGCGGGTTTGCCCCGCCGGAGTAATCCGGAAGAGGCCTCTTATTAGGGCTCTGGTGGCGGCGGTGGCGGACACTTGGGGTCTGGACGCAACGGCGGCGGGAGCATGAACGCCCCTCCAGCCTTCGAGTCGTTCTTGCTCTTCGAGGGCGAGAAGTAAGTGACGCCGGCTGCGGAGGGCCGAGGTGCGCGGGCCTGCGGCTGTCGCATTCTGGGGTGTCTCCTGCCCATCTCTTGCCCCGGGAGGGAAACAGCTTTTGCTTGATCGTCTGCTCGGCCTGTGTCAGCCAAATTTAAGGCCGTTCCGCGAGGCAGTCGCGAGTGTGTTCATTTTGCAGATGAGGACACTGAGGCTTGGAGGCGAGCAAGTTGCCCCGGACACAGGAAGTGGCGGCGCTTGTATTCGAACCCAGAGTGTCTGGTTCTCCATAGCCCTTTTCCTCTGGGATCTGGCAGCTTCCTCTTTTTGTCTCTCGCCCGCCACCTCCATCCTTCATCCCCTCCGATCTGTCAGCGGCCTGCGTAAAAGCCGCAGTGGCTCCTCGCTGCCTGCGGGTTGAAGGAGTCCAGGGGAGAGAGCTTGGGCTCACTCTGTATCTGTGGGCGAGTGGCTTGATCTGTCGGAGGCCCTGTTTCCTCATCTGGAAAATGAGTTTATTACTGTACTTAAACGTGGGATTCAGGCCGGGTGCGGTGGCTGACACCTGTAATCCCAGCACTTTGGGAGCCCGAGGCGGGCGGATCACCTGAGGTCGGGAGTTCAAGACCAGCCTGACCAACATGGAGAAACCCTGTCTCTACTAAAAATACAAAATTAGCCGGGCGTGGTGGCAGATGCCTGTAATCCCAGCTACTCAGAAGGCTGAGGCAGGAGAATCACTTGAACCTGGGAAGTGGAGGTTGAGGTGAGCGGAGATCACGCCATTGCACTCCAGCCTGAGCAACAAGAGCGAAACTCCGTTTCAAAAAACAAAAAAAGGGATCTGGCCAGGTGCGCTGGTTCACGCTTTTAATCCCGGCACTTTGGGAGGCTCAGGTGGGAGGATTGCTTGAGCTGAGCACAGGAGTTCCAGGCTGCAGTGAGCTTTGATCGCATCACTGCACTCCAGCCTGGGCGACTGAGCGCAATCCTGTCTCAAAATAAAAAGAATTGGATGAGGTAATTTGTGTAAAACTCTTGGTCCAAAGCTCAGCCCCTGGAAAACCTCATAACCATTGGCTCTTATTGTTCCCAGGTTGGCGTGCAGAGGTCTTGGTCTGGCCCTTGCCAGCCACTTCGGCCTCCTTTAGAGCAGACTCTCAACTGGGGACCATTTGGCCCCACAAGGGACATGTGGCAATAACTGAGAACATTATTGGTTGTCAAAGGGGGTTATGACTGGAATCTACTGGGTAGAGGTCAGGGATGCTGCTGATGTCCTACAATGTCCACAAGACAGCACCCCACAGGAAAGAATGATGCACCCTAAAATGTGTGTGGTGTCAGCCTGGAGAAACCACCTTAGAAAAAAGGATATTCAACTTGATACCTCTCACCTGTGTGAGATTTTACTGTCAGCATAGTTGCCCTCAAATTGAGTGTGCATTAGAATCACCTGAAGGGCTTCTTAAACCATAGATCCCTGCGCCCCACCTCCAGAGTTCTGGGTCCAGTAAGTGGGAGGTGGGAGACTCTTAACAAGTTCCCAGGGGATTCTGATGCTGCTTATCTGGGAACTGCACTCTGAAAACCCCTTGTCTTGGAAAATCCAATGGAAGTTTCCTGTCTTTGTCCATCTAAGCGTTCACTAAAATCATAGTAAATGCCAGAGCATGACTTGTTTTGGGGAATGGATGGAAGGACTGCACACTCCAGCCAGGGGGATGGTTGCTTTCGGAACTCACAGGGTCAGGACCAGCCTCACCGTGTAACTTCAGGGCCTCTCTTCTTCACCTTTTGGTTGCTTCATTATGTTGGCGTAAGAAAAAAGGAACAGGCCAGGCATGATGACGTGCGCCTGTGGTCCCAGCTACTCAGGAGGCTAAGGCGGGAGGATCACTTTAGCCGAGGAGTTGGAGGCTGCAGTGAGCTATGATCACACCACTGCACTCCAGCCTGGGCAGCAGGAGAGATCATTTGAGGCGAGGAGTTCAAGACCAGCGAGGACAACAAGGCAAAACCCCATCTCTACCGGAAAAAAAAAAGGAGGAATTCAGAAAAGGCCAAGGTTCCATAGACCTGGGGTAGCAGGAAGTAGGGGACCGGGTTGGCGAGGCCTTTATGGGATGAAGAGATTGAGAAAGGCCTTCAGGAAGAGGCAGAGCTTATTTTTCCTTTTTATTTTTATATTTTTGATACAGAGTTCCACTCTGTTGCCCAGGCTGGAGTGCAGTGGCATGATCTCGGCTCACTGCAACTCCACCTCCCAGGTTCAGGTGATTCTCCTGCCTCAGTCTCCCAAGTAGCTAGGACTACAGGCATGGATCACCACACTCAGCTAATTTTTTTTTTTTCTTTGTATTTTTAGTACAGACAGGGTTTTGCCATGTTGGGCAGGCTGGTCTTGAACTTCTGACCTCAGGTCATCCATCCACCTCAGCCTCCCAAAGTGTTGGGATTACAGACACGAGCCACCACACCTGGCCGGGAGGAGACAGGGTTTAGACTCAGGGTGGGAGGAGGGGAGCCCCTGCTCCTCATCTGTGGCCTCTGTGTCTTCCTAGGATCACCATTAACAAGGACACCAAGGTACCCAATGCCTGTTTATTCACCATCAACAAAGAAGACCACACACTGGGAAACATCATTAAATCGTAAGTTTCCCGTCACAGGCTCTCAGGGGCTATGTTTAATGGGCCCCTCTGGGCAAAGCACAAGTTCCAAGTCTTCCTCAGTCTCTCTGAGCTACAGGAAGTCCTTCTGGGGGCTTGCTCTGGGCATTTTATAATCTTGGTACCTTTTTATCAAAATGACACCGACCTCCATGTCTTCACATAAGCCACACTTCTGTAGTGGCTTATTCTGTAGATGAACACGTGCATTTACATTCACTGTTTGTTTGTTTGTTTGTTTTTGAGATGGAATTTTCTCTCTTTGTTGCCCAGGCTGGAGTGCAATGGCACGATCTTGCTCACTGCAACCTCCGCCTCCCGGGTTCAAGTGATTCTCCTGCTTCAGCCTTCCTAGTAGCTGGGACTACAGGCCCACGCCACGATGCCCGGCTAATTTTTGTGTTTTTAGTAGAGACGGGGATTCACTGTGTTGGCCAGGCTGGTCTCGAACTCCTGACCTCAGGTGATCCACCTGCTGGCTTCCCAAAGTGCTGGGATTAGAGACGTGAGCTACTGCGCCCGGCCTTACATTCACCATTAAGTGCACATTCTGTAAATGAACGAGCAGCAGATTCCAGCACAGTAGGCCTGTTTGTTATTCATGCTGAGGGACATTGAAAAGCAGTCAAGATTAGCTCCCCTCATGCCACCCGTTTGTGACCTCAGTGCCACCTGGGCCTCTAAGATGTATGTGGCAGAGACTAGAACTTCTATTTAACAAGAGAAAGAAGTAGGAGTTCTGTGGCTATCCAGTGCCCCTAATGGGCACCCTGCATTGGTTGGTGGGTGTTTGTTTATACCAGTGAGGTCCTAGCCAGGTGGTTGGTCAGGGATGTGTCTGCCATTCTGGCCCAGGGACTTGCCATTTTACTGTAGACTTGGCTCTTCCCTCTGGTGCCACCAGCGAAGCCAGGCTTTTCCCCGTCTGTGAGTGGGGTCTGCCCAGTCTCCTGGTGTGGTCAGGCACGGGGATGGAGGAATCCTGCCCGGAGCCCAGCCAGTGGGGCACCCAAGCTCTCCTGGGGCCCTGCTGCTCCCCTGCTCTTGAGCTCAGTGTTGCCACCTATGCACGGGTCCCCCTTGTGGTGCTCACGCCACTCTGAGCCACTCTAGAGGAGACCCCTGCATGCCCAGGGCACAGTACGCGATGCAGCCCCATGGCACAAGGCCCAGTGTGCGTGGCCAGCCGCTGGCGGCTGTGCTGCTCGGAGGGCAGAGTTCCATTTGCATTCCACTCACTGCCGGGAGCTGGCCCTCCTCTCCTGCTGCCTTTATTTGCTGCGTGGAGGCTCTTTGTGGGCTTTTTGGGTCTGAGTCACTGAACACTGGCTGGACATTCACTGCCTGGGAGATCTCTTTGCCAGCACTGCGGTGCCCGGTGGGAAGAGGTTGCTGGAATCTCTTTCCAGCTCGGGTCCTTCAACCTCATGGATGCAGAGTGTGTGTGTGTGGCGGGGATAGGGTGTCCCCACATGAGGTATCTTCCTAAAAGTGTTACTTTCCTTGAAGACTTTTTGGGAAAAAAGTTGGGGGGGATTTTTGGCTAGAAAGTCTGTTCTTCTGCTCTGAGCTGGCTGCTACCCAGCTTGGGCATGAGGCTAGACCCTCACACTGTCTGTCCCTGGACCTCAGACAACTCCTAAAAGACCCGCAAGTGCTATTTGCTGGCTACAAAGTCCCCCACCCCTTGGAGCACAAGATCATCATCCGAGTGCAGACCACGCCGGACTACAGCCCCCAGGAAGCCTTTACCAACGCCATCACCGACCTCATCAGTGAGCTGTCCCTGCTGGAGGAGCGCTTCCGGGTGAGGGCGGGGCCTGGAGGGGCAGACGGGGTGGGCTGGACACTGGCCCGTGTGCCCAGGCCTGGGACAGCCCTGGCCTGTTTCTTCGGAGGTCCTCAGGGAGAGGCGGCGGTGATGGAAGAACAGGGACTTCCACCACAGGCTCCAGGACATGTGGACTGAGGGGCTGTGGAGTCTGGGCCTGTGGCTCCCGTCTGCCCCATGGGACTTCTGTAGTGCTGCAGGGTCCCTCGGGTGCTGTGGGCCAGATCCGGGCGGGGACCTACTGTCCTTTGGGGGTGCTCTTCTACGTCCCTTGTCGGTGATTGGCAAGGCCTGGTCCTTCCAGGCCTCTGGGAGGCAGCTCACCCCAGGGTGGCCCACACCTGTTCCTAGCAGGGCGCCTGGGAATCTAGAACAGTTTAGAGGGGAAAGAGCCACAGCAAAGAAAAGCCGAGGCAGGGTGATCACGAGGTCAGGAGTTCAAGACCAGCCTGGCAAACATGGTGAAGCCCTGTTTCTACTAAAAATACAAAAATTAGCTAGGCATGGTGGCATGTGCTGTAGTCCCAGCTACTCGGGAGGCTGAGGCAGGAGAATCGCTTGAACCCGGGAGGCGGAGGTTGCAGTGAGCCGAGATTGTGCCACTGCACTCCAGCCTAGGTAACAGAGCAGGACTCCATCTCAGTCAATCAATCAATCAATCAATCTCAGCGGTTGAACTACCCTTGACATGGTTCAGCTCTGTATCCACACCCAAATGTCATGTCAAATTGTAATTCCCAGTGTTGTGGGAGGGACCTGGTGGGAGGTGATTGGCTCATGGGGGCCGACTTCCCCCTTGCTGTTCTCGTGATATTGAGTGAGCGCTTGTGGGATCTGGTTGTTTAAAAGCGTGCAGCCCTCCCACTTCACTCTCTCTGTCTCTCCTGCTCCAACATGGCCAGACGTGCCTGCTTCCCCTTCGCCTTCTGCCGTGATTGTCAGTTTCCTGAGGCCTCCCCAGCCACGCTTCCTGTACAGCCTGCAGAACTGTGAGTCAATTAAACCTCTTTTCTTCATAAATTACCCAGTTTCTCATAGTTCTTTATAGCAGTGTGAAAACAGACTAATGGACCCTTCTGGTTGAAGGAATGCAGCCATTCTGCTTGTTTGACTATGTCCTTTCTATTCATCTCTATTTCCTGGGAGGTGTTTATCCAAGTGCAATAGGAGGTATTGGTGACCGCACAGTCCCCTCAGTGTTCTGCTAGTAAATAGTTGAAGGTTGATCATTGATCTTCTGCGTTTTCAGTCTGGCATGGAAAAGCCCCTGTGCAACTGGTAAAGATATCAATAAGCACCAGGAGGTATCTAAATCCACCAGGAGCCATAGGCATCACGTTGACATCCATTTACCAGTCTTCCCTGGCAAGATTCTTCTGAATTGTGCTGCCTTGGCCAAAAGAGGTATGGGAGGGGCTGGGCGCAGTGGCTTGTGCCTGTAATCCCAACATTTTGGGAAACCAATTCAGGTGGATCGTTAGAGGTCAGGGGTTCAAGACCATCCTGGCCAACATGGTGACATCCCATCTCTACTAAAAATACAATAAGTTAGCTGGGTTTGGTGTTGGGTGCCTGTAATCCCAGCTACTCGAGAGGCTGAGGCAGGATAATCGCTTGAACCTGGGAGGAGGAGGTGGCAGTGAGCTGAGATCGTGCCATTGCACTCCAGCGTGGGCAACAAGAGTGAAACGTCGTCTCAAAAAATAAAAAAAAGGTCCGGGCTTGATGGCTCACACCTGTAATCCCAGCACTTTGGGAGGCCAAGACGGGTGGATCACGAGGTCAGGAGTTCAAGACCAGCCTGGCCTAGATGGTGAAACCCTGTCTCTACTAAAACTACAAATATTAGCTGGGCATGGTGGCATGCACCTGTAATCTCAGCTACTCAGAAGTCTGATGCAGGAGAATTGCTAAAACCCAGGAGGGAGAGGTTGCAGTGAGCCGAGATTGCACCACTGCACTCTAGCCTGGGCGACAGAGCAAGACTCCGTCTCGAAAGAAAGAAAGAAAGAAAGGAAATTCCCCAGGGAAGTACCTCGGCTGATTTCATAAACAGGTACCGAAGGAAGCAGAGGCATGTGGAGGACTTCCCCACCTCATGCAGCTATTTGGGCCATGGCGTCTGAAATTTATTATTTCAGAGTCACCCCTTTGATGACCTTGGCAGTGAACTGCAGTCATCTGTTTAGGCCTTTCCATGGCCCACGTCAATGCCGTTATTTCTGTTTGTTGCACATTTGATTTCCTTGTTGTTGGCATTTAGAAGGCCCCCTGCTTCCCAGATCACACCACGGGCATGGACCACAGAGATTGCATCTTGTGAGTCTGTAGAAATGGTCAAGGCCTTGTCCTCTCTTAGGTCCAGAGCTCAGGTGAATGCAGATTTTCCCGGCCATCTGTGCTGAAGTCCCTGTGGGGAGGCTCCTGGCTGGTTTCCTGTAGGTAGACAGCTACACGTCCTGCCCTTCATTGGCTTCTTTTCATGAAGCTCCTGCCATCTACAAAACATGTCTCCCTTCTTGAATCACATCTCTGTTATTGAAACTCTAGAAGTCAACCGGGCATGGTGGCTATGCCTATAATCCCAGCATTTTGGGATGCCAAGGCGGGTGGATCACCTGAGGTCAGGAGTTCAAGACCAGCCTGACCAACATGGCGAAACCCCGTCTCTAATACAAATACAAAAATTAGCCAAGCATGGTGGTCACTGTACTCCAGCCTGGGTGACAGAGCAAGACTCCGTCTCAAAAAAAAAAAAGAGAAAGAAAGTATCATGCTTTTCTGCATTCTGTGAATTGTTTTAGTGAGTTATCGAACTTGAGGGCATGGTGGGAACCTCCAAATTTGCAGCCAGTTGGTGAGAAGTACATGTGGTCTGAGGACACCCAAGCCTGCAGGTGTGTCTAAAGCGAGGGCAGCCTAGTGGGGACTGGTGGCCTTAACCTGTGGCATTTGAGGTAACATCAGGGAGTTGACATCAGAATTGCATCACATAGGCTGGGCGCGGTGGCTCACGCCTGTAATCCTAGCACTTTGGGAGGCCAAGGCGGGCAGATCACGAGGTCAGGAGATCGAGACCATCCTGGCTAAGACAGTGAAATCCCGTCTCTACTAAAAATTCAAAAAATTAGCCAGGCATGGTGGCGGGCGCCTGTAGTCCCAGCTACTCGGGAGGCTGAGGCAGGAGAATGGCGTGAACCCAGGAGGCAGAGCTTGCATTGAGCCAAGATCACGCCACCGCACTCCAGCCTGGGTGACAGAGCGAGACTCCATCCCCCCCAAAAAGAAAAAAGACAAAAAAAAAATTGTGTCACACAGGCCAGATGCAGTGGCTCATGCTTATAATCCCAGCAATTTGAAAGGCAAGGTAAGAGGATCGCTTGAGCTTGAGTCTGAGGCCGCAGTGAGCTATGACCACACCACTGCACCCCAGTCTGGGTGACAGCGCAAGACCCCAACTCCAAAAAGGAAAAAGAAAAATCACAAGGAATTGCATGTCAGAGTGCCTGTCTTTCACAGCTTTAACTGCTGCAGGAACGAACTTTTTTTTTTTTTTTTTTTTTGAGAGGGGGTGAGGAGACACAATCTCTGCTAGTGATTCTCCTGCCTCAGCCTCCCAAATAGCTGGGATTATAGGCGTGCACCACCACGCCTGCCTAATTTTTGTATTTTTAGTAGAGACAGGGTTTCACCATGTTGGCCAGGCTGGTCTCAAACTCCTGCTGGGATCATGGGCGTGAGCCACCACGCCCGGCCACCTTTAGAGTTTTCTTACCACCTGGTTTTCCTCTCTCAATATCTTTCTCTCATTTCCTGCCTTAAAACTCTAGCTTGGCATCTGGGCGCAGTAGCTCATGCCTGTAATCCCAGCACTTTGGGAGGCCGAGGTAGGTGGATCACTTGAAGTCAGGAGTTCGAGACCAGCCTGGCCAACATGGTGAAACCTTGTCTCTACTATTTTTACAAAAGTTAGTCGGACGTACAGACGGGTGCCTGTAGTCCCAGCTACTTGGGAGGCTGAGGCAGGAGAATTTGTTTGAACCCAGAGGTGAAAGTTGCAGGGAGCCGAGGTTGTGCCACTGCACTCCAGCCTGGGAGACAGAGCAAGACTCTGTCTCCAAAACAAACAAACAAACAAAAAAACCCTGTAGCTTGGGATCAGCCTTCTCTTCTATTGTTTTTCTTTAAAAAATAAAAATTAAAAATAGATGTAGATGCTATGTTGCTGAGGCTGGCCTCAAACTCCTGGCCTCAGGTGATCCTCCCGCCATGACCTCCAAAACCACAGGGATTGTAGGTGTGAGCACTGCACCCAGCCTTATGTTTTTTTCTACATAAAAAACAGCACAGGATTATCTTCCAGAGCTAATAAATATGTTCAAATAACCACAACCCCATTAAGGAAAAATATCACTGGGCAGCAAATAATCAATCCAGACCAATATGATCACAATTGCTGTGAAGGTGAGAAAAGTTCATTTTTATTATGTTTCCCCAAGAGACGCACTCTATTGTTCTCTTGAAAACACACAGCTCATGTCCTCCTTTAGAACACACATCCTCTTTAAAGTAACATACAAACATGCCAAAACAAGGTAAAAAATTACATCTGAATTCTCACATTTCAAATATATATGAAATATCAAATAAAAATTTATTTTTACAAGAATTTAGGGGAACTACTACATAGCTATAAATGTAATATATATGTTAACTAAGTATCATAGATAAAAACCATGCTCCCTTCAGCAGCACGTGTAATAATAGATACAAAGATTGAAAGGTAAAAGATTTAGGATGAAAAGAATCCTCTCTTAAAAAGGAAAACAAAATTATATGTATGTGTATATAACAGTTATAATATCCATCACACAGCTTTATAGAAACAGCATCTATTCAAAAATACCAGTATTTCCAAAATATTTAAAATAATATTTAAAGTAATAATAATATTTAAATAAATAAATATATTTAATAAATATTTAAATAAATAAAATAATATTTAAATAATTCTATACCCATGTTTTTCAAAATAAACCAATAAAATAGATAGTATATATTAGACGTGTTAGTATATATATCTGAGGCATGTTAAAAATCACAACTGAATTCTCACAATTCAGTCACAAACCTAAACAGCAAATAAAAATTTCTATCACCAGAATTATGTTTTTTTCTGGTGGGGAACTACCAATAGCTATAAATAGAAGAGATTATTATGGAAGTATCATAGATAAAAAGAGTGCTCGCTTCAGGAGCACATGTAATAATACAGAAACAAATTTAAAGATAATAAAATATTTAGGATAAAAAGAATTGTCTCTTAAAAATGAAAAGAAAATTAGCTTTATGTATATATAACAACTATAACTCTCATCAAAAAACTACAGGAACAGCATGTTTTCAAAAGTACAACAATTTCCAAACTATTTGAAATAAATCTATGAATAATTCAATGGCCGACATTTTCCATACAAACCAATAAAATGCAGAGTGTGCATGAAGCTATCTGTTACAATCTGTGGCACTGATATTTCACAAAAGAATTCTGTCCCAATCTGAGCCCCTGCATTGTGCCTTCAAATCCTCCTGGACTGCAAGTCCGTAAGAAACAGGACCTCCAGGTTCCGCCCCAGGGAGGTTGGAATTCAGCAATATAAAAAGGGTGGTGGTGCCGCAGGAAAGGGTGGAACTGGAAACGCTCCTGGTTTCTTACTTTTCTCCAAGGACTCCTAGAAGGACCCCACCCCCCTCCCCCCACCCCTGCTCCTAGGAGGACAACGTGATCACTGTATTCAGCTCCATCAAGAATGGTCCAGGTTCTTCTAGATGATCTGCACAAATGGTTCCTCTCCTCCTGCCTGGTGTCTGCCATTAGCATTGGAATAAAGTTCCCGCTGAAAATCCACATCTCCCCTGGGTCCGGTGTTCTGGAAGCGAGAGAGACAATGTCACACTTCAAGGAGGCAGCTCTCTAGACAGGAAAGTTATTCACGTCCCATGTCAATTGAGAAATGCAATTTTATCTGCTGCCTTTCATTCTATACCCTGCTTCTGAACCATCGTGTTCAACTGTGAAACTCACACTTTGGTGACCACGACTCCAAAACTCACTTAATACACCCAAGGTCAGCCCCAGTGATCTGCTTCATAGCAAGGACTTTGGGTGGGTCTGCCCAGGGAGTAGGGCACCCTCAGAGAATGTGGCTTTGGACTTTATCACAGCTGGGGCCTTTTGTGTCACTTAAGATCTAAACTTGTAACCATGCTAGATGTGTTTCTAATGTGACAACATCACGAACCACGAGTCCAGAAGCCTAATCCTTAATCCTACCTCCTCATGATGAAGTCTCATGCTCTGTGCTCAACGTGGTTAGCTGCACAAGATGTAAACCAAAGCTTCACTGAACCCTCGACCCAAATCAGTAACTCAAGTGCGTCAATCATAATGAACCTCCCCAAACTCAGTTTTTATGATTATTTTTGAGGCAGGGTCTCACTCTGTCGCCCAGACTGGAGTGCAGTGGCAGGATCAGGGCTCCGTGCGGCCCCGACCTTCCAGGCTCCAGCGATCCTCCCGCCTCAGCCTCCTGAGTAGTTGGGAGTAGAGATGCGTCCCACATCGCCTGGCTAGTTTTTGTATTTTTGTGGAGAGGGGATCTCGCCACGTTGCCCAGGCTTGAAGCCAGATCAAGCAATTGGGTTCTTCGGATTTCCGAAATAGACCCCAATATTCTGCCTTTACCCCAGAGGATGCAGATGTACCTTCTCTCAGGCCGATGACCTCAGGCCTCCCCGGTCCCTGGAGCTCTAGGAAAGGTGAGCGCGATCTCGCGCCCACACCCAGTGCTCTGGGTCATAAGCCTGGATCTGGAAAAACAAACGCCCTTTGAGAAGACGGGGACTCGCCAGGATACCCCTCTCTCCCCTCATCCAGCCTCCAGCCCACCCAATTCCTCCCCACCTCCTCCACCTCCCCAGGCCCCACTCACCTCCTCCAACTCCTCTGGGGAAACCCAAGCCCTGCAGCTCATGGAACAGAAGAAGTGGAACCGTCGTTTCTGGAACAGGACTATCTGAGAGCGGTTCTTCCTGGCCCTCGAGTTCATGGAACGGTATAACTGGAACCGACGCTTACGGAGCAAGGGTATGCGAGAGCGGTTCTTCCTGGCCCTCGGGTTCGTGGAACGGTATAACTGGAACCGACGCTTACGGAGCAAGGGTATGCGAGAGCGGTTCTTCCTGGCCCTCGGGTTCATGGAATGGCCTAACTGGAACCAAGGCTTACGGAGCAAGGGTATGCGAGAGCGGTTCTTCCTATACAGGAAGTGGAAGATGTTTTGTTTGGAGTCCTCGTCGTCCTCCTCCATGTCATTGGCCAGGTAGCTGAGGACAGAAATCAGGTTGCTGCTCAGGGGCACCACCAGGAGAGGCCTCCGGCTGAGGTCAGCTTCCCAGAGAGGAAGGTAAGGGACCGTCCCTAGCTCAGGACTGGCACCCACCCTGCAGAGAGCCATGCCTTCCTCAGGAGGGCTCTGCTGGACAGAGACCTGATCAAGGGCGTCTCCCACTCCTTCAGGATGGAGACAAAAACCCAACTGGTGGCCGAGAGTGGTGGCTTACGCCTGGAATCCCAGCACACTGGGAGGCCAAAGCAGGAGGATCACTTGAGGCCAGGAGTTTGAGACGGGCCTGGGCAACATAGCAAGACCCTCGTCTCTATTAAAAATGTAAGAAATATGCCAGACGCGGTGGCTCATGCCTGTAATCCCAGCACTTTAGAAGGCTGAAGCAGGTGGATCGCTTGAGACCAGGAGTTGGAGACCAGCCTGGTCAACACGGAGAAACCCCATCTCTACTAAAAATACAAAAATGAGCCTGGTGCGGTGGCACACCTGTTAGGCCTAGCTACTCAGGAGGCTGAAGCATAAGAATTGTGTGAACCCAGGAGGCGGAGGTTGCAGTGAGTTGAGATTGGGCCACTCCATTCCAGCCTGAGAGGCAGAACAAGACTCTGTCTCAATAAACAAACAAACAAACAAACTGTCCAGGTGTGGTGGCACAGCCCTGTAGTCGGAGCTAATGAAGCTGAGGTGGGAGGATCGCTTGAGCCCAGGATATGGAGGCTGCGGTGAGCTATGATCTCACCACTGCACTCCAGCTTGGGGGACAGGGCAAGTCTGTCTCAAAAAAATAAAAGAAATTGAATACATTGATATTTTGCCAGGACCCTGCCTTCTACAGGCATCTAGTCTAATGGGACTGGGAGTAATCAAGGCAGATGACCTAATCCCAGTGTCCAGGATGTAACTAGAGAGCTACGGGCATGCAGAAGTTGGAAGATGAGGGAAGGCATCACAGAGGCTGTGGGGTGAACTGATTTCAAGGAATGGGTCCTTCCCTTCAGAGCCACATGTGTGCGGGACACCCAGACAGAAAACACAAACACAAAGTCGAGTGGAGGGCATTTGGAAGGAGCAGTGAAGCCGAGCCAGGAAATACCAAGATGGCGAGCCAGTGTGCTTGTAGAGATTGTAGAGAGGGTAGAATTGACACTGTGGACCCTGGCCTCGATAGAGAAAGGCATCAGCTAAGGAAGTTGTTCAGGTGGGCAGTGAGGTTGTCGTGCTTTGGAAAGATGTTCAGGCTGCACTAGGAAGCCCCCTGGCTTGGGGAGAGACTCCAGGAGACCCCAGCGGGGAGCATTTGACAGTAAATTCGAGTGATGCGAGGGGGACCTGAACTGTGGCCTCTGTCATGGGAACCCAGAGGAGGTCGATGGCGTTTGTGGTTGATGTGGGAAGGAGAGAGAGAGAAGAACCAGAAACGTCTGCTTGCTGGAGGAAGCGGCATGTCCGCTCCTCCACTCCTTTTCTTTTCCCCTTAGGAGCGGTTTATGGTTCCTTTTGTTTTATTCTTTTATTTGTACACTGGCATTGGAGTTTGTTTTTTTGGCTTTTTTTTTTTTTTTTTTTTTTTTTTTGAGAAAAAGTCTCACTCTGTCACCCAGGCTGGAGTACAGTGGCTCGACCTTAGCTTACTGCAACCTCCACCTCCTGGGTTCAAAGGGTTCTCTTGCCTCAGCCTCCCGAGTAGCTGGGATTACAGATGCACACCACCACGCCCAGCTAATTTTTCTATTTTTAGTAGAGACGGGATTTGGCCATGTTGGCCAGGCTGGTCTCGAACTGCTGACCTCAGGTGATCCGCCTGCCTCGGCCTCCCAAAGTGCTGGGATTACAGGCGTATTCCACTGTGCCCAGCCTGAGTTTCTGTTTAGAAACAACAGTCTATGATAGTATAATCCTCTCTTTTTTGTACACAGAGTAAAGAGGACAAATAGGTGAAAGAATAAATGAAAGGCTGGAATCCCACTTCCCCCGCTGTCCCAGGGCATTGGATATTGACGGATAGGAGGCAGCAAACCACTCACAGAGCCAGGAAGAAATGAATGCGTTGGTATTGCCAGGAGGGGAAGCCGGCCCGGCTGAAATACGCTATGACCATAGCCAGGAGATACTGATGGAGAGAAAGGAACACAGAGAGGGAGAGGTCACATCTTGGAAGAGGAAGATTGTGGAGAGGGGGAATGAGGGTCTGGGGAGGGGCTGCCCATCAGAGAAGGGACCTCAGTGTTGGGGTGACTACTCATTTGGAAATTGCGGGATGGAGGGGTATTCGAAGGTCGGATGCAAATCCGAGAAGCCAGAGGAAGGGTTTTGGGTGATGCTCCCAGGATGGTGGGCTCCGATGGGATCTTTGGAGGGGGTGTGTCTAGGTCGGCTGGTGTCAGGAGGGTCTTTTGTGTGCCAGGCAGAGAACTGTCCCGAAGAGCTGAGAGTAGAGGGGCCAGGATCTTCGGGGCTGCGGCCAGACTGTGGCCCAGAGCTCAGATCCCAAAGGACCCATAGGAGAGGCAGGGGCCACTCATTCACTCTGCAAGAGACCAGCAGAATCCTGAGGGAGATGCTGACAAATCATAAAAAGACCAAGAATAGCCGGGAGTGGCGGCTCAAGCCTGTGATCCCAGTACTTTTTGAGAGGTGGAGACAGGAGGATCATGTGAGCCCAACAGTTCGAGAACAACCTGGGCAACATAGTGAGACCCTGTTTCTACAAACATTTCAAAAATTAGTTGAGCATGGTGGCATGTGCCTAGTCCCAGCTCCTCAGGAGGCTGAGGAAAGAAGATTGCTTGAGCCCAGGAATTAGAGGCTGCAATGAGCTATGATCATGCCACTGCACTCCATCCTGGGGAGCAGAGCTAGACTCTGTCTCACAAAAAAAAAATTTGTGGGTGCCAAGACTCAAGACCATGGGAGCTGGTCGGGCACAGTGGCTGACGTCTATAATCTCAGCACTTTGGGAGGCCAAGGCGGGTGGATCGCCTGAGGTCAGGTGTTCAGGACCAACCTGGCCAACATGGCAAAACCCCGTTTCTACTAAAAACACAAAAATTAGCCAGGCGTGGTGGTTCATGTCTGTAATCCCAGCTGCTTGGAGGCTGAGGCAGGAGAATCGCTTGAACCCAGGACGCATCGGCTGCAGTGAGTCAAGATCGAGACACTGCCCTCCAGCCTGGGCAACAGAGCAAGACTCTGTCTCACACACACACACACACACACACACACACAAAAAAAAAAAAAAAAGACTGTAGGAGCATCTGGTGGGAGGTGGTGGAGGGAGAACTGTGGGTTTGGAAGCTGCGCCCTCCCCCCAGCCATGCGTTGGAACAGGAACAGTTACATGGAGAACAACCTTACCTTGTCCGACACCCTCAGATCTTTGTCCCAGGCCAAGAATCTTTTAATGACAGGATCCTCTGTGATTAGAGAGCAGATGTCAGTGTGAGAAGCAGGACAGGGTTTCCGTGGGAGCAGCAGGGCAGGGAGGAGAAGTGTGCCTCCCGGGGGGAAGTCTCAGGATTGTGGCCGCGGGTGAGGTGGATGGGAGAGGGGAGAATGACTTTCACTGGGCAAGGGAGAGAGGCTCCCGCTCTGAGACTCCCCTGAGAAGAGGCCGAAGGAGGCCCTGGGTGTGAGAATCTACAGGATGTAGAGCTGGGAATCAGCCAGGACCCCCTCCAGCAGACACGGAGGGACCACTGCAGAGTCATAAAGGAATTCCCATCATTTCCTCATGAGACAGTCACATCAGGGTGTGACCATGGCCTTGGTATCCCCCACTATGGATGGAGACACTTAGGTTTAGAAAAGTCAGTAAGAGACATTAAGTTTCAGAGGGCACAGCTGAAACCACTTTCTTTGTTTATTGATTTTGTTTTTCTTTATTGGATTTTTATTTTTATTTATTTATTAATTTATTTTGAGACAGAGTCTTGCTCTGTGGGCCAGGCTGGAATGCAGTGGCCTGATCTTGGCTCACTGCAACCTCTGCCTCCCGGGTTTAAGCGATTCTCCTGTCTCAGCCTCCCGAGTAGCTGGGATTACATGCATGAGCTACTGTGCCCAGCCTTGGTTTTTCTTTTGAGACAGGGTTTTGCTCTGTCACCCAGGCTGGAGTGCAGTGGTGTAGTCATAGCTCACTGCAGCCTCAAAGTCCTGAGTTCAAGCAATCCTCTTGCCTCAGCCTCCCAACGTGCTGGGATCTCAGGCGGGAGCCACTGCGCCTGGCCCGAAACCAAGCTTTCTTATCCCAAGCGCTGACCTTTATCAAGTTGACCTAATCCTTTATCATCTCCTAAGTGTCCCTCATGAGTGATCACTTCACATTCCTCCCACATGGAGAGCTCACCCACTGGGGCCTATTTTTCCCATTGGAAAAGTGTGGTTATTGGAAGTTTCCTGTTTTTGGAAAGAACAGGATTGGAGGTGCTCTCTGGGGTGTCCTCCTACCAAGCAGCCTGTTGAAGGCCTCGTGGTGCTCAGGGAGCACGAGCGACACTCGCCGTCGCTTCAGCTTCATCTTGAGGCCACACAGCATCTCCGCCACCCAGATCTCCTCAGGCTCAGGGGCGAGCACCTTCCGTGGCTCCTCCTCCAACGACTCCTCAGATTCGTCCCACCACTCCATCTTCCTTTTCCAGCAAAAGGACCTATGCGGGGGGCTGGGATCTACCCCAGGGGCTGAGTAAAGAAACCAGGCCACGGTGTAATGCTTCTGCAGTTGATCACACTAGAGCCCGACCCAAAACCCCAAACCACTCTCCATCCTCCCCAGCCTCGCAGACTGCTGGCTTCTCCAAGCCATCTTTCCTTCTGTCTGTCTCCTCTGCTGAGCTGCATGTGCCGCTCCTTCTCCTCCCCATTCTCCCGTTTTTCTGTCCTCAGAACACTTCCTCATATCCTTCCCTGGTCCCTGGCTCTCTGAGTCCCTTTTTTTTTTTTTTTTTGTTGTTGTTGTTGTTGTTGTTGAGAAACAGTCTTGCTTTGTGGCCTAGGCTGGAGTGTAGTGGTGCGATCTTGGCTCACTGCAACCTCTGCCTCCCGGGTTCCAGTGATTCTCCTGCCTAAGCCTCCCAAGTAGCTGGGATTACAGGTGCCCACCAGAACGCCCAGCTCATTTTTGTGCTTCTAGAAGAGACAGGGTTTCACCATGTTGGCCAGGCTGGTCTCCAACTCCTGGCCTCAAGTGATCTGCCTGCCTGGCCTCCCAAAGTGCTGGGATTACAGGTGTGAGCCACTGCACCCTGCCTCAGTACCTCCATTCTTCCCACACACCCTCCTCATGTGCTCCTTCCTGACTTCTGGGCCCTTCCTTCCTTCTTTTTTTTTTTTTTTTTTTTTTTTTTTTGAGACAGCGTCTCACTCTCTCACCCAGAATGGAATGCAGTGGCGCTATCTTGGCTCAAAGCAACCTCTTCCACCTGGGTTCAAGCGATTATCCTGTCTCAGCCTCCTGAGTAGCTGGGATAACAGGCATGCCTGGCTAATTTTTGTATTGTTAGTATAAATGAGGTTTCGCTATATTGGTCTGGTTGGTCTCGAACAACTGACCTCAAGTGATCCACCCATCTCAGCCTCCCAAAGTAATGGGATTACAGGCATGAGCTACCACACCTGGCCTTCGTTTTTCTTTTGACACAGGGTTTTGCTCTGTCACCCAGGCTGGAGTGCAGTGGTGCAGTCATAGCTCACTGCAGCCTCAAAGTCCTGAGTTCAAGCAATCCTCTTGCCTCAGCCTCCCAACGTGCTAGCATCTCAGGCATGAGCCACTGCACCTGGCCCGAAACCAAGCTTTCTCATCCCAAGCGCCAACCTTTATCAAGTCTAGCCTAGTCTTCTATCGTCTCCTAAGTGTCCCTCATGAGTGATCACTTCTGAGTCCTCCTGCGTGGAGAGCTCAGCCACTGGGGGCGTATCTTTCCCATTGGAAAAGTGTGGTTATTGGAAGTTTCCTCTTTTTAGAAAGAACAGGATTGGAGGTGCTCTCTGGGGTATCCTCCTACCAAGCTGACTGTTGAAGTCCTTGTGGTGCTCAGGGAGGATGGGTGACACTCGCTGTTGCTTCAGCTTCATCTTGAGCCCACACAGCATCTCCACTACCCAGGTCTCCTCAGGCTCAGGGGCGAGCTCCTTCTCCGGCTCCTCCTCAGATTCATCTGACCACTCCCTCTTCCTTTTCCAGCCAAGGGACCTACATGGGGGGCTGGGATCTACCCCAGGGGCTGAGTAAAGAAACCAGGCCACCGTGTAATGCTTCTGCATCTGATCACCTTAGACCCCGACCCCAAACCCCAAACCACTCTCCATCCTCCCCAGACTTGCAGACTGCTGGCTTCTCTAAGCCATCTTTCTGATTTTCTCCTCTGCTCAACCCCATGTGCCGCTCCTTCCCCTCCCCATTCTTCTCTCTCTCTGTCCTCCGAACACTGCTTCATGTCCTTCCCTGGTCCCTGGCTCTCTGAGTCCCTCCTTTTTTGTTTTGTTTTGTTTTGACACAGAATCTTGCTTTGTCACCCAGGCTGGAGTGTAGTGGTGCAATCTCAGCTCACTGCAACATCCATCTCCTGGATTCCATTTATTCTTCTGCCTCAGCCTCTCAGGTAGCTGGGATTACAGGTGCCTGCCATAATGCCCAGCTCAATTTTGTACTTTTAGTAGAGACAGGGTTTCACCATGTTGGCCAGGCTGGTCTCAAACTCCTGGCCTCAAGTGATCCGCCTGCCTTGGCCTCCCAAAGTTCTGGGCTTACAGGTGTGAGCCACTGCACCCAGCCTGAATTTCTCCATTCTTCCCACACACCCTCCTCAGGTTCTCCTTCCTGACCACTGACCCTTCTTTTCTTTTTTTTCTTTTTTTGGAGTGCAGTAGCGTGCTCTCAGCTCACTGCAACCTCTTCCTCCCAGTCTCAAGTGATTCTCCTGTTTCAGCCTCCTGAGTAGCTGGGATTACAGGTGTGCACCACTACAACTTGGCTAATTTTTATACTTTTAGTAGAGATGGGGTTTCACCATATTGGCCAGGCTGGCCTTGATCTCCTGACCTCAGGTGATCCGCCCGCCTCGGCCTCCCAAAGTGCTGGGGTTACAGGCGTGAGCCACCGCACCCGGCCCCCTTCCTTCGTCTTAGTCAATCCTATCCCACCTCTTCTTCCACCAGTCCCCTCACCTGATGGTCCCAACATTTCATCATCCACCACCTCCTGGAGGGGGTACCCCGAGGTGCTCCGCTGGGGACTCTGCTCATTCTGGGGGTGCGGTTGACGGCTGGTCGTGATCTTTCCCGTAATCTGTCCCCTCTTACGGAACCTAGTCTCCGTTCTGTCCATGGCCTTCTTCTGGACACTTCTAGGATCCAGAAGAGTATGTTATCAATTCTCAAGCCTAGGAGAAGTCAGGAGTAGAGAACAGCTCTGAGAAGATACTGTTGTCCAACTGATCTCCAGGCACCACGGAGTCCGGTCCCTCCAATCAGGAAGGTCGGAATCTCTGATGTCATCGTTCATGCCAACCTGGCAACCAGTTTGAAAAAAAACACATGTAACTGCCAGGCTGATCTCTTGTCCTGGAGATCCTGGGTGAATGGTATCTCCTGCCACTGTCCCAACCTCAGACCATTGTCCAAAAGCATCTTCAGGGACTCCACATCCCTCTATTCCCTGTCCCAGCAGAGGCTGTGTCCTCTCCACTCAAAGCCTGAAGCATGTTGGGGTCTCTTCGTCTCTGTACATGCCCATTTCAGAGTCCAGTCTGGTGGGAGAGGGAACAGAGTGGGAAAGAAAACTAGGGTAAGCAGAAACGATGAAACCTTATAAGAGTGAGAGTATCATGTACAAGAGTGAGATTATCATGTACAAGAGTGAGATTATCACGTACAAGAGATCCCAGGAATACTGACTTGATGAAAAAGTCACATCAGAGCACTCAGTTTGGCAGAGCTTTTCTGCCGAATGTTTACTCACATTCACTGTCCGAGATTCTATACTGGGGGTACACACGTCCTCTGCCCTAAGGCAATTTTGAGTCCAAGAGACATTTTGAGGCCTAAAAATCATAGGAAACTGCCCCTGAGCTCACACATATTTCCAATGGTGTCCCCAGTTTCAGGGAATCCATGGATTACCTAAGCCAGCCCCTCCAGTTCGGCTAAGAAACTCTAGTCTATATATCAAGTTTTGTATCATATGTATTGCTCTGAACTCAGAAATTTCCCTTCCATTTATGGATTCTATGAATAAAATATCACATGTACAAAAAGACTAAGTCAAAAAATTTCAGCTGTGCACAGTGGCTCATGCTTGTAATCCCAGCACTTTGGGTGGCCAAGGGAGGAAGATTGCCTGAGGCCAGCAGTTCGAGACCAGTATAGGCAACATAGCAAGAGCCCATCTCTAAAAAAACAAAACCAAACCAAATTAGCCAGGTGTGGTGGCTGGCACCTGTGTTCCAACTACTTGGGAGACTCATGTGACAGGAAGATCACTTGAGCCCAGGAGTTAGAAGCTGCAGTGAGCCGTGATCTTGCCACTGCACTCCAGTCTGGGCAACACAGCAAGATACTGTGTCAAAAAAATTTTTTTTGATAAAAAATAAAAGAGTTACATGACATTCAGAGACCATCCAAAAAACCTGTGGGTTCCCGGCTGGGCTCAGTGGCTCATGCCTGTAATCCCAGCACTTTGGGAGGCCAAAGTGGGTGGATCACTTGAGGTCAGGAGTTTGAGACCAGCCTGGACAACATGGTGAAACCCCATCTCTACTAAAAATACAAAAAATTAGCCAGGCATGGTGGTGGATGCCTGTAATCGCAGCTACTCAGGAGAGGGCGCTGGAGAATCACTTGAACTCATGGTGCGCAGGTTGCAGGGAGCCAAGATGGCACCATTGTGCTCCAGCCTGGGCAACAAGAGCAAAACTCCATCTCAAAAAAAATAAAGAACCTGCGAGTGAGTTCCCACACGTTTTCCTAATGGGCTGCTGCTTTCCTAGGAGTCTCTCGCTCATAGAAAAGGCACAAACTGAAAGAGGAAGCAGATCCCATTGCTGTGGAAGTCCCATTGTTAGGAAGCTCTGCTTTTCTGGAGTTCAAATTCGCATTCATGACGCTTTAAACCGTCAGAGCTGGGTGGGTCCTCCTACAACAAAATAGTTTGCTCTCTCTCTCCTAGTTAACAGGCTTTCAAATATTAGAAGATCAATGTTCTGACCCCATTAAAATTTCTCTTTTGTGGAATGAAAAGCTCTGATTTAACCCATCTTCAAGGCTGGTTTGATGGAGGAATAGGGGCTGAGTCACCTGCATTTCCCCTCCCTGCACAAAGTCCTGGGCCCAGATCTGGGGTCTGTCTCTGCTGAGGGTGGGGTGAACCAGGAAGCACCTCCTTCTTCATCTCCTTGATGAATGGGTATAATGGTTGCCATGGAACTGGGGCTTGTTTGATGACCTGGGGCTGGGTGGGCCTCTGAGAGCCTTTATAGCTGATTGCCTTTTGGGAGAGGGGAGGTGGGAGCCCCACCCTGTCTCATGAGTCACCCCAAAGGTGCATGGGCAGGCAGGTGCTGGGGAATCGGCTACTCCCCAGAGCTTGGCGTGGCCATCCCTGTGGCCCCTCTGGGAGTCTGGAGCCCATTCCCTCACACTGGTACTCACTGCAGCTGGGGACATCTGCACTAGGAAGACAGGACACGGCATGGAAGCTGGCCTCTGCCCAGAAGCCATGACATTCTGGTCACCAGCCTGATGCTATAAAACGAGTGTCACGGCCGGGCATGGTGGTTCACACCTGTAATCCCAGCACTTTAGGAGGCCAAGGCGGGTGGATCATGAGGTCTGGAGTTCGAGACCAGCCTGGCCAACATGGCGAAATCCCGTCTCTACTAAAAATAAGAACATTAGCCAGGTGTGGTGGCACATACCTGTAGTCCCAGCTCCTCTGGAGGCTGAGGCAGGAGAATCACTTAAACCCAGGAGGCGGAGATTGCAGTGAGCCGAGACCACGGCATTGGACTCCAGGCTGGGCAACAGAGCACGACTCCATCTCAAAAACAAACAAAAAAAAAAGAGTGTCACCTGGGGCTACTTGGCCAGACACAGAGAGCAAGGAGACATCCCTATTATCTGTCAAAAATAATTGTTGGGGCTGAGCACAGTGGCTCATGCCTGTAATCTCAGCACTTTGGGAGGTCGGGGCAGGAGGACTTGAGGCCTAGAGTTTGAGACCAGCCTGGGCAACATAGCGAGCACCCCATCTCCAGAAAAAATTTAAAACTTGGCTGGGCGCAGTGGCTCATGCCTGTAATCCCAGCACTTTGGGAGGCCGAGGGGGATGGATCATTTGAGGTCAGGAGTTTGAGACCAGCCTGGCCAACATGGTGAAACCCCATCTCTACTAAAAATACAAAAATTAGCCGGGCATGGTGGTGGGCACCTGTAATCCTAGCTACTTGGGAGGCTGAGGCAGGAGAATCGCTTGAACCCAGGAGGCGGTGGTTGTAGTGAGCTAGGATCATGCCATTGCAGTCCAGCCTGGACAGCAAAGCTAGACTCCATCTCAAAAAAAAAAGAAAAGAAAAAGTAAAAAATTTAAAAATTAGATGGGCATGGTGACATGTGCCTGTAATCCCAGGTACTAAGGAAGCTGAGGTAGGAGGATGACTTGAGCCTAGGAGTTCGAGGCTGCACAATTATTGTGCCAGACCCCTAGGTTAACAGTGAGGATTCAGTGGGAGAACTAAACAGATAAACAGATCCAGTCCCCGCCCTCAGAGAGTTACAGTTTAATGGGAAAAAGAGACATTCACCAAAGAAGGACACAGCCCACTAGTGAGTTACACTCGAGAGGGATCATTTACAGAACAAAGCAGATTATAAAAATACAGCGATTGGCTGGGTGCAGTGGCTCACGCCTGTAATCCCAGCACTTTGGGAGGCAGAGACGGGCGGATGACTTGAGGTCAGGAGTTCTCAACCAGCCTGGCCAAAATGGTGAAACCCCATCTCTACTAAAAACACAAAAATTAACCAGGCGTGGTGGTGGGCACCTGTAATCCTAGCTACTTGGGAGGCTGAGGCAGGAGAATGAATCGCTTGAACCCAGGAGGTGGAGGTTGCAGTGAGCCGAGACCGCACCATTGCACTCTAGCCTGGGCAACAAGAGCAAAACTCCGTCTCAAAATAAATACATACATACATACATGCATACATACATACAGGGATTAAAATAGTCTAGTACTGACACCTGAACAGACAGATTGATCCAAGAAATGAAACAGAAATTCCAGAAGTTGACCTGAACACACACACACACACACACACACACACACACACACACACGAAGGCGTGAAAGACTCCATGACCCTCAAGGTATAAGATGCATTTTTTTTTTTTTTTGAGACAGGGTCTCACTCTGTCACCCAGACTGGATGCAGTGGTGCACTATCCCAGCTCAGTTCTACCCTCCATCCCCCCAACCTCCCCCAACCACCCTGAGCTCAAGCAATTCTCATGCCTCAACCCTCAGCCTCATGAGTAACTGGGACTACAGGCGTGCACCACCATGCGCAGCTAATTTTTTGTATTTTTAGTAGAGATGGGTCTAACCATATTGCCTAGGCTGGTCTCGAACTCCTGAGCTCAAGCGATCCTCTTGCCTCAACCTCCCAAAGTGCTCGGATTACAGCTGTGAGCCACCGCACCCGGCCGCATTCTTCTAAATCACAGTACATCTGGTTCCCAGTGCCCAGGCTCTCAGGGCAGAGGGTCCAGTGTGATCACTTTGCATGGCCTCTCTCCCCTCCTGAGCTTGTGCCAGGGCCCCAGGGCTGACCTGGAGAAGGAAAATGGCAGAGGGTGAAGATGGGGTGTCTGGTTTGGGGACCATCCTGGCCCCCCTTGTCACTGTTGGCATCTCTTCTGCACAGTGGCATTGCTGGGAGGTGCTTACTGTGCCTATTCAAGGGGCTGGCAGCCGCAGCCTCACTGCAGATCAGGGACTTGGCTTCCCGGTTGACCACAGGTCCAAGAACCTGCAGGGTCCAGCCTCCCCCCCATCCCCAGTCTTCCCCACCCTGGCCCGGCCCTCCAGGTGCAGAAACATGCAGGCCCCTCTCCAGGACTGTGGGAGGAGTGTGTCCCTCAGACTGGCCTGTGTCCTGGCTCCTCTTACCACCTCTTCCAGAGGTTGTCACCTGCAGCTGCCCCAGGATAAAGGCAAGGCCAGAGAGGACTCCTGAACTCCTGTGTGCCTGGGGTGGCAGGGGCAAACATAGCCAACTGGTGGCCTGAGCAGGGCCATGGTGAGGACACCCTTGGTGGCTTGTCCCACATCAAGCTGGGAGGTGACACTGAGGATGCATTAGTCTGCAGCGTATGATAAAAACGGCATTTCAGGCCAGGCGTGGTGGCTCATGCCTGTCACCCCAGCACCTTGGGAGGCCGAGGTGGGCAGATCATATGAGGTCAGGACTTTGAGACCAGCCTGGCCAACATGGTGAAAACTCATCTGTACTAAAAAAACAAAAATTATGTGGGTTGGTGGTGTGCGCCTGTAATCCCAGCTACTTGGGAGGCTGAGGCAGGAGAATCACTTGAACCTGGGAGGCGGAGGCTACAACGAGCCGAAATTGCACCACTGCACTCCAGCCTGACTCCGTCTCAAAAAAAAAAAAAAAAAAAAAAAAAAAAGGCATTTCAGTTCAAATAGGGAAAGGATACATCTTTCTTTCTTTCTTTCTTTCTTTCTTTCTTTCTTTCCTTTCTTTCTTTTTCTTTCCTCCCTTCCTTTATCTCTCTCTCTCTCTTTCTCTCTTTCTTTTTGAGATGGAGTTTCACTCTCGCTGCCCAGGCTGGAGTACAATGGTGCGATCTCGGCTTATTATTATTCTCCATGTTGGTCAGGCTGGTCTTGAACTCCCAACCTCGGGTGATCCGCCTGCGTTGGCCTCCCAAAGTGCTGGTGTGAGCCACTGCACCCGGCTTAGGATGCATTTTTCAATATTTTAGTGTTTGAATAACGGGCTAACTTGAGAAAAAAATAATTTGAATCACACATCACACCAAAAATAAATTCTAGGTGGATTTTAACACTTTCAAAAATTATTATTAGTTTAGAGACAGGGTCTCACTCCGTCGCCTAGGCTGGAGTGCAGTGGTATGATCATGGTTCACTGCAACCTTAAACTCCTGGCCTCATATGATCCTCCGGCCTCAGCCTCTCAAAGTACTGGAACTACAAACATGCACCACCACGCCCAGCCTAGGTGGGTTTTTAAAATCCATTCAAGGGCGGGTGCAGTGGCTCACACCTGTAATCCCAGCATTTTGGGAAGCCAAGGTGGGAGGATCACTTGAGCCCAGGAGTTCGAGACCAGCCTGGGCAACATAGTGAGACCACATCTCTACAAAAAATTTAAAAATGAGCCAGGCATGGTGGTGCACACCTGTCGTCTCTGCTATTCAGGAGGCTGAGGCGGGATCATTGTTTGAGCCCAGGAGACAGATTGCAGTGAGCTATGATGGCACCACTGCATGGCAGCCTGGGTGACAAAGGGAGACTCAGTCTCAAAAAAAAAAAAAAAAAGGTGACAGGCTGGGTGCAGTGGCTCACACCTGTAATCCCAGCACTTTGGGAGGCCGAGGCAGGTGGATCACCTGAAGTCAGGAGTTTGAGACCAGCCTGGCCAACATGGTGAAACCCTGTCTTTACTAAAAATACTAAAGTTGGCCAGGCGTGGTGGCGTGTGCCCGTAATCTCAGCTACCTGGGAGGTTGAGACAGGAGAATCACTGGAACCCCAGAGGCAGAAGCTGCAGTGAGCTGAGATTGTGCCACTGCACTCCAGCCTGGGTGACAGACCGAGACTCCAACTCAAATTAATTAATTAAATTTAAAAAAAAAAGGCAAAGAGGGAGTCCTGCCTGGGTACAGGAGACCTGGGGTTGGGTCCCAGCCCTGCCGCTGACCTGCCCTGGGACTGCAGGAAGTTTCTTTCCCTGCCGGGCCCCAGGTTTCTTCTCATCCATATAATGAGATTAGTCATAACACCTGCCCTGCCCATCTCTGGGGACCCAAGGAGAGGATGAGTCGATGAGCAAGAACGTGTTTTCAAAAAGGGGAAACAAGCCCTTCCCACATTCTGATGTCTGCTTTCAACTGCCTTTTGAAAGGGAGTGAGAGAGGGAAAAATTGTATTATACAGGCCGGACATGGTGGCTCACACCTGGAATCCCAGAACTTCAGGAGGCTGAGGTGGGAGGATCACTTGAGCCCAGGAATTTGAGACCAGCCTGGGCAACACAGTAAGACTCTCTTTCTACAAAAAGTTAAAAAATTAGCTGGGCAGCCGGACACAGTGGCTCACGCCTGTAATTTCAGCACTTTGGGAGGCCGAGGCAGGCAGATCACATGAGGTCAGGGGTTCAAGACCAGCCTGGCCAACATGGCGAACCCCGTCTCTACCAAAAATACAAAAATTAACCAGGAGTGGTTGTGCACGCCAGTAATCCCAGCTACGCAGCAGGCTGAGGCAGGAGAATCACTTGAACCCAGGAGGTGGAGGTTGCAGTGAGCCGAGATCGTGCCATTGCACTCCAGCCTGAACGACAGTGAGACTCTGTCTCAAAACAAACAAACAAACAAACAAAAAATTAGCTGGGCATGGTGCCTTATACCTGCAGTCTCAGCTACTAGGGAGGCTGAAGTGGGAGGATCACTTGATCCTGGGAGGTCAAGGCTGCAGTGAGCTATGATCACACCACTGCACTCCAGCCTGGGCAACAGAGTGAGACCCGTCTCAAAAAATAATAATAATATAATAAATAAAAGAGACCCCAGAGAGCTTCCTTGACCCTTCCACCATATGAGGACACAGCTAGAAGGCACTCTCTACGAACCAAAAACAGACACCAACTCTTCCTAGTTTTTGTTTTTGTTCTTGTTCTTTTTTTTTTAAGATGGAGTCTCACTTTGTCACCCAGGCTGGAGTGCAGTGGTGTGATCTCGGCTCACTACGGCCTCCCCATCCTGGGTCCAAGCGATTCTTGTGCCTCAACCTCCCGAGTAGCTGGAATTACAGGCGCGTGCCACCACGACTGACTAATTTTGTATCTTTAGTAGAGACGGGGTTTTTCCACATTGGTCAGGCTGGTCTCAAACTTCTGACCTCAGATGATCCGCCCACCTTGGCCACCCAAAGTGCTGGGATTACAGGTGTGAACCACTGCGCCCGGCCAGAAGTTTTTCTTGTGAGTTGAGGTGAACATCTGAATCCCCTCGGGGAACTGAGGTATGTCCCCTTCAGGGAATGGTCCCTCTTCATCCAAAAATGGGGCCCACAGGTGATAATCTGTTGGGTTTCCCAGAATGAAGACATCTGGCATAATTAGAGCGTGAAGGTCAGGCTGACGGGGGCTAGCACCCCGATCCAGGGGAGAGGTGGTCACAGGTCTCGCTCCACCTGCCCTGAGCCCCATCTCATCTTTTTTTTTTTTTTTTTTTTTTTTGAGGGGGAGTTTCACTCTTGTTGCCCAGGCTGGAATGCAGTGGTGCGATCTCGGCTCATTGCAACCTCTGCCTCCTGGGTTCAAGTGGTTCTCCTGCCTCAGCCTCCTGCGTAGCTGGAGTTACAAGAACAAGCCACCACGTCCAGCTAATTTTGTATTTTTAGTAGAGATGGGGTTTCGCCGTGTTGGCCAGGCTGGTCTCGAACTCCTGACCTCAGGTGATCCACCCACCTCGGCCTCTCAAAATGCTGGGATTACAGGCGTGAGCCACCATGCCTGGACTTCCATCTGGTAATTTTCTGTCTCGAGGAGGAACTACCCTGCCCTGACAGAGGCTGGGGATGAAGGAGGAAGAGACAGCCGGTCCCCTGGATAAAGAGGTGAGGGGGTGTGAAGTCTGGGAGCCCCCCTCCCAGGGCCAGGCTACAGGGGGACAGCAGGGCTATACCAGGAGTGCCACAGAGCTTGCATTTGGGTGTGATCTAATCCCCAGTCCTGCCCTGACCTCCTGGGTGCTCTTAGCCAAGCCCTCTTCCCTGTGTGTGCTAGAAAGTGAGGGTCACTCCCTTCCACACAAGGGAGTGAATTGAGGGTGGGGATCTGAGCTCTCTGAGCAGCAAAGCTGGACACAGGCCAAATTGCCAATCCTGAGTCCCTCTGTCATGTGGACCTGGGAAGCTTGTCCTCATCCTCCATCCTTCCCCAGGGTGGGGCCTGAGAATCTGAGAACCTTGAGCCTGGGAGGTCAAGGCCACAGTGAGCTATGATCGCACCACTGCACTCCAGCCTGGGCGAAAGAGTGAGACCCTGCCCCCCCAAAAAAAAAATAATAATAAATAAAAGAGACTCCAGGGAGTTTGCTTGACCGGCACTCCCTATGAACCAAAAACAGACACCAACTCCTCCTAGGTTGGTTTTTTTTTTTTTTTTTTTTTTTTTTTTTTTTTTTTTTTTTTTTGAGGCAGGGTCCCACTCTGTCATCCAGGCTGGAGTGCAGTGGTGCCATCTTGGCTCACTGCAGCCTCAACCTCCCAGGCTCGAGTGATCCTCCCACCTCAGGTCCTAAAGGAAGAGTCGCTACATTGGGGACTGTTTGGACAAGGAGATCCACGGGGTAGACTTAGCGGGATTGTCCCTGGGGCAGCCTGGATCCTGAGGCTGCCCCGCCTCCTTCCTCAGCCCCTCCCTGGTCAGGCGCTCCTGGTGGGTGGGGGGGGTAGTCCAGGCTTGTCTTGCAACTGTATGTTCTCTTCAGACCCCTCCCTGGCGATGCCAGATTCACTGGGCTGGCAGATTCTGCCCCCAAACCTGTCCAACCAGTTGTTTGAGAGGAGGGGGTAGCTGGGAGGGGCAGCAGGAGATGCCAGGAACAGCTTCCCCTAGCACAGCACAGACTACAGACAGGGGAGCCTCTGGGGCTGCAGACACTGCAGACGGACGGACAGACAGATGGACAACAGCTGGAGGCTTGGCCCGGCCATAGGGCTCTCTGCGGGACAGTCCCAGCTGCTAGTGTCGCTGTTGCTGCTACTGACCCGTGTCCAGCCTGGGACAGACGTGGGTGAGTAAGGGTGGGGATTGGCACAGGGGTACCCGCTGCATCTCAGGCTGCAGGACAAACCCAAGACCTCACTTTGTTTCCAAATTCTCACACATGGCTCCTGCCTCCTTCCTTTCCCTGAGGAGAGGTTTCCAGATGTCCAGGACAATGCATGTCCCCAGGAAGCTCTGGTAAGCCCAGCCTGGGCAACATAACAAGACCCCTTTTTTCAAAAAGATTTTTTTTTTTAAGATTTTTGTTTTTAATTAGCTGGGTGTGGTGGAGTGCACCTGTAATCCCAGCTACTTGGGAGACTGAGGCGGGAGGATGGCTTGAGCCCATGCAGTGAACTATGAATGCGCCACTGCACTCCAGCCTGGGCCAAACAGCAAGACCCTGTCTCAAAAAAGAAAAGAAAAGAAAAACTGGACAGGCTGAGAGATACAGTCCTACAATCTCTGCCCCCAACCCCAATCTCTGACTGCTCCGCTTCTCTTTTTCTTTTTCTTTTTCTTTTTTTTCTTTCTTTCTTTTTTTTTTTTTTTTTCGAGACAGAGTCTCCCACTGTCACCCAGGCTGGAGTACAGTGGCGCGATCTCGGCTCACCACAACCTCCGCCTCTCGGGTTCAAGCAATTCTCCTGCCTCAGCCTCCTGAGTAGCTGAGATTACAGCCGTGCGCCACTATGTCTGGCTAATTTTTGTATTTTTAGTAGAAACAGGGTTTCACCATATTGGCCAGTCTGGTCTCGAACTCCTGACCTCGTGATATGCCCGCCTTAGTCTCCCAAAGTGCTGGGATTACAGACGTGAGCCACCGCGCCCGGCCTCCACTTCTCTTTCTAAACATTACGTGCCTCCTGCACACAGAGTGCCCTGGGCTTCAGAGATAGGACTGAGAGCTCTAAGAAAGGAATCGTGACAATCCTTCCCCAAGGAAGACTCTAGCCTGAACCTTTGGAGTTGAGTTGAATTCAACGTAAATGAATCAAGTTGAACTGAACTGAACTGAACAGGGGCAGCTGCTGGAGACTCACATAGAAACCCACTCCATCGTTCTGCTTCTCCTAGACCAGTATTTGGGGTTGGGGAGGTCTGAGCTCTCCAACCAGCAAGGCTGGACACAGGCCAAGTTGCCAATCCTGAGTCCCCTTTGGGGTACAGACCTGGGAAGCTTGTCCTCGTCCCCCACCCTTCCCCAGAGAGATGAGGTGGGAGTCTGAGAGGGGGACCTGGTCCTGAAGGCGAAGATGCCTTGGGGCCATGTTGGGAGGCGGCAGAGAACCAGGCAGGTTGAAGAGGACGTTCTAGACTCACTCGGAACCAAGCTCTGGCTCCAGAGCCCCCGGACCCTCTGGGCAGTCTGTGTCCCAGCCTGGGGTCTCAGCCAAGAGGACCTTCCTGTGCCATCCCCCCGACCCCTGCCAAGCCACGCATCCTCTCATCAAGCAAAACAACCTAGACCATGTGGGTGGAGCTGGAGGGACTTAAGTTGGAGGTCACTGGGCATGTCAGGAACAGAGTTCAGCCTAGGGTCAGGCTGCCCCCAAATTCCAGTTCCATCCCAACATGGCCCGGCCCGGGAGAACTGTGCCTACCGCCAGGGTGGGACCTCCCATGCCACCATTGTCCTAGACCTCCCACAGTGCCCACCCCCAGTAGGCTCCTAAGAGAGGGGCCAGGGGCTGGACTCAGGCCTCCCACCCATGCCCATGGGGCATAGAGTTGCCGGGAAAGCTTCCTGGTTCATACCGGACCTGACCTCCCAGGAAGTGCCCGTAACTTGGGGCTCCCATGTTAAGTCTGGATCTGGGCGGGGGGAGACCAGAGCTGTTGGGGCTTGGTTGCCCCATTTGGCCTCTCCTCTCTGCCCTCCCCTTCCAGCTGCCCCAGAGCACATCAGCTATGTGCCCCAGCTCTCAAACGACACCTTGGCGGGGAGGCTCACCCTGTCCACCTTCACGCTGGAGCAGCCTCTAGGCCAGTTCAGCAGCCACAACATCTCTGACTTGGATACCATCTGGCTGGTGGTGGCCCTCAGCAACGGTGGGTGCTGCTGGGGCCAGGCTTCGGTTTTCCCTATGTGAAATGGGCCTGCGGGCCTAAGGGCAGTAGCGGGTGTGTTGCAGGGAGATGCAGGGAGCAGGTGCTGCAGGGGATGGGGCCGGGGAGGGCTGTCAGGCTTGGTAAGGTGAGGGTGGGATCCTGCTGTGTGACCTGTCTGACCATGGTGCCACCCTTAGCCACCCAGAGCTTCACGGCCCCACGGACAAACCAGGACATCCCTGCTCCTGCCAACTTCTCCCAGAGGGGCTACTATCTCACACTGAGGGCCAACCGGGTGCTGTACCAGACCAGAGGCCAGCTCCATGTCCTCCGCGTCGGCAATGATACCCACTGCCAACCAACAAAAATTGGCTGCAACCATCCCCTACCAGGACCCGGCCCCTACAGGTGAGCAGCTCTGCCAGGCCCTGGCTCCTGCCCGCATGCACCCAAGCCGGAGCCTGGGGCAGCTCCTACGAGGCTCACCAGGGCCCCAGCAGGATGCCTGGGTCCCCTGCTCCTGCTTGGCCAAAGGGAAGAGGAAGCAGCAGGCAGGGGCTAGGGAGGCCTTCATGAATTACATGAATTATCCTTCTTCTCTTTTTTTTTTTTTTCCTTTTCTTCTTTTTTTTTTTTTTTTTTTTTGTTTTGTTTTTTGAGATGGAGTCTTGCTCTGTGACCCAGGCTGGAGTACAGTGGTGTGATCTCGGCTCACTGCAACCTGTGCCTCCCGGGTTCAAGCGATTCTCCAGCCTCAGCCTAACGAGTAGCTGGAATTACAGGCATCTGACACCACACCCGACTACTTTTTGTATTTTTAGTAGAGACAGGGTTTCGCCATGTTGGCCAGGTACCTGCCACCATGCCTGGCTAATTTTTGTAATTTTAGTAGAGATGAGGTTTCACCATGTTGGCCAGGCGGGTCTCAACTCCTGGCTTCAAGTGATCTTGAAGGCCCACCTTGGCCTCCCAAAGTGCTGGGATTACAGACGTGAGCCACCATGCCTGGCCTATCCTGCTTTTCTTGAGCAGAAGGTTCCCCACCTCAAGCCCCAGTCCCCACAGGCTGTGTGGACCACTCAGGTGGCGTCTCTCCATCCAGACAGGGTCTCCCCTCACTAAATGCTTGATTCACGCATGTTCAGTTCTGAGACATCTAATACTCGCCCTCTACCTTTCCCAAATGAGGACACAGAAGCCCAGAGAGGGGGAGGGACGTCACACCACTGGAAATGTCACACCTAGATTTGAACCCATTCTGTTGGGCTCTTTCGCCCCAGCCTCCGGCCCCCTCCCCGGGCTGCTCTCGCCAGGGCCTGGGACTCCAGGGGACAGACTTGCAGGCACCAAGTCTGATGGTTTCAGGACTCCGGGGGACCCCCATGTCCAATGCTGGGTCTCCCATTCAGGGTGAAGTTCCTGGTGATGAATGACGAAGGACCCGTGGCTGAAACAAAGTGGTCCAGCGACACTCGCCTGCAGCAAGGTAGGGGCCAGAGGCTCCGGTCAAACAGTAGGGGCAGGGGGCTGGGGCCTGGGGGTCCTGAGGACTGAGGATGGGCTGGGGGAACAGGTCAGCTCACCACTCAGTCAGAGGCAGCCAACCATCTTGCAATCTGCAGGCACCCCTCCCCCAGCCACCCCCTTCCCCCAGGCCTGGGTGGTAGTAGGGGAGGCAGGGCGGTGATTGGTCTGGATTCTGCCCAAGGGCCCCTTCCGGTCAGGTAAAATTTCTTTTCCTGCCCGCCTGTGCGGCCCCCATCACTGCCCTCAGCCCAGGCACTTCGGGCTGTCCCCGGCCCCCAGAGCCCGGGCACCGTGGTCATCATCGCCATCCTGTCTATCCTCCTGGCCGTCCTCCTCACGGTCCTCCTGGCTGTGCTCATATACACCTGGTGAGTGGACCGGGCTGAGACCGCCCATGCCTCTTGGGAGGGGCGGGGCCCTTGGGCATTAACCCCTCCCTCTCTAGTTCCTCCCCGCCCGCCCCTGCCCACCTTCCAAGCGGGCACTGTGCACCCCCTGGTGGCAGCATCTGGGATTGCAAGTGGGTGCCGCCTGCGGACACCCCAGTCGGGGAGGCGCCCAAGGAGGAGGTGAATTGCTTTCACACCAAGCTCTGAGCATTGCCTCAAGACGCCATACAGGCCGGGTGCGGTGGCTCACGCCTGTAATCCCAGCACTTTGGGAGGCTGAGGCCCGCAGATCACCTGAGGTCAGGAGTTCAAGACCGGCCTGGCCAACATAGTGAAACCCCAGCTCTACTAAAAATACAAAAAATTAGCCGGGTGTGGTGGCACGTGCTTGTAATCCCAGCTACTCAGGAGGCTGAGGAAGGAGAATGGCTTGAACCTTGGAGGTGGAGGTTGCAGTGAGCTGAGATTGCATCACTGCACTCCAACCTGGGTGACAGAGTGAGACTCCATTTAAAAAAAAAAAGGGGGGGGTGTCAGGATTTCATACAGAGCTCAGGTGCCTGAGCCTGGGGCACAGAGAGTGTCCACAAGGCTTCCTAGAGAAAAGGGGAGACCTAGCCCTGTTGGGATTTGGGGAGGAGGGGGAGAGGGAGTGACTAAAAAGGGGGTGGGGAGGTGTGGGGGCAGGAGGGGCAGGAGGGGTGCATGCAGCCAGGCCAGGCCAGGGGCCCCAGGTGCCTAGCTGAGGAACTGGGCTGTATCCTGCAGCCTATGGGAGCCGGGAGTGGGTTTTGATCAGGGGAGACAGGCAGATAATGTTTGAGCGGGGTCCTGAGGTGTGGAGGGTGGAGGGGGAGAGTGATGGGGAGCAGGAGCAATGAGCTAGATTTGTGAGGTTTGAAGGAATCGCCTCAGTCCCTTTGGTTAATTCTGCCCAGCCAGTGGAGTCTCAGTTTCCCCTATGCGATGGGTCAGAGCATGCTAGCCAATGGCTGTGGGATCTCGGCCAGAGCCTTTCTTCAGCATCCATCATCTCTCCCTCTCTCCTCCCCTCCCAAGCTTCAACAGCTGCAGGAGCACTTCCCTATCAGGCCCAGAGGAGGCAGGGAGTGTGAGAAGATACACCACGCACCTCGCGTTCAGCACTCCTGCCGAGGGGGCTTCCTGAGGGGTTCCAGAGGGGCCCACGTGTCCCTCCACCTCCTCCCTGGCCCAGGCTGCAGAGCCTGAGCTGGGACACGCCCTGAAGCTTCTGGACCCTGAGAGAGATTGTTTCTTTTCTTTACTATTTTTTTTTTTTTTTTTGAGACGGAGTCTCACTCTGTCGCCAGGCTGGCGCGATCTTGGCTCACTGCAACCTCTGCCTCACGGGTTCAAGCGATTTTCCTGCTTCAGCCTCCTGAGTAGCTGGGACTACAGGCACACGCCACCATGCCCAGCTCATTTTTGTATTTTTAGTAGAGATGGGGTTTCACCATGTTGGCCAGGATGGCCTCCGTCTCTTGACCTTGTGATCCGCCCGACTCGGCCTCCCAAAATGCTGGGATTACAGGCGTGAGCCATCAAGTCTGGTGAGAGAGATTGTTTCTAGATGAGGGTGGGGGCGGGTGTCCTTAGCCCAAAGCTTGTGCCAGTCTCTATCAGAAATAAATGCCCCCAAAACCTCCCTGCCTGTCCGTGACATCATACACCTGGGTAGTCTTTCTGCACCACTGCCCCTGGCTCCTCCTCCTGAGGAGGTCCCCAAGGGCGTGTAGGACCAGGGCAAGGCTCAGGATCCTAGAGAAATTGTCACCTGGGGCAGGACAGGCCTCTCTGCCAGCCTTACTGTCCCTATCTGTAAAATGAGGATGGTAACCCTGAACCCACAAGGCCACAGTAAGGCTAAACCAAGGTGAACATGCCTTGGGAACTGTGAAGACTGTGGACCCAAAGCCGGTTGCGGTGGCTCAGGCCTGTAATCCCAGCACTTTGGGAGGCTGAGGCAGGAGGATCACTTGAGCCCAGGAGTTCGAGACCAGCCTGGGCAACATGGTGAAACCCCATCTCTACAAAAATGACAAAAAATTAGCTGGGCTTGTTGGCGGACTGTGGACCTGAGATAGGTGCTCCTCTTGTCCTGCCCAGACAGCCTCCTGGTAACCAAAGGCCACGGGGCAGCATGGCTGGCACTTGCTATCTTTCCACCCAAGCATCCTCCCTGTGGCCCCTCTCCCCAGCCTGCCCCCTGTTGGCTGGAGGACTTCAAGCCCTCTGCCTCCACTTCCTCCAGTCCTTTCCTAGAGTACACAAAAGGCAAAAGGCGCAGTTTCTTTTTTTTTTTTTTTTGAAATGGAGTTTCACCTTATAGCCCAGGCTGGAGTGCAGTGGCACCATCATAGCTCACTGCAGTCTCTAATTCCTGGGCTCCGGTGATCCTCCCACCTCAGCCTCCTGAGAGTAGCTGGGACTACAGGCACATGACACCACGTCCGGCTAATTTTTAATTTTTTTGTAGACATGGAATCTCACTCTGTTGCCCAGGCTGGAAAGAACAGTGGTGTGATCATAGCTCATTGCAGCCTCAAACTCCTGGGTGCAAGCGATCCTTCCGCCTCAGCCTCCTAAGTAGCTTGGACTATAGGTACATGGCACTATGTCTGGCTAATTTTTTAAATTTCTTTAGCGACGGGGTCTCACTATGTTGCTCAGGCTGGTCTCGAACTCCTGGTCTCAAGTGATCCTCCTGCTGGGATTACAGGCGTGAGCCACTGTGCCCAGCTCATGCAACACTTATCATCAGGATTCCCGCTCAGTGCTCGGACCCCAGGGGCCAGAGATGCCCGCGGCAAGGTTCTGCCCTCAAGGTGCCCACTGCTTTAGGGGGAAGACAGTGATACTACCACATACGAGAGAAGGAGAGGACACAACTGTCAGGGAGATGGACTGTTGGAGCTTCAGAGGCAGCATCTTGGGGAGGGGTGGCTTTGAAGAAGGAGCAGGACACTTGGGCCAGGTGGACCTTGGAAGGGTGCCAGGCAGGAGGAGCAATGTGTTGCTGATGGGCAGGTAGGGGAGGGTGAGGGATGGAGAGGAGACCGGAAGACACCCTGTGCCATGTGGAGGGGCCCTGCCCTCTGGGGCAAGAGGTCAGGGAGGAGGGCGCTGGCTGGGTTCCCAGGCGCCTGCCCCTGAGAGGTGCAAATGGCCCTAATGGGGTTATTAGGTGGAGCAGATGCATCCGGCTCCTGCTGTGGAGGAAATGCTCAAATGATCTTGAAGCTACCAGGCTGGGAGAGGCAGGCAGGGGATGGGGCAGACAGGCTGCCAACCTCTGTGAGATAAGCCCTGGCCTCTCCAGAACCTTTTCAGAACAGCTATGAGCCCCAACCCTGGGGTGAGTGACCCAAGACAGATCACTCACACTCTCTGGGCCTCAGTTTCCCCTTACATAAAAAGCAATGGTTAGGCCAGGTGCAGATGGCTCACACCTCTAATCCTAGTGCTTTGGGAGGCCGAGGTGGGAGGATTGCTTGAGACCAAGAGTTCAAGTCCAGCCTGGGCAACATAGCAACACCCCATCTCTACAAAACATAAATACAAAAATTAAGGCCGGGCATGGTGGTTAAGGCCAGGCGTGGTGGCTCACACTTGGAATCCCAGCATTTTGGGAGGCAGAAGCAGGAGGATCACCTGAGGTCAGGAGTTTGAGACCAACCTGGCCAACATGGTGAAAACCCGTCTCTACACAAAATACAAAAATTAGCCAGCCATGGTGGTGCATGCCTGTAATCCCTGCTACTGTGGAGGCTGAGGCAGGAGAATCACTTGAACCCAGGTGAAGGAGGTTTCAGTGAGCCCAGATCATGCCACTGCACTCCAGCCTGGGTGACAGAGAACAAGACTGTCTCAAAACAAAACAAAAGAAAAATTAGCCAGACATGGTAGTGTGAACCTGCAGTCCCAGCTACTATGGAGGCTGAGGTGGGAGGATCGCTTGAGCCCAGGAGTTGGAGGCTGCAGTGAGCTATGATGGCACCCCTGGACACCAGCCTCTGTGACAGAGCAAGAGCCTGTCTCTAAAGTGAAACATTTTTAAAAGGGAAGGTGAACTGGGTGAACTCTAAGACCCTGCATTTCACAAACCCTTGCCCACACCCTGTATGCGTCGGGCCCTGGCAGGAAACAGATGGTACGCTGTCTCACAGGGCAATTGAGAGCGTTTACAAAGGTGTGGGCAGCATTAGGGGAATGGACCAGAGAGGGTGACCTGGGACTTGGCTGTAATGGGGCCTAAGCACTCCTGGATCTGATTGCTGATGGGAGGGAGGGAGTGATGTTTCCTGATCAGCAGGCAGTAGCCATGGGTGAGGGGCCCCGCAGGAGCAGGGGCTGTAAGTGAAAGGATGAAGCCACCAGAGGGAACTGGGCTCTGTCTTCCCGCCCCCTGATCTCATGCCAGTGCCTCCACTGGCCACACCTCACGAGAAGCAAGAGAGTGTGGGGTCTCAGTGGTGCAGTCCCTGGAGGCCAATCTGCTGGGTCAGAGCAGGACAGAGAAAGCGAAATGGACATACATAGGCACACGCCGCTTTCATGCTGATCCAGTGGAATTAGATCCTTCCTGTTCTTTCTTTTGTTTCTTTCTTTTTTTTTTTTTTTCCTTTTTTAGAGATGGGGTCTCACTTTGTTGCCCAGGCTGGGGTATGGTGGCGTCTTCATAGCTCACTGTAGCACTGAACTCCTGGGCTCAGGCGATCCTCCCACCTTGGCCTCCCAAAGTGCTGGGATTACAGGCACTACAGGCACCTAGCTAACTTTCTTTTTTTTTGTAGAGGCAGGGTCTCTGTCACCCAGGCTTGAGTGCAGTGGCACGATCATAGCTCACTGCAGCCTTGAACCCCTGGGTTCAAGCAATCCTCCCACCTCAGCCTCCCAAGTAGCTGGGATTATAGGTATGTGCCACCACCCAGCTAATTTTTTTATTTTTTGTAGAGATGGGGTCTCGCCATGTTGCCCAGGCTAGTTTGGAACTCCTGAGCTCAAGAGATGCTCCCACCTTGGCCTCCCAAAGTGCTGAAATTACAAGCATAAGCCACCATGCCTGGCCTCCCTTCCTGGCCTTCTGGTCTCCAGACTGGAGAGAGGGCCACAAAGTCCTGCCCAGACAGAGGGCTGCTAAGGCTGGGGTGGGGCTGGGGTTGTGCAGAAGGGACTCTGCAGGGGCTGACCTCTGAGTCTCAGGGGACAGGGCAAATTTTTTTTTTTTTTTTTTTTTGAGATGGAGTCTTGCTCTGTCGCCCAGGCTGGAGTACAATGGCACGATCTCGGCTCACTGCAATCTCCGCCTCCTGGGTTCAAGTGATTCTCATCTCTCAGCCTCCCGAGTAGCTGGGATTACAGGAGTGCACCACCATGCCCAGCTGATTTTTGTATTTTTAGAAGAGATTGGGCGGGGTGGGGGGTGGGGTGCGGGTTTCACCGTGTGGCCCAAGCTGGTCTTAAACTCCTGACCTCAAGTGATCCTCCCGCTTCAGCCTCCCCAGGTGCTGGGATTACAGGCATGAGCCACCGCACCCAGCAGGGACAGGACAATTTTGCCAGCTGGAGAAGGGGTGGCCCCCAAATGTCCCCTTCACCACCCTCCTGCCTCTTCCTTCAGAACACTTTTTCCCTGAAGCCCTCCTGGGTAGCCCCCTACCCACATGCCTCAGCATTGGGAGGTGGGGAGTATGGGGGTCCCCCTTCTCCTCAGCCCCATTTGGAGTAATGTCCTGTGCAGCTGAGCTCACAACTCCTCCTCCACCTGTCCCTTCACCCGGTGTCACTGGCAATTGCTCACTTCCTGGGCCTGCACCCACTCAGCTCCCCTATCCCTGGGCATCAGCCTCAGCCAGCTCCCATGTGGACTAATGACCCTTGTCCCTCCCCTCAGCTGCCTCTCTTTTTTCTTTTTTTTTTTTGTTTTTGAGACAGAGTCTGGCTCTGTCACCCAGGCTGGAGTGCAGTGGCGCGATCTTGACTCATTGCAACCTCCACCTCCTGGGTTCAAGCGATTCTCGTGCCTCACCCTCCTGAATAGCTGGGATTACAGGCACCCGCCACCATGCCCGGCTGATTTTTGTATTTCGGTAGAGACGGGGTTTCACCATGTTGGCCAGGCTGGTCTCGAACTCCCGACCTCAGGTGATCCGCCCGCCTCAGCCTCCCAAATTGCTGGGATTACAGGCGTGAGGCAGCTCGCCCGGCAACCCTCAGCTGCCTCTCATATGTCCTTGGCCCCCTGGCCATCTCTGACCAGACATCTAGGAGGCCCCTCCTGCCAATATGCTTCCCCGACAGCCGAGCCCAAAGCTGTCTCCAGCCCTGCACCTTGTCTTGGTTCCCCGGGTGCTCCCTTTCCCAGGCTGAAGCCTGGACAGCCCCAGGCAACCTCTCTCCCTGACCACAGTACCACCTGGCCACATGCCACACTGCTTTCTACAGCAGACACCGCCTGGCCACAAAGACTTAAGCCACTTCCTTGGGTCCTGCTCAGCGCTGAGCCCAGAGCCCAATCTCAGGGACTGGGAGAGAGCCCAGTACATGGCCAGTGGGATTCTCCCGATGAAAATCCCAGCCATGTGAGTGAGGCTGGCTTCTCCAGGTTCTCTGAGGCCTGTGAGTCCAGGGCTGGCTGGAGGGAAAGCCCCTGGCCCCTTAAAGCCACTGATCATGTTCCCATAGAGGGATCCTGAGAATCCCCTGGGAGAGAAAATGTCGGAGCCCCAGTCCTGGCACCCCCCTGACCAGCTTGGGCCTCAGCCTCCTCATCCATGAAAAGAATGGACAAGAGGGGTCTGGGTGCGGTGGCTCACGCCTGTAATCCCAGCACTTTGGGAGGCCGAGGCAGGTGGATCACGAGGTCAGGAGTTCAAGACCAGCCTGGTCAACATGGCAAAACCCTGTCTCTACTAAAAATACAAAAATTAGCCGGTTGTGGTGGTGCACGCCTGTAGTTGCAGCTATTTAGGAGGCTGAGGCAGGAGGATCACTGGAACCCGAGAGGCAGAAGTTGCAGTGAGCTGAGATTGTGCCACGGCACTCCAGCTTGGGCAACAGAGCCAGACTCCATCTTAAAAAAAAAAAAAAAAGGAGGGACAAGAGGCACCAGAAGCTCCTGTCCAGGTCTGGGCCTCCCTCGGGTCACTCAGTTCTCCCCCATTCATTCATTCATTCACTCACTCACTCACTCACTCATTCCCACACTCTGCAGCCACTGACTTCAGCTAGCCATGCTGGATGCTAAGACATAGAGTCCCGGCCATCAAGGCCAGTCCATCTCAGTGGCATCTAGACATGCACAGAGATGACCAGGGAGCCCCTAAGGGACAGAGAGGCACACCCTGCCTCCTGATCCCATCTGGGGGCTGCATGAAGGAGGGGCACAGGTGTGGCCTTGAAGGCTGGGTAAGGGGCTGGGAGGGCTTTAGGGGCATTCCAGGGGGCAGGCACAGAACTGGAGGCTCTGCCGGGCACACCCACAGGAGAGCAATGGCTGGAGGGTGACATGGACTGCAGGGTGTGGCCGCGGCAGCCCAGCTCTTAAGGGGACAGCCTGGGAAAACAGACTTAGGGACAATGATCTTGAGCCATGAAATGATGTCCAATGCCCCTTGTGCCACCTGACATCAGCCTGATTAATGAACAAACAGAAGAGGAAGCAGGGGACCTGTGTGTCCCTCTCTCTGCTTTTCTGTCTTTCTCTGTGCCCCCTCTCTTATGTCTCTCACGCTGTCTCTTGTCCTTGTTTTTAACTCTGACACGCCGTGGGAACTTGGCTCACTTCCTAGGGGGAAGCTGTCTGGACTGGCCCAGAGATGGGCACCACCATTTCCCAATAAACACAAGATAAAATCAGAGAGCTGGCGTCAGTTCCGCGGCTGGACTCAGTGGGGAAAAGGGCAAAAAGCAGCAGAAATAAGAGCAGGGAAAGAACAGGGGCTGGGTGTGATGGGTCCCATCTGTAATCCCAGCGCTTTGGGAGGCCTAGGTGGGAGGATCGCTTGAGCCCAGAAGTTCAAGACCAGCCTGGGCAACATACGGAGACCCCCATTTCTAAAAAAGTTTTAAAAATTAGCTGGGCATGGTAGTGTGCATCTGTGGTCCCAGCTACTCAGGAGGCCGAGGTGTGAGGATCGCTTGAGCCCAGGAGGTCGAGGCTGCAGTGAGCTATGATTGCATCACTGCACTCCAGCCCGGGCACAGAGCAAGACCCTGAGACCTTGTCAGAAAGAAAGAAAGAGAGAAAGAGAGAGGAGAGGGAGAGGGAGAAAGAAAGGGGGGGGGGGAGAGAGAGAGAGATGAAAGAGAAGGAAGGAAAGAAAGAAAGGAAAGAGGAAGGAAGGAAGGAGAGGGGAAGGAAGGAAGGAGGGGAAGGAAGGAGAGAGAGAGGAAGGAAGGAAGGAGGGAAGGGAAGGAAAGGGGAGGGGAGGGGAGGAGAGGGAGAAAAGAAAGGAAAAAGAACAAGTGGATATCAGGGGACAGAAACCATTCGCAGCCCATCCCTCGGCAGATGCAGAGGGAGTCAGCCTGGAACCCCCACCCCTGCTGGCTGTGCCCCACCGCTGTCTCCACACCCCAGCCCTTCCTCCAGACACCCAGCCGTCCACTGCAGCAGGAGCACAGGTGCCCCAAGGGGACCACTGTTGGAAACCAGGCAGCCCTCCACTCACCCACACAGTGTGTCTCTGCACCCCCTCTTTGACATGGGAGCCGGGGCGCTCTTGGAAATAAGGGTTTACCTGAGGGGTCTGAAGACTTGGGCAGTGGGGGGCTGTGAAGCCTTGGGGAGGGAATCAGCTTGTCCAAGAGTCTGGGGCAGCGAGTGGTCGGGGGCTACCCGGTCTGACCCCATCAAAGTAACCTTCCTGGGGGATATTTCCATTGCAGGGTCACAAAAAGGCAAGGGCTAAGGTTCGAGAGAGGGGTCTCTCTGGGGTCCCAGCCACCCTGCTGTGGGGGCCCTTCCCAAGCAGGACACTCCAGGCAAAGGGGATGGCTTCCCCTTGCTCCCAGGACCCATAGGTGAGGTCCTGGCTGAAATGCAGACTGTCCCCAGATGCCCCTGGGGACTTGTAGGGATTTGGGGGATTCAGTGTTGCAGGAGCTGGAACCCTTGCTTGCTGGACGGGTTTGAGCTGTGCTGTCAGGCCCAAAGCTCCTGGGTCTCCAGGATGGTGCATGAGGGCTCACACCAGCTGCTCCCTGCCACCCTTCCCCCACCTCCCACCCCTTCTCCTGGAGCCCCAGTCCTCTGGTCCTCCAAGCTCAGCTTCAAATGCTTCCACCACTTCTGTCTCTTCTACCTCGAGTGGTTTGTCAACCTCCAAATCACACGGAGTTCAAGAATATCTCAAATATCGACCAGGTGCGGTGTCTCACACCTGTAATGCCAGCACTTTGGGAGGCCGAGGCGGGTAGATCACCTGAGGTCAGGAGTTCGAGACCAGGCTGGCCAACTTGGTGAAACTCTGTCTCTACTAAAAATACAAAAATTAGCCGGGTGTGATGGTGGGTGCCTGTAATCCCATCTACTTGGGAGGCTGAGGCAGGAGAATCTCTTGAACCAGAGAGGTGGAGATTGCAGTGAGCCAAGATTGTGCCACTGCACTCCAGCCTGGGCAACAGAGTGAGACTCTGTCTCAACAACAACAACAACAAAAAGAATATCTCGAATACAAAAATTAGCTGGCCGTGGTAGTTTACACCTGTAATCCGAGCTACTCAGGAGGCTGAGGCAGTAGAATCTCTTGAACCTGGGAGGCAGAGGTTGCACTGAGCTGAGATAGCGCCACTGCACTCCAGCCTGGGTGACAGAGCAAGACGTCATCTCGAAAAAAAAAAAAAAAAAAAAGAGTATATCGAATCCAAAGGAATATCTTGAATACAAAAATTAGCTGGGCATGGTGGCACACGCCTGTAATCCTAGCTACTCAAGAGGTTGAGACAGGAGAATCGCTTGAACCCAGGTGTTGGAGGTTGCACTGAGCTGAGATTGCGCCACTGCACTCCAGCCTGGGTGACAAAGCGAGACTGTGTCTCAAAAAATAAATAAATAAATAAAATACAAAATTAAAAGAAAGATTATCTCCTGGCCACCCATGGTGCAGGCTGTAATCTGTCTCTGCTGGGGTGAAGGGACGGAGGGAGACAGATGAGAAATGAGAACACAGACCTGGAGACCCAGACCACCCATGCCAGCTACCCAGGTCACTTCAGCCCAGCCCAGGGAGCCCCTGCCCAGCACAAGCCTCATGCACAGTAGCAGTGTTAAGATGGGCCCTTGGGCTGGGTGCAGTGGCTCACACCTGTAATCCCAGCACTTTGGGAAGCTGAGGTGGGTGGATCACTTGAGGTCAGGAGTTCGAGACCAGCCTGGCCAACATGGCGAAACCCTCGTCTCTACTAAATATACAAAAATTAACTGGGCGTGGTGGTGAGTGCCTGTAATCCCAGCTATTCGGGAGCCTGAGGCAGGGCAATTGCTTGAACTCGGGAGGCGGAGGTTGCAGTGAGCCGAGATCGCACCACTGTACGACAGAGCAAGACTCCGTCTCAAAAAAACAATAAAAAGAATTGCTGGAGGAGGGAAGTGAGGGGCGGCTGGCGGGGGACTGCTGGGCTGGTGCAGAGGGAGTCAAGGATCCCTAAGAGAGAGGCAGGGGTGTTCAGCTCTCCCACCTCTGCTGGATGAACTTGCAGAGCCTCCTTGGTGACCCAGCCGGTGCAGAGACTCTGCTCAGGACAACACCCTTGCCTGGGACCCCCACATCTCTGGCCCCAGCAGCAGCCCTTGGGGGGGTCCCTTTATCTTCCTCCACTCCTACCCAGGCTTCCTCAGCAGGAGATGAGGCAGGACATTTCCACTCCCTTTCTGGAAGGTTCAGAAGGTTAATGAGAGCTAAGCACGTAAGTCCATTTAGGGGGATGAACTTCTGGGAAGAGAGGAACCTGGGTCTGGGCTGACGTCCAAGGGCGGGCTGGGTGACGGTCCCTCTGATCACGGACCCTGTCCACCCACTGCCCAGGGCCCTGCCTCGACCCCTCTGACCAGCCACCGAGCCCCAGAGGGATCTCCATGAATGTCAGAGACATTGACTGGAGGCCTTATCTCCAGTGGGAGACCCCTTCTCTTCCCACTGTGGGCCGGTTCCAGCCTGGGCTGTCCAGGAAGTGACCTCTCAGGGCCTGGGAAGGGTGTGGCCAGTGGTTCTTGGTTGTACTCAACTCATCTGCCTTGGGTCTAAGGCTGGGGTGAATGGAAGGGCCCACCTGGACCCTGGAGGGACACCAGGCTCATACTAAAATCCCAAAAAGTGAAAAGCTTTCCCCAGGCCCAAGCAGAGAAACTGGACCTTGAAGCTACATCTCTGGACTTAGTCCTCAAAGTAGGAGACATTTGCCTCTAAGCTGTTCTCTCCCACCCCACCTTTCTGTGAGCCGCCGGTTCCCTGTTGTCCACATCAAGCTGTGTGCTGGGCACTGGGTGCAGGAATAGCTTGACCACAGTCTCTATCCTGGGGGTAAAGGGGTGACCAGCCCACAGAGGGATGGACTGCAAACAGACAGTCCCAAAGTGCCATGAGAGAAGCTCTCAGGGCCTGGGCGTGATGGTTCATGCCTGGAATCCCAGCACTTTGGGAGGCCGAGGTGGGTGGATCAGTTGAGGTCAGGAGTTCGAGACCAGCCTGGCCAATAAGGTGAAACTCCATCTCTACTAAAAATAAATAAATAAATAAATAAATAAATAAATAAATAATACAAAAATTAGCCGGGCATGGTGGCATGCACCTGTAAACCCAGCTACTTGGGAGGCTGAGGCAGGAGAATCACTTGAACCCCAGAGGCAGAGGCTGAAGTGAGCCAAGATTACGTCACTGCATTCCAGCCTGGGTGACAGAGCGAGACTCCATCTCAAAAAAAAAAGAAAAAAAAAGAGAGAGAGAGAGACAGAGGCTCTCAGCCTGCAGGAAAGGGCTCTCTCCTTGTTGGCCAAACCAGTGGGCCCTTTAGCTGTGACGGGTGTGCCCTGGGCCCACCAGGACAGGAGCAAGGTCAGGAGGGCTGCTCTGCTCTGCAAAACAGAGGCTGATGGATCTGAAGTTTCTGTTACTGGGAGAATAAAGGGAGGTGAAGGAGACACGTGGTAGGTCCCCTGGGAAGGTGGTGGGAATGCGTGTGAAATGCTCGGAGAGGCACAGTAAGAACCGGCCTGTTTAGAATCCAGTGTTCTACGCCTGCCCCAGGCCCCAGCAATTCTGCTTCTAGACATCTCCCCATGAGAAATGAGCACTGAGCCTCCCAAACATGTCTTTTGGGAGGCCAAGGGGAGCGGATCACTTGAGGTCAGGAGTTCGAGACCAGCCTGGCCAACATATTGAAACCCCGTCTCTACTAAAAATACAAAAATTAGCCAGGCCTGGTGGTGGGTGCCTATAGTCCCAGCTACTCGGGAGGCTGAGGCAGGAGAATCGCTTGAACCCGGGAGGTGAAGGCTGCATTGAGCCAAGACTGCGCCATTGCACTCCAGCCTGGGCCACAGAGTGAGACTCCGTCTCAAAAAAAAAAAAAAAAAAAAGACATGTGCAAGAACATTCAGATCAGCCTTCTTCATAACAGACCCAAACAGGAAACAACAGACGTTCATCCACAGGCTAGTGAAGAGGCAGGTTGTGAGGCCTCCGCCCACACCGTAGAATGCTATTCAGCAACATGGGTGACTCCCCTGCATGTAACATTGGCAAAGAAGCCAGGCACAAGCAAATATACACTGTAGGATTCCATTTATATAAAGAGCAAAAGCAGGCAGGAGGGCCGGGTGGGCACAGTGGCTCAGACCTGTAATCCCAGCACTTTGGGAGGCCAGTTGTGGGGGGTGAATCGCTTGAGCCCAGGAGTTTGAGACCAGCTTGGGCAACATAGCAAGACCCCATCTTAAAAAAAATAAAAAATTAGCCGGGCGTGGTGGTGCAGGCCTATCATCCCAGCTTCTCAGGAGGCTGAGGCAGGAGGATCACTTGAGCCCAGAAGTTGGAGGCTGCAGTGAGCTGTGATTGTGCCACTGCACTCCAGTCTGGGCAACAGAGTGAGACCCTATCTCAAAAAAGCAGGTGGGAGTAATCCATGGCAATAAATTGGGGTAGAAGTTATTCCTGGAGGTGGTGATGACTGGTATGGGACACAAGGAAGCCACCTGGGGCTGGGAATGTTCTAGTTCTTGATCTGGGAGATGGTCATGCAGTCGTAGGCCTGTGTAAGACTTCCTCGAGCTGTCCACATAAGATTTGTGCACTTTAGCTGAATGTGGTGGCTTACACCTGGAATCCTAGCACTTTGAGAGGCTGAGGTGGGCAGATTGCTAGAAGCCAGGAGTTCGAGACCAGCCTGAGCAACATAGTGAGCCCCCTGACTCTAAAAAAAAAATTTTTTTTTTTAATTATCTGAGCATGCTGGCATGCACCTGTAGTCCCAGCTACTTAGGAGGCCGAGGTGGAAAGATTGCTTGGGCCCAGGAGATTGAGGCTGCAGTGAGCTATGATCACACCACTTCACTCCAGCCTGGGCAACGGAGCGAGACCCTATCTCAAAAAAATAAATAAAATATTTGTGCAGTTCTCTGTATGGAAAATGTCCGCGTCTATCCAGCAAGCATCCATGGAGTAGTCCGGAGAATTGTGGGTTAGCAAGACACTGGGTGGCGTCAGGCACTGGAGGGATGGGGGAACAGCCATGCAGAAGATCCCAGGCAGAGCCAAGGCAGAGATGCAGGGGGATGGTGGGGGGCCTACTGGGGACGGCTAAGTGGTGGGGGGACACCAGTGATCCAAGGGCTGGGGGCATCTAGAGGCCAGGGTTCCAGTTACCCACAGTGCCCAGGATCTGTGGGAGTAGTGGATGGGGGAGTAGTGGATGGGCAAGGGTCAAGCTGAAAAACAAGAGCCGTCACCCTCACCCTCCCATGCCCCCACTGTGGCTCCATCCTGGCTCCTGGTTCTCATCAGCCGAGCCGGGGCCCTTTCCCCGGCTGGGGGTGGCCATGGCGCCAGAAGCCACGACAGGTTTACGTTCCAGCCGCAGCTGCACTGGCCCCATCCCAAGTCCCCTCGCTTGCACACACATTTTTCTCCTTGTGGAGTCAGAAGAGGCCTGGCCAGGTCCTGCACAGGGTTCTGGAGGCGAGAGTCCCCTTGGAATCACGTTGTCTCCCCCAGCCCTGGGCCGTCTCTGCTCGGGGAGTGCCCTCAGAGCTGCACCTGGACTCTTTCCCCCACTTCCCAGCCCTTCCTCCTGTTCTTTCTCCCAGCCCCAGCTCTTCTCCTTCAAGCCCAGCTCAGGTGCCGCCTCTTCCAGGAAGCCCCCTGGGACCATCTCCAGTCTCAGTGGGAGCAGTGTGTCCTTGGTTGCTCCCAGAGTCTATAGCAGAGATCTGGACCCAAGACTCTGGACTCCCGGCTTTGGGCTGGCAGGTAACACCCACTCCTGGGGCTTCACTTGCCTTGCTACGTGTCAGTTTCTCACTTTGAGGGGGGCAGCAGTATTCACCCACAGGGGCTGGGGCTGAGGGGATTAAGGGACTGCAGCTCCAGGAGGCCTCAGAGGAAAGGGTACAGGTGGGATGCAGTGGCTCACAGCTCTAATCCCAGCACTTTGGGAGGCCAAGGTGGGAGGATGGCTCAAGTCCAGGAGTTGGAGACCAACCTGGGCAACACAGTGAGACATCATCTCTACAAAAAATTTAGAAGTTTTTTTCTTTTTCTTTTCTTTTTTTTAATTATTATTTTTTTGAGACAGAGTCTTACTCTGTCACTCAGGCACTCTGTCATCTCAGCTCAGTCAGGCACTCTGTCATCTCAGCTCACTGCAACCTCCACCTCCCAGGGTCAAGTGATTCTCGTGCCTCAGCCTCCGGCGTAGCTGGGGTTACAGGCATGAGCCATCATGCCCAGCCCTCCAAAAAGAAAAACAATAACAACAACAACAATTTTGGCCGGGCATGGTGGCTCACACCTGTAATCCCAGCACCTTGGGAGGCCGAGGATCACTTGAGGTCAGTAGTTGGAGACCAGCCTGGCCAACATGGTGAAACCCCGTCTCTGCGAAAAACACACAAAAAATTAGCTGGGTATGGTGGCAGGTGCCTGTGATCCCAGCTACTTGGGAGGCTGAGGCAGGAGAATTGCTTGAACCTGGGAGGCAGAGGATGCAATGAGCCAAGACCACGCCGCTGCACTCCAGCCTGGGGAACAGAGCGAGACTCTGTGTCAAAAAACAAACAAACAAACAAACATTTTAAAAGAAAGAAAGAAAAAAGGGAAAGGAGAGCATCAGAGTCTAAGACCACACAGAAACCCTCTCTTTACTGCAGTGCTGAAGCCCTCGTGGCAGCCATGCCCTGCTCACTTTTGGGATACCCATGGACTCAGGGCACGTCCTAAGGTGACACCTGTCACCAGCCCTATGCCTGCCTCTGTCCACCTTCGCCTCTGCTGGAGACCATTCTCAGACACCCCTGAGATGCCCAGAGGGGACCTGCAACCTCTTCCCACCCCACCTCCCACAAGGGGTCCCTGGGAAAACTGGGGGTAACATTCCCCCCACCCTCACCCCTACTTCAGTCTGGGTGTTCAGAGCAGCCCTCTCTGTCTCTGAATTTTCTCTTTTTTTCCTTTTGGAGACGGAGTCTCACTCTGTCACCAAGGCTGGAATGCAGTGGCGCAATCTCAGCTCACTGCAACCTCCATGTCCCGGGTTCAAGCGATTCTCACACTTCAGCCTCCCAAGTAGCTGGGATTATAGGTTCACGCCACCACTCCTGGCCTCTGAATTTTCTCTCTTGGTGTTTTGTTTTTGTTTTTGTTTTTTTGACAGAGTTTTGCTCTTGTTGCCCAGGCTGGAGTGTAATGGCTCTATCTCCGCTCACTGCAACCTCCGCCTCCCAGGTTCAAGCGATTCTCCTGCCTCAGCCTCCCGAGTAACTGGGATCACAGGCACCTGCCACCACACCTGGCTAATTTTTTGTATTTTTAGTAGAGACGGGGTTTCAATATGTTGGCCAGGCTGGTCTCGAACTCCTAGCCTCAGGTGATCCACTTGCCTTGGCCTCCCAAAGTGCTGGGATTACAGGCATGAGCTTGAATTTTCTCTTTCTGATTTCCTGTCTCTCTGCCTCTGACTATGTTTCTCCATCTGTTTCTCTCTGTCTGTCTGTCTGTCTTTCAGAGCAGGGTCTTTCTTTCTGACATCTGCAGGGCTGGGGGCTGTGCTAGGAGGGGGGTGAATTTGTCATTGTGACTTTGCAGCTCCTTATCTATGAAGTGGACAGGACACCAGCATCTAGTCCTGGAGTCCTTGGTGAGGACCTGGTGTGTTGAGGCTGGCCGGTGCAGAGTTAAGGGTTCAGTCCATGATTTCTGCATCCATGAAAGGGGGATGGTGAGGCTGGGCATGGTTGCTCATGCCTGTAGTCCTAGCGTTTTGGGAGGCCGAGGCGGGTGGATGACTTGAGGTCAGGAGTTCAAGACCAGCCTGGCCAACATGGTGAAACCCTGTCTCTACTAAAAATACAAAAATTAGCAGGGCACAGTGGCTCATGCCTGTAATCCCAGCACTTTGGGAGGCTGAGGCAGGCGCATCACTTGAGGTCAGAAGTTCAAGACCAGCCTGGCCAACATGGCAAAACCCTGTCTCTACTAAAAATACAAAAATTAGCAGGGTGTGGTTGCACACACCTGTAATTCCAGCTACTCGGGAGGCTGAGGCAGGAGAATCACTTGAACCCGGGAGGTGGAGGTTGCAGTGAGCCGAGATTGCACCATTGCACTCCAGCCTGGGCCACAGAGCGAAACTCCGTCTCAAAAAAAAAAAAGGGGGGGGGTGGGGGGTGGATGGTAAGAACAGCCCTGCTCCTCTGCTTCTGGGGATTAACGTGAGGATGTCCTGAGTGCTTGCCCCAGGGAGGTGCCCTCTGCGGTCTGGTGACCAAGTGGCTCACCAGCACACTCTGTTCCCAGCCACTCTGCGGGGTGCAGCCACCATTGCCCCACTCTACAGATTAGGCAGATGAAGCCCAGAGAGGCTGAATAACTGGCCCAGTCACACAGCAGCTCCTATCATAGCAGTGGAGGTAGGATTTGAACTCAATTGTCTGGCTCCAGAGCCTGCGATCTTCACTGTGGACCTCGTTTTTTTGTGGTTTTTGCTTTTTGTTTTTGGAGACAGGGTCTTGCTCTATCACCCAGGCTGGAGTGCAGTGGCACAATCACAGCTCACTGCAGCCGTGACCTCTGAGCTCAAGCGATCCTCCCACCTCTGCCTCTCGAGTAGCTGGGACTACAGGTGTGCACCACCATGCCTGGCTAACTTTTTTATTTTTCGTAAAGGCAGGGTCTCGCTATGTAGCCTAGGCTGGTCTTGAACTCCAGGCTTCAAGCGATCCTTTGCCTTGGCCTCCCAAAGTGCTGGGATGACAGGCATTGAGCCACCAAGCCCAGCCTGTGGACCTTGGCTTTAAAACTGTTATTCAATGGTATCTGTCTAAATGGTGCAGTAGGAGTGTCAAGATTGGTGGGGTAGGGGGAAGCTGGGGATAGAGCCCCATCTGGCCTCTGATGACTCCCAGCCTGCCCCTCTGGCCAGCCAGGATTTTTTTTGTTTTTGAGACAGAGTCTTGCTCTGTTGCCCAGGCTAGAGTGCAGTGGCATGATCTCGACTCACTGCAACCTCTGCCTCCCGGGTTCAAGTGATTCTCTGCCTCAGTCTCCCGAGTAGCTGGGATTACAGGCAAGCAATACCATTTCGGGTTAATTTTTGTATTTTTAGTAGAGACGGGGTTTCATCATCTTGGCCGGGCTGGTCTTGAACTCCTGACCTCGTGATCCACCTGCCTTGGCCTCCCAAAGTGCTGGGATTACAGGCATGAGCCACCGCTCCCGGCCAGGACTTCTTAACATACAGCTGTCACTTGGCCCAGAGCCTGCCAGGGATCCTTGTGTCCCTGGCTCCTGTGCCCAGCTTTTGCGGGTTCACAGCTGGACTCCTCTGGCCTTCGGAGAGGGCTGCCCTTGCCACCCTCTGCACCTGCCACCCAACTTCCTCCTCATCCCCTGCTCCTGCCTCCTATCCAGTTTTCTGGGCTTCTCCTTCTTCCTCCAGCAATGCCTTCGGTCTCATTCTTCCAGGACCTGCCTCCTCCCAAAGTCCTCTCTGGGGGCTCTGGGCCATGGCACAGCAGGACAGCCACCAGAAGCCACTGTCAGAGTCTGATGGGTGAGGACGGAAGGTGGCTCAGGAGTCCTTCCTTAGGGCAGGGACAATTTTTTCCAGGAGAGGTGTGAGGCCTCCAGCTCCTAAAACTCCTCGAGGTTTAAGAGCGGGAAATGCTTTGGCTCCAAAATATTAAAACTGCAACATTAAAAAATAGTAAATGTTTACTGAAATGTCTTCTAAATATAACTTTATGTCAGTTTCATCCATTGTTAAATTTAGTATTTCAAAATGCATCACTGCGCATGAAAACAATTCGTAGGTCACGTTTTCTCACTTTGGAAGAATCCTAAGATTCTCAAGAATGCATGATGTTGGTAGAGAAGTCAAGGCCAGGAGCAAATCAAATGAGTTACTTGCCCCCAAACCGCTTTGAAAGTTGTTATAAAATTCTTTTCAATTGTTTTATATTGCCAAAATATATTACAGAGTTGGGGTATGGGTGCATTTTTTTTATTCTGGTAAAAAAACACATAAGGTTTACCATCTTAACTATTTTATTTATTTATTGTTATTATTTTGAGACGGAGTCTCACTGTGTCTCCAGCCTGGAGTGCTGTGGTGCCATCTGGTCTCACTGCAAGCTCCGCCTCCTGGGTTCAAGTGATTCTCCTGCCTCAGCCTCCCGAGTAGTGGGACTACAGGTGTGCACCACCACGCCCAGGTAATCTTTGTATTTTTAGTAGAGACGGGGTTTCACCATGTTGGCCAGGATGGTCTCCAACTACTGACCTCAAGTGATCCTCCCGCCTCGGCCTCCCAAAGTGCTGGGATTACAGGCGTGAGTCACCGCACCCAGCCCATCTTAAGCTTTTTTTTTTTTGACGAGGTCTCTCTCTGTCGCTCAGGCTGGAGTACAGTGGTGCCATCTCAGCTCACCGCAACCTCCACCTCCCAGGTTCAAGCGATTCTCCCTGCCTCAGCCTCCTGAATAGCTAGGACTACAGGCGTGCACCACCACGCCCAGCTAATTTTTATATTTTTAGTAGAGACAGAGTTTCACCATGTTGGCCAGGCTGGTCTCAAACTCCCGACCTGAGGCGATCCACGCACCTCGGCCTCCCAAAGTGCTGGGATTCCAGGCGTGAGCCACCGCCCCTGGCCCATCTTCACTATTTTTAAGTGGACAGCACAGTAGTATTAACTATATGCACATCTCTGGAACTTTTTCACCTTGCAATACTGAAACCCTACACTCAACAAACAACTCGCTTTCCCTGCCCCGCTCCAGCCCCTGAAAACTTCTACTCTCCTTTCTGCTTCTGTGAATTGTACTATTCCAGATACCTCCCATAGGTGGAAGCAACCACTATTTGTCTTTCTTTGTAACTGGCTCATTTCACTTAGCATTATGTCTTCAAGTTTCATCCATCTTTTAGCATGTGTAAGAATTTCCTTCCTTGCTTTTTTTGTTTGTTTGTTTGTTTGTTGAGACTGAGTTTCACTCTTGTCACCCAGGCTAGAGTGCAATGGTGCGAACTGGGCTCACTGCGACCTCTGCCTCCCGGGTTCTCTTGCCTCCCGGGTTCTCAAGCAATTCTCTTGCCTCAGCCTCCAGAGTAGCTGGGATTACAGGTGCCTGCCACCACGCCCGGCTAATTTTTGTATTTTTAGTAGATATGGGGTTTCGCCATGTTGGCCAGGCTGGTCTCGAACTCCTGACCGCAGGTGATCCACCCACCTCGGCCTCCCAAAGTGCTGGGATTACAGGTGTGAGCCACCACGCCTGGCCTCGTTTTTGTTTTTGTTTTTGGAGACAGAGTTTTGCTCTGTCGCCCACGCTGGAGTGCAGTGGTGCGATCATACCTCACTGCAGCCTCCCCTCCTAGGCTCAAGCAATCTTCCTGCCTCGGCTTTCTGAGTAGCTCGAACTACAGACACACACTACCATGCCTGGCTAATATTTTTATTTTTTGTAGCAAAGGGGGGGGGGTCTCATTATGTTGCCCTGGCTGGGCTTGAACTCCTGGCCTCAAGTGATCCTCCGATCTCAAGCCTCCCAAAGTGCTGGGATTATAGGCGTGAGCCGCTGTGCCCAGCCTCAAACACTTTTTCTTTCAACGACATTGACCTATAGTGAATATCAAAAGCATGCACTGAAACTCAAGAGCTGCCTCCTCTCCTGTGCCAGGATGCACTGTAACTTTTGTGAGCCCTAGGCATGTTTGACTTATATGGGTTAAGATATTCAAATACGGCTAGGCACGGTGGCTCACGCCTGTAATCCTAACACTCTGGGAGACCGAAGTGGGCAGCTCACCTGAGGTCAGGTGTTTGAGGCCAGCCTGGCCAACCTGGTGAAACTCCATCTCTACTAAAAATATAGAAATTACCCAGGCGTGGTGGCAGGTCCCTGAAGCTCTGGCTACTCGGGAGGCTGAGGCAGGAGAATGCCTTGAGTCAGGGAGGCAGAGGTTGCAGTGAGCTGAGATTGCGCTACTGCACTCCAGCCTGGGTGATAGAGCGAGACTCCACCCCAAAAAAAAGAAAAAAAAAAAGATATTCAAATGTGTATTTTACAACTGCTTTGGCATAAAGACTGACTGATACCAGTCAGGTCAGATTCATTATTACATATTCATTACTATTATACTCCTGTTTGACTAGGCATGGTGGGCTCACATCTGTGGTCCCAGCCCTTTGGGAGGCCAAGGCAGGAGGATAACTTGAGGCCAGGAGTTCTAGACCAGCCTGGGCAACATAATGAGACCCCCCCATTTCTACTAAAAATAAAAAAAATTAGCCAGTCGTGGTGGTATGCATCTGTAGTCCCAGCTACATGGGAGGCTGAGGTGGTAGGATTGCTTGAACCCAGGAGATTGAGGCTGCAGTGAGCTATGATTGCACCACTGCACTTCAGCCAACAGAGCAAGACCCTGTTTCAAATGCATACATACATACATACATACATACATACATACATACATACACACACACACACACAAACCAACCAATACAAAAAATACATATTTTTTTTCTTCTGATTCTAAAAAACATAAAAACAGCCAGGCACGATGGCTCATGCCTGTATTCCCAGCACTTTGGGAGGCCGAGGTGGGCAGATTACCTGAGGTCAGGAGTTCAAGACCAGCCTGGCCAACATGGTGAAACCCCGTATCTACCGAAAATACAAAAATTAGCTGGGCGTGGTGGCGCGTGTCTGCAATCCCAGCTACTTGGGAGGCTGAGACAGAAGAATTGCTTGAAACCGGGAGGTGGAGGTTGCAGTGTCCCCCACCCGCTCCTCCAGGGGCGCCCCCCTCGAGCCACCGCGCCGGCTGCCCGGCGAGTGTCAGCGCCTCCTCACAGGCCCCGCCCCTCACGCCCCAGACGGCCAATGAGAGCTGCGGCCCCGGCCGGCCCCTCCCCGCCCTGGGGAACCCCGGTCGCGGATTGGCCGGCCCGGGCGCAGTGTCCCCCGCACGTGGGGCGGGGGCGGGGTGAGTGGAGTGGCAGCGAAGCCCCGCCCCCGCCGCCCCGCCCCCGCCCCCGCCTCCTCCCCGGCCCGCCCCCCCTGCGGCGCCCAGTCCAGCGCCCGCCGCCCGCCACCCCGGACCCCGGTGTCTGGCTTCCCCCGAGCCGGCACCCCGCGATGGCCAAGCGCAGCTCGCTGTACATCCGCATCGTGGAGGGGAAGAACCTTCCCGCCAAGGACATGTGAGCGCGGCCGGGGGTGGGAGCCCCAACTTTCCGGGGAGGGGCACTGCCCCCCAGGACGCCTGACCTTTCCGGGGTCCACCCACAAGAGCAGCGGAGAGGGTGCGGGAGTGCGGCCGTGGTGGGGGATCGGCGGGGAAAATGGGGACAGTGACATTTTCTGCGAGCACCAGACGGGGTGACAACCGGGGGGCGGGGAAGTGTCACCGAGGGCTGGGGGCTGGGAACTAGGGAGGGGGCGAGAATTTGTCAGCGATCCGCGGCTCACGAGGGGAAGGGGCTTTGATACGACAGGAGCTGGAGCCTGGTGACATGCCAGGGGAGACGTCTTGGTGATCTGCCCCCGGGGTGGGGTTGGAGGGGGTGGGGTGTCCCCCGCAAAGGAAGGGTCTTCCTCAGTAGTTCCAGAGCCCTTAATGCCCCGGAGTGTGCACCTGAAGCACATGCTGGGGCCCAGGGGCTGTCCCCGGGCTTCCTGCTGTGCACTCGGGTAGGAGGGACTGGCATGAAAAGTGAGAACAGGTCAGGAGGCCAGGACAGGTGCAGGACTGTGGGGGAGGGAAGGAGGGTAGTAACTGTCGCTTGTGCCTTGGGCTTTACACCTGAGCCATCCCGTTAATCCTCTCAACCACCCCGAAAGGCAGTTCTCACCGTTCCATTTTACAGATGAGAAAACTGAGGTTCAGAGAAGTGAAATGCTGGCTCCAAGTGGCAGGCAGAGCAGGGTCTTGAGTCTAGGGCTTCTCACAGGCACTGACATCTGGGGATTCCCCTGGTCCCTGGCTCGATTTGGGGAGGTTTCAGGGGCCCCTTGTTCCACTCTTCTCAGTAGGTCCCAGGGCTGAGCTGCCTGACCCCTGGCCCACCATCTTGGTCTTGCCACCACCTTCCTCATGTACAGGGTTTAGGCAGCTCCCTGCTCCTAGAGCCTCAGTTTCCCCTCTTTAAACTAGGGGTTGAAATCCCTCTAGAGGAAGAGGGGGAAAGCTCAAAGGTCAAGGGGCACTGGCTGCCTGGAGGAGGAGGGTGGGAGGGGGAAAAGTGGAGCCTGGAGGAAACAGAGTCCAAAGTCTGCGGAGCTGCAGTTCCCCACCCCTTGGGCGCCCCGGGCTCCTGGATGCAGAGAAGTGGCTAGCATGGGCGAGGGGGTGGAGCAGGGTGGGGGGCAGGCACTCTGCTCACACATATGTGTGGTGGCCCCTGTGAGCTTCCCAGCAAGCTCAGCGCGCCACCACCGAGAGCAGTGCCAGTTCCAGGCCCCCTGGGTCTGATGAGGCCCAGCTCAGCAGTTACCATGACAATGGGGAAGGGAGGGCGGTGGGCATCCCTAGGTGGGTTTCTGTGCTTGGAGGCTTGGAGGGAGGTGGAGTGGGAGCTGGCAGTGAGGTCTGTGGGCTGGGAAGGCAGAGGAGCTCTGAGAAGGGTCTCAGCCTCCAGGCCCAGCCTTTAAGCATCCCCCACCCCCTGCCACCACTGGCACTAGGAACTAGGTCATCTTGGCCTCTTCTGGCTGGTGGCAGCTGGGAGGAGCAGCCCCTCCGTCTGTCGCCTCCCTCCTCATCCCCACAGCAGCTGGCCCTAGTGCCTGGCTCCAGGCTCTCTCCAGCCCAGGGCAGCCAAGCTCTTGGAGTATGCCCACCTGGGAGCCCAGTGCCTGGTTCCCTGCTCAGTGCTTTGCCTCTGGGCAAAGGGGTTCCATCTACAGTGGAGGGGTGCCTTGGGATCTCGATCCTCACCCTGCCCCCCTGCCTGCCCTACTCACGTCTCCTTTGCAACCCCCCATCTTCCCCTGTGGCTTGCATACACAGCTCTGACCTGTCAGCCGCCTCTTAAACCATCCCATAAACAGTCCCTCACATTTGGGCTACTACCCTTCACATCTCTGCTTTCGCCCATGTGTGGGGACTTCTGCCTTCAAGCACTCCACTTCAGTCCTCCAGAAAACTCCTATTCAATGTTCAGGACTCCTCTCAAACTTCTCCTCTCCAGGGCATTCCCTGGTGCACTTGGGCAGAGTTCCTGGCTCCTGGGCTCGCCCCCCAGCACTCTGGGTGGCAGGAGGAAGCCCCTGGTGTGGCAGTTCCTCCGTCAAGTGGTGCCTGTCCCAGCTGACTGTGAGGGCAGGGACTGTGACTCATTCATCCTGGCACCGGGTCCATAGTAGGGAGAATAAGAGGTGTTGAGGACTTCCCCCACTTAATCCTCTTCTTAGCTTTATAAGATAGACATCCTCGGTTTGCACATTGGGAAACTGAGGCTCAGGAAGTGAAAGCCATTTGCCAAGAGGGTAGGTAGAGAAGTCAGGATTCAGATTGCCTTTGCTGCCGACAGGCTGAGAATTCTAGCCTGCCCGCGGCTGTAAGCTTGCGGCTGGGCTCAGTGAGACTGAGCCTCGGAAATCCTATGCAAAGCATTTGGCTGCAGAGTCGGGCAGGGGTTTGGAGATCATGGGAGGCCCTCACTGAGTACTGGAGTTTCACTGTGCCTCACCAGCACCCCGCCTATCTTCTGAGTAGCATCTCCTCCAGCCAGGGCTTGCATACTTCTGAGGACGGGGAGCTTACCGCCTCTCATAGTGGCTCATCTTGACTGAGACAGTTCCAAGGAGGAAGCTGTCCTCACACAGCTGCCAGCTGCCTTCCTGCCACTTCTACTCATGGGTTTTTATTCCTCTAAAGGGCACAGAGCGCAGCTGCATTCCCCATCACTGCTAGCTTTCAGAGCCTGCCTGTTCCTGCCCTGCCTCTTCCCACTGTCTCTCGTCCCCACGTACCTAGGCATGAGCCAAGTCTCACGATGACCAGTGACCCACTGCCTCCCACACCAAGTGGCCTTGGGGACTGGCCCAAGGCTATTTTGGGGTTTTCCCTGGTCCTCCTCCTTCCACAGCCTAGAAACTGCCAAGGCCCTAAATATAGAGGCCCCGAAAGTAGCCAGACAGGCCAGTGGCAACTGGCTCGGGAAAGGAGAAATGAGAGAGGTGGGCAGCCTAGGGGCCTCAACACTAGCGAAGAAGGAACTGGGCAGGGCTTGGGTCCCAGCAGCCCACTGGGGACCATGGTTGGGCCCAGGTCCTTAAATCTGGCCTCGGCCTGCTCTCAATACCGTCCTCTTGCCCCACCTCTGATCCAGCCACCCGGCTCTTCATAGTCCTTGCACACCAGGACTCGGGTCCTGCTTCCAGGCCTTTGGAAGCAGTAGCAGCCCAGTAGTGGGGGACAGCCCACGGAGGTCCCCTGTTGCCTCAGTCAGTACTGACCTCTCCCTGCCTCCTCTGAGCTCCTTGTATGGCTCCTGGATCCTGCAGCCCAGCCCAGCACCTGGGGTGTTCAGAGGCCTGATTTCTTAGCACCTGGAGTCCCCTGGCTTTGGGTTGATGGGATGCAAGCTGGGGTATTCACAGGGGGCTCCCTGGAGGTGGGGGGGCTCTTTATTTTATTTTATTTATTTCTGAGACAGAGTCTTGCTCTGTTGCCCAGGCTGGAGTGCAGTGGCGCGATCTTGGTTCACTGCAACCTCCTCCTCCGGGGTTCAAGGGATTCTCCTACCTCAGCCTCCCCAGTAGCTGGGATTACAGTTGTACACCACCACTACATTCGGCTAATTTTTGTATTTTTCGTAGAGACGGGGTTTCACCATGTTGGCCAGGCTGGTCTGGAACTCCTGGCCTCACGTGATCTGCCCACCTCGGCCTCCCAAAGTGCTGGGATTACAGGTGTGAGCCACCACACCTGGCCAGGAGGCGGGGGCTCTCAAATGATGGCAGGGGGAGGTTACAGTCAGAGATGCAGGCAGTGCTAACATTTACTGAGCACCTCCAAGACCTTCTCTATCGTCTCAGGACCCAGGGAAGCTCCCTTGTGAGCCGGGGTTACACTTCCCACTTTATAGGTAGGAAAACTGAGTCTTGGCAGACATTTCCTGTCTGTGTCCAGGAGCTTCTGGAGCTGTTGGCCCCAAATGCCTTCCTCTGCCGGAAGAGCCCCTTTTGAGAAGGGAAGCAGAGCTTGGAATTCCCCACCCTCCACCATAGAAACACACTTCCTTTTTATGGACACTCACTGGAGGAACAGCTCTAGAGACAGCCCTCACTTCCCCACTTTTACCCAGTACCAGCCCTAGGCCTGGCTGCAGGCCTCTCCCAGCCCCAGGAGCCCCCCAACACCTGAGACCCTTGGAACTGAGCGCGTGTTTGCCTTCCCCCATCCCTCTTTCCCCAGATAGCTGTTACATTTATTCATTCATTCACTCATCAGTTCATTCATTCGTCTGTTCATTCGGCAAACACTCATGGGCTGCCTGTCTTGTGCCAAGCCCTGTGGGGGCCCTGGGGACACAGGCATGCTCCCCGCCCCCAGGTAGCTCAGAGCAGGTGGGAGGCAGCTGATCACTACCAGGCTGGATGAAGTGGGCAGGCAGTGTGAGTCCAGGGAGGCCTTCCTCCCCGTCCCGTCCTGGGGCCAGGGAGGGCTCTGGCAGGGCTGAAGGCCGACTGGGCAGGAGGGACAGCAGTGTCAGTGTTGGGGAGAGCAGGAGCAAAGGCTCCAGGGAGAGTAAGGGGCTCGACTTTGGTGTGGAGGGTAGGGGTCCCAGGAGCTTGCCTGGGGCTGTTGCTTGGAGCTGTTCTGGGGGGAGGCAGGGATGGGGTAGGAGGGCATAGAAAGGAGGAACATTCTATCCCCTGCGGGAGGAACAGGAGGTTTCCAGTACCCCCTCCCTCTGTCCCTCTCCCTCCCCTCCCTGTCTTTCCCCTCTCCCTCTCCACCCCTCCCTCTCACCCCCTCCCTCAGTCTCCCCCTCCCTCTTTACTCCCTCCCTCTTACTCTCCTCCCTCTCTCCCCCTCCCTCTCACCCCCTCACTCAGTCTCCCCCTCCCTCTTACTCTCCTCCCTCTTACTCTCCTCCCTCTCTCCCCTTCTCTCTCTCCCCCCTCTCTCACCCCCTCAGTCTCCCCCTCTGTCTTACTCTCCTTCCTCTTACTCTCCTCCCTCTCTCCCCCTCCTACTCTCCTCCCTCTCTCCCCCTCCTACTCTCCTCCCTCTCTCCCCCTCCCTCTTACTCTTCTCCCTCTCTCCCCCTCCCTCTCACCCCTTCCCTCTCACCCCCTCACTCAGTCTCCCCCTCCCTCTTAACTCCCTCCCTCTTACTCTCCTCCCTCTCTCTCCCCCTCCCTATCATCCCCCTTCCCTCTTAACCCCCACCTCTCTCCTCCTCCCTCTCAGCCCCCTCCCTCTGTCTCCTCTTCCCTCTCTCTCCCCTCCCTGTCCGTCCCCTTCCCTTTCTGCCCCTCCCTCTGTCCCTCTCCCAGTCTCTCCCCTTCCTCCTTCCCCCTCCTTTCTTCTCCTTTCTCTCTCTACCCATCCCTGTCTCCTCCCCCTCCTTCTCCCTCCCCCACAACTCTCCCTCCATCTACTCCCACCCCTGCCCGCGAAAGGGGAGCCCTGGTGCGGGTTCCTGCCCTTCCCTCACCATCCGCTCCCGGGCTGAGGGCGGGGACCCGTGTTTGGCCGGAGGAGCCTGCGGTCTCCAAACCAGGACGCGGAGACTCAGCCTCCGCTCTCTTCCCCCGCACTCCTCCCGAGGGGCCAAAAGAGAGAGGAGCCTGCCGCGAGTCCCCGCCCCGATCCCGCCCTCCAGCCCCGCCCCTGCCTATTTGTCTTGCAGCACTGGCAGCAGCGACCCCTACTGCATCGTGAAGGTGGACAATGAGCCCATCATCAGGTACCGCCCCCACCCCCAGGACCGAGGGGCGCTCAGCCTCTCATCGGCCCGCGCTCTCCCCGCAAAGGGGTGTGAATTTTGTTGTGAATTTTGTACGGAGATGGGAGGGGGCTTGGAGCACCTGGTCCCCTGCCTGGGATTCCCCACCTCGCCCTGACACCCCAGCTAGGAGACGAGAAAGACCTTCAGGGAACTGGCCTGGCCAAGGGCCTCTCACCGGACTCTGTTCATCTTTGCAATCATCACAACCTCCGGGAGAGACAGATGCTGACGATTTGTAACAACAACTCTCATTTGTGGAGCCAGCCCTTTTCCAGCCCGTTTAGTTCTTGCAATTAACGAGATACGATATCATTAGACCCCATTTACAGACAAGGAAACTGAGGCTCAGGGAGACTAACTACCCTGGCCAAGGTCACATGCCTAGTAAAAGTGGCAGAGCCACAACTGGAGCCCAAGTCTGGCCACCCCAGAGCCTGAGCTCCCTTCCCCTCCCTGGTCCTGGCTCTAACTTGGGTCCTGTCCCCTGAGAGTCCCATAGTAATATCCCTCGAGGCTGGGCAACCCCAGCCTGCACCCTGAAGAGTCACTTCCTCCGGATGTCCCTTCCTCCATGGTCCCCATGATCTCTGGGCAGGGTCTTTGCTGTCCTCTCCCTTCCTTCACCCAGACTCCTGCTTCCAAGTTCATGGCCAGAGCTGCCCTACTGTTCTGCCCACCTGAGTGCCCGTGGCCTACTCGGAGCCCAGTCCTTCCCTACCTGCAAGCAGGCTCCCAGCCTTTCTCGAGGGTCTGCAAACCACAGACAGCAAGAGGGAGAGGGGTGTGATGGCTCTGATGCTCTTGATACAGAAGGGAAACAGATGACCTGTCTGAGAAGTGGTTGGCATGAGGTGGTCCCCTGAACTTTCATCCGGGTCCTTGGGGGCTTCAGCGTCTCCCCACCCGCTAGCCCACTGAGTCCCATGAGTTGAAGGCTCTGATCCAAAGGGGGTTGACCAGAGCTGGGTGAGGATGTGAGGCCAGGCTCACCAGTCGCCCTGAGGCAGCTACCCTGTGACCTGAGGCCAATGCCTGCCAACTGTGATCTCAGTTTCCCCAAATGTAAAACAGCTGGAGAGGCTGGGCACGGTGGCTCACGCCTGTCATCCCAGCACTTTGGAAGTCCGAGGTGGGCAGATCACCTGAGGTCAGGAGTTCGAGAGCAGCCTGGCCAACAGGGTGAAACCCTGTCTCTACGAAAATGACAAAATTAGCTGGGCGTGGTGGCAGGCGTCTGTAATCCCAGCTACTCAGGAAGCTGAGGCAGGGAGAATTGCTTGAACCTGGGAGGCAGAGGTTGCAGTGAGCCGAGATGACGCCACTGCACTCTAGCCTGGGCGACAGAGCGAGACTCCGTCTCAAAAAAATAAAATAAAATAAATAACAGCCAGAGAGAGGCAGCCCTGTGCCCCATCCAGAGCAGAGAGGAATGTCAGGGGGTAGTGATTGGTGGTGAACAGTAGGGTCTGGCACAGGGAAAACACATCAGTGGCAGAGCCAGTTGTTATAGGGGTAGGGGAAGATACAAGGAAGGTCCCAGCCCAGGGCCTGGGAGTGGCCTGGGCACATGCTGAGGGTTCTCTCCTGCAGGACAGCCACAGTGTGGAAGACCCTGTGCCCCTTCTGGGGTGAGGAGTACCAAGTGCACCTGCCGCCCACCTTCCACGCTGTGGCTTTCTATGTCATGGATGAGGATGCCCTCAGGTGAGTGCCCCCCTCTCCAGCTGGGACCCAGACCTGGCCATCTGATTGCTCCCTGGCCCATTTCACCACCAGGACTCCTGGGTCCTTTTTGGCATCCTCTTTGCAGCCTGGAGGGAGGCAGAGCCTGGGGGCCTGGGAGGGCGAAAAGCTTGAGCGTGTGGGTGTGCACATGCGTGGCTCCATGGTGCATGCGCCACATACACACGTGTGTGTGCAGGCATGCAGGCACAAGTGTGCATGGACTACACGTGTGCGTGCAGGTGTGAGCTGTGAGATGGGCACCCAGAGAGTGTGAGCTTGGCATGTGTGGGCATGTGAGAAACCTATCACATCCCCCTAGAGGGTCCAGAACCCACAGCCTACAGAAGGGCCACAGGTCCAGCTCTGTTGGGTTACTCTGGAAATGACAGCGGTGTCCACCACCCTGCTCCCCCCGGGGGGGCCCTGAACTTGGTGGGAGGTCCCAGAGGGCAGATACTGAAGCCCTGCCCAGCTCTGCCTCCGTCTCCCTCCTCTAGCCGGGACGACGTTATCGGAAAGGTCTGCCTTACAAGGGACACCATAGCCTCTCACCCTAAGGGTAAGTTCTCCCTTCCCTCCCACACTGGTCTGCCCAGTCCCTGGCCTCCCTCCCACTCGGAGACCTCCCCTCTAGGCTCCGTCTGGTCTCCTGCTCAGGGAAAGCCATTTCTACTCTCCCCAGAAGCCGGGGCCACGTTCTGTACTCCTGGCCTCTGTTCTGCAGCATGTTCCCAAGCCTGGTTGTTACTGCCTCTTCCCTAGGGTGAAGAGGGGCTGCTATGGGTGGAATCTGAGGCCTCTGCTGGCAGAAGAAGGGGCCTCCTTACACTCTATTGCTGAAGCATAGGGACCCCTTCTCCAAATCAGGCCAGCTCCTTCTGTAACCCATGGGGTCGCCTCCATCTGGGCCCTAGTACTACTGTGTCCTAAGTCTGAAGGGTTGGCCTAGAGCCAGTCCAGGCTGGAGATCCCTTTCAATTATTTCTGGGATGCAGACATTGTTTTGTGTTATTGTTTTTACAATTTTTATATAGTTTTTTTTTAAAAAAAAGGCCGGGCACGGTGGCTCACACCTGTAATCCCAGCACTTTGGGAGGCCGAGACGGGTGGATCACGAGGTCAGGAGATCGAGACCATCCTGGCTAACACGGTGAAACCCCGTCTCTACTAAAAGTACAAAAAAATTAGCTGGGCGTGGTGGCAGGCACCTGTAGTCCTAGCTACTTGGCAGGCTGAAGCAGGAGAATGGCGTGAACCTGGGAGGCAGAGCTTGCAGTAAGCCGAGATCGCGCCACTGCACTCCAGCCTCAGCAGCGGAGCAAGACTCCACCTCAAAAATAAATAAATAAATAAATGAATAAAAAATAAAAATAAAAAATAAAATAGAGGCCGGGTGCAGTGGCTCACACCTATAATCCCAGCACTTTGGGAGGCCGAGGCAGGTGGATCACCTGAGGTCAGGAGTTCAAGACCAGCCTGGCCAACATGGCAAAACTCTGTCTCTACTAAAAATACAAAAAATTAGCTAGACGTCGTGGTGGGCACCTGTAATCCCAGCTACTCAGGAGGCTGAGGCAGGAGAATCGCTTGAATCCAGGAGGCGGAGGTTGCAGTGAGTCAAGATCACGCCATTGCACTCCAACCTGGATGACAGAGCAAGACTCCATCTCCAAAAGAAAAACAAAGATGGAGGCCGGGCATGGTGGCTCACACCTGTAATCCCAGTGGCAATTCACTTGAGATTAGGAGTTCAAGACCAGCCTCGTCAACATGGTGAAACCCTGTCTCTACTAAAAATATAAAAATTACCTGGGCATGGTGGCACTCACCTGTAATCCCAGCTACTGGGGAGGCTGAGACAGGAAAATCTCTTGAACCTGGGAGGCAGAGGTTGCAGTGAGCCAAGATTGCGCCATTGCACTCCAGCCTAGGTGACAGAGCAAGACTCTGTCTCAAAAAAAAAAAAAAAAAAATGGAGATGGGGGTCTCACTCTGTTGCCCAGGCTGGTCTTGAACTCCTGGCTTTGACAGATCCTCCCGCCTTGGCCTCCCCAAGGTGCTAGGATTACAGGTGTGAACCACCATGCTCTGCCCAGACATGATTTTGAGGGTTCAGCCCTGTGCCAGCCTCACTGTGTGTGACCTTGGGCAGCTCCTGCCTTCTCTGGGCTTCTCTGAGGGTTCAAACCAGTTCTTGGATGCTATGGGCTCTGCCATCAGAGCCTTTGTGTCCCGCTTACTGGCTTCCCCCCACACACACCTGCTCCTGTCTGTGACGCTGGGCCAGGGATGGGGGCAGGGCGAAGGCAGGTTCTGCTGACTCATGGGGCTTCTTGGCCCCTGCCAGGCCAAAGGCCTTTCCCACCTGCAGCCTTAGCCAGCGTCTCTGGGGTCTAGTGGCCCCAGTGAGGCTATTCCTCCGGGTGCCTTGTAGCTTCCCCATCCAGGCCTCAGACCCTCCTCCCAGCAGCCCTAGGGGAGGGCCACTCTCTTCCTGTTTTAAGATGGGGAATCTGGCTGGGTACAGCGGCCCACACTCATAATCGCAGCACCTTAGGAGGCTGAGGTGGGAGGATGGCTTGAGGTCAGGAGTTTGAGACCAGCCTGAGCAACATAGCAAGACTCCATCTTTTTTTTTTTTTTTTTTGAGATGGGGTCTTGCTCTATCACCCAGTCTGGAGTGCAATGGCGCAATCTTGTAGCTTCTCCATCTGGGCCTCAGACCCTCCTCCCAGCAGCCCTAGGGGAGGGCCACTCTCTTCCCGTTTTAAGATGGGGAATCTGGCTGGGTACAGCGGCCCACGCTTATAATCCCAGCACCTTGGGAGGCTGAGGTGGGAGGATTGCTTGAGGTCAGGAGTTTGAGACCAGCCTGAGCAACATAGCAAGACTCCATCTTTTTTTTTTTTTTTTTTTTTTTTTTTTGAGATGGGGTCTTGCTCTGTCACCCAGTCTGGAGTGCAATGGCGCGATCTGAGTTCAAGCAATTCTCCTGCCTCAGCCTCCTGAGGAGCTGGGATTACAGGCATGCGCCACCACACCTGGCTCACAGGGTGAGACCCTGTCTCTAAAAACAACAACGACAAAAATGACACAATAGTGAGGGCACAGGCCCCAGGTCACTGACTTAGATTCTAATCCCAGCTCTTCCAACTGCTGTTTCTTCACCTGCAGAGCCTCAGTTTCCCCATCTGTCATTGGGGATACCAGCCCCTGCTTCACGGGTGCCTAGGGGATTCCCAGATTATGGAGGTGCCTCAAGGTGCCTGGTGGGGCTGAGGGTGGAGGGTATGGGGGTTCAGGGCCGGGTCCCTGGCTGAGCTGACCCCACAGGTTTCAGCGGGTGGGCCCACCTGACAGAGGTCGACCCCGACGAGG